>NC_000021.9:28005187-28635109 GCF_000001405.40 Homo sapiens | reverse complement strand
AAAAAAAAGATGAGGACATTAAACACATAGATCATAGATCATTCAGAGTTAATTTTGAACTTTGCTGACTTTTAACTGCTATAGCATTTACCTGCGTGATAAACTACCAGACTCCCAAGTCTATGCTATATTGTTTTTTATCCTTTAAACTAAATGTAACACATGTCTTTCCTGGCTTTAACTCTGAGTTAAAGAAATGTTCAAGAATACCTGGTGTAATAGTAACAGCTAACCTTCACAAGCACTTAACATATGCATCACATAGCACGTAATATGTGTCAGTCACTGAGCTAGAAACTTTATATGCAGTATATTAATTAATTTTATCCTTATAATACGTCTATAAGTTACAAACTTGTATTACCCCATTTTATAAATGAGCAAATTTAAGCTCAGAGAGGTTCGGTAAATTGTCTAAGTTCATATAACCAGTAAGTCACACAACTACCCCAAGGACTCAAATCCTATTTCTAATGTCTGTTTTCATAAGCCCTGTGCATACTGTCTTTCAGTAGAGAGTACAAGAATACACAGGTAGTTGACCTAGGGGGATGCTGCCTGACTAGTGCAAATACTGGTGCTCAGAATAGACAAAGTCAAGGAACTTCACTTAATAGCTACTTATCTACTTAAACAAGGCTATTTTTGTCCTGTGCTATGCGTGCATATCCTGACTCGCCCTTTCCTTGGGGAAAATTGGGAGAAAATAGTACATACATGGAAATGTACTGTTAGCTACTGCGACAGATTTGGCAAGGGCTGTGGACCACAGCCTCTCAGCAAAGGAGGAGAGCATCCCTGCCAGCAAATACCTGCTTCCCAAGCTCAGTTCCATAGGATTCCCCCCTTGCACACTTCCCAGTCTCCTTCCAAATCAGCTGGATCCCCGTGAGAAAAGGAAAAGTGATGTATTTGGGAAGTCAGATCTAAGCAAAGACCAACTCTCTGCTTGGAGTTCTCAAAATAATTTTTAATGAGATAAAGCTTCTTGAGTCAGAGGATATGACATTCTCATTTGCATGATTCAGAATGGCAGTGACGCCACGGGCAGTCAGTCATTGGAAAGGAGTTCCCGAACATGAAACGCTGAACAATTAAACAGGCACTGTAGCTGGCACAGAATGAATTATCTTAGATAACCGAAGCCTGTTCCATTGGGCCCAGCACAGGAAGCTGGTGACTATCAGAACTTCACAGTAGGTTATTCCTGTTACCGCCCTAACGTTTTCCTGGTGTGGAGACGGATGGCAGATAGGTTTCAGAAGGAGAAGTTGCTGAACTTCTTACCCTGAGCATAGTGTACAGTGCTTATTTACTTACACCTTTGTCTTTGCAATGGCTCAGAGAACTATTCGTATTGTATTACAATGGGAATTTGTAACCTGGTAGCCACGCAGAGGAAAAAGCTCTTTAAGTCATCTCGAAGTCATATACAGAAGGTTGATTTTGTGTCTTGAGAAAAGGGTTCACAGTTCCTGTTATATTCTGAAATGGGCCTCTGGTTTCTAAAAGAACAGAACTTTAAAAAATACTTGGCATTTAAAAAAATACTTGGGAATGTGGGTATGACTGCCAGACTTAGCTACTAACAGCCCATTTATTTGGTAGGCTTCCTGTTCAGTCTCTTCTATTCCCTAAAAAAGTTGCCATAATTTTGAAAACAAATAGACCCAGAGAATTGCCCTGTGTGCTTTTAGAATCACAGTTTCCACCTAAGTAGGAGTTTAAGATCTCACCTGTGGATTTTCAATAGTAAATGATGTCAGTAGTAAAGGTGAGGTATTTGTGGATCATCCTGGCTCATGGGGAGAGACAGCTTTGTTCATTTTCTCTTTGTGACTATGCACACTAGTGCTGGCAGGCCTTTTGACAACTGAGGACTGCATTCCTAACCTCTGTAGAGACCCAGCCTTGCCCTTTCAGTACACAGGTTCAGACTTGCTTCCTCTCAGGCCACCTGGAGCAAGTACTCCTTCTATAGTGATGTCAGTCCCCATAATCTCATCCAGTGGGTGAGTGTATCACAATCAGAGTTTGGTGGCTGGTTTTAGAGAAAAGCTGTGGATTGTGAAAATGGGGTCCGATCAAGTGGCAGTAATGCTAGGAGCCATAGGAATGGGAGGAAATAGGACTCTGACTATAAATTTCTTATGTGATGTGTTGACAGTTGAAATAAGCCACTTGCAGCAGGAGAAAACCTGTCTACACTGCGTCTGCTTTTTGCTCATCCCACCGTCAAACTCCAGTGCTATCTTTTCTATGGTGATTCATCAGGGAGGCATTTGCTGCCAAGAAATCACTTATTTTGGTTTTCTTTTAGCTACTGTCATTAGCTAAATCCAAACTGTACAGCAAGAATTGGAAGAGAGAGTTAGAAGCAGCCATCCTGATAAAGTTTTCTATAAATATAACTTTTTCCCCTGTAAGCCAAAAGTTATAAGAACAAATAGTTTGATTTCTATTTTACCGTGTGGACAGAGAAACAGACTTGGTAATGTTGACATCGATAGAAAATGAAAACACATTTTGTGACTGCTCTCTAACACTTCTTTCTACTAAACCGAAGAATGGTTGGAAAAAATGAAAACATCTTATGCTGTTACTGAGAATAATTGGTCAAGAAACTCTTCTGTTTAAAAAAATTGAAGTTATTTAATTATAAAAGGTTAAAATGCAAGAAAATTCACTTTCAACTACAATTTTGCTGCCACAACTGATAAAAACATGTGACATAGTAGAGATCTCATTTAGAGTTCTTACTCTGATAAAAGCTAGGAGACTGTTAGATTTTGGGGTTCCACCCAAGACACACTGATTTCTACAATCTGCATTTTAATAAGACTCTCAGGGAATTTGTATGCACATTTAAGTTTGAGAAACTCTGATATAGGGTAATATTTCACAAACTTAGATAACCATCATAATTGCTTATGTGTAGAGCTCTTCAGAAATATATTGTACAGAGATAATTCATGAGTCTTATTCAACTCACTCATTGTTTTAACAAACTTTCGCCTTTACTTCAGTAAGATATTGACTAGTTACCACAGCAAGCTGACTAGTCCTGGTTTGTAGCTAATTCTCTAGTATTCCAAAGCATTTCTGCACACTCCACTTGATTGTGTTTACTGGATACTGTTGTGTTTGTTCATAAGCCTGCTGATGGTGCAATGTAAATAATATAAATTGATAAAATCTGAGTGTGAAGAGAGTGATACCATTTATTTGTTGTTGTATGTGGACAGGGCAACTGTAAGTGATAAAAAAAATTTTTTTAAATCTAAGAGGTTAGGCTCCTGTTTTTTTTTTTTTAACAAAGTCTTGAAGTCTTCACTCCAAAGAAACTAAAACTGGAGATTATATATCTTGTCTTTGTGTGTGAAATACACAAGAAAATGGCTTTACTGTTTAATCAGTAGACTTATATGAGAAAAAGCCTGTACTTGACATAAAAAGTCTGTCAAATGCATATGTTTATGTTTTAGTTTCATATAAAGGATTAACCTTAAAGATGTACATATGCCATTTTTTTTCTGATTTCTTGCTTTATGAAACTTTTGGGTTGGGCAAATTGTATGCTAGTTATAATTTTGTCAGGGTTTCTACTACACATATTTCCAGATCTCATCCAAGACCACTGAATTAGGGTGGGGTTTAGAATATGTATTTTTAAAAAGACCTGCCATTCAGCTAGGATTGGAAATTATTGAAGTAGAGAATCCTGGTTGACCAAGCAACATTACGGAAGTAGAAAAACTTTTACAGGTTTAGATATTTTAAGAATGTTACTAGCACATTTGCTAAAGAATTTCCAGAATTTTTACAATAAAAAGCAATCTCACCTGATTCCACAGATAATCTTTTGGATATTGTCTCCTTTCCTAGTATGATGTTTTTGAAGTTTTCCTGGGACTGGACCAGCTGGTCCCTCTGAAACTGTCCATTTATAAACCAGGAAGAGGGAGAGCTTTGGATCAAAATTTCCCTATGTCAGTTTTGGAATATCTAAATTTTCCTCTGCACCCCAACCCCATTGAAGTTGGTGAGAGAGGCACACATACTTTGTTTGGGGAGATTCATTACTCTCTAGTGACTTCCTGTTTCCTTAGTCACTGTTAAACCTACATAAAAAACTGAGCTTAATTAATCATTAACTTTCTTTTTTTAAAATTTTATTATTATTATACTTTAAGTTTTAGGGTACATGTGCACAACGTGCAGGTTTGTTACATATGTATACATGTGCCGTGTTGGTGTGCTGCACCCATTAACTCGTCATTTAGCATTAGGTGTATCCCCTAATGCTATCCCTCCCCCCTCCCCCCACCCCACGACAGTCCCCAGAATGTGATGTTCCCCTTCCTGTGTCCATGTGTTCTCATTGTTCAATTCCCACCTATGAGTGAGAACATGTGGTGTTTGGTTTTTTGTCCTTGCGATAGTTTGCTGAGAATGATGGTTTCCAGTTTCATCCATGTCCCTACAAAGGACATGAACTCATCATTTTTTATGGCTGCATAGTATTCCATGGTGTATATGTGCCACATTTTCTTAATCCAGTCTATCGTTGTTGGACATTTGGGTTGGTTCCAAGTCTTTGCTATTGTGAATAGTGCTGCTATAAACATATGTGTGCATGTGTCTTTATAGCAGCATGATTTATAATCCTTTGGGTATATACCCAGTAACGGGATGGCTGGGTCAAATGGTATTTCTAGTTCTAGATCCCTGAGGAAATGCCACACTGACTTCCGCAATGGTTGAACTAGTTTACAGTCCCACCAACAGTGTAAAAGTGTTCCTATTTCTCCACATCCTCTCCAGCACCTGTTGTTTCCTGATTTTTTAATGATCGCCATTCTAACTGGTGTGAGATGGTATCGCATTGTGGTTTTGATTTGTGTTTCTCTGATGGCCAGTGAAAAAAAAGAAAGTTAATGATTAATTAAGCTTTATAACTTTACAGCAAATCGGCCTTAAGATATGTTAAAGCTTTATCCTTTTATTAACATTGTGGCATTAAGATGTAGTGGAAAATACATAGGATTTGGAGTCAGATATACTTGATTACAAATTGTAATACTCATACTCACAAATTGTGTGAAGTTATGACTCTCAAATCCTGTTACTTTAATAAAATCTTTTTGAAAGTTAAATAAAATAATATATCAAAAAAAAAAAAAGAAACTGAGCAAAGGGGGTTTTGAGAAGACTAAGCTGTACTGATTCCCTCTGGACCAGTGGACTAAGCTTGTCCTTCGATCCCCTGATCTGGTTTATGCAGCCACTGTATATGCCTTCCAGGCCCCTGCGGAAACCTGGATACTGGTAGGTTATGTCTCTATGGAAAGATAAACAACCTTCACATGACAGGAGGGCTGGAAAATGAGATTATCACCTGCTTTTTAAATTAGAGATGGCAGCTACAGTTATTCCTGGATCAGATTTGAGTCTTGTCTTTAAGGCTTTAAGAATGTACATTTTAAAAATGATGTTTTAAGTGAGCTGTCTTCTGGACTTGCCATGCTGCCTGCGGTCCACTCTTCTAGCTGCTCTGCATAGCTCCAATATTTGGCTGTCAGATACATACCCAATGTCTACATGAGCATTTGTTTATATTAGGGCCTTTGCTTTGGAAGTGCACATTCTGGCTATTTTGGATGAAAAATGCCATGATGTATTTTGATGTGTAGGATCTGGGTTGGAATATCTGCTCGATGTCGAGGTGATTGCGTGACCACGCTAAACCTAGGCCCACTTATTTATAACTGGAGACAACACCACAGCACTGTCTCCCTTGGCTTCAGAATCTGGCTGTCTGGTTATAATTTGCCACCCACCTCCTCCTTTCTAATTACCAGTGAGACTTTAGAGAAAGAGGTAATCCAAATCCAAGCACACTAAATGCATCAAATGTCTTTGAGAAGAGACCTGCCAAGACTCTGGGGTAAATTCTATGGTTTCTCACATTATGCCTGTGTTTCCCAGACTTGCGTGATCTTAAAAGTCCTTGTGTATGGGGAGGGATGAGGAAGGGCTGTACTTAAAAAATGTAGATCCCAAGCCTTCCCAGGAATTTTCACTCACTTGGTCTGTTGGGGGTGCGAGCAGGTGATTCTTATGAACAGGTAAGTTCAAGAATCCCCACTTTAACTAATATTTTGGGATTTATTTCATTCTGATGCTTTAATACTGCAAGCTCAATAAATTATGACCAGGGATGTGTGTGAACACAGTTAATGCCAGAGCACATGGATGCAGGGTGCTAAAAGCTTCTTGTGATTCTGAAAAAGCCAATGGCAGCACGTGACGCTCACTTGTTCTAAACAGTAGGACTGTTCAAGAAAACTTTTGCAGGCTGGGCGCGGTGGCTCACGCCTGTAATCCCAACACTTTGGGAGGCCAAGGTGGGCCAATCACCTGAGGTTGGGAGTTTGAGACTAGCCTGGCCAACATGGTGAAACCCTGTCTTTACTAAAAAATACAAAAATTAGCTGGGTGTGATGGCAGGCACCTGTAATTCCAGCTAGCTTGGGAGGCTGAGGCAGGAGAATCACTTGAACCCAGGAGGCAGAGATTGCAGTGAGCCGAGATCGTGCCATTGCACTCCAGCCTGGGCAACAAGAGTGAAACTCTGTCTCAAAAAAAAGAAAACCTTTGCAGAACCTGTGATCTAATCTGAACTCCAAAGAATATCACAGAAACTAAAGTTGGCCTTATTTATAATAATGCAGTCAAAACAAGCAATTCTTAACTCATAGTGGTTGCAAAGATCAATTAAAACCATATCCAGTCTTTATAAAATAAAAACACCATATTTTTGATATTTTAAAATATCAATACTATTAAGTTAGCATGTCAAATAAAAAGGAAGCTTATACTATATATAAATGTATGTATTGTATACATACATATGTGTATATCTGTGTAGATACATATGCTATTGTTACTAGTGGAGGGTACCCAGGTTCTTGGCTTTTGAGTAAGGAACTAGACAAAATGCACAAAGCAAGGAAAGAATGAAGCAACAAAAGCAGAGATTTATTGAAAATGAAAGTACACTCCTGAGGGTTGGAGTGGGCAGAGCATAGGGGCTCAAGAGCCCTGTTACAGAATTTTCTGGGGTTTAAATACCCTCTAGAGGTTTCCCATTGGACACTTGGTGTAGTCCCCATGCAAATGAAGTAGTGGCCAGCAACCAGTCAGAGACTTAAGTGATGTTACAAAGGCTACACCCTATGCAAATGTCTGATTGGTTGTGGAAAGCAACCAATCAGTGGTACTTTCAATTTTCCATCTGCCAGGCAGAAAAAGAGCAGGGAGGTTGCAAAGAAAGTAGCCTCTGGTCCTTTTGTTACTTAGGTGTGGTAACTTGGGGTTTTCCTTTTGATTTAGTTCTAGGAAGTCAGTGTGAATTGGCCTTAGGTTCCCTGCCTCCAGATCCTATTCTCCTGCCTCACTGTATACACAAATCTTTATACATATAAGGTACATGAATAACACTAGGTATAGAAAGTTTATGGATGGTACCTGACTTATGTTAATTTTAGCATTGGAAGCAGTTCAAATGGAAGAGCGCTTACAAATAATTCATTTCAACTACTTCATCTTACTCATCAGGATATTGAAACGTGGGGAGGCTAAAATGAAACAGATGGTTATTGTTGGAGCATGGACAAGAACTGTTACTGTCAATATTTTGCTCAGAGCACATTTTAATTTTATTTTAAATCAGATTCATCAAAGCATAATTTATGTGATAGAAAATGCACCCATTTTCAGTGTTCAGTAAGTTTTGACAAATGTATGCCCTTGTGTAACCACCGTCCTGATCAAAACAGGTAACATTTCCATAACCCCAGAAATTTCTCTCATGCCTCTTTGCAGTGCACTGCTCTGATCTCTATCCTTATAGATTAATGTTACCTGTTCTAGAATCTCATATATACGGAATCATACTACGTATGTTCTTTTGTGGTTGGCTTCTTTTGTTCAATGTAATGTCACTGAAATTGATTCATGTTGTTGCACATTTCAGTATTTGTTCCTTTTTATTGCTGACCAGTATTTTATTGAGTGAATATGCCACAATTGGCATATTCATTCAGCTGTTAATGTACATTTGGATTGCTTGTAGTTTTTAGCTCTTATGAATAAAACTGCTGTAGACATTCATGTAAAAATGTTTCTGTGAATACAAATTTTTATTTTTTTAATTAAATACTTAGGAGCAGAATTGTTGGGTCATATAAGTATATGAGTGGGTTTGAAGTAGTGTCTCATTACAATTTTAATTTGCATTTCTCTGATTATTAGTGACCTTGAGCATCTTTTCATGTACTTGTTGGCTACTTGTATTTCTTTTTTCGCTTGTTCAAGCTTTTTGCCCTTTTAAAAAAATTTTTAACTTATTTCATTTTATTGTTTATGTAGAGATGGGGCCTGGATGTGTTGCTTAGGCTGTGTGAAACACCTGGTCTTAAGCGATCCTCTCACCCTGGCCTCCCAAAGCATTGGGATTACAGGTATGAGCCACTGTGTCTGGCGTGTCTTTTCTTTATTGCATTGTTTGTCTTATTATTATTGACTTGTAAGAGTTCTTTATGTATTGTAATATAGGCTCTTTTTGAATATATGTATTTCAAATATTTGCTCCCAATCTGTGCTTGCCATATCATTTTCTTAACAATGAATTAACTAATTTGTTTTAGGATTTATTTTATTTGCTCTATTGACTTCTTAGTTAAACTTCTTTTTATTAATATTTAGTAGTTGTTCTAGCCCTAAAACTTATCAAAGTTTACTACTTCACACTTCATAGTTCCTAGTTAACACTTACACTTACTATAACTACACTTAATACACTTCTCATTGCAATAACCGCATAATAGTTTAATTCTATTTTCTACTCCACCCATCCTTTGTGCCATCTTTTACATATAACATAAAAAGTCCACCATTTAATGCTTTTTTTTTTCTTTAAATAGTCAGTTGTCTTTTAAGGAAATTATAAGAACAACAATAAAAATGTATTTGTTATTTACTGTTTCCTGTGGGTTTCAATCCTGGTATATTTCAGTTTCTATTTGATATCATTTTTTTCCTACAGCTTGGAGAATAGCCTTTAGCATTTCTTCTAGTGCAGATTGATGCTGACAAATTCTTTCAGCTTTTGTTTATCTTAGAATGATTTTTTAAATCCTTTCTTTTACAGGATATTTTCAATAAATATATTCATCCTTGTTGTTACATTTCTGGTGATCTTCATTTTCTCGTGTAGATCCATATTTCCATCTGGTATCATTCCCTATCTACCTTAATCTACCTACCTTGCCAAATAAGGTAATAGAAATAGTCTCTGTTTTTTTAATTTTTTAATTTTTATGTTTTTTTAGAGGGAGTCTTGCTCTGTGGCCTAGGCTGGAGTGCAGTGGCATGGCCCCGGGTCCCAGCTTACTGCAACCTCCACCTCCTGGATTCAAGTGATTCTTGTGCCTCAGCCTCTGGAGTAGCTGAGATTACAGGCATGCACCACCATGTTTTTGTACTTTTAGTACAGACGGGGTTTCACCATGTTGGTCAGGCTGGTCTCGAACTCCTGATGTCAAGTGATCCACCCCCTTGGCCTCCCGAAGTGCTGGGATTCCAGGCATGAGCCACCAAAAATAATCTCTTTGAACTTTAGTTTTCTCATAAGCAAAATGAAAGGATTAGACTGGATTGTGTTAGGCTTCCTACCTGTTGTAATATTTTCAAGAATCTTCTAAAAGTATGTTTTGATTACTGGGCTTATTTTAATATAAGTTCCATAAGTATCTTTTGCAATAGCTAGCTTTTTTCTTTATAGAAAATTTTTGAATAATCCTTCTCCTAAAATAACTTTATTCTTGAAACAAGACAGCTCTGCAAAAATGTACCTGTTTGTTTTTGCATCTAATCTCTCCTTTTATCATTTTCTACTGACCTATGGGCAGAGCTCAGTGATAATGTGACTTTTCCTCAGTTGATTTCAGTAAGTTGGGTGCATGACTTAGCAATTTGTAAAAGGCTGAGGATTTGTAAAAAGGCCGAGGCCTGTTCTAATAGTAAACCAAAGTAGCATAAATGCAAATATAGCTATTCACCTACCAGACAAAAGTCTTACACTCTGCCTTTCATCCCTAGTTTGGCTGAGCCTTGACATCTATTAGCTCATTCTGCTTAATACAGGAGAAGCCTCGCCTAGGCCTAGGTCTGCAGCTGACCTCTTTGGTGCTTGGTGTAGTTGCTCAGAATCATGAGTAAGTGTGAGTGCCTCAGGTGTAGACAGGCTACCTTGTTTGTTCAGCTGGTGATCTGGCTTTCTGCCTTGGGTTCCTGATTAGTGTTCCTAGTCCTCTCTGTGCCTGGTTCCATATTCCAGCCCATTAAGCCAGGAACTTGATATTCTTCTCAGATCTTTCCAGGGTCCTTCTCTAGAGTCTCTAGATCCCAAATAATCATAGTCACTTGACTTGAGCCTGATACAAAACAGACTATTGTCTTAGGACAGTGATGGGACCAGACACATGACTGTGGGTGTCATCATGCCCTAAATTCCACTGCTGCCACCCTCTTCTGACTAGGTGAATATTCCCCTTCGATGACAGCAGCAAACAGAACCCACAACTCTGTTTTTATCCTCATTCTCTTAACCTTTGTTTTAGATAGGAATAGAAGAATGTCACTTCGTATGTATTACGGAGAGAAGTGATTGACTTAGAACTGTGTCTAATTACCAATTTTATGGATAGGATGATGGGACTTCTCAATGGAGAGGAGAGGCTACTTTGCTTTAGCGTTCAAAATTCCCATAGTGGATGTGAGCATAAACTTTCTCTAAAATTCTGGACAAAATCTGAATGTAATTTTTTCTCTGTGCTTCTGGTATTACAAAGACTAGAAATGAACTTTGTTGTTGTTTCTTTCTTTTTGAAAAATGGCTCATACATTCCAGTTTATACAGCTAACAGAACACACATTAAAATTGTTTTGCTGATAAGACAATAACTTCTTTCTCAGTTTTACAGCCTTCTAGTTTTTCCTTACTCATGAGTCTGAAACTGCTGGCATTTGCTTGACACCGCAAATTGGCATTTGAGTTTTTTTTTAATACTTT
This sequence comes from Homo sapiens, assembly GCF_000001405.40. Taxonomy (NCBI): domain Eukaryota; kingdom Metazoa; phylum Chordata; class Mammalia; order Primates; family Hominidae; genus Homo; species Homo sapiens. The sequence continues at coordinate 28,623,972 of NC_000021.9, read as the reverse complement.
AAGTTCTGGGATACATGTGCAGAACGTGCAGGTTTGTTACATAGGTATACACGTGCCATGGTGGTTTGCTGCACCATCAACCCGTCATATACATTAGGTATTTCTCATAATGCTATCCCTCTCCTAGCCCCTTAGCCCTCCTACAGGCCCCAGTGTGTGATGTTCCCCTCCCTGTGTCCATGTGTTCTCACTGTTCAACTCCCACTCATGAGTGAGAACATGCGGTGTTTGGTTTTCTGTTCCTGTGTGAGTTTGCTGAGAATGATGGTTTCCAGCTTCATCCATGTCCCTCAAAGGACATGAACTCATCCTTTTTTATGGCTACATAATATTCCATGGTGTATATGTGCTATATTTTCTTTATCCAGTCCATCACTGATGGGCATTTGGGTTGGTTCCAAGTCTTTGCTATTGTGAACAGTGCTGTAATAAACATATGTGTGCATGTGTCTTTGTAGTAGAATGGTTTGCAATCCTTTGGGTATACACCCAGTAATGGGATTGCTGGGTGAAATGATATTTCTGGTTTTAGATCCTTGAGGAATTGTCACACTGTCTTCCACAATGGTTGAACTAATTTGTACTCCCACCAACAGTGTAAAAGCATTCCCATTTCTCCACATCCTCTCCAGCATCTGTTGTTTCCTCACTTTTTAATGATCGCTATTCTAACTGTCATGAGATGACATCTCATTGTGGTTTTGATTTGCATTTCCCTAATGACCAGTGATGATGAGTTTTTTTCATATGTTTTTTGGCAACATAAATTTCTTCTTTTGAGAAGTGTCTGTTCATGTCCTCGCCCACTTTTGATGGGGTTGTTTTTTTCTTGTAAATTTGTTTAAGTTCCTTGTAGATTCTGAAGGATCTACAAGGCCTTTTGTCAGATGGATAGATTGCACAAATGTTCTCTCATCCTGTAGGTTGCCTCTTCACTCTGATGATAGTTTCTTTTGCTGTGTAGAAGCTCTTTAGTTTCATTCGATCCCATTTGTCAATTTTGACTTTTGTTGCCGTTGCTTTTTATGTTTTAGTCTTGAAGTCTTTGCCCATGCCTATGTCCTGAATGGTATTGCCTAGGTTTTCTTCTAGAGTTTTTAGGGTTTTAGGTCTTACGTTTAAGTCTTTAATCCATCTTGAGTTAATTTTTGTATAAGGTGTAAAGAAGGGGCCCAGTTTCAGTATTCTGCATCATATGGCTAGCCAGTTTTCCCAGCACCATTTATTAAATAGGGAATCCTTTTCCCATTGCTTGTTTTTGTCAGGTTTGTCAAAGATCAGATGGTTGTTGATGTGTGGTATTATTTCTGAGGCCTCTGTTCTGTTCCATTTTCTATATATATCTGTTTTGGTACTAGTACCATGCTGTTTTGGTTACTGTAGACTTGTAGTATAGTTTGAAGTCAGGTAGTGTGATGCCTCCAGCTTCGTTCTTTTTGCTTAGGATTGTCTTGGCTATATGGGCTCTTTTTTGGTTCCATATGAAATATAAAGTAGTTTCTTCTAATTCTGTGAAGAAAGTCAATGGTAACTTGATGGGGATAGCATTGAATGTATAAATTACTTTGGGTAGTATGGCCATTTTCATGATATTGATTCTTCCTATCCATGAGCATGGAATGTTTTTCCATTTGTTTGTGTTCTCTCTTATTTCGTTGAGCAGTGGTTTGTAGTTCTCCTTGAAGAGTTTCTTCACATCTGTTGTAAGTTGTATTCCTAGGTATTTTATTCTTTTTGTAGCAATTGTGAATGGAAGTTCATTTATGATTTGGTTCTCTGTTTGTCTGTAATTGGTGTATAGGAATGCTTGTAATTTTTGCACATTGATTTTGTATCCTGAGACTTTGCTGAAGCTGCTTATTAGTTTAAGGAGATTTTGGGCTGACCCATCTCACGTGCAAAGACATACATAGGCTCAAAATGAAGGGATGGAGGAATATTTACCAAGCAAATGGAAAGCAAAAAAAAGCAGGGCTTGCAATCCTAGTTTCTGATAAAACAGACTTTAAACCAACAAAGATAAAAAAAGACGAAGAAGGGCGTTACATAATGGTAAAGGGATCAATGCAGCTGTCAGGCCCCTGAGCCCAAGCTAAGCCATCATATCCCCAGTGACCTGCACATATACATCCAGATGGCCTGAAGCAACTGAAGATCCACAAAAAAAGTGAAAACAGCCTTAACTGATGACATTCCACCATTGTGATTTATTTCTGCCCCAACCTAACTGATCAATATACTTTGTAATCTCTCCCACCCTTAAGAAGGTTCTTTGTAATTCTCCCCACCCTTGAGAATGTACTTTGTGAGATCCACCCCCTGCCCCCAAAACATTGCTCTTAATTCCACCGCCTATCCCAACACCTATAAGAACCAATGATAATCCCACCACCCTTTGCTGACTCCTTTTTTGGACTCAGCCCGCCTGCACCCAGGTGAAATAAACAGCCATGTTGCTCACACAAAGCCTGTTTGGTGGTCTCTTCACACGGACGCGTGAAACAGCAACAAGACGAGATAACTGTCCTAAATATATATACACCCAATATAGGAACACCCAGATTTAAATTAGAACTCAGGATTAAGAAACTCACTGAAAACCACACAACTACACGGAAACTGAACAACCTGCTCCTGGATGACTACTGGGTAAATAATGAAATTAAGGCAGAAATAAATAAGTTTTTTGAAACCAATGAGAACAAAGACATAATGTACCAGAATCTCTGGGACACAGCTAACACAGTGTTTAGAGGGAAATTTATAGCACTAAATGCCCACAGGAGAAAGAGGGAAAGATCTAAAATCGACACCCTAACATCACAATGAAAAGAACTAGAGAAGCAAGAGAAAACAAATTCAAAAGCTAGCAGAAGACAAGAAATAACTAAGATAGACACACAAAAAATGCTTCAAAAAAATCAATGATTCCAGGAGCTGGTTTTTTGAAAAGATTAACCAACTAGATAGACCACTAGCCAGACTACTAAAGAAGAAAAGAGGGCCAGGTGCGGTGGCTCATGCCTGTATCCCAGCACTTTGGGAGGCCGAGGTGGGCAGATCATGAGGTCAAGAGATCAAAACTATCCTGGCCAACATGGTGAAACCCTGTCTCTACTAAAAATACAAAAATAAGCTGGGTGTGGTGGCATGTGCCTGTAGTCCCAGCTACTTGGGAGGCTGAGGCAGGAGAATCTCTTGCACACGGGAGGTGGAGGTTGCAGTGAGCCCCGATTACACCACTGCACTCTAGCATGGGTGGCAGAGTGAGACTCTGTCTCAAAAAAAAAAAAAAAAAAAAAAAAAAAAAAAGAAAAGAGAGAAGAATCACATAGGCACAATAAAAAATGATAAAGGGAATATCACCACTGATCCCACAGAAATACAAGCTACCATTAGAGAATACTATAAACACCTCTACACAAATAAACTAGAAAATCTAGAGGAAATGGATAAATTCCTGGACACATACACCCTCCAAGACTAAACCAGGAAGAAGTCAAATCCCTGAATAGACCAATAACAAGTTCTAAAATTGAGGCAGTAATTAATAGCCTACCAACCAAAAAAAGCCCAGGACCAGACGGATTCACAGCCAAATTCTACCAGAGGTCCAAAGAGGAGCTAGTACCATTCCTTCTTAAACTATTCCAAAAAATAGAAAAAGCGGGACTCCTCCCTAACTCATTTTGTGAGACTGCATCATCCTGATACTAAAATCTGGCAGAGACACAACAAAAAAAGAAAATTTCAGGCCAATATCCCTGATGAACATCGATGCGAAAATCCTCAATAAAATACTGGCAAACCGAATCCAGCAGCACATCAAAAAGCTTATCCACCAGGATCAAGTTGGCATGCAAAATTTGAATGTCCTCTGTCACCACTCCTATTCAACATAGTATTGGAAGTTCTGGCCAGGGCAATCAGGCAAGAGAAATAAATAAAGGGTATTCAAATAGCATGAGTGGAAGTCAAATTGTTTCTGTTTGCAGATGACATGATTGTATATTTAGAAAATCCCATCATGTCAGCCCAAAATCTCCTGGCATTAGAGTTTTAAGAGACATTTCCTTAGATTTACGAAGTCATGTGGTGTTTATCTCAGATTATGGTTTGTGGGAACAATAGTTCCTTAATCTTCTATTGATTTGCATGCTATCCTTAGTCCTTAGCAACCCAAACCCAAATTGAAACCATATCACTTCAATAGGAACATCAATTATTGTTGACAGTGGAGAAGAAAGGAAAGCACTGAATCAATAGTTCTTCTATTCAGTCCTTTTGTAACAAAAATGCAGTCTCTCCAAACAATTTTTTTAAAGGACTCTAAAAGAAGGTATGTTAAAGAAGAGCAGAAATAAAATGAAGATTTTAATGGTAGCCAATGCCTAGAAAAGACTAAGAGCTGTTTTACCAGTTTATTTTAGTATCTTTGTGAGAAGTGCCAATGGGTGGTAAAATGAATGCTTCACAAATGTCATCTTTTATAGGACCATGAGATTTGGTGAAAGTAAATCCCATTTACAAAAAGGCAGTAAATTTGCTTTGGCTTTAATTTGTTATTTCAAAGCCTTTATGTCACCTTATGGTATTTACTTCATGTTCTCTTAAAGATATATTGCCAGAAAATAACTTCTCATAAGGCACAAAATTATATGAGCTGTCTCTAATTTTTGCAGACTCTTTGTTATAAGCCAGTGTATTAGTTTGCTAGGGTTGCTGTAACAATAGTCATGTATCGTCTCCAAGCTCTGAATGCTAGGAGTTCAAAATCCAGATATTGACAAGATTGTTTCCTTCTGAGGGCTGCGAGGGAAGAATCCACTCCAGGCTTCTCTCCTTGGCATGTAGATGGCCGTCTTCTCCCTGTGTCTTCATATTATCTTCCCTCTGTACATGTCAGTGTCTAAACTTCCTTTTCTTATAAGTACACCAATCATATTAAGTTAAGGCCTACGCTAGTGACCTAATTTTAACTTCATAGCTTTTGTAAAGACCCTCTCTCCAAATACAGTCATACGGTGAGGTACCAGGGGTTGGACTTTACATGAATTTTTTTAGTAGACACAATTCAGTTCATAACGACCAATGTACATGGAATACTCCATCAAAAGTTAGTTTATTATTACATATAAACTTGAATGTTAATTTTCCACAGTCACACTAATAAGTGTAAAAAGTGATCATTAGTATTGAGCGAGCTGTGTGCCAATGTACTGTCAAAAAGTAAAAGTACCTTAGGATATGTGTTCATGTGTGCAAGGATGAGTTATAGGAGAGTGTTGTATAGGATCATTGACAGATTATAAATCTGTTTCTAATTGTTTTTCAACGATATCAATTTACATGGTAATTTTTAAGAAGAAGGAGATCAATCCAAAATATACAGTTAAATGAGGTTCACCTGTGATTCAACAATATTTTACTAGTGGACTTAGCTTTGCTTTAATAATCAATTCAAAATAAAATTTCCAAGTGTAGTTTTGACACAAATCTTTTATTTATAGTAGAGAATGATTTAGAAGTGTAAAATAAACTATGAACTATGTGTCAACATATGAGCCATTAATCAAAGATTAAGTGCATGGTAATTACAAGAAAATAGGCCAGAAAATTCCTTTTGTAAGTTCAAGCAAAAAACATATTTGTTTTTGTGAATATACAGTTGTAAGTCATGAAAACCTGAACATTTTACTTTGAAAAGTAAGGTCACAGAGGAAGAAGCTATGAGGGATTTGAAATTCTTAAGTCGCATTTCAAGGAGAAGTAATTTAAATATGCTTATTGTACCACTCATATTATTAATTTTAAATTCTTATCCTAATTTTGATAGCTCTTGATTCTGTTTGTCTTGTTATTCTTTTAATCTTTAAAACAGCCAAGGCTGGGCGTGGTGGCTCACACCTGTAACCTCAGCCCTTTGGGAGTTTGAGGTAAGAGGATCACTTGTGCCCAGGGGTTTGAGACCAGCCTGGGCAACATAGTGAAACTCCATCTTTACAAACAGTACAAAAATTAGCCAGGCTTGATGGCATATGCCTGTAGTCCCAGCTACTCAGGAGGGTATGGTGGGAGGCCACCTGAGCCTAGGAAGTCGAGGCTGCAGTAAGCCATGATCATGCCACTGCACTCCAGCCTGGGTGACGGGAATGAGACTCTGTCTTAAAAAAAAAAAAAAAGGCAGTCAAGAATACCAAGTACCATAATATTAGAGATGAATCAAGCATTCTTATTTTGCTGTTTCCAGGAATAGCTTACAATTTTAATTTATGACCTTTAGAAATATTATTTTGTCCAGGCACTGAACACAAAGTGCCATATCATGAGCTGCTAAGGTAGGAAGAATCAGCAGATTGTTTGGATTGTGAAGAGACAACTTTTATATGCATCTCTCCATGCGGCAATGGCCAATGCTTTGTAGAGCTGAGAGAACTCATAGTATTGTGACTAGAGGTGGCAGTCTGAGAGCTTACAGCAATGGTTGGCTGATTAGCAGTAAGTACTTATGAGGTGTGAAAGGGAAGCAGTGAGAGATTTGATACTGACACCATTAAGGGACTTCAGTATGAAATCAGCACAAAATAACATAATCTTAGCATGTCATGCAAGGTCTTTCATTATTTGGTCCTTGTTTGCATCTCCAGTCTCATTTTGCACTGTTCTCCCTGCCTCCCTCTACTCCAGCCCTGCCAGATGTGCTTCAGTTTCTCAATGCTAAACTGCTTCCCATCTTAGGGCCTTGGCATTGGCTGTGCCTCTGTGTGGAAGGTTCTTCTAGATCTTCATATACATGTAACCTTCCTCAGCAAGGCTATTCCAGACCACCCAATTCAAATTAGCCACCAAGTCGCTCTCTGACCTATTGCCTTGTTGTACTTCACTGTCTGGCTTCTATGTCTAAGTCTTATTTTTCTTGTTTATTTATTTATTTTTTTCCCTTACCAACTAATTGTCTGTGGCCAGCTCACTGGAGCCTAAGCTCTATCATAGCAAGACTTTATATACTTTGTATCACTGTGCCTCAGTGCCTTAAAAAGTGCTTGGTACCTGATGGTTTCTTATTTAATATTGGTGAAGTAACTGAGCAAGAATGACAATTATTTGATTGCCTGCCACGATGGTTAGATCCAATCCTGAGTGATGTGTTGAGTTTTTTGAGTTGGAGAGAGAGAAACTGGAATCCATCCACAAATGAGAAACTAGAATAGCAAAGGGTATACAAATGGTACTTGTAGGGTAGGAACTGGCAATATTCAATCTGGAAAATATTTAAATGACTAGGAAATAGAAAAACAAATTACAAGAACACAGTATCCAACTTGTTAAAAGAAGAATTTTCTGATAATTTTGAGCTTTCCTACAATGGCGTAGGCTAGCATTTCAGCACAGGAATTTTTCATGTGTCAGGGAAGTTTTAGAGAGAATTTTGCAGGTAATAGAATTTAAAAAAACTACAGTTTCTTAAAAATCTAATATTTTATTAGAATAAGACTTTACATAAAAATTCATAACTTTTCAAACAAGACTAATTTTTAAAAATTATCTTTAGCTCATACATTTTAGGCACGGTTCATTCTCAATACTGCTGGATATAAGTCCATATTTCCAATAATTTTTTTATTGTTTCAATGGCAAGTCTTGTCATATCTGATGAAAATTGCCATTGTTTTTCAAAATCTCATGATGTGATTAGCGAAGAACCTCTCCCCAAAGCAGAAGAGTTAGTTCTACATTTCCTTGTTGCTTATATTATTAGCACTATCTTCAGCCTTGAAAAATCTTTTAAAGCTACTTTTTGAGGATTAGAGAAATTATGTCTAGACAATTTGATCTGCAAGCTGAAAGTGATCAGTGACTGAAGCTTCCACTGTCAACCCCTGTTTATTACAAAATGTTCCCTCTGGAGACCCCATGTACTAAACATGATGAGTGGCACTTGATATATGGACCTAGTGAAGATGCCATTATTTGTACTTTAAATATTAGTTATGATTATTTTTTTCTTCTTGTTATAAAAATCAGCATAACTTTTGACTTGTTTTCATACCTCAGTGGGCTATCTTAGACTTCCTGTGATTTATCTACCCCACTCTGGAGATCACTGCACTAGTTCCTGTATAACATCTAGCATTAAAAATATGAAAGCAATCGTTAAGCCTTTCCATTTTGAACCTAATTATAATGCATTAACAAATAAAATTCTAGCCTTGTGGAAGGCAGACAAACATGGCATTCCATACCATATGGACTGTAGTTCTAGTGATTTCACTTTGGGTTTTCCAGTACAAGATTTAAACAAGGGACCAAAGAAAAGTGCCCCTCCTCCTGGTTTTGAAATAACCAGAAGGGAAATAAAATCTACACTTTTTATTTTTATTTTTTTGGCAAGAATTTATTGTAATGAGCAGAATCTGAAAGCTCAGTTCATTCCTGACTTTTTGGTCCTCATGCTGGTGTGCTTATGACTCCAGCTCTGTGACTCAACATTCCTCTCTGCTGGTCCTGTGGTCTAATCTCATTATCATTCTCGGAGGTGGGGGTTTGTGGGGAAGAGAGAGAGAGAGAGAGACAGCGACAGAGACAGAGAGACAGAGAGAGGAAAAGAAGAAGGAAGAGAAGGAAGAGGAGGAGGGGGAAAAGGGGAAGGAGGGAGGAAAGGAAATGGGAAAGAGAGAGACGACCCTAGTAAAACCCCGAAGAATGTATTTCTTTCTTATTCCTTTCTTCCTTCCAGCATCTTACTCCCTGCGTCTTCCTGCTTCATTCAGGGTCATGAACTACAGATCTTTCTAAGAATCATTTGAATGCAGTGGGAAATTAAATTCTTCCCTTATTTGCAGACAAATAAGAGTCAGTTTTATTAATAAATGAGGAAAGGGAGAAGCCACCCATATCACCCTTGTATCTCACCATGCTGGGACATTCCTACTTTGCAGTTAAGAAATTCTGTCCCTGTAGACAAGAAGAGGCATTCTGAACCATGCATTCCAGAGAAACGTTCAGAGATTAGGAAGGGGTTATGGAATTTTATATAGAGTGGGAAAAGGCCTCACTGAAAAAGCAATGCTTACAAGATTGAAAAATATCACTCAATGCTCTGAAGGGTTTTGAAACTCAAAAAGAGAACCACTTTTGTGCTGTCCTTAGAGGCTGCTGTGTTAGCGAATTCTCTAGGTGAGCCTGTGCCATATGCCATGTGGAGGCGTTTGTGCTACTTCCGGTAACACACTTCTTGGATAGGATTTGAATCAGATGTCATCTATTAAATTCCATATTCTAGTGGTTCATATGTCAGCAAAATGTCACTGTAATCTAATTTATATAAGGACTTTTTCTTCCAAAAAATGTCATTTAGTTTTACAAATTGCCTACCATGTTTTTCTTAATAGCCGTAGAGCCCAAGAAAATGGCGAAGTCTCAAGTTGAAATCTTGGCTTTGGCTTACACTATTTGATCATATTTTTCACTCTGAAAACTTCTGGAAAGCTTTTTATTTCAAAGTTTTGTTAAATTGCAAAATGTCTGATGGACAGGTTTCAATATGTTTTTTTTTTAATGTATGAAAACCAGTAGAGTGAATTATCAAAAGTAATCCTAACTAACATTATGCTCCATAGTGAAGAGTTGAAGAAAAATTTAAAAGCCGTACCATAGAAACTTAAAAAAAAACCCACCAGATTATAAGAATATCAGTCTAGTGTAAAGGATATATATGTTCACAGAAAAGAATAGACATCTTAGGTAGTTCTAATTTTGTAAACTATATGTAATTCATCTTTTCTCACTCAATTACCTACCATGGTTAGAAAGTTTTGTATATTGCACCATGATTGTAAATTCAATTCCTGGATGGAGATGGGGGAGGAAAAGAGAGGGAAAGGAATTATAAACTTTATTCAAATTGACATGCATTGCTGCAATAGGGCCTCATAATATGTATGCAAGAGACAGGCATTGGTTTGTTGCTGCTTCTAGAAAATATTCCCACAGTGAAGAAAACATAGCACTGCACTTGAACCGTGGGGAGAAAGTCATGGGTATCTTTTTCCCTGAAGAAAGTGCACTTTTATAATGATGCTTTACAATGGAAATGTAAGTCCTAGTCAGCAAGCTTCATCAGTGTAGGAGTACTGCAACTTAGATTTGAGGACATTTCTTACATGTTTAACTCCATTTCTTTTTTTTTCTTTTAAAACACTTAAGGTCTTTATTTAATACAAATGCTATCTTGGAAATGTGACACATTAAGCTAAATGACTTGGCCTGACTCTTTTTAGTGAATTAATTATATTGTTAGATAGGTCCTGGTTTTGGTTAAGGGCAAAAAAAAAAAAAAAAAAAAAAAAAAAAGAATATGCAGAAAGAAAGGAGAGAAGGCTACCATAATAGTGAGGATCCTGAGAAGACAAGGCAAATACTTTTGCTGGTGGGTAATTTGAAAAAGTTATTTAATCTCTCTATACAATGGTTTCCCCATCTATAGTGTGGGAATTCTGATGGTATCCTATTTTATTTTATTTAATTGATTTTTCTCTTTGAACTTTGAAAAGTTTCTTTATTTTGACTAAGCTTTTTGCTGCTGGCTAAAATGAGTGCAAGCTATGTACAGTCACAGTTACATTATGGAGGGAGGTATCAGCAAATATAGAAGTTCTTGATTCTAGAGTCAAAATTTGCTGGAAGTCACCCCGATCATGTGTACCACTTCAGGTCCACCAGTATACAAGCCACTCTGTGGTTTCTGTGCTATATATACATACAGATACATATTATGTACAGTCACATAGCTTGCACTCATTTTGTATATAATATATATATATATTTAGGTATCTATCTATCTGTAGATCTGTCTATCTATCTATCTATCTATCTTTCTATCTATCTATCTATCTATCACATTTCTTCATCCACTTGTTAATTGATGGGCATTTGAATTGCATTAAATTTGTAGATTGCTTTTGGCAGTATGGTCATTTTCACAATATTGATTCTACCCATCTATGAGCATGGGATATGTTTCTATATGTTTGTGTCATCTATGATGTCTTTCATCAGTGTTTCGTAGTTTTCCCTGTAGACGTCTTTCACTTCCTTGATTAAGTATATTACCAAGTATTTTATTTTTTATTTTTGCAGCTATTGTAAAAGGGGTTGAGTTCTTAATTTGATTCTCAGCTTGGTTGCTGTTGGCATATAGAAGAGCTACTAATTTGTATACTTTAATTTTGTATATGAAAACTTTGCTGAATTCTTTTATTAGTTCTGGGAGCTTTCTGGAGGGGTTTTAGGGGTTTGTAGGTAAACAGTCATCATCAGCAAACAGTGACAGGTTGACTTCCTTTTCACCTATTTGGAAGCCCTTTATTTCTTTCTCTTGTCTGATTGCTCTGGCTAGGACTTCTGGTGCTGTGTTGAATAGAAGTGGTGAAAGTGGGCATCCTTGCCTTGTTCCAGTTCTCAGGGAGAATGCTTTCAACTTTTTCCCATTCAGTGTAATGTTGGCTGTGGGTTTGTCATAGATGGTGTTTATTACCTTAAGGTATGTCCCTTGTATGCCGATCTTGCTGAAAGTTTTAATCATAAAGGGATGTTGGATTTTGTCAAATGCTTTTTTTTGCATCTATTGACATGATCATGTGATTTTTGTTTTAAATTCTGTTTGTGTGGTATATAGCATATATTGACTTGCAGATGTTAAACTATTCCTGCATTCCTGCTATGAAACCCATTTGATCATGGTGGATTATCTTTTTGATATGCTGTTGGATCTGGCTAGCTAGATTTTTTTTTTTTTTTGAGGATTTTTGCATCTATGTTCATCAGGGATGTTGGTCTGTAGTTTCCTTTTCTTGTTATGCCCTTTCCTGGTTTTGGTGTTAGGGTGTTACTGGCTTCATAGCATGATTTAGGGAGGATTCCCTCTATCACTATCTTTTGGAATAGTGTCAATAAGATTGGTACCAATTCTTCTTTGAATTGAATGTCTGATAGAATTTAGCTGTGAATTCGTCTGTCCTGAAATTTTTTTGTTGGTAACTTTTTTTTTTTTTTTTTTTTTGAGATGGTGTCTCTCTCTGTCTCCCAGACTGGAGTGCAGTGGCACGATCTTCACTCACTGCAACCTCTGCTTCCCTCCTGGGTTCAAGCGATTCCCCTTCCCCAGCATTCTGAGTAGCTGGGACTACAGGTGCCCACCACCATGCACAGCTAATTTTTGTATTTTTAGCAGAGATGAGGTTTTGCCATGTTGGCCAGGCTGGTCTTGAACTCCTGACCTCAAGTGATCCATCTGCCTCAGCCTCCCAAAGTGCTGGGATTACAGGTGTGAGCTGCTCCTGGGATTACAGGTGTGAGCTGCTCCCATTTAAAATGGTAATTTTAAATTACTGTTTCAGTCTTGCTGCTTGTTGTTGGTCTGTTCAGAGTCTATTTATTTTTGGTTTACTCTTGCATGGTTGTATATTTCTAGGCATTTATCTATCTCCTCTAGGTTTTCTAGTTTATGCATGTAAAGATGTCCATAGTAGCCTTGAATGATCTTTTGTATTTCTGTGGTATCAGTTGTAATATCGGTTGCAGTATCCAAGAGGTTTTGATAGGTTATGTCACTACTATCATTCAGTTCAAAGAATATTTTAAATTCTACCTTGATTTCATTATTGACCCAATGATCATTCAGGAACAAGTTATTTAATTTCCACGTATTTGCATTATTTTGAGAGTTCCTTTTGGAGTTGATTTCCAATTTTATTCCACTTTGGTCTGAGAGAGTACTTGCTATAGTTTTGATTTTCTTAAATTTGTTGAGATTTGTTTTGTGGCCTATCATATGGTCTATCTTGGGGAATGTTCCATATGCTGATGGATAGAATGTAAATTCTGCAGTTGTTGGGTAGAATGTTCTGTAAATATCTGTTAAGTCCATTTTTGTTGTAGGGTATAGTTTAAATTCATTGTTTCTTTTTTGAACTTCCATCTTGATGACCTGTCTAGTGCTGTCAGTGGAGTATTAAATTCCCACACTATTATTGTGTGGCTGCCTATCTCATTTCTTAGGCCTAGTAGTAATTGTTTATAACTTTGGGAGCTCCAGTGTTAGGTGCATATATATTTAGAATTGTGATATTTTTCTGTTGGACTAGTCCGTTTATCATTACGTAATGTCTCTCTTTGTCTTTTTTAACTGCTGTTGCTTTAAAGTTTGTTTCGCCTGATACAAGAATAGCTACTTCTGCTCTCTTTTGGTGTCCATTTGCATGGCATATTTTTTTCTATATCTTTACCTTAAGTTTGTGTGAGTCCTTATGTGTCAGGTGAGTCTCTTGATGACACTTTGTTGGTGAATCCTTATCCATTCTGCCATTCTGCATCTTTTAAATGAAGCATTTAGGCCATTTACATTCAACATTAGTATTAAGATGTGACATACTATTCTAATTATCATGTTATTTGTTGCCTGAATATCTTATTTTTTTTTCATTGTATTGTTTTATAGGTCCTGTGAAATTTTTGCTTTTGGGAGGTTCTATTTTGGTGTATGTCAAGGATTCGTTTGAAGATTTAGAGCTCCTTTTAGCAGTTCTTATAGTGCTGGCTTGGTAGTGGGAAATTTTCTCAGCATTTGTTTGTCTGAAAAAGACTATCTGTCCTTCATTTACAAAATTTAGTTTTTCTGGATACAAAATTCTTGGCTAATAATTGTTTTGTTTAAGGAAGCTAAAAATAGAACCCCAATCCCTTCTAACCTGTAGTTTCTGCTGTGAAATCTGCTGTTAATCAGACAGGGTTTTCTTTATAGGTTATCTGATGCTTTTGCCTCACAGCTCTTAAGATTCTTTCCTTTGTCGTGACTATAAACAACCTGATGACCATGTGCCTAGGTGATGGTCTCTTTGTGATGAATTTCCCAGGTGTTCTTTGAGCTTTTTGTATTTGGATGTCTAGATCGCCAGTAAGGCTGGGGAAGTTTTCCTGGATGATTCCCTCAAATATGTTTTCCACACCTTCAGATTTCTCTTCTCCCTCAGGAACACCAATTATTCTTAGTTTTGGTCATTTAGCATAATCTGAAACTTCTTGGAGGCTTTGTTCTTTAAAAAAATTTTTTGTCTTTGTCAGATTGAGTTAATTCAAAAGCCCTGTCTTTGAGCTCTGAAATTCTTTCTTCTCCTTGTTCTATTCTATTGCTGAGACTTTCCAGTGCATTTTACATTTCTCTAAGTGTGTCCTTGATTTCCAGAAAGTGTGATTGTTTTTTATTTATGCTATCTGTTTCACTGGAGATTTTTCCATTCATATCCTATATCTTTTTTTTTTTTTTTCTTTAAGTTGGACTTCACCTTTCTCTGGTGCCTCCTTGATTGGCTTAATAGTCAACCTTCTGTTGTTTTTTTTTTTTTTTTCCTGGCAATTCAGAGGTTTCTTCTTGGTTTAAATCCATTGCTGGTGAGCTAGTGTGATCTTTTGGGGATGTTAAATAACCTTGTTTTGTTGTGTTACCAGAACCGTTTTTCTGGTTCCTTCTCATTTGGGTAGACTATGTCAGAGTGAAGATCTGGGACTCAAGGGCTGCTGTTCAGTTTCTTTTTCCCACAGGGTGCTCCCTTGATGTGGTGCTCTCCTCTTTCCCCTAGGGGTGGGCTTCCTGAGAACTGAACTGCAGTGATTGTTGTTTCTTTTTTGGATCTAACCACCCAGAAGAGCTACTGTGCTCCAAGCTGGTACTGGGGAGTGTTGGCAAAGAGTCCTGTGATGTGACCCATCTTCAGGTCTCCTAGTCATGGATACTAGCTTCTGCTCCCATGGAGGTAGCAGGGGAGTGAAGTGGATTCTGTGAGGGTTCTTGGTTGTATTTTTGTTACGTGTGCTGGTTGGCCTCCAGCCAGGAGATGGTGCTTTCAAGAGTGCATCAGCTGTGGTAGTAGAGGAAGGAACAGGTGGTGGGTGGGGCCATAGAGCTCCCAAGAGATTATGTCCTTTGTCTTTGACGACCAGAGTGGGTAGGGAGGACGTTCAGGTGGGAGCAGGTTTAGGCATTTCTGAGGTCAGACTCTCCTTGGGCAGGGCTTGCTGTGGCTGCTGTGAGGGATGGGGGTGTGGTTCTCAGGCCAATGGAATTATGTTTCCCGGGGGATGATGGCTGCCCCTGTTGAGTCACCCAGGTCATCATTAAAGTGGGGGAAAGCTGGCAGCCACAGGCCTCACCCAGCTCCCATGCAGTCCACAGCCCAAAAGGCCAGTGTCACTCCCACTGTGCCCTGCCAATAGCATTGAATTTATTTCCAGGCAGCCGGCGAGCATGGCTGAGAACTTACTCAAGGCTACAAGCCTCCCAGCTGAGAAAGCAAGCCAACTCACAGTTCCTCAGCTGTCTCACAGAGCCTGCAATAGCCATCCACCTCCTTCAAAGGGTCTATGGATTCTCTTGGGTTTCCTGTTATGTTCCTCAGTAGTTCTTGGAGCAAAAGTTCATGAAGTGGGTCTCCATATGCTGCTCTGTCCATCTGAGTGGGAGCTGCAATTTAGTCCTACCTCCTATCAGCCATTTTTTCTGGTATCGCATTTCTTTTTTTTTTTTTTTTGAAGTTGAAAACGTATTAGCCTTGAAGCTAATAGGAGTTTTTAGTTTACTTGAATATACAAATTAAAAAATGCAATTGATACCCTAAAGTGAAAATTTTAAAATTGGAGAATGAAAACATATTATTAAACTGACTTGGGTTTTGGTTGAAAGTGTCTCCTTGCTTTTTCAGCCCTGAAAGACAATCAGTTTGTATCTCCAGAACTGTTCTTTCATGTCAGTGTTCCATATTTTCAATTTAATACTAGATATTTTCATTTCAACATTCTGCCTTATTTTCAAATTCAGTGTGACTACAACTGAACTTAACATATCCCTCCAAATGGTCCTGCAGCTCAAGTCTTGGATTTCCTCAATATCGTCAACATAATTTTGTTTGTTTCGGATGGAAAACATGGGGCAAAGTTGTTCAAAATTGTTAAGTCATTTGTGAAAATACTATGTAAATTATCAAGGTCTGTACAGATGCAAACTGTTAATATCTTTGTATCAGCCCCTCTTGCATCTTCTATATAAAATCATGCTAATCTAATTTTCAATGTTTGCAATATTTCTTCCTCTCTTTTCGTATCCATAATCTTAATTTAAACCTTTATTATCTCATCGTCTATATTGTGTAATAGCTTCATTCACTTATTCGTTCATTTATTTCAAGCTATGTATTGAGCAACTTCTCAATGTGCCAGGTAATATGCATAGTGGTTATGGTAATAAATAAGACAGAATGAGCTTCTGCCTCCGTGAAGTTTACAGTTTAATCTCAAAGGCAGACAAAGAAGAAAAAAGTAAGATTAAACCTGTTGGCTAGAGTGAAGGAGTAGAGTCATATATTTGCATGGATTGGGTGAACATAACCTAATCTTGGATGTCAGAAACCTAGTTGATCTCTTCTCTGCCTGCAATGATGACGCCAGTTTTCCTCAACAACATTTTATTTATTTATTTATTGATGTATGTATTATTTAATAATTTTTTTTTTGAGATGGAGTCTCGCTGTATTGCCCAGGCTGGAGTGCAGTGGCACGATCTTGGCTCACTGCAACCTCTGACTCTCAGGTTCACGCAAGTCTCTTGCCTCAGCCTCCCAAGTAGCTGGGACTACAGGTGCATGCCACCATGCCTGGCTAATTTTTTGTATTTTAGTAGAGACGGGGTTGCACCATGTTGCCCAGGCTGGTCACGAACTCCTGAGCTGAGGCAATCCACCCGCTTTGGCCTCCAAAAGTTCTAGGATTACAGGCATGAACCACTGCACCCGGCCCTCAAACAATGTTTTTACCATATCATTCATATTAAAAATTGACTAAGCCTCCACCCGTAATCCAATTTGAATACCTCTTGCAAGCCTCCATAATCTCTCCTTATCCTACTCATTGATATGTGTTTCTTTGGTCACTGAATTCTGGTCAGAATTTCTTGCTGTTCAATAAATATGTCATACTTTCCCCAGTAAAAATTTCACTTTAGCAAGTTGGCCAAAAATAATTTATTTCACTGAGAAAATCACTAATAGGTTAAGATAGCAATTTCTTTGTCCAAATATCATAGATACTTTTAATGGAACATAATTATAACAATTTTACTTCTTTCATCTTTGCCTGCCTTTGCCATTAAACTGTAAACTTTATTGAGGCAGAAGCCTTTTCTGTCTTATTTATCACTGTAACCACTGTGCATATTGCTTGGCACATTGAGACGTTGCTCAATGCATAGCTTGAAATAAATGAATGAATAAATAAATGAAACTGTTACTGAATACAGACCATGAGTTAATAAAAATGCCTCCATTTAGGACATCATCAGCTTTGTCTTTTACCTCAACACAGTTTTTTCCCATTTTTTTTAATGCTTCTACCAAGTTTATTTGTGTATTTTATCCTGCCTTCCTTGTTACCCCAAAGTTATTTTCTACTGAAGAGTAATAATGGGAGTGAGATGACCAGCCAGAGGAGTCAGGAGATGCCTGTTGCAGGGCAACAGAGTCACACATATTTGGCTTCTTTATGGAGCTCATGGGCAAACATAATTTGGATGGGTCTGCATGTACAACACTGTTTTAGTTGTAATGATATATTCCGGAGAACAATACGATTTTGGTAACTTAGAGAACTACCTTTTAAGGCTCCCTGGCGTTTTTGTTTTGTTTTGTTTTGTTTCCCATTTTTAGAAATCCTGCCCAAAATGAATTTTGAATGCTTGGGGCTTGGATTGCCCGCCATGTTACAGTACTATCTCTCTATACTGTTACAACTCAAAATTTGTCTTTGATTTGTGAATTTTTGGATATTCCAACTGGTACTGCCAACACTACTTTCTCAGGTCTGCAGTTTCTCTTTTTATTATCCTGCAACAGGTTGTGTGAGTGTATGTGTGTGTGTGTGTTGTTATGAAAATTTTACTTTAACATATTGGCCAAAAATAATTTACTGTACTGAGAAAGTCACTAACAGGTCAAGCAAGCAATTTTTTTGTCCAAATATCATGGATACCTTCAATGGAACATAATTGTTATAATTTTATTGTTGCTGTATTTTGACATTGAAATAGAAACATCCTAGTTATGGCACTTACTAATAAAGTATATTAAATTTTTCAATCAAAACTGGCCTTAAAATGAACACTTTCTATACTTGATATACACATATACACACATAAACACACGATACATGGATTAACTCACACAGATACACATATACATATTTACATTCAATGTGTTTACGTATCTGTATATATGTTAAAATATTTAAGCATGAGGAAATTTGGACTGGCCATTCAGGAATATGGAAAAATATGGTTTTCATATTGAACAAAAGTTTCCATATGGATTCAGTCATGTTTAAAGAGCTGAAAAACTGACTTAGTTAAAAAAAAAGTCACAACTTGCCATGGCCTTTATTCTTAATTTAGAACAAGTGCTTTTGACATATTTGAAGACATTTGACTTAAAAATAGCCAAGTTGAAAGTATTTAAGAGTGACACATGAGTGCCATTCTCCACTGCACTCTCTATCTGTTGCAGGCATCCATTTCCTTGACTTCAAAGAGAGTTCTTCAGAACGAAACCACTACACAGAGGAACAATCTGTTCTTCTTCCGCTTTCAATATATTTGAGACTCAGCATTAATATCTGTGTGCAGTTGAGCTCAGTGAAGTCTTGGGTCTGTCAAAACAACCAGCATTCTAATACATGCCAATGGAGTTCCTTTGCAAAGCTTCTGGTTCCCAAATGGGAATTCTGCCTTGGCTGTGTGGAGGTGCTATGAGCAAGAGCAGACCAAGGCCTGAATGTTTGAAATTATGCATGCTTTTTGTTGACATAAGTGCATCCACATGTGGATCAATCCTACATGATACATGCCTAAAATCAGGAGGAAAACAATATTCAAGGACGTGGTCAGTGCAGATTTAGGACAATCCTGTCTCCTTAAGGTAGTTACATGCACGGACCTGTACAAGAAAAATTCATGCCCAAGAACAATTGTCTGTGGCACAACATGGTCCCAATGCATCAAAGAAGACTTCAACTCTGACCACTCCACTGTATTACCAAAGCAGGAAAGTGGGCAAAGACATTTTAGTAAGATCTGTGCCAAGCTAAAAAGCAAATGGTGTGAGGCTTTGGAGAGGCAAGAGTGGTATGTGGAGTGCAAGCTTTGACAATAGAGACACTGAGGTTTGCACCCTGAAAATATTCTTTATCATATGGTCTCAGGTTAAGTCATTACAACTTATAGAACTTCTATTTTCTCATCTGCAAAATGAGGAGAATTGCTGAGCAGTTTGTACAGCAGGTCATTTACTGGTCAATGTGGAATAAAATAGACATTTCTATCTTCACCCACTCTAGACATTTGCTGAATGAAAAATCAAACTTGTTACTCACCTGGAAAGTTCCCATCTGTCTTTCTCATATAGGGAATGGTACAAACTACTCCTGTGACAGGCAGAAATTTGAAGGGTCCTCTTTTCTTTTTTTATTATACTTTTAAGTTCTAGGGTACATGTGCACAATGTGCAGGTTTGATACATAGGTATACATGTGCCATGTTGGTTTGCTGCACCTATCAACTCGTCATTTACATTAGGTATTTCTCCTAATGCTATCCCTCCCCCAGCCCCTCACTCCCTGAGAGGCCCTGGTGTGTGACGTTCCCCACCTTAAAGGCCCTCTTTTAAAGGAAAAAGACAAAATCCAGTTCTATATGAAGCAGGGTAGACTGAGGGTCTAAACACCGATTCTGATCTCAGATCTTGCACCAAAACATTGTGTGACAATGAGGAGCCTCAATTTTCTCATCAGAAAGTAGAGATTGAACCAGGATGACTTGCAAGATCTTCCAGCCACAGAATCCTTTAATTCTAAGGACTGTGTTCACCTCTCCCTATAGCAGTTGGCCTGCCTGGACCAGATGAGTACGCAGAGCTTGCTGCATTCAAGAGTTCAGGCAGGCCACCTGCATGGCTCGCCACCAACTTCTGGGTAGACATGCACTCTGGAATCAACCAGGTAGGAACCAGAGCCCTGTCATAAAGACAATTGAAGACAACACTGCTGTCACCCCATATATGAGCTGAGAGTGAAAGTTCATTTATTGCAAGGCAGACTCCAACTGAGCTGCCGAAACTAAACACATTGTGGGAGTGATGTTGTAGCAGGATGAGCTCCTTCAGAAAACAACCCAGGAAAAGAAAACCTTCTTGGGGTTGTAGTCATATAAGAATTAAGAAGGAAATGCAAAAACAGTATTCTAGAGCATTCAAAGGTTTTATGTTACTTTCCCCTTGCAACCTAAAACACACACACACACACACACACACACACACACACACACACACACATATATATCCTCAGTAAAATAATACTGTGGAAGAGTTAAACTCTCTGTAGAGTGAGTTTGTATCTATCTATCTATATATATCCTCAGTAAAATAATATTGTGGAAGAGTTAAACTCTATGGGCTGCCTCCTGGAAAGCAATATTGTCACTTGCTAAATGTCACTAAGGGATTGCCTATGAATTCACAATGTCACCATAGAATAAGAAAAGGGGGGCTCTATGGGCAATGCCTGAAAATGAGACTAAGAGGGTGACCTAGATTGGGTTCTCCAGAAGTGATCTTTGAGATTAGTATTAGTGGCAAATGATTTATTAGGGAAATTTTCCCAAGAGAAATTTATAAGAAGGCTGAAGAAGCAGGGCAGGGATGGGGATGAAGCTAATGAGTTGTTGAGGATAGTGTCAGCCTGATTCTGCAAGGGTACTCTGGTGTGTGGGTTAAGCCTCAGTGTGTCCCCACTGGAGGCCAAGGAGCTGGGCTTTCCTCCTTGAGATGAGAATTCACCATCGTGGATTTCCATGATGGCTGCAGGCAAGTGGTCTTCAGGGACCCCTGAGGGCAGTTGTCCTAAGACGAGTGTCAGGTGCTGGCCATTGGAAGAAAATAGGCAGCAAAGTACAGAAATGGCAAAAGGGATACAAGGAGGTCTAGGAGAAGCACTGGGTGTCTTTAGCAGGCTACTCCTCTTGTTGATTGCTCAGATGCACTGCATGAAGTTCATTCCCTCCAGCTGTGGCTACCTCAATATGGTGGCTGGAGGGTTAGTGAGATAAGCTCTAATCATTCCTGCCCCCAAGGTTGGTCCCAATGCTAAAACTGTTATCTATCATTTCCACTGCACATGCAAGATTCCTTTTACCCTCTATTGGCTCAGGAGTCTTGCCTTCTAATGTGACACAGATCTTCATACTGTGACCTAGACCTTGTTTCCTGAAGGCTATATAGCTTGTGATTTCTATGCACTTTTCAGGCTGCAGTTACAATTGTGCATTCATAGTGAAGACAGCATGGGAGCATCAGAGATGTCCTAGTGGATTTCTGGAGGCATAGTCTTTGAATGGCATGTGGTGAACCATTGTTCACTTCCAGGATTAATATGCACAAAATGTAGAATACAACAATTCTAAAGTCCCAGTTATTTATTTATTTATTAAATATATTTTTTATTGTAATGAACATTGAAACCCAGTAAAATAAGTATGTCAGTTTTACTGAGTAGCACATCCCTTGGCACATATCAGATATTTAATAACCATTTTTATGACTAAATAAATAAATAAGCACATTGTAGGTGCTCCATAAATACATGTAAAAATGAATACAATAAAGTAATTTAAAAAACACAGTCCATATATTTAAGTTATCAAAGACAACCAACGAAGCCCAGTTTTCCAAGAAGAAAAAAAATGCAGAAATAGTCCTTTTCTCCTTCATAGTTAAATGAATAGATAATTAAAGGTTTTTCTTGTTTAGGAAGCCGAAATTCTTCCCCCTGAGGAAATTAGGCTTGTACAAGCCATTATCTGATGACAATGTACAATGAATTAAATGGTTGAAGCATTGCATAATTCACTAGGAGGACAGTGCTCTATTGGGCAGCTGTTTCTCAGTCCTCACACTTGCTGCTTCCAGACAAGGTTATAACAGGATGTGTCCAAGGGCTGGGTTTAATGGTGAGTCTGCTGATTACAAAATGATGTTATGTAACACTTTCCATTGCTTTTCAGACATCCATTCATTCATTCACTCATTCATTCAACAAATACAGTCTGTGTTGAGTACTTAATAGTCTGCTAGCTTCAGTTCTTGGAACTAGAAAAACAGTAGTGAATGGAAAATCTCCTTGCTCCTTGGGGCTTACATACTAGAAAGAAAGAGCAATCCTAAATGAATAAATTACAGAAAGAGAGAGAGAGAGAGAGAGAGAGAGAGAGAGAGAGAGAGATGTCAGAAGGTGACTAATGCTAGGGAGAAAAAAACTAAAACCAAGGGAGGAGATAGGAATTGCCAGGCGGTGAAGTGGGTGTAGTGCGATTGTAAATAGTAAAAAGTGTTAGTAGAGAAAGTCTCGACTGGAGGATTACATTTGAGCAAAAACTCTAAGAAGCTGAAGGAGAGAAACATGCTTATCTGGGAGACTAATGTTCCAAGAAGAGAGATCAGTAGGTGTAGAAAGCCAGGGAGCACCAAAGAGGCCAGTAAGGCTGGGGAACAGGGGGTGAGGGGAAGTGCAGTGAGGATGCTACTGGCTTAGTAAATGCAGGTCATTGAAAGCCACTGGCAGATTTGGAGGTTTGCGCCCAGTGAGATGGTAGTGCTGGGAGATAAATGACATGACCTGATGGTGTTTTACCAGGATCCCTCTTGCTGCTGAGTAGAATATGCTGGGATGGAGCATGAGGATGAGGAAAAGAACCAGGCACACGATACCGGTGGCTTGGAAGTAGTGAGCAATGGTTGCAGCTGAAGGTATTTTGAACCAGAGTTGACATAATATGTTAGAAGATTGAATATTTGGTTTGAGAAAAACCTGAGTAAAGGATAACTCCAAGGTTTTTGGCTTAAGCAGCCAGAAGAATGAAGTAACCATTAACTGAGATTTGTTATTATGGAGGAGTACAGTTTTGGAACTTATTGGAAACTGGAATAAAGGTGACTCTTGCTATGTTTTAGCAAAGAGACTGGTGGCATTTTGCCCCTGCCCTAGAGTTTTGTGGAACTTTAAACTTGAGAGAAATGATTTAGGGTATCTGGCGGAAGAAATTTCTAAGCAGCAAAACATCCAAGAGGTGACTTGGGTGCTGTTAAAAGTATTCAGTTTTAAAAGAGAAGCAGAGCATAAAAGTTCAGAAAATTTGCAGCCTGACAATGAGATAGAAAAGAAAAACCCATTTTCTGAGGAGAAATTCAATCTAGTTGCAGACATTTGCATAAGTTACAAGAAGCCAAATGTTAATCACCAGGACAGTGGGAGAAATGTCTCCAGGGCATGTCAGAGACTTTTGAGACAGCCCTTATCATCACAGGCCCAGGGGCTTGGAAGAAAAAAAGGTTTCATGGGCCGGGCCCAGGGTGCCCCTGCTGTGTGCAGCCTAGGGACTTTGTGCCCTGTGTCCCAGCCACTCTAGCCATGGCCAAAAGGGGCCAAGGTACAGCTCAGGCTGTGACTTTAGAGGGTGCAAGCCCCAAGCCTTGGCAACTTCCACGTGGTGTTGAGCCTGCAGGTGCACAGAAGTCAAGAATTGAGGTTTGGGAACCTCTGCCTAGATTTCAGAGGATGTATAGAAGCAGTTGGATGTCCATGCAGAAGTTTGCTGCAGGGGCGGAGCCCTCATGAAGAATCTCTGCTATGGCAGTGCCAAAGGGAAATGTGTGGTTAAAGCCCCCACACAGAGTCCCCACTGGGGCCTAATGAAGCTGTGAAAAGAGGGCCATTGTCCTCCAGATCCCAGAATGGTAGATCCACCTGCAGCTTGCACTGTGCACCTGGAAAAGTCACAGACACTCAATGTCAGTCTGTGAAAGCAGCTGGGGAGAAGCTGTACACTGCAAAGCCACAGTGGTGGAGCTGCCCAAGATCATGGGAACCCACCTCTTGTATCAGCATGACCTAGATGTGAGACACGGAGTCAAAGGAGATACTTTTGGAGCTTTAACATTTGACTGCTTTGCTAGATTTTGGATTTCACTGTCTCTGTAGCCCCTTTGTTTTGGCCAATTTCTTTCATTTGGAATGGGTGTATTTATCCAATGCCTGTACCCCCATTGTATCTAGGAAGTAACTAACTTGCTTTTAATTTTACCGGCTCATAGGTGGAAGGGGTGTGCCTTGTCTCACATCAGACTTTGGGCTGTGGACTTTTGAGTTAATGCTGAAATTAGTTAAGACTTTGGTGGACTGTTGGGAAGACATGATTGGTTTTGAAATGTAAGGACTTGAGATTTGGGAGGGGCTATGGGCAGAATGAAATGGTTTGGCTCTGAGTCCCCACCCAAATGTCATTTTGAGTTGTAGCTCCCATTATTCCCATGAGTTGTGGGAGGGACCTGGTGGGAGATAATTGAATCATGGAGGTGATTTTCCCCATACTATTCTCATGGTAGTGATTAAGTCTCACAAGATCTGATGGTTTTATGAGAGGAAATCCCTTTCACTTGGTTCTCATTCTCTCTCTTGTCTGCCTCCATGTAAGACATGCCTTTTGCCTTCGCCATGATTGTGAGGCCTCCCCAGCCATATGGAACTGTGAATCCATTAAACTTCTTTTTCTTAATAAATTACACAGTCTCAAGGATGTCTTTATCAGCAGCATGAAAACGGACTAATACAACACTACTTCACCATCAAGAACGTTGATATTCATTTATTTCACTGTTTTCCTCTATTTGCTTGCATGTGCATTACCCTGGACCACATTAGCATCATAGCTTCTGAATCCTCTCAACTATATTTGCTTTTACCTTCACTGTCAATCAGTTTACTAGCTCCATAGTGCAGACTAAACTTTAGGATTCTTTGCAACTTTACCCATCATTTCTGAAGTGCTGTACTCCAACATCATGTCCTCACTACCTTCAATCCTTTACTGCCACTATTCTTCTTTCTGACCTTATCAGTAACTACAGGGACTACTCTTCTTTCATCCAGCTGTTCCATCTTGACTTCATGTTAATGCTTACTCAGGCTGGATTCTGTGGCATTTTTTTCTGTAACTCTGTCTTCAGTGTCTGCAACTCTTTTCACTTACTGTCCTGCGATTGAGAAAAACTTTCAGTCAACCTCTACTCACTGTTTTTGACTTGGAGTTGGGGAATGGGTAATTCTATAGAATTCCCAGGAATCCCTAGGATCACCCTCAGGCTCAATAATTTACTAGAAGGACTTGCGGACTTGCAGGATTCAGAAAACTCACTAACTCATGGCTGTGGTTTCTTACAGTAAAAGGATACACATTAAAATAAGCTAAGAGAAAAGGTGCATGAGGCAAAATCCTGGAGAAACCAGGCATCAGCTTGCAGGTGTCCTTCACAGGGGAGTTGCATGGTTGTGCTTAATTCTTCCAAGGATGTGTGGCAACATATGTGATGTGTTGCCAACCAGATAAGCTCATTTGAATCATGGTATCGAGGGTTATTTTTGGAGATTTATCACAAAGACATGCAATGACTGTCTGACTGACCTCAGCTGCTCCTACTCCAGCACCTCAAAGCAAAACATGTCATTCATATGCAACCTTAGAAAAATCATTCACGGTAGATCATATTGTCACCATAAACGTTATGATCAAACTAGTGCTGCATGGCCCAAGGCCTCAGGCATACAAAGGACTCTTATCAGGCAGAAACTTTCAAAGGCTCAGAGCTCGTCTTCCAGGGCCAATCCTGAAGACAGGATTTTCTTGGAAGTGTTCAGTTTGAGCAACCCAGGCCTGTTGAGTGAACACTTTTGTGCACACCTGTGAGTTAGCATTCATCTCATACATGATCCTGATCTTTTTTAGGCTCCTCAGTTCCAAGTCTTCTTTCTTTTCCCTTCCTCAGTGTAACTTTTCAGCTTTCACTTCTCTGTTTAAGTTCATGCTTCTTTTGTTGCTCCTATCCCAATGGCAAAAATGACGATTTCTGTTCAAGTTTCTTCCATCCTTAACATCAAATTATCTTTATCTGAACTCATACTTCCTTCTTGTCTCTAGGAAATATCTATACTTATTTCTACATAGGATTTGCAATTTCACCTTTAAAAAAACCTCATCCCATCTCCCTTCTCTTAGAAACTTCTAAAATTCATCTCTTATGACTGTTTCCCATCAGCCTAAAATCCTTATCAGGTCTCTCATCCTAAAAGTACTTCTCTTCTTTCTGATAAGTGTCCTTGGTGCATGACTGGCAAATGTCCTTTTGATTCCTTGTCTCAAATGTCTTTCTCATCAGGATTTTCTTCTCCATTTCCAAACTGGTACTGCCTAGTTAATGATGTATTCCATATAGCATCATGACAGAAACCTAACTGGGTCCAGTGTCTGCTGTTTCTCAAGTCTTCCCTCAAAACTACCAGAAAAAGAATTTGATCACTTCCCTGAATCACTTAAAAATTCTATTAATTACTCCTTGTCTACTGAATACAGTAGAAAGTATTTAGCATGATTTATAAGACTTTCTACAATGGTGCTCACTCACCTTCCAGTGTTGTCTCTTTTCTTGTTCTCACCCACCTCTCTCCTTAACAGATGCCTGACAGTTCCAAGAGTAAGCTATGGGCTGGCTTGTTCAGGCAATTCCCTGTGTCTAAAATGTCATTCTTTTTATTTTTCACCTGTTGATGTGCTATTTATCCTTCAAGACTTAGCTCAAATATTAAATTTTCTGTGGTGCTTTTGCCAGACTTTTTCATTTACATTCTTGTTCCCTTTTGCCTATCATATCTTATTGTGTTGAAGTAATTAATATATTTAGCATGTCTGTTTCTTTCATCAGAGCAGAATGCTCTGGTCATTGATTTCCCAAAGTGACTGAAAGAGTAGGAATCAAAATAGGCTAGTTTAATAGAGGGCTGGGATCTGAATTAAAAAAAGCTAAGAAAATTCTTTCTAAATTATGTATCTTTAAAAAATAATGTGTATATTTGTGGCACTTAATTCTAATTATGTATTATTACTGAAAGCTATGGGACCTATTAACTTCCAGGAGTATTTTCCCATTTTCGGTATGGAGCACACTGTCCATCGAGACACTTCTTTTAAAATTCCCAGTAATATATAATGATTTCTTGAAATATCTTGAATTAAAATTAGCGTATCTTCCATCTGCCAAGACTGAATTTAAATTATCTTTTACAGACTCTAGCTATGGTTACTAGATTAAGCAAAACACAAAATTCCATTGGTAATTCCATTTGTAGTTTTCTCAAAAGAAAAATAAATCAAGATTTGCTTGAGTTGCAGCAAATTATGATAATGTGAATATTCTGAATTAAACCTTCTCTGACTTGGTAATTACTGGGAGCTCTTTCACTGTATATCCTGGATTATAGAATTATTCATATGTAACAATACATATCATAGTCAGATTCAGGGAGAGATTTATTACATCACTTATAATTTAGAACAAAATGTAGGGATTTAGTGTATGTGTTATTTGTTGTAATACTGAGAAGATCAGAAAATTTATGAGAAAGATTTGCCTAATTTAGGCTAAGAAGATTTTGAAAAAAATATAATAATAAGAACTGTTTGGGTTGGGCGCGGTGGCTTACACCTGTAATCCCAGCACTTTGGGAGGCTGAGGTGGGGTGGATCACAAGGTCAGGAGATTGAGACCATCCTGGCTAACACCATGAAACCCTGTCTCTACTAAAAATACAAAAAAATTAGCCAGGTGTGGTGGCGGGCGCCTGTAGTCCCAGCTACTCGGGAGGCTGAGGCAGAGCTTGCAGTGAGCTGAGATCGCACCACTGCACTCCAGCCTGGGCAACAGAGTGAGACTCTATCTCAAAAAAAATAAAATATTGGGAGGCCAAGGCGGGCAGATCATGAGGTCAGGAGATCGAGACCACCTTGGCTAACATGGTGAAACCCCGTCTCTACTAAAAATACAAAAAATTAGCTGGGCCTGGTGGCAGGTGCCTGTAGTCCCAGCTACTTGGGAGGCTGAGGCAGGAGAATGGCATGAACCTGCGAGGCAGAGCTTGCAGTGAGCCAAGATCGCGCCACTGCACTCCAGCCTGGGTGACAGAGCGAAACTCTGTCTCAAAAATAAATAAATAAATAAATAAATAAAGTAAAATAAAATAAGAACTGTTTGGAGGTTTCTCAAAAAACTAAAAATAGAGTTGCCATACAATGTAGCAATCCCACTGCTGGGTATATGCCCAAAAGAAAGGAAATCAACATATCGAAGAGATATGTGCACTCCCATATTTCTTGCAGCTCTGTTTACGATAGCCAAAATTTGGAAGCAACCTGTGTTCATCAACAGATGAATGGTTAAAAAAATGTAGTATTTATTCACAATGGAGTACTATTTAGCTATAAAAAATGAGATTCAGTCATTTGCAACAACATGGATGAAACTGGAGGTCATTATGTTAAGCTAAATAAGCCAGGCACAGAAAGACAACCATCACATGTTCTCATTTATTTGTGGGACCTAAAAATCACACAATTGAACCCATGAAGATAGAGAGTGGAAGGATAGTTATCAGAGGCTGGGAAGGGTTGTGGTAGGGGGAGGTGGCTAGGGGGATGTGGGGGCGGTTAATGGGTACAAAACTAGAACGAATGAATAAGCCCTAGTATTTGATAGCACAACAGGGTGACTATAGTCAATAATAATGTAGTTGTACATTTTAAAATAACTAGAAGAATATAATTGAATTGTTTGTAACACAAAGGATAAACGTTGGAGGATACAGATACCCCATCTTCCATGATGCGATTATTATGCATTGCATGCCTGTATCAAAACATCTCATGTATCTTATAAATATATACACCTACTGTACCCACAAAAATTTAAAATTGAAAAAATAATAACTGCTATAGCTTTTAAAAATATATTGTGTATAATATAATGGAAATAATTGATCATTCCAACTTCATATTCTGCTTCGGTGCCAATAAATACTTGTTAAAGCCTGGAATCAAACAGTAGGAAAGTGATCTAACAATTTCAACTATTGTGAACGATGCAGCAATATGGTTTAATAGCCCTGGTAAATGCTGAATGGCTCTTTGCTATACAGGACAACAAACTTCATTCTAGCACAAATTGAGAGTTTAGGTTTAGTATTCAATGACACAAAAACAACTAAGTGCTGTCTACAAAGGAAAAAGAGATTTAGATTTAAAAATTTGATGTTTATTATCACTTAAAATTAATCATCTTTGGGAGAAAATTAGTTTTGAAATTATAATGAAAGTTACAACTACCCCCTACTGTTGGGGAAGTAGATAATAGCTAGTCAAATAGGAATTTCATATATAAAAAAGGCAGTATTGCCTAGGTTTAAGAGCATGCACCCTGCAGTCAGACTGCTTTTATAAAAATTAATTTTTTATTTTAAATAGTTTAAGTGTACAGAAACATTGTGAAGATAGTACACATAATTTCCATATAACATGCACTCAGTTTCCCTTATTGTTAATCTCCTACATTAGTTTGGTACATTTGTCACAATTAATGAACTAATATGAGTACATTATTATTAATTAAATTCCACATTTTATTTTGATTCCGTTAGTCTTTCCCTGTTATCCTTTCTCTATCTCTGAATTTCATACATGATATCACGTTAAGTTTTGTCCTCATGTCTGCTCAGTCTTCTCTTGGCTAGGATAGTTTCTTAGAGTTTTCTTACTTTTTATTACCTTGACAGTTTTGAGTACTGATCAGATATTTTGTAAAATGTCCCTCAATTTGGGTTTATATTATGTTTTTCTCACAATTAAACAGAGGTTTTGGGTATTTGAGAGCAAGATCACAGAGGTAAAATGCCATTCTCATCACATCATGTCAGGGTAAATGCTATCAATGTCACTTATCGCTGTTGATGTTAACCTTGATCAGGTAGCTGAAGTAGTGTTTGTCAAATTTTGCTGTTGAAAGTTGCTCTACCCCAGCTCTTTTCCAAACTGTCTTTTTTGGAAGGAAGTCACTATGAATGATGCTCTACCTCGATGAGGGTAGAGTACATAAAATATTTGGAATTCTTCTGCAAGAGAGATTTGTCTATTCTCTTCATTTATTTACTTATGTAGCCATTTATTTACATCTAAATGGACTCATGAATATTTATTTTATACTTGGGTTATAACCCAATACTACTGTTTTTTATTTTGCACAAACTGTTCCAGCTTTGGCCATTGGGAGCTTTTTCGCTTAGCTCCTGTGTTTCTTTGACATACATTCATTATCATGAATTTTTTTGAGTACTTCCTTACTTAGTGGCACTACAAAGTGCTCCAGGATCATCTTGTATATTTTGACCCTAGCCCTGGAATCAGCCATTTCTCTGAAGAGTGATGTTTGTTTGTATTGAAGAACAGTATTAGAAACCAAGACCTGGGATCTGGGTCTACTCATTGCTCATGTGATGTTGTTACTTCTTTCAACTATCAGAGCAAGAAAATATAGGTGTACATACTAATCCACGTATACAGGTTGAGTATCTTATCTGAAGTGCTTGGGACCAGAAATGTTTGAGATTTCAGATTTTTTGGTTTTAGAATATTTGCATGCACATAATGAGATACCTTGGAGATGAGATCCAAGTCTAAACCTAAAATTTATTTATGTTTATATGCACCTTATACAAATAGCCTGAAAGTAATTTAATATAATGTATGTATTTTTTTTGAGACAAAGTCTTGCTCTGTCACCTAGGCTGGAGTGCAATGGCACAAATCTTGGCTCACTGCAACCTCCACCTCCCGGGTTCAAGCAATTCTCCTGTCTCAGCCTCCTAAGTAGCTGGGATTATAAGCATGTGCCACTACACCTGGCTAATATAATATTTTTAATAATTTTTTTACATGAAACAAAGTTTGTTTACATGGAATCATCAGAAAGCAAAGGTGCCACTATGTCCACCTTTGTGGATAATCTGTGGTTGTTTGGCATCACCATAATTCCTGACTCTGAATTTAAATGCTACTGATCAATAATCATTTTCTTACACTTATTCATGTAAGTACTTAACAATAAAAAATACGACATGTCCTTTGTGCAGTAAAATCAAACCCAAGAATAGCTGGATCAGCTGTTAAACAACAGCAACAACAGCAGCAACAACAGTAAGCTTTCAGTCTCCTCCTCTGATGCCGTGTTTTGATTAAAAGCTTATTGTATGCTGTATTTTATATTTTTATGTGAGAAGAAACATCAGAAGCATTTGAAAGACCAGGAAATGAGTCCCCTAGGGATAAGAGGCATTCTGCTGGATGGCTTTTAAAAATGTTTCCTCCAGAGTCGTCTGCCTCCTTAAGAATGATTTTTGTCTTAGAAGCCTCTCTTTAATTTTATAAACTGACATGATTTCTTGTTCTGTTATAAATACATGCTGTTTTAGTCCTTCAATAAGCCCATCACACATTTTCACGTATTGTCTACAGGCAGTTTTTCTGCCGTGTTAATGACATCATCTTTATCATCACTCTCATCAAGATCATCTTGATTCAGAACCTTTTTGGCTCCATTGGTCAATGACTGCACAACTACTGCCTCACTATTGATGTGTAAAACCTCAACATCGCTGATCATGAGAGAAATGCAAATCAAAATTACAATGCAATAACATGTCACACCAGTAAGAATAGCTATTACTAAAAAGTCAAAAAATAACAGGTGCTGGTGAGGTTGTGGAGAAAAAGGAACATTTATACACTGTTGGTGGGAGTGTAAATTAGTTCAGCCTTTGTGGAAAACAGTGTGGCGATTCTTCAAAGACCTAAAAACAGAACTACCGTTCAACCCAGCGATCCTATTACTGGGTATATACCCACAAGAATATAATTGTTCTATCATAAAATTACATGCATGCGTATGTTCCTTGCAGCACTATTCACAATAGCAAAGACATAGAATCAACCTAAAAACCCATCAATAGTAGACTGGATAAAGAAAATGTGATACATACACACCATGCAACATTATGCAGCTGTAAACAAGAACGAGACAATTACCTTTGCAGGAACATGGATGGAGCTGGAGGTCATTAGCCTTAGAAAACGAACTCAGGAACAGAAAACCAAATACACCATGTCCTCATTTATAAGTAGGAGCTAGATGATGAGAACTCATGGGCAAATATAGGGGAACAACAGACACTGGAGCCTACCAGAGGGTGGAGGGTGGGAAAAGGGAGAGGATCAGAAAAAATAATTATTGGGTACTAGGCTTAGTACCTGGGTGATGAAAAAATCTGTACAACAAACTCCCATGATGTGAGTTTACCTGTATAAACAATCTGCACATGTACCCCGAACTTAAAATAAGAGTTAATAAAATCTTATTAGATACGCAGCTTGTTCAACTTACTGATGGACTCTGAAAATATATTATTTGCATATGTAAGGACGTCATGCATCATTTTTTTTTCTCACTTGACGTGCAAAATTCTTCAAAGTCACCACCTTGTTCATCATTATCACTGAACATACTCACAGGCCAGAAGTTGTGCCAGGCATGCAACAACTGTGTCTGTAGTCACTGTGTTCCAAGGATTGGCAACAGCATATATATGGCATTTTTCATGCTAACTTTCTCTTGAAAACCTTCCATACCCAAGTGTCTGTTCACTGCTGTTAGCCTGCTGCTCAAGAAAGTGTTTTTATATGTAATCTTTTTTATGTAATGTGATCTGGTCACATTGGCTGAATTAATGAAGTCATATTTGGGAAAAAGTACATGGTATAGACATTATTTTTTATGGGAATTTCAGCTGGAGGATCAGCCAAATAGTTGTGAAGGAATAACACATTCTTGCCATTTAGTCATTATCCATCCAGCTTCCCTGCAATCAGCAGGAGGTGCTGTAACAAAATGTTTGTGAAGCTAATCAGAAAAGATGTCATTGGTGATCCATGACTCCTTATTAGCATAATAATAGACCGGTAAGAAATTCACTCCTTGAAAACAGAGAGGATGCAAGCTTTTGTCTAAGCAGAGTTTACACTTATGCATGCCTGCTGCATTAGCACATCCCAGCACAGTTATTCTGTCCTTGGCATCCTTAATTCCTGGAGGGGCTGTCTCGTCAGCTGTAGCAAGTGTCTTTTTGGACCAATAACGCCCAAGCATTGATGTTTTATCAGCACTTGTTCTGGTGCCAGATTTTCATCAGTGATGACTTTGGCAAACTCATCAGTTAATAAATTTCCCTGCTGCTTCATAATTGGCAGATGCTTTATCACCACAAATCTTTAACAATTTAATGCTGTGTCTTTTCTTAAATTTCTGCAGCCAGCTTGTTGCATGTATTTTTAATTCCTTCCAAATTTCAGTTCACCATGATAGAACTTTGCTTGTTTCATGATCAGTATACCATTAAGTGGCATGTGTTCACTGCAGTGTTGATGGATCACTCTTTCAACACATGATCAAGATATTAATTTTTAGCTTTATTCAGTTTTTTTTTATTTTTCATTAATTTGTGTTCATTACTATCAGCATAGAACTTCAATGGTTCATCTTTCTGTTTCTTCAGTTTGTGTATGGTGGTCATTCCAACACCATGTTCTTCTGTAAGATGTTTCACGCTTACACTGGTGTCCAGTTTCTTCAACAGCTTGACTTTGTGTGCTACAGATAAACATAAATGCTTCCTCTTTTTCTTATCAATCTTACCCATAGTTGAATCTGCAGGCTTTGTTGACATTTCAACAATATCTTTATGCCAAAGAGCAAAGAATAAGCAAAAAACAAAAAGCCAAAAACAGAGAGTAACACAGATTAGTCTTAGCTCCATGTGGGGCATCATGGGGAACCTGTTATTGGCACGTCCAGCCTCCATACATGCCATTTTATTACCTTTTGTGGGCGTGTTTGCATGGGGAAATCTGGAAATGTGTGGGAAAGATATATCGCAGCTGAAGGAAGCTGGGAGAGTCTTCTTCCTTTGAGGATGCTGAATAAAAGAAAACTGTGTGTTATGCACCTGAGTTTTGACTGCAATCCATCTCATGAGGTCAGGTGTGAAATTTTTTCACTTGTGACATCATGTTCTCCAAAATTTTTAGATTTTGGAACATTCTGGATTTTGAATTTTTGAATTAGTAATGATCAACCTATACATACATATCTAAAAATATTTCTATATGTATCCATTTTTATATCAAAGCAAAGCATGGGTTCATATTGATTTTTCCAACTCAAATCTAGTATACCACATGGATCATTCTAGTTTTCCTCTTTTGTTTGTCTGTAACCTCCTGGGCCAAAACTGAGAAACTTGGCTCCCACTGTCCACTGTCCTTTACTTAATTATTTAATTTCAGCCTACATGCATAATGCTTTCAGAATTGTTAACCCCTATGCCCATAGCAAACGAGTTTATCAATAGAGTACATTGCCCATGTGAAGTTCCTTTGCCTGTCTTACAGTCTCCACTCATTTCCAAAGTTACTTTGTGTAATACCTTTCTCCCCCAACCCCCTCAGCGAGGTTGTTTTATATATTTATAATATAGTTATATGATTTTGTAACATCTTGGAATCCCTTGATCTCCTAGATGGTTTTTTTAAAAAACTGCATATGTTGAAATCCATTCTGTGCTATACAGTTCTATGAGTTTTGATAAATACATATTGTCATGTATACCTCAATACAGAATAATACAAAATAGTTTCACTTCCCTAAAAAATTGCCTGTACTTTGCCAATTAAACCCTCCTCTCTCCTCAACAGCCTGATAACCACTGATCTGTTTATCAACTATAATGTTTTGCCTTTTTTATAAGTTTACATAAATGAAATTATATAGTATGTAATCTTTTCAGACTGGTGTTTTTTCACTTAGGGATAGTAATTTGAGATGATTTTGTATGGCTCAATAACTCTTTTTTTTTTTTTTTTGAGACAGTGTCTCTCTCTGTTGCCCAGGCTGGAGTGCAGTGGCGTGATATCTGCTCACTGCAAGCTCTGCCTCCTGGG
Source organism: Homo sapiens (assembly GCF_000001405.40). NCBI lineage: Eukaryota > Metazoa > Chordata > Mammalia > Primates > Hominidae > Homo > Homo sapiens. Next base: position 28,588,904 of record NC_000021.9, on the reverse strand, counting down.
TTCATGCCATTCTCCTGCCTTAGCCTCCTGAGTAGCTGGGACTACAGGTGCCCACCACAACGCCCGGCTAATTTTTTGTATTTTTAGTAGAGACAGGGTTTCAGCGTGTTAGCCAGGATGGTCTCGATCTCCTGACCTTGTGATCCGACCTCGTGATCCGACCTCCTCGGCCTCCCAAAGTGCTGGGATTATAGGCATGAGCCACCGCACCCGGATCCTTTTAGCTCTTTTCTTCTGTCTCACCCATGGCTTCTATTGCATTATTACATCTATGTTGCTCTTTCTTTGTATGTTTTTCAACTTTTGTACCTTTCATCAATCGACTGACTTTCTTCTTTTGTTTCTGGTTTGAATTCTCCACCCCAACAATCTGATCGGGTAAATTGCTTATCGTCATCTCTGATTGGGCAGGACTTCTGTTAAATCCTGGTCACCGACTGAGTGGGATGACAAACTTTGAAATTTTCAGCCCTTAGCTGTCCTGGATCAATCAGGTGGGTTGGGTCACAGAAAAGATGTGTAGCTGTTATGGAATAAACCATCAATATGTAAGGAACTGCCTAAAGTTGCTCCTGGGGCAGAGCCTGTAGTGTGAGGGTGACAGTTTCCACTAAATGAAGTAATGGGTAGAGCAAGAAGCTTGATAGGCCTTTTTGGTGCCCCAAATCAGCTTTCTTACAACACTTTTTTTTCACTTTGCCTAAATATTACTTCAAGAATGTGGAGAGTCTCTTTTTACAATGTGTGAATTTTATTTGCCACATAATTTATGTCTACCTTTAAAAGATCTAAGAAGTTGTCTTTTGAAATCTATGAATGTTTAGCTATTCAAGAGCTTATATTAGTTTCAGACGCTCACTGGGGAAGAAGAGAGAACACCCCTGCATTTAATAGTCCTGATCTTTCTGCCAACTGCAGCTGGGGTTGGCATACAAGTTGTCTTGCAACATCATACTTTTCCTTGTCTTTTGACCAAAATGCTCTCTGCATATATCTGCATGTGGAGAATACCAAAGTATGCTATTTTAATCTCTGCAAACAAATGAGTCACCTCTAGGGGACTATGATGGTCAATAAAACTTGATCATTTATTTATCTATTTGGGCTTAGAAGAGTTTCTGAACATTCAGTTTGCATTTTGAATTTCTGGAATCTTCATTATATAGTAAGTGAAGAGATGACAGACTGTAGATCAATTTTTTAAATTAAAAAAATCCAACTCCACTGGCATTTGTAGATAGTTGAAAATGTCATTTAGCGGGATAACAGTAAATTATTAAGAAATGGGGCTGAACACACCCATTAGTAACCACAATTGGAAACTTGTGGAAAGGAAGAACAAATAACCTATGCCAGAAGGAAAAGGTGGCTTACCCATGTAGTAAATTAGTTTTTTAGGTTGCCTACTACTGAGTGTCTTAGAAATTTGTCACAGTAATTTCACATACTTTCTGTATCACCAGGAGTGAGTAGATCAATGAACTAATCTATTTGTTTAAAAACCAACCAATTAATCTATTATATTTATAATTTACCATATAAATATATCACAACTATTATAAGGATTAGAGTAAGATAATAAAAAATCAATTTAATACAACCCACAACCCAGGTTAGGTGACTGAATCTTCCAAGGGAAACATCAAGCTTGGTAAAAATTGGCATGAGTAGTTTAGAGCAAGCATTGTGGGATCATAGAGCCTGGGTTTGAAGTGTTTTTTTTTTTTTTGTTTATTTCCTTGTCTGATATGCCTACTCCATTTCCCATGTGTTACTATAAAATAGGATAGCTTGCAATTTTTAGATTGCTAATTTATCTTTTATGGCTAAACTGTCTCTTACTGGGTTTTCTTGAATTTAGTTTTTTGTAATCATAAATATTTTATTTTTACACAAAATATACAGATGCTGCTATGGTCTGAATGTTTGCACCCTCTCACGTTTCATACGTTGAAATCCTAATCCCAAGGTATTAGAAAGTAGAACCTTTTGGGAGGTGATTAGGTCATAAGGGCAGAGCCCTCATGGGTGGGGTTAATGCCCTTATAAAAGAGGCCCAAGGGAGTTCATTCATTACCCCCCTGTGAGAAGACACAATGTTATGAACCAGAAAGTGGGCTCTCACCAGGCATGGACTCTACCAGAGTCTGTGTCTTGGACTGTCCAGTGTTAAGAACTGTAAACAAGAAATTTCTGTTATTTATACTCTACTCAGTGTCAAAAATAAAATCAGATACAATTGAAAGTTTTAAAAGTTTATTGTGGATACAAAAGAACAGTTTGCAAACCAGGAATCCTTAGATGAAAGTGATAAGAGGAAACTCAGAGGCATGGCGTTATAGGATGGCTTATAAAATGCAAATGAGGTAGTTGTTTAGCATTTGCAGTGATTCGTTGTTACCATGGGGGTTTTGAGATGGCAGAGGATTGGTAGCAAGCAATCATCTTATACTATCTTTGGAAGACAGCTGAAGCTTTATTTATGATTATCAGAGGTATTTGCAAGAAATAACCTAAGTTATTTTGCTGTTCTCATTTTGCTTTATTTTAACACCAGTTTAAGATATTGTGGTAGCAGCCTGAAAAGACAGATATGGATTCCTCTTCAATCTTTTTATGGTGGTATAAGACTTTTTCTTTGAAAACTGTGATAGAAAATTTTAGCCTTTTTATTCACAAACATATGCATAATGTTTAGCTCCACTAATTTAAGTTTTTTTAAGTTAATTTTTAATGCATAATCCTGGTTTAGAAATTCAAACATCGCAAAGATGCTTATTGCAAATGCACCATTTCTCTATCCCACCACTTTCTTGCTCCCAGATCTTTCCCAGGGGCAACATTTAAATCTATCTTTCTCCTAGCATTTGTGTATCACTAGTGTTATAAATAATATGTGCATCCTGCCATCTTATAATTCATGAATCTTAGGGAATATCTACTTACTGGATATTATTGTGGTGGAGGATTAAACTATCTGTGCCTTATGATTTCTTCCTTCCTTTCAATATGGTTATATTATAATTTGTTTTATTCAAGATTTATTGGACTTCTTTATCTGAGGATTTATGTCTTTCAATAATCTGGTAAAATTTTTAGCCGTTATCTTTTTTAATGTTTCCCCTTCCCTATTCTCCCTATAATTTACTTCTAGAGCTCAGAATAGACAAATATTGGGCTTTCTTACTCTTTCCTCCATGTCTGTTAACCTTTCTCTCATATTGTCCATACACTCTTTTTCAGATATGTCATCCAACTCACTAATTTCTAACTTTGTGTAATCTGCTGCTTTATATTTCCACTGAGTTTGAAATTTTAGTTTTATAATTTTATTTCTAGAAATTCTTTATTTTAAAAAGTCTGCCTTGTCATTTTTTGTAGTTTTGTTTTGATCTTTCTCTGATTTCCTTACACATGTTAACATAGGTACTCTATGTTCTTTATCTGATAATTCCAATACCTGGAGCCTTTATGGGTCTGGTTTGGTGTTTCAGCTGATTTTCACTGAAGGTGATACATTTATTGGATTACTTCTGATATTTATTTATTTATTTATTTATTTATTTATTTATTTAGACAGAGTCTTGCTCTGTCACCCAGGCTGGAGTGCAATGGCACAATCTAGGCTCACTGCAACCTCCACCTCCCAGGTTCAAGCGATTCTCCTGCCTCAGCCTCCTGAGTAGCTGGGATTACAGGCATGCACCACCATGCTCAGCTAAGTTTTGTGTTTTTAGTAGAGATGGGATTTCACCATGTTGGACAGGCTGGTCTTGAACTCCTGACCTCAGGTGATCCACCTGCCTTAGCCTCCCCAAGTGCTGGCAGTTCTGATTTTTAAGAAAGTTGTGAGCATATACTGGCAATCACCTCTAAGTCCTGTGAGGCTTGAGTAGAAGATATTTTTATCTAGAAAGGAATTGTCTTTGTTTCTGCCAAGTATTCATGGGTGCTATCCATATCCACTTTTAACTAAAATTCTCAGCTTTGGCTTTTTCTTTGGTACATAGTAGACATTTGTGTCATGGTAGATGACTTAGTTCTCTTGTTTTGGAGAGACAGATGATTTTCTTTGCTTCCTATCTCGGTTGTGCCCTTTTTCATCAATTTCACCCTCTCCGTTATAGTGCAGCTCTCTATCAGCCCCAGCTTTACATAGGGTTGTCTCCAATTTGCTTTCCTACTCCGCCCAAGTCCAAGGCTTAGTCCACAGTACCCTGCTCCCCTGGGCCCACTGATCACCATTCCACCAGGCCCTTTTGACATCCTGAGAGTGTGGGGAACTTTCCTTTCTGGAGTGGTGTTTTCACTTTAATGAGATGTGACCCCACTTACTTTCTTATATGCTTTTCTCCTAAATTAAAAGGTTTTGCTTTCCTGACATTTTTGAGATATATTTTAGAAAGACTTTGATCTAAGATATTATTATAAACAGAACTTCTTCAACTGGCTTTAGAGATAATGAATTAATTTAATTATTTATCTTCCTCAATTATACTCAGAAGCTATGAGCAGAACTATAACTGTCCTCAATGTACTAGTAAGTACTGATTCCATTATTACTGATTTGCTCTTGTAAATAAAATCTTTACAACTTAAATTCAAGTTCCTGACACCCTAATTTATTGATAATTCTTACAAAATAATCTTTGTGTTGAATGGCAGCTCCACCAAAATTAACTGTTGATAAGTCAAAGTTGAGTTTATTCTTACGAGGGTAAGAAAAGAACTCCCTTGAGAGAATTTTAATAGTATCCTAGATTGGAAAGGGCAAAATTGGAATATTTTTGAGACTGTGGAGTCTACTTTAAGGTGAGTTTTTCAGTACAGGTTAGGACTGGATAAGGGCTGTGATATATTTGTTTAGGACTGGTGTGCACTCTGAGGATTTTGGCATGTAGCTTTCAGAGACTCCTGTACATTTTCTTTTGATTCTTTCTATTGAAAATTTGAAGGACCTTTCAAGATGATCCTAGAATGAAAAATAAAGTGATTAGAAACTTTTATACTCCTGAAATAGTAAAGTTATATTAACAGAGAGTGAAAGAGTAAAGTCCTGTTAATGTGACTACTGAGCTGTATGGGTGTAGATGCTATGCTTTCTGTTCTTGAGCATAAAATAGCAGTTGTTTATGATAACAATGGGAAATCATTCACAGAACCATGCAATGCTGCACAATTTGGGCAAAATATGGCTGTGGTGCTAAACACACCTGTCTTAACAAGACTTCCAATTATGGTACAAAGATAGACATGTTCTCTGAAATCATTTAATAGAATTAAAATGATGAGACACTCTTGAGCACCATGATTTATGCAAAACCTGAAACGACGTGTTCAGGAAATGATTTTATTCAGATGTTCATTTTGATGACGTAGCCCTATTTCAAGGTCTATGTTCTTCTGTGATCCCCTTAATGACCTCAGACTTTCTCATTCAGTGGTGACCAGAGGGCAGGGAGGACTTTTCACAGGGTCTGCATGCTTTGGATAAAGAGAGGACAGAATTCTTGAAGGGGTTTCTGGCTTGGGTCTTGCCATTTTGCTCAATAATCTACAGCCATTGTGTGTCATTAAATTAAGACACCATCTATTGGAAGAAACTCCGTTATTTTATGTACTACTAACAAACACTTCCAATTGAATCATGTAGTAATGCTTTCTTTTCACCTAGAATTTTTATTTTATAATCATTAAAATATCTCTTTCATATTTAGAAATGTATTTTCATCTTACATAATTCTTTAGCTATGTAAAAAATAAAATAAATTGTTCAAAGTATTTTAAAAATGCTTTCACATTCAGATAGCAACTCTTCAGAAATAGCTTTTGACTCAGTCTCATTGATACTGTTTTTCCAATAATATCACTATGTCATCAACAGCATTGATAGTACCACATTTCTTTAGAATATTCCTCTATTGTCTCTGAAATTCTCTTTCAATGACACCCATTCTGTAAAACCCTGATGGTTGTACTGTCTTGATATTATCAACTAGTATAAAAGGTTTTCAGATAACAACCAGGATTCATATTTCTTCCTCAAGTAGTCCTTAGGTGGTTTGCTGGCTGATTTTTTATACCATCAGGGAAAAACACCAAATTTATTTATATGTAGACAATGGCAATGACATTGTGACAACAGCCTGGCTACTACTGTTTATAAGATATCAATAATTGTGTATCTTGGAGTCAATGAAATAAATTATTTTGTATGAAGAAAGCTACTGATTATAGTATTTCCTCTCAATCTTTCCTAATGTATTCTCTACTATGTACTCTTAATTTGATTTTCTTAGTCCTCTGGGAGGGCTTCCTTCTCACTTTAAATGTTTAGCTCTAAGACTGAGAGCCCTGGCAGACCCTCTGCAGAACTTTAGAGGGTGACTCCTCTGTCTTATAAAAGTCTCACCCTGAAGGCCATGATACACAATTTTCAGAATAATATGTTACTGGTAAAACATACTTGATTCCCCCCAGGTGGTTTAAGTGGAAGTTTCAATTCCAAGTGACAACATGACATCAAATCAAAGAACTGGCCTTGGAAAGCTTACCATCTGAGAAAAAAAATGATATTAATATATCCCTTCTGGATTAAATTATTTAGACCAGAGATGTCTATGAGTGTGAGCTGGACTACCGTCTGGTCCTGGAACAAAGCGAGACTAATAAATTCATTTAAAGTGTCAGCTTCAGTTTAAACTGTGTGAACTGAGTGGTCCCCAAACAGAAAACTGAATAGCTCAGTCCTTTGCTATTCCAGTTTCCATTACCCTCAGCAATAAACTAATCCCAACTGGTGAAATAACCACTTCAGTGTTTGTGGCTCCTTTTCAGTTAATTTGGATCACACTCTGCTGGTTATAATATAATAAGAAAAAGCATAAAAATTAGACTAATACAGTTTGCATTTTGTAAATACTGTCTCTAGTCTTTAGGAACATAGTGAAAGATTATATCTACATTGTCAGTCATAAGTGTTAGGGCATTTTAAACATTTTCCCCCCTTTTAAAATGTATCAGCCATTGCAAGCTTCACACTGCATTCCAGAATTTACTAAGATCATTGGATTCAATTTTCCTTTTTAATTTGGCTGGATAACAAAAGTTCAGGGCAATTCTCTAGGTGGCTTTAAACCAACCTAGTTTTTACCGCTTTCTTGCTTGTAGTTCTCAAGACTAACTAGAATGTGCTGGGAATGGGAATACAATACCCTGAGATAGAAAGCAGCTGCCTGGAACGATCTAGGCCTTTTCCCTGTCTCTCCTAGGGAATATCACATCTTGAGTTAGGGAGAAATTGCTCAGGAAGAACAGGCTTTGTTCCTCTTTCCTCTGGAAGCAGTATATTCCTTCAAAGCTTTAGTGCAGTGAGTGACATTGCCCTTGAGGTATGTAACCCAGGGTGGGCTGCGGTTAAGTTTCCCTCAGCTGTGGTGCAATTGTACCACGCTCAGTCCAGACTCCTTCTGCCCTGGGTACCTCAGCTGTGGTGCAATTGTACCACGCTCAGTCCAGACTCCTTCTGCCCTGGGTACCTCAGCTGTGGTGCAATTGTACCACGCTCAGTCCAGACTCCTTCTGCCCTGGGTACCTTTCTTGAGTCTCAGGGGACTTGCTAACAATGAATCCTAGGCTTCTTTTGTTCCTTGCTGCCTAGCTGTTTAAAAAAAAAAAAAAGCCATACTTTTGCACCAAACTGATAATGAATCCACTCCACATAACTCGTGTATGAATAAGTATGTTCTGTCTCACCAGATTCAGACAAGGTAGTAACCAGTGCACAGTGAAACTGCTTGACAAAAGGGCCTTCATTTTTGGTATTAAGGGACAAGATACTGACCCTTTACTGTTTTTCCAAAGTTAAAAAAAATAAGATTCGTGGGTACCAGAACAAAGGCCATTATTCACGTTGGCAATGGGGGTGTGGGTAAATTCATCATTATTAAACCCTTATTTGCTTAAATATGGATCCTGATCAAGGCCATACTAGGAACTGGGGATATAAGAGGCACAACCCATGATTTCCCAGGATTTTTTAGTACTTTACTTTCTAGTTGGGAAGGGAAACACCTATACAGAAAGCTGTGAATCACAACAGGAACAGGATATGCACACAGCAGAAAGGGCAGGGGAGACAATAAGTGTTTTAGCTATCCAGGTTGGGGAGGATAATTGTCGACTATTGGGTTGGAGGGAGTTTCATGGAGGAGGCTGAGTGTGTAGTGAATTTCAGTGATATTTTCTTTTCATTAATTTTGCAGGCAACAGGGCAGGCACTTTCACTGTGCATACTAAAGCTGTTGCTTTGTCTTCTTCGTCGTCTTTTTTTTTTTAAGTGCATTAAACTTTTCTCATTTTAGCCAAGCTAGTTGAACTTGGTAAAAATGGCTGAGATGGTGCACCAGAAGCCAGGGAATATTGTTTTGCTCAAATGGGTGGGGAGTGGGGTGGGATGCTAAACAGGATCCAGAGAGCCACTTGTTGGAGAGCTCTGCCCTGCCCGTGCTAGCCCTTCTCCCAGGCTGCATTCCTTTTCCAAACCATGTGACCTTGCAGGGCTCTGTAGAGAACTGCCCCTTGCCCAACTCTCTGGGCCCCGTCATGATGGGAACAGGCCAAGAGACTGTGAAGTGAGTACATTTCTAGGTTCTTTCTTTCATTTGTGCTGGAGGGGGAGAATGGCTTGCTTCTCTTAGAGGATCTTTGCCCACCTGCTGCCTACAGACACTGCTTCCCACCAGCTCAGTTACGTAAGAAGTGTACAAAGTGGTAGAAGCCGAGTCACCTATCAACTATATTCAGAAATTGATGGTGTTCACTTTTGACAAGAAAATCTCACTTTTTGCCTACTGTCAGATTTCTTAATGATCTCTTAGAGATTCAGAATTGTGATCTGACATCTGTTTGCACCAGAAAACTCACTGCCTCTCTTCTTTTATGCTTTGTCAGTCAAATTGATGCTTGAAATTTTTAGTCATGATGTAAGCTGCTTACACGATGAGGAGAACTTGGGAATTAAGCTTTTTCACAGAAAGTTCAGTCACCAGAGTGAGCAGTCAAACTTTGAATATATAGGAAAGCAAAACTGGGGCCCTTTGCATGCCCCAAGGGTAATATTTTTCAACATTGCTGAGCAAGGAATTGGATCCAGGCTAATGCTCTTGGTGTTAAATCAGACTAACAAATATGCACAATTTTGAATAGGTAAAAATTGCCACACTGCCTTGACATGGGTCATTCTTATTCCATTCTATTTGTATTATGATATGTTTACTTAGCTCTCTTAAATATATATTATTTAAATTTACAAATTAATAAAAACATTAAAAAATAGACATCTACATTTAAGTATACTTTTATTTTCTTTTTCTAAGACAGCTATTTTAAATCATGGTTTATTTAAAGCATGGTTGCTGAAGTATAACTTCCAGAAAGGTAAAATAATGACTCTCATGAAAATACAAACATGCATTAAAGGTCTTATTAAATTCCTTAATGAGGAAACTAATAAGAGGTTCAAACCTGTTCAAAGAAGAATTTGAAGAATATACAATTATATATCTTAAATACATATGCACGTGTATATATAAACACATACACACAAGAATGCTGAAATAAATTTGCTACTGTATGATTCAAAATTGGTTAATAGTCTATAAGGCAATAAAATATAATGTAATGACATATGTTTAGGGTCATCTACAGTGTGGAAATGAATATTTCTACCAACAGAATTCATTTGCATTGATATGGTCAAAAATCACTTGCATTACCATCCATTTTCTACAACTCGATTTCTACCCCTACCGAGTTCACAAATAGCCTAATTGTTACAAATACAATCAAAAGTACGTTATTCAATAGAATCTGATAACCTCTGGAGTCCATAACTCCACCAAAAGAACATTTTTTTCCCATTTCCAACTCTTAGACAATTTTCCTGACATTACATTTAATTCCATATCTGAATTTGGGGAGAGGTAAATCTGTTTTTTAGGTGCCATTCTGGAAGCAAGTGTGAGCCGTTGCACATACTTACAAATTTATTAGTTATGTGGCTAAAATTAAGTCCCAATATTACGTGTGCTGCCTTGACATCTAGTAAAACTGGGAGGGCCTTGAATGGCTTAGCCACAAATTTCCCTCCTCACTTTCCTCCCATGGATAAGGTCCCCTATCAAACAACCCTTTTTATCAAGGAAACCAGGGACAGTTTCTGCTTATCCCTGAGTAGAAGATTTCAGTTCCCTGCCAGTCCGTATGATAATTCAAATGAGCCAATGTGATCCTCCCATGGGATCCAGGGGGACACCTCAACCTCTTTAAACTACTAAACCTGCCTCCCACACCTCCTGATTGTTCACTCTGTTCCCCAGTGAAACCCCGCTGTGGCCCTGTGTGGTTCATCTGTTTCCACTGGTCTGTGATTATATGCAACTAACAAGTACTGTCAATATCGTCTGTCCTGTTTCAGGTGTTGGATGTTCAACCATCCCCATCACCTGAGGGTGGAAATCCTTCCTTCACCAGAAGGGTGAATAGGAGGTGATTACAACCTTGTTATGGAGAGCTGAATCAGAGCAGAGCAGGAGAAGGGAAAATTATCTTTCTATCTGAGGGCAAAAAGATTTAGGTTCAGCAGAAAGGGGTAGTGAGATTTATGTTATTGGCTGAAAGCATGCTTTAGATAGAAAAAAATTTATATGTAAATATTGGAAACAAAGGGCGGAGTTAAGCTTTTCCAGGAGCCTGAAAGATTTTTCAAAATGGCTGGAGTGTATGCAGAGTGCAAAACAGTGATTGTTTAGAGATAGGATATAGCAATGACAGCTGAGTTTAGGAGTTTAGACTTGATCTTAAATTAATGGAAACAATGGAAGGGGTGTGATACAATCAGATTTGTTTTGAAAAAATTGTTTTAGCTTTAACAGAGAGTAAAGGTTGTTTTGACTGGAGTTTGGGAGCCAATTAAAAGATCATTAAAACAATCGATATAAATGTGGTGTCTTCTTCAAAAGTAAGGGTACTAGAAATAGAAATAAATGGACTGACTTGGGTAATATTGAGGAAGTAGGATTTAGAGGGTTTAATGATGAATTGGATGTGGGTAGGGGTGTCAGATTTATCAAATAAAACTACATGATGTACAGTTACATTTGAATTTCAGATAAATCACTTTTTTAAAAAATATAAGGTCAATATTTAGGATAGATACTAAAAATTATTTATTGCTTAGCTGAAATTCAAATGTAGCTGGGAAACCTGCATTTTATCTGGCAACCCTAGATATGTTGTTAAGTAAAGTAAATTGTTGAGGATGGGTCTTGGGTTTTGGAAATAAAAAGTTGTTAGGTGGGCAAAACAAGGGTGTTTCATTTCCCAGAATATCAATGCTTATTGCAAATCTATTAATTTCTTATGGATAAAGAAAACTTATATCAAAATACATCTTCCTGAAGGTAATTTTATGTTTTTGTCTTTTTCATGAAACATGGTATATTTTGAAATTTCTTTATTTCAGGGAGAAAAGAATGGGAACTGTGAGGAAAAGAATGACATGAACAATGGGAAGACCAAGGTCCCAGCACAAGTAGTAGATGCTGAGGAAAGAAGAAGTATGTTGTGGAGTAAGTGAGTGGGCCTGAGTTGAGAAGATCCTGGCCTTGGATTTTAAAACTGTCAGGTGACTATGGTTGTGCTGGTCTCTGCTTTTCATTATGGATATATGTGAGCTTTATTTTCTATTAAGGTAAGTGGCTCCAGTCAACACTGTGCCAGGGTTTCTTAATTTTCAAAGGTGAACAAATGAGATTCTGGACATTAAATCTCAACATCTTAAGGTAATGGTTCACAGAAATTAATTTGGGAGGAATCATAGACCAAAAAGCTAGGGCTGGGCGCAGTGGCTCACGCCTGTAATCCCAGCACTTTGGGAAGCTGAGGCGGGTGGATCACTTGAGGTCAGGAGTTCGAGACCAGCCTGGCTAACATGGTGAAACCCTATCTTTACTAAAAATATGAAAATTAGCCAGGTATGGTGGCAGGCGCCTCCCATCCCAGCTACTCGAGAGGTGGAGACAGGGGAATTGCTTGAACCCGGGAGGTGGAGGTTGCAGTGAACCGAGATTGCACCATTGTACTCCAGCCTGGGTGACACGAGTGGGACTCCATCTCAAAAAACAAAACAAAACAAACCCAGAAAGGTAAAAGCTAAACCTACAGAGCTTCTGGGAAAAAACATTAGAGTGCATCTTCATAATCATGGCACAAAGATTTCTTAAATGGGATTAATAAAGAGAAACCATAAAAAATTATAAATTGAATTTTATAAAAATGAAAATTCTATTTATGAAAGACATCATTAAGAAAATGGGGATAAGACATATAGAGAAATATATTAAAAATACATATATCTGGCAAATAACTTGTGTTGATATTTTAAAAATTCCAAATCTCAATAATAAAAGACAAACCTAATTTAAAATAGGGAAAAAAACTGAAAGAGATACTTCACAAGAGAAATTTATGAATGGCCAATAAACTCATGGAAAGGTAGTCAATATCATTAATATTCAAGGAAATGTATTTTCCTGAAGACTGCAATGAGATAGCACTTAACCCCAAGAAAGGCTGAAATTAAAAGGGCTGACAGTACTGTTGACAGAGTCATGGAGCAACTGGAACTCATATATGCTGGTTGGGGAATAAAATGGTACAAACACTTGGGGCAATAGTTTGGCAGTTTCTTATAACATTAAACATATATTTACAATATGACCCAGAGATTCTTTTCCTACGTACTTATATTAGAGCAATGAAAACATATACTCATAAAAAATTTATCCAAGAATGCTCATTACAATTTTGTTCATGATAACCCCAAACAGAAAAAAATCCAAATATCAATCAACTGGTGAATAATTAAACAATGTGTGGTGTGATCATACAAAGGGTACCACTCAATGATAAAAGGAACAAGCTGCCTATATGTGGAACAACATGGATGCATTTCAGAAACTTTATGTTGAGTGAAAGAATAAACACGGAGAACATACTATGTGGTTCTCTTTATGTAACATTACAGAAATAAAAACAGAGGCAACCACCTTTGAGGCAGTATGGAGTGAGATAGACTGGAAAAAGGAAGGAAGGAAACTCTACGTTGATGGAAATGTCTGTGTCTTCATTGGGTGGTAGTTATGTGGGGATATACATTTGTCAAAATTTATTGAACTATATACTAAAGAACTCTGCATTTTATTGGATGTAAATAATACCTCAATTAAAAAGACAAAAAAAATCCACAGTGATTGTGATGGTTAATTTTACGTATCAACTTGACTGGGCCACAGGATGCCCAGATAGCTGGTCAAGCAGTATTTCTGGTGTACCTGTAAAAGTCTTTTTGAAACTGAGTAGTATTTGAATTGGTAGACTGGGTAAAAGCAGAGTGAAACAGAGCCATCTGCCTTACTCAGTCCACCACTGGCATCAACCAACTGGTCAAGGGCCTAAATGGAACAAAGAAGAGGAAGAAGGTTAAATTCACTCTCCACCTGACTGCTTGAACTGGGCCATTGGTTTTCTCCTGCTCTCTGCTCAACTCTTAGGCCTTCAGATTACACCACTGGCTTTTGTGGGTCTCCAGCTTGTTGAATGCAGATCATGGTGGTTCTCTGCCTTCATAATCATGTGAGCCCATACCTTATAATACCTTATAATAAATCTCATTATATCTATTGATACCTATTTTGTACTCTGGCTTCACCTAATCTTATCCAGGTTTCTTAAGCTCAGTGCTCTATGACCATGTGGATAAAAATATACATGTAAAAGTGCTTGGTAGAAGCCCAAGTGTTAAGTAAGTACTCAGTAAATATCAGTTATTTTCTCTTTCTCTTTGTGTTACTGTCCTGAATAATGACTAGTTAACTAGCTTGAAGAATTTGTCCAGATCAAAGAACACAGGGTTGATATCAGGCACATAGAATCAACCCAATAATAACTAAAAAAAGAGAGTCTTAAAAGAAAATTAAAATTTTTTTAATGAGCTTTGTGCTTAAAATTTATGTTGCATCATTTTCAAATATTTTTTCTGGTTAATTACTGGATTTTAAATTAATTAAAATCTTTTAAAAGATCTACTCAAAAGTATTTCTTCTACAAGAACTACTTTAAGCAACATTTTTTCCCTTAGGATATTCTTCCCAAGAATAAATCTCTGCCCTGTATTCTGTAGAAGACATTTTAAGTATAGTTTTAGTAATTTAAAACATTCACAGCTTGTCAAGGAACGCTGAGCTAGGCAGATCAGTTTATTAAGATATCTGAAGTGAAATAAAAATGAAGAAAATACATGGTTTTGTAACACTGAATTAATGTGATCATGAAATGATGATCACATTATTTACAGCTTAAACACTCAATTCAAATATTTCTCATATCTGTAGTAAGAATTTCCAAGAGATATAAAAGAGAAATCTTGTTTTACAAAGATTCCAATAGCATGAGTATTTCTTTAATAGAGTTGACAATTTCCTTCATTTCAGTAAATTTAAAACTTATAAAATAAGCACTCTACCAAATGAGGGACAAGAGACTTCCTGTTTCAGTTTTAAATATTATACCATTTATCCTGCAATAAGTAGTCAAAAATTGAAGAGAGATTATGTTTTCCTTTTTTATTTAACAGTTTTATAACTGTTATCTGATTTTTGCATGGATGAAAAATGAGTAAATTCATAAATTATGTTTCTGTGCACACTTCTATTTTAAAACCTATATATTCAATATTTCCTATGATCTTCAGACTCAAGTAAAATGATATAGTAAGGAAAGAAACACAGCATATACAAAAACAAGAGCCCAGGGTCAAATGTGAGGATGAGAACATAAACCTCTTAGAAGTTAAAAACGAATTGAGGTAAGCTTTGAGCTTCAACAGTGCATAAAATGGCTCATTTTAACTGAATTTCAAGAGACTGGGACACTCCAACTGACTGCTGATTTATAGCTATTTTAAGTTTGCTCTTTGTCACCATTCTGAGCTTACTATTTTTCGTTGATTTTCATTTGGGGCTTGTAGATATATAATTGTAGCATTGATAATTGCAATGGTGCTTCCTTCTGCTCTTTAATATTTTTAAATCTCATTTATTTTTTAATGCTATATTTCATTGGCTAGGAAATATAGCATTTAACATTTGTAGGAAAATGTTGAATAATAATAAAAATTATAGGCATCTTTGCCATTTGCTGAATTTAGTAAGATTAATGTTTTAATCTCACCATTAGGCATGACTTTATTTTATTTATATATGTGTGCATATTTATTTTCATATTATATATAGGTTTTTTTCCAAAAAATATAACTAAGAATGGAAGCTAAATTTTACAAATTAAGTTTTCAGTTCCTACTAGGAGCATATAATTTTTTTCTTTTGATTTACAATTGTGACAAATTATAAGTTTTACTACAAGATTCTATTTACAGATATTTTACTTAGGATTTAAAAACCCATACTCAGTGATGACTGTCTATAGTTTTTGTGTTTTTGTATTACTAATATGATTTTACATAAAGAATTTACTTTCTTTCTGTAAGATAAAAAATAGCTTAAATAACACAAGAATTATATATCAGCATTTGAAGAAATTCACCTCTGAAACTACCTGTCACCTTTCGAAGGTAGTCTTTGATAACATTTTCAGTTTATTCTATAATTATATAATTTTCAATGAATTTATGAACTTGTTTAATAGTGATATTGAATTTGTATTAGCTTGCTTTCACAAAATGTTTAAGATAGGTAGTGTAAACATTAGGAACTCAATCTTGTATTTTATGATAATGCCACAATTTAATTTTATTAATAAAAAGCTATTGTTTTATTATATTCCACATTCATATTGAGTGGATTAAAATCCTAGGTGCAACATAAAGTCAAAATAACTGAATAATGTAACATATTGAAAGCATATTTCTGTCCAAAACTTGGGCCATGAGTCACTTTGAAAAACAGTTACTGTGTTTTACACACACACACACACACACACACACACACACACACACTTAATCATCTGCCCTTATACAGTGTCCTGGCATATAGTAGTTGTTCAATAAGTGTTTGGTACTTTGTAAAAACATATGAATGAATCAGCTGATATAAACAGTTTTTATTTTATTTTATATATTTTTTTCCCACAGTGGAAGATCATTGTACAGGGACTCTTGCTGGTGCTATCTCTGTCCCGGGAGTTACAGAGAGTGACCAGGACAAGTATCCCTGTACTCCTTTCTCTTAGAAGCTGCAAAACACATCACGGTGGGAGCAGGTGCTGAACTTTCTCTGATTTATCCTGCAAAGCTTGATCATCTTTAGGGAGAAGAATAAAGTTATCTTGTTAAGAGTAAAAGAAACAAAGGGAAGGTTAAAAGAAGCAGTAAAATGTTAAGTTTTTGTCCTTGGGAGGAAAATATGTTGTTAAATGTAGGCTTAATAAAAAACATCATCAGATAGGTGAATAGCAATATCTTTTTTAGACTCTTAATTATCATAATAAAAAGTATCTTTATGTAACAACAAAAACTCATCTTTATGTAACAACAGTAAAAATTAATAGCTAATTGTTTCTCATTTCTCTCTCATTTATTGCACATGCCATTAAATTGGCATGTGCAATTGCCATTAAATTGGCATGTGCAATTGCCATTAAATTGGCATGTGCAATAATAAATGAGATAAGAAATGAGAAGCAACCCTGGAAGCTGGGTTTTGAATTCACTCTTGTCTGGCTTCAATGTTACACTTTTAGATACAGTATTAAACATACTTTGATTATTTTCTTTAAGTTATAAAAATGTGTTTAAACCTTTTCTCTGGGTCTCCTCGAAATCACCCCAGTAACCCTCCCCAAATTTCATGACTTCCTCAAAAATCAACTGAACTTACTCAGTTTCAGGAAGACAGCTCTAATTTTCCAGTCTCTTCAGCTTTTAAATTCTATATGCTTTAGCTTACCTACTTCCATGACCATCCAGAACCAAATTTTGTTTGTATGACAAAAAGAACATTGGGCTTTTTTTTTTGACTAATCAATCACCAATAACATTCTGGTTGCTTTTTGCAACTAATTTTTATTTAAGGAAATAAATTAACACATTGATAGTTAATATGAAAAAATCATATTGAAAACTATCAGTGTGTCCCAAATAATGATCACATGCAAGATATTTCAATTATTTGATAATACTTTCATCAATCTATGCTGATGTGATCTCCTTTTGCACATTTTTGGAGCAATAAATTACCTTTTCCAACCTGATTAGTTTCAGTTTTGGAATAGTAATTATTTATCTTGTTGCTTACAGCCATTTGTCTTCCCTTCTACAAAATATTTGTAGACATTTTAAGCTAGTAATCTTCTTAATAATTGAGAGCATAAGAGGTCACACTGAACTTGACTTATCAAAACATATCCAAATGTTCTGCCCCATACAACAGGGCTCCAAAGAATTTAGTGAATACACAGCACAAAAAAAACGTCACTGCCAAAGGCAGGTCTTGCAGCATTTTAGGGTGAGTTGCATATTTTTTCCTGGAGTGATTTCTACTCATATGAGAGGGAGCAACTTTTCAATTCTTGTAAACTAAAATTTTATTTCCTATAGAAATGGACTTATTTATCTAACTCACCCCAAATGCATATATTTTGGAGTATAAGATATTGAAATATGCAAGGGCTATTATGGATCAAAGCAAGGGAAAGTGACTGAATAAGATACAATAATAAAATAGAATAATTAATAATTTGTAATAATATGATACTGTTTATCTTCATTATAGTTATAAAATATAAAATTAAAAATCATCATATAATATGTATTATATTATGTATTATAGTAATATAAATAATAAATATAATAATGGAAATACTAATAGAAACAGAGCAAGGTAAGAGAGTTTGGTGGCTCAAATAGTAATTGAGCTCAGAAGAGTGCCTTGTATGGTGGAATGGCAGTAAGGTAGAAATGTCATACTTGTCTTGCACTTTTCACATTCTATTTTGCTGACTCTGATGATACTAATTTAATAACTGTCTTCTAAAAATACAAAAGAACACATACAAAAAAGTAAAAATGACTAATATTGCATTACATTAAATCCCATGAAATTATACAATGAAAGAAATGAAACTATATCCTCTATAACTTTCCAGTTACGCCTGCTGAAATAACCATTGTGGTTTTTTTTGTTTTTTTTTTTTGTGATTTCTGACAATACCTCTTGTACTGGCTGCAGCCTCATCACCTAAAGCTCTGGCTTTTCCATGATCTGCAAGTTTATTAAGAAGTACAACCTAAGCCATAAATGGTGGGGTGGGGGGGCAGAGACAGTGCTCTACCTAACTACTCAAGTCATTGTTCTTCTGTCACATGGGTGGGGGTTCTGCACATACTTCACCTACTTTCAACTGCTTGGCATTTGGGTTCCCTATATCTGGACCAATTCCTTCTTTTTCTTTCTTGAAGCATAAAACAGATGCCAAAACTCAGCCTGTTGATCATTTCTGCTTGAGAAATCTTCCAGTTCTTTTCTCTGTCCATTGACTTCAGCGTGAGGAATAGTCTCCCGAAACACCTGCTTCTTTGCTGCCTTCAATAAAAGCACACCGATTCTCCTTGTTCAAGGATTTTCTTGCAGTTTACTATGGGGCATGCTGAATTTTCAACCTAAATAAGAGAGAGGGTCTCTGAAAGAAAATTATATTTCTTAAAAATAGAGGTTTGCAATGGAAATACGCGTGCCATGGTAAACTATGTGTATATGCAGAGAGGTAAAGAAAGAGTACTTTAAAGGAAAAATAGGGAGGATTACATAACTGTTTTGGGACAATTATCTATCCGTGGCCACAAGGATCAATAAGAGTGGCTCCACACTTTGGGAGGCCGAGGCGGGCAGATCACGAGGTCAAGATTTCAAGACCAGCCTGGCCATCATGGTGAAACCCCATCTCTACTAAAAATACAAAAATTAGTGGGGCATGGTGGTGCAGGCCTGTAATCCCAGCTACTCAGGAGGCTGAGGCAGGAGAATTGCTTGAACCAGGACCCGGGAGGCAGAGGTTGCAGTGAGCTGAGATTGCACCACTGCACTCCAGCCTGGGCTACAGAGTGAGACTCCGTCTCAAAAAGAGTGGCTGCAGTCCAAGGTTGGACAAGCAGTTGCTGGGCAGATGTCCTTATAGAAGTATTTGTGTGTGTGTGTGTGTGTAGGCTTGTGATAGCCTTTTTGCTAGGTTGTAATTTTTGCAGAGTCTTTGCGCTAATTCTTGTCACCCATTTATGCATGAGAAATCTCCTTTCATGGCATTTCCCAGCTCTAGTGTGTGTGTGTGTGTGTGTGTGTGTGTGTGTGTGTGTGTATGTATGTATCATAGGTGACTCTATTTTGATTCTGACAACTTTAATGTTTCCTCTTTTGATCAAAATTTTTCCCCAGAAGCATCTCTAGCAAATCATCCTGTAGTTAGGTTTTAATTGTTCTTCAGTGCTGGGATGAACCTGTCTCTGGTTGCTGGTCTGGGTCCATGCTGGAGAGAGTGAATGACAGCTAGAAGCAGTGTCGAAACCCTTTTAGCCACCTTTGAGCAGTAAGGGAGGTTTGAAGGGATGTGGCTCTCAGGCTAAGTCTACTTGGAGTCCATTGTTAAGTTCAATTTTGTTACTATCATCTCAAAGTGCTGGGCCAGCATTATTCTGTTAAGAGTTGTACTTCAGCAAAAATTTAACAAATAATGATATAAAGTTTAAAAAGGGAAAATACAAAGTAAAATTAATAGTAATATTACAATCTCAGTTTGCATAATGGTTTCGAGCCAAGTATTTAGGCTTACAGGCAACCAGTTGAATAAATGCATTGAACATTATCCTGCCAAGTGAAAAAGATAGGCATTAAGAGAGGAAAGAGTCTCATTATGATGTGGAATCTTATTTTGACATCTTGAGAAAAGCTGTCTAGAGTGTGAAGCTGTCAAGTTCTTATACTGGCTTGCAGTTTGAATGTCTCTGGTTATGTCATTAAGCAGTTTGGTGAACGTTTTGTATGAGGCATACATCAGGCACAAGACTTGCCTCTTAAAATTTATCTAGCTTCAGCTAATAGGGCTTCAGAAACAGAAGCTTTCATTTTTAGTAATTTTGTGAAATAAAGTTGGAAAGAGGAACCTAGAATAATTTAGGATTTGGTCCAGCCTACTACAGACAGATGAAAAGAAATTTAAAATGATGCACAGGGCTACAGTCTATTAATAGGTATAGTATAGTCTTTCTTTTAGGAACATAACTTTTTCTCTCTACATTGATCATATAGGAATCTCAGATTTAAAAACCTCAGGAGGTTTTTAAGAGGCCTCTAGAGGCTAGAAAGCCAAAGCAAAACAGACTTTAGATTCTACCCAGAGTCTTAAGGTTTCTGGGCATGCCAGGAATTGACAGTTTTTATTCATTCACTGTAGGGTTATGAATTCTTGAAGTTAGACATTCAATGCACGTTCTCAGATATAACATTTTAATCAAAACCTTGGTAATGTCACCAGTGTTTCCAATTGTATCTTGTTATAAAGAATGTAGATTCTTATTAAACTTCTGAAAATAATGATTTTGTCCCCCCAAAAAAATAATACTCATGGATAACTTTTGAATTTTGGAAGATCAAGTAAGGAGAAAAAGCAAATGTTTCCAGCTTTGTTCATAAAAATGTGCTTTGCCAAACTGATGTAAACAATAGATAGCTTAAGAGAGAAAATTTCCCTAAATGTGAAAAACAGAACACCGAAGAACCAAGAATGTTTCAAATAAAAGTTATAAAAATGTTATCTTCAGATGTTATTTCATATCATATAATTAATTTTTAAATTTTGTTTGATCTTAATTTGCAGTTGCAGGAACCCATTAATTTCTTTCTTAGAGTTCTGGAAAATTTTTATTATGTTCATAAATCTTAGAGTTATTAGAAACTTATATTTAAGTATACTTAGACTTTTTTCCATCAATCTGAGTGCAAATACTTTTACTGAAAAAGAAAAACAATAACTGTGGGTGACAGAGACTTAAAATAGCAATGGTTAAAAATCTAATGGAAGTTTAATTAGCAATTGACAGGGGACTTTGGTTATTTTTTATGGATACAACATAATAACCAGAATTATTTCTGATGTCATATCAGATTTTTAAGATTTTCATACAAGTTTGGAACATTTATATCAATAACATACCCATAAATGTAACTGACAATAATACTTCTCATATAATTTACTAAATAATATGAATCATTTATTATCTACACAAATGAATACATACATCCTTTGAAGATCTTCAGGGCACCAACAAGAAAGTTTCTAAGCTAACTTTAGGTTAAAAAGACTTAATTTTGAATTTGGATATTGGGGAAGCCTATGAAAGATGCACTTTCAAGCACTATTAAGTGCTTAAAACACTTGATCAAAACAAGATCATAAGTCGCGGTGAAACAATAGTTACTCATTTAATCAGGGTTATAATTAAAAAAACTGCAAAAGCAATAAAGTTAAATAGATGTAAAAAGTCCTTAACTTTTTTAAAGCTCAATTTTCCTAAATAATCAAAAATCTAATAAAGACAACAAAGAAAATCATTTGGATAAAACACAAAGTCTTTATTTTTTAAAGTCAATTGTTGTTTTGTTGTTTTTCTCTTTTTTAAAACTTTTATTTTAGATTCAAGGGTACATGTGCAGGTTTGTTATCTGGGAATATTGCGAGATGATGGGGCTTGGGTTATGAATGATCACATCATCCGGATAGTGAGCATGATACCCAATAGTTAGTTTGTTAACTTTTGTGACCATCCCTCCTTTCCCCCTCTAGTATTGCCCAGTTCTATTGTTGTCATCTTTGTGTCCATGAGTACCCAATGATTAGCTCCCACTTATAAGTGAGGACATGTGATATTTGGTTTTCTGTTCCTGCATAATTTGTTTAGGATAATGGCCTTCACTTGCATCCATGGTGCAGCAAAGAAAATGGTTTGTTCTTTTTTTTTTTTTTTTTTGAGACAGAGTCTCGCTGTCGCCCAGGCTGGAGTGCAGTGGCGCAATCTTGGCTCACTGCAGGCTCCGTCCCCCGGGGTTCACGCCATTCTCCTGCCTCAGCTTCCCAAGTAGCTGGGACTACAGGCGCCCGCCACCTCGCCTGGCTATTTTTTTGTATTTTTAGTAGAGACAGGGTTTCACCGTGTTAGCCAGGATGGTCTTGATCTCCTGACCTCGTGATTTGTTCTTTTTATGGCTGCACAGGATTCCATGGTATATATATACCATATTTTCTTTATCCAACCCACTGTTGAGGCATACTTGGGTTAATTACATGTCTTTACTATTGTGAATAGTGCTGAAATAAATACGTGAGTTCCTGTGTCTTTTTGGTAGAATGATTTGTTTTCTTCCGCATATATACCTAGTAATGGGGTTGCTGGTTCCAATGGTAGTTCTGTTTCAAGTTCTTTGAGAAATCTCCAGACTGGTTTCTACAGTGGCTGGAAGAAACAGTGTACAAGCATTTGCTTCCCTCTGTAGCCTCGCCAGCATCTGTTCTTTATTTTTTATTTTTTAATAATAGCTATTCTGATTGGTGTGAGATGGTATCTCATTGTGGTTTTGATTTGTACTTCTCTGATGATTAGTGACGTGGAACATTTTTTTTTCTATATTTGTTGGCCACATGTATGTCTTCCTTTGAAAAGTGTCTGTTTATATCTTTTGTCCATTTAATGGAGTTATTTGTTTTTTTCTTGTTCAATTGTTTAAGTTCCTTACAGATTCTGGACATTAGATATTTATTGAATGCATAGTTTGCAAATATATTTTCTTATTCTATATGTTGTCTGTTGATAGTTTCTTTTGCTGTGCAGAAGCTCCTTAGCTTAATCCACTTGTCAATTTTTATTTTTGTTGCAACTGCTTTTGAAATTTTCTTCATGAAGTCTTACCAGGGCTGATGACCAGAATGGTACTTTCTAGGTTTTCTACTCAGAATTTTATTGTTTTAGGTTTTACATTTAAGTCTTTAATGCATCTTGAGTTGATTTTTATATATGGTGAAATGTAGTTGTTCAATTTTAATATTCTGCATATGGGTAGCCAGTTACCCCAGCACCATTATTGAACAGGAAGTCTTTCCCCATTGCTTGTTATTGTCAGCTTTGTTGAAGATCAGATAGTTGTAGGGTTGTGGCTTTATTTCTGGGTTCTCTAACCTGTTCCATTGGTTGACGTGTCTGTTTTAGTACCAGTACCATGCTGTTTTAGTTATTATGGCCTTGTACTATAGTTTGAAGTTGGGTAGTGTGATGTCTCCAGCTCTGTTCTTTTCTCTTAAGATTGCTTTGGCTGTTTTGTCTCTTGTTTTGGTTTCAAGTAAATTTTAGAATTTTTTTCCTAATTCTATGAAAAATGTCATTGGGAGTTTGATAGGAATAGCATTGAATCTATAATTTGCTTTGGGAAGTATGGTCATTTTAACAATATTGATTCTTTCTATCCATAAGCGTGAAATGTTTTTCCATTTGTTTGTACCATCTCTGGTTTCCTTGAGTAGTGTTTTGTAATTTTCATTGCCGAGATCCTTCACCTCCTTGATTAGCTGTATTCCTAGGCATTTTAATCTTCTTATGGCTGTTGTGAATGGGATTGTGTTCTTGATTTGACTCTCAGCTTTGACATTATTGCTGTATAGAAATGCTACTGATTTTGTACATTGATTTTGTATCCTAAAACTTTGCTGAAGTTGATTATCAAATCTTGGAGCCTTTGGGTTTTCTAGGCATAGAATTATATCACCTATAAAGAGAGATAGTTTGAATTTCTCTTCCTATTTTCTTTTTTTTTGGAAATATTAGGCATGGGTACCCAGAATTTAAATTTATTTTCTATTAAAATTCATTTTGTGGATACTTGCATAATATACCTTAAATTATTCTTACATCCTCCTTTTTTATTTCTTTTTATGTTTTTTATTTTTTTTTTATTTTTTGACTTTTAATCTCTCTCTCTCTTTTTTTTTATTTTTATTTATTTTTTATTGATCATTCTTGGGTGTTTCTCGCAGAGGGGGATTTGGCAGGGTCATAGGACAATAGTGGAGGGAAGGTCAGCAGATAAACAAGTGAACAAAGGTCTCTGGTTTTCCTAGGCAGAGGACCCTGCGGCCTTCAGCAGTGTTTGTGTCCCTGGGTACTTGAGATTAGGGAGTGGTGATGATTCTTAACGAGCATGCTGCCTTCAAGCATCTGTTTAACAAAGCACATCTTGCACCGCCCTTAATCCATTCAACTCTGAGTGGACACAGCACATGTTTCAGAGAGCACAGGGTTGGGGGTAAGGTCACCGATTAGCAGGATCCCAAGGCAGAAGAATTTTTCTTAGTACAGAACAAAATGAAAAGTCTCCTATGTCTACTTCTTTCTACACAGACACGGCAACCATCCGATTTCTCAATCTTTTCCCCACCTTTCCCCCCTTTCTATTCCACAAAACCGCCATTGTCATCCCGGCCGGTTCTCAATGAGCTGTTGGGTACACCTCCCAGAGGGGGTGGTGGCCGGGCAGAGGGGCTCCTCACATCCCAGTAGGGGCGGCTGGGCAGAGGTGCCCCTCACCTCCCAGACAGGGCAGCTGGCTGGGCGGGGGGCTGACCCCCCCACCTCCCTCCTGGACGGGGCAGCTGGCCTGGCGGGGGCTGACCCCCACCTCCCTCCTGGATGGGGTGGCTGCCGGGCAGAGATGCTCCTCACTTCCCAGACGGGGTGGCTGCCAGGCGGAGGGGCTCCTCACTTCTCAGACGGGGCAGTTGCCAGGTGGAGGGTCTCCTCACTTCTCAGATGGGGCGGCCGGGCAGAGACGCTCCTCACCTCCCAGACGGGGTCACGGCCGGGCAGAGGTGCTTCTCACATCCCAGACGGGGCGGCGGGGCAGAGGTGCTCCCCACATCTCAGACGATGGGCGGCCGGGCAGAGACGCTCCTCACTTCCTAGATGGGATGGCGGCTGGGAAGAGGCGCTCCTCACTTCCTAGATGGGATGGCGGCTGGGAAGAGGCGCTCCTCACTTCCTAGATGGGATGGCGGCCGGGCAGAGACGCTCCTCACTTTCCAGACTGGGCAGCCAGGCAGAGCGGCTCCTCACGTCCCAGACGATGGGCGGCTGGGCAGAGACGCTCCTCACTTCCCAGACGGGGTGGCGGCCGGGCAGAGGCTGCAATCTCGGCACTTTGGGAGGCCAAGGCAGGTGGCTGGGAGGTGGAGGTTGTAGCGAGCCACGATCACGCCACTGCACTCCAGCCTGGGCATCATTGAGCACTGAGTGAACCAGACTCCGTCTGCAAACCCGGCACCTCGGGAGGCCGAGGCTGGCAGATCACTCGCGGTTAGGAGCTGGAGACCAGCCCGGCCAACACAGCGAAACCCCGTCTCCACCAAAAAAGTACGAAAACCAGTCAGGCGTGGCGGCGCGCGCCTGTAATCGCAGGCACTTGGCAGGCTGAGGCAGGAGAATCAGGCAGGGAGGTTGCAGTGAGCCGAGATGGCAGCAGTACAGTCCAGCTTTGGCTCAGCATCAGAGCGAGACCGTGGAAAGAGAGGGAGAGGGAGACCGTGGGGAGAGGGGGACCATGGGGAGAGGGAGAGGGAGAGGGAGAGCTCTCTTCCTATTTTCATGCTTTTTATTTCTTTCTCTTGCCTCACTTCTCTGGCTAGAACTTCCAGTATTATGTTGAATAGGAGTGGTGAGAGCAGACATCCTTATCTTGTCCCAGTTCTCAAGGGGAACGTTTCCAGCTTTTGCCTGTTCAGTATGATGTTGGCTGTGAATTTGTCATAGATAGCTTTTATTATTTTGAGGTATGTACCTTCATGCCTAGTTTGTTCAGAATTTTCAACATGAAGGGATGTTAAGTTTAGAAAAAGCCTATTCTGTATGTATTTCAGATGATCATATGTTTTTTGTTTTCAGTTGTGTTTATGTAGTGAATAACGTGTTGATTTGCATATGTTGGACCAACCTTGCACCCCAGAAATAAGGCCTACTTGATGTTGGTGGATTAGCTTTTTGATGTGCTGCTGGATTTGGTTTGCTAGCATTTTGTTGAGGGTTTGTGCATCTATGTTCATTAGGCACATTGGCCTAAATTTTTTTTTTTGTGGTGTCTCTGCTAGATTTTGGTATCAAAATGATTCTGGCCTCATAGAATGAGTTAGAGAGGAGTCTCTCCCTTTCAATATTTTATAATTTCAATAGGACTGGTGCCAGTTCTTCTGTATACATCTGGTAGAATTTGGCTGTGAATCGTTCTGGTCCGGGGGCTTTTTTTTTTTTTTTTTTTGCTTGGTAGGCTGTTTATTACTGATTCAATTTCAGAATTTGTTATTGGTCTGTTCAGGTATTCAGTTTCTTCCTGGTTTTATCTTAAGAGGTTGTATGTTTCCAGGAATTTATCTATTTCTTCTAGGTTTTCTAGTTTGTGTGCATAAAAGTGTTCCTAATGGTCTCTGAGGGTTTTTTTTTTTTTTGTATTTTTGTGGGATCAATGGTAATGCTCCCTTTGTCATTTCTGATTGTGTTTATTTGGATCTTCTCCCTTTTTTCTTTATTAGTCTAGTTATAAGTCTATAAATCTTATTTATTCTTTAAAAAATTAACTTTTGGTTTCATTCTGATCTTTGGAATATCATGTTTTTTCTCATCTTCATTTCATTCAGTTCAGCTCTGATTTTGATTATATCTTTTATTCTGCTAGCTTTGGAATTGGTTTGCTCTTTTTATTCTGTTTCCTCTATGTGTCATGTTAGGTTGCTAATTTAAGATCTTTTCAATTTTTTGATGTGGGCATTTAGCACTCTAAACTTCCTCTTATCACTACTTTAGTGGTGTCTCAGAGATTCTGGTATGTTGTATCTTGTTTTCATCAGTTTCATTAGTTCTTGATTTCTGTCATAATTTCACTATTTACCCAAAAGTCATTCAGGAGTATATTGTTTAATTTCCATATAACTGCATGGTTCTGAGAGAGCTTTTTTGGTATTGGTTTCTATTTTTATTGTCCTGTGGTTCAAGAGTGTGGTTCATATGATTTTGAAAGTTTTTTGACTTTTTTGAGACTTGATTTATGGCCGAGCATGTGGTCAATTTTAGAGTATGTGCCATTTGCACATGAGAAGAATATATATTCTGTTTTTGTTGGGTGGAGTGTTTTGTAGATGTCATTAGATGCATTTGGTCAAGTGTCAAGTTTAGGTCCTGAATATCTTTGTTAGTATTCTGCCTTGGTGATCTGTCTAAAATTGTAGTGGGGTGTTGAAATCTCCCAGTATTATTGTGTGGTTATTGGTGTCTCTTAATAAGTCTCCAAGAATTTGTTTTATGAATCTAGGTGCTCCAGTGTTGGGCGCATATATATTTAGGATAGGTTAGTCTTTTGAATTCAACCCTTTATCATTATGTAATGTCCTTCTTTGTTCTTTTTTACTGTTGTTAGTTTGAAAATCTCCTTCATCCGATATAAAAATAGCATCCCCTGCTCTTTTTTGTTTGCCGTTTGCATGGTAGATCTTTCTGCAACCCTTTACTTTGAGCCTGTATGTCATTACATGTGAAGTGGATCTCTTGAAGACAGCAGATGAATGAATTTTTTTTTTTAAATGCCACTGGCAACTCTGTCTTTTTTTAAAAATAAGTATTTTATTTGTATTTTTTAAGTTCCAGGGTACATGTGCAGGATGTGCATGTTTGTTACATAGAAAAACATGTGCCATGGTGGTTTGCTGCAACTATCAACCCATCACCTACCTATTAAGCCCAGCATGCATTAGCTCTTTTCCCTATTGCTTTCTTCCCCACCTCCCTCCTCTGACAGGCCCAGTAAAAGTGTTGTTCCCCTTCCTGTGTCCATGTGTCCTCATTGTTCAGCTCCCATTTATAAGAGAGAACATGTGGTGTTTGGTTTTCTGTTCCTGCATTAGTTTGCTGAGGATAATGACTTCCAGCTTCTTCTGGGTCCCTGCAAATGACATCATCTTATTCCTTTTTATGGCTGCATATTATTCCACAATATATATGAACCAGATTTTCTTTATCCAGTCTATTACTGATGGGCATTTGAGTTGATTCCATGTCTTTGCTATTGTGAATAGTGCTGCAATGAACATATGCATGCATGTGTCTTTATAATATAATCATTTATATTCTTTTGGGTATATACCCAGTGATGGGATTGCTGAGTCAGATGGTATTTCCGGTTCTGAATTTTTGAGGAATCTCCACAGTGTCTTCCACAATGGTTGAACTAATTTTCAGTCCCACCAACAGTGTAAAGTGTCCCTACTTCTCCAAAACCTTGCCAACATCTGTTGTTTCTTGACTTCCTAATAATTGCCGTTCTGACTGGTATGAGATGGTATCTCATTGTGGTTTTGATTTACATTTCCCTAATGATCAGTGATGTTGAGCTATTTTTCATATGTTTGTTGGCCACATGTATGTCTTTTTTTGAGAAGTGTCTGTGCATATTCTTTACCCACTTTTTGATGGGATTGTTTGTTTTTTTCTTGTAAATTTGCTTAAGTTCCTTGTAGATTCTGGATATTAGACCTTTGTCAGTTGAGTAGATTGCAAAAATTTTCTCCCATTCTGTAGGTTGTCTGTTTACTCTGATGCTAGTTTCTTTTGCTGTGCAGAAGCTCTTTAGTTTAATTAGATCCCATTTGCTTTTGTTGCAGTTGCTTTTGGCACTTCCATTATAAAATATTTTCCTGTGCCTATGTGCTGTATGGTATTGCCTAGATTTTTTATAGGGTTTTTATAGTTTTGGGTTTTACATTTAAGTCTTAATCCATCTTGAGTGAATTTTTGTACAAGGTGTAAGGAAGGGATCCAGTTTCAATCTTCTGCATATGGCTAGCCAGTTCTCCCAACACCATTTATTAAATAGGAAATCCTTGCCCCATTGCTTGTTTTCTTTGGGTTTGTTGAAGATCAGATGGTTATGGATGTGTGGTGTTATTTCTGAGTTCAATATTCTGTTCCATTTGTCTATGTGCCTGTTTTTGTACCAGTACCATGCTGTTTTGGTTACTGTGGCTTTGTAGTATAGTTTGAAGTCAGGTAGTGTGATGCCTCCAGCTTTGGTTTGTTTTTTTTTTTTTGCTTAGGATTGTCTTGGCTCTGCGATTTCTTTTTTGGTTTTATATAACTTTTAAATTTTTTTCTAATTCTATGAAAAATGTTGATGGTAGTTTAATGGGGATAGCATTGAATCTATAAATAGCTTTGAGCAGCATGGCCATTTTCACGATATTGATTCTTCCTATCTAAGAGCATGGAATGTTTTTCCATCTGTTTGTGTCCTCTTTGATTTCCTTGAGCAGTGGTTTGTAGTTCTCCTTGAAGAAGTCCTTCACTTCCCATGTTAGCTGTATTCCTAAGTATTTTATTCTCTTGTGGCAGTTGTGAATGGGAGTTCATTCATGATTTGGGTGTCTGCTTGTCTGTTGTTGGTGTATACGAATGCTTATGATTTCTGCATATTGATTTAGTATCCTGGGACTTTGCTAAAGTTGCTTATTAACTTAAGAAGCTTTTGGGCTGAGATGATGGGGTTTCTAGAGATAGAATTATGTCATCTGCAAACAAAGACAATCTGACTTCCTCTCTTCCTATTTGAATACGCTTTATTTCTTTCTCTTGCCTGATTGCCCTGGCCAGAACTTTCAACACTATGTTGAATAAGAGTGGTGAGAGAGGAAATCCTTGTTTTGTGCCAGTTTTCAAGGAGAATGCTTCCAGCTTTTGCCCCTGTAGTATGATATTGGCTGTGGGCTTGTCATAAATGGCTGTTATTATTTTGAGGTATATTCCTTCAATACCTAGTTTGTTGAGAGGTTTTAACATGAAGGGATGTTGAATTTTATCAAAGGCCTTTTCTATGTCTATTGAGATAATCATGTGTTTTTTTGTCTTCAGTTCTGTTTATGTGATAAATTACATTTATTGATTTGCATATGTTGAACCAGCCTTGCATCCCAGGGATGAAGCCAACTTGGTGGTGGTTGATAAGCATTGTGATGTGCTACTGGATTTGGTTTGCCAGTATTTTATTAAGGATTTTTGCATCAATGTCCATCAGGCATATTGGCCTGAAGTTTTCTACTTTTGTTGTATCTCTGCCAGGTTTTCGTATCAGGATGATGCTGGCCTCATAAAATGAGTTAAGGAGGAGTCCCTCCTTTTCAATTGTTTGGAATAGTTTCAGAATAAATGCTACCAGCTCCTTTTTGTACCTCTGGTAGAATTCAGCTGTAAATCCATCTGGACCTGGGATATTTTTTAGTTGGTAGGCTATTTGTTACTGCTTCTATTTCAGAACTTGTTATTGGTCTATTCAGGGATTCAGCTTCTTCCTGGTCTAGTCTTGGGAGGGTGTATGTGTCCAGGAATTTACCCATTTTTTCTAGATTTTCCAGTTTATTTGCATAGAGGTGTTTATAGTGTCTTCTGATGGTTATTTGTATTTCTGTGAGGTCAGTGGTGATAGCCCCCTTATTGTTTCTGATTGTGTTTGTTTGAATCTTCTCTCTTTTTTTCTTTATTAGTTTTGCTAACAGTCTATTTTATTGATTTTTTTTTTTTTTTTCAGAAAACCAGCCCCTAGATTCATAGATTTTTTGAAGGGTTTTTCTTTTCTCTATCTCTGTCAGTTCCACTCTGGTCTTGGTTATTGCTTGTCTTCTGTTAACTCTGGAGTTTGTTTTCTCTTGGTTTTCTAGTTCTTTTAGTTGTGATGTTAGGGTGTTGATTTGCGATCTTTCTAGTTTTTTTGTTTTTTTTTTTTTTTGAGACAGAGTCTTGCTCTGTCGTCCAGGCTGGAGTGCAGTGGCACCATCTCGGCTCACTGCAAGCTCTGCCTCCTGGGTTCATGCCATTCTCCTGCCTCAGCTTCCCGAGTAGCTGGGACTACAGGCGCCCACCACCACCATGCCTGGCTAATTTTTTGTATTTTTAGTAGACACGGGGTTTCACCGTGTTAGCCAGGATGGTCTTGATCTCCTGACCTCGTGATCCACCCGCATCAGCCTACCAAAGTGCTGGGATTACAGGTGTGAGCCACCGCACCCAGCCTCTTTCTGGCTCTTTGAATTGGGCCTTTAGTGCTATAAATTTCCTGCTTAACACTGCTTTACATCCCAGAGATTCTGATATGTTGTCTCTTTGTTCTCAAAGTTGGTTTCAAATAACTTTTTTATTTCTGCCTTAATTTTATTATTTACCCAGCAGTCGTTCAGGAGCAGGTTGTTCAATTTCCATGTAGTTGTGTGATTTTGAGTGGGCTTCTAAATCTTGATTGCGCTGTGGCCTGAGAAACTGTTTGTTATGATTTCAGTTCTTTTGCATTTGCTAAGGAGTGTTTTACTTCAATTATGTGATCAATTTTAGAGTAAGTGTCATGTGGCACTGAAAAAAAATGTATATTCTGTTGTTTTGGGGTGGAGAGTTTTGTAGATATCTATCAGGTCCACTTGGTCCAGAGCTGAGTTCGAGTCTTAAATATCTTTGTTAGTTTTCTGTCTCAGTGATCTGTCTGATACTGACAGTGGGGTGTTAAACTCTCCCACTATTATTGTGTGGGGGTCCAAGTCTCTTTGTAGGTCTCTAAGAACTTGTTTTATGGATCTGGGTTGTCCTGTATTGGGTGCATATATATTTAGGATAGTTAGCTCTTCTTGTTGAATTGAATTCTTTAACATTTTGTAATGCCCTTCTTTGTCTTTTTTGACCTTTGTTGGTTTAAAGTCTGTTTTGCCAGAAGGTAGCATTGCAACCCTTGCTTTATTCTGCTTTCCATTTGCTTGGTAAATTTTCCTCCATCCCTTTATTTTTATCCCTTTATTTTGAGTCTATGTGCAACTTTGCACATGAGATGTGTCTCTTGAATACAGCACACCAATGGGTCTTGTCTTTGTATTCAGCTTGCCATTCTGTCTCTTTTAATTGGGGCATTTAGTCCATTTACATTTAAGGTTAATATTGTTATGTGTGAATTTGATCCTGTCATCATGATGCTGGCTGGTTAATTTTGCAGACTTGTTAATGTAGTTGTTTCATAGTGTCATTGCTCTGTTTACTTCAGTGTGTTTTGCAGCGGCTAGTAACGTTTTTTTCTATCCATGTTTAGTGTTTACTTCAGGAGCTCTTGCAAGGCAGGCTTGGTGCTGGCAAAATCCCTCAGCATTTGCTTGTCTGAAAAAGATTTTATTTCTCTTTTGCTTATAAAACTTAGTTTAGTCAGATATGAAATTCTAGGTTGGAACTTCTTTTTTTTAAGAATGTTGAATATTGGCCCCCAATCTCTTCTGGCTTGTGGGGTTTCCACTGAGAGTTCTGCTGTGGTAGACCTTTTTGTGGAGTATCTTATTGGGGTTCTCTGGATTTCCTGAATTTGAATATTGACCTGTTCTGCTAGGTTGGGGAAGTTCTCCTGAGTGATGTCCTGAAATGTGTTTTCCAACTTTTTTCCATTCTCCCCATCTCTTCCAGGTACTCCAATCAGTCGTAAGTTTGGTCTTTTAACATGGCCCCACAGTTCTTGAGGTTTTGTTCACAACTTTTCATTCTTTTTTCTCTAATCTTGTCTGCCTGCCTTATTTCAGCAAGATTGTCTTCAAGCTCTGATATTCTCTCTTCCACTTGGTTGATTTGGCTATTGATAGTTGTGTTTGCATCACGAAGTTATCCTGCTGTGTTTTTCAGCTCCATTAAGTCATTTATGTTCCTCTTGAAACTGGTTTTTCTAGTTAACAGCTCCTGTAATCTTTTATCATGTTTCTTAGCTTCCTTACATTGGGTTAGAACATAATACTTTAGCTTAGTGAAATTTATTATTACCCCCTTTCTGAAGCCACTTCTGTCAGTTCATCCATCTCAGCTTCAGCCCTATTTAGTGCCCTTGCTGGAGAAGTGTTGTGATGATTTGGAGGAAAAGAGGCATTCTGGCTTTTGGGATTTTCAGCATTTTTGTGCTGTTTTTTTCTTATCTTTGTGGATTCATCTACCTTTGATCTTTGAGGCTGGCTGTTGACCTTTGGATTTCTGTGAGGTTACGGAAATCCAAAGTGGGGTTTTTATGGGGTCTTTTTTTGTTGATGTGGTTGTTGTTGTTGCTTTCTGTTTGTTTGTTTTTCTTCTAACAGGCCCCTCTTCTGCAAGTCTGCTGCGGTTTGCTGGGGGTTCACTCCAGATCCTGTTCACCTGGGTATCACCAGTGGAAGCTGCAGAATAGCAAAGATTGCCACCTGCTTCTTCTGCAGAAGCTTGTCCCAGAAGGGCACAGACCTGATGCCAGCTGGAGCTCTCCTGTATGAGGTGTCTGTCCACCCCTGTTGGGAGGTCTCACCCAGTCAGGAGGCATGGGATCAGGGACCCACTTGAGGAGGCAGTCTCTCCCTTAGCAGAGCTGGTGTGCTATGCTGGGCGAATCCACCTAATCAGAATCAGCCGTTCTCTTCAGAGCCGGCAGGCAGGAAAGATTAAGCCCTTTGAACCTGAGGCCACGGCAGCACCTCCCCCCAGGCGCTCTGTCCGAGGGAGATGAGAGTTCTGTCTGTAAGCCCCTGGAGCTGCTGGACTTCCTCCTTCCAGGTATGAAGGATCTAGAGAAGCAGTCTGGCCACAGCCATTTTGCTGTGCTGTGGGGAATTCCACCCAGTCTAAACCTCCCAGTCTCCTTAGCACTGTCAGAGGAAAACCACTGACTAGAGCCACAGTAATTGTGGTCACCCCTCCCCCTGGGAACTCGGACATCCCAGGAAGACTCCAGATTTCTGTGCTGGCAGTGAGAATTTCAAGCCAGTAGTTCTTAGCTTGCTGGACTCCATGGGGGTGGGACCCACTGAGCGAGACTGCTTGGCTCCCTGGCTTCAGCCCCGTTTCCATGGGAGTGGATGGTTCTTTTGTCTTGCTGGAGTTTCAGGTGCCACTGCAGTAGGTAAAAACTCCTGCAGCTCAGTGCCTGCCTGAGCAGCCGCCTGGTTTTGTGCTTGAGACTCAGGGCCCTGGTGGTGTAGGCTCATGAGGGAATCTCCTGATCCATGGATTGCAAAAATCTGTGGAAAAAGTGTAGTACCCCTGGTGGGTAGCACAGTCCCTCACTGCTTCCCTTGGCTTGGAGAGAGGTCCCCCCATCTATGCACTTTGGTTCTGTGTGCCTAGTTTAATGTTTTGTTTGATCTGCATACTTGGGTTAACATGTTTGTGAATACTCTGATTTTGGTTTGGTTATGTGCATCTATAAATGGTTTGGCTCTTATTAATTGTTTCTGAAAATCTTCCAAGAGCAAAAATAAACATTCTAAATGGTAGGCACAATATGGCTAATTAAAAGCCACTAGGGCAGTTACCACCATCTAAAATGGTCCAAACTTCTGATATTTTCTGGCAGGATTTATAAGATTTTCTCTGTTCTTGAGGGGTTAATAAAAAATAAATGAGATTCTCAAACATTAACACATGCTAAGTTTTCTGAAACTCCAGTTGGCTACATATTATGGCCCACTCTCATAATCATTTTTTAATTGGTGGGAAAATTACATCAAGGAAAAATCAGAGAGCTCAAATGTCATTATTCAAACTTGCTTAGCTTATTAGAAACCTGCAAACAAACTGTAGAGTTTAAGAAGTAGAACCCTCTAAGTTATCTTTCTTAATTTTTTTAATAGGGACAAGGTATCAGGCTGTAGTGCAATAGTGTGATTATAGCGTGAAGTAGAGAGGACCATACATTGTACTCTACCCAAGACTTGTCACATCTCAGATTTAGTTTTTATTATCCCATCTGACTAGTAAATGGCCATGGGGACAATTGACTTACCTGTGACAATAACAGCAGAGGCTGACCGGTAAGTTGTGACTCATGGAAAATAGAACCATCATGCATATTAATTGTGAATTTAACTGTAAAATGTAAATGTTATCTAAGTCCCATATTAAGTCTTGGATTTCACAAGACTGTAAACTCTTTGAGGGCAGGGACTAATTGTGATGGTAGGTATGGAACATAATACTCAACATATGTTTTATTCCTGAATTAATATTCTTCCTCTATTCATAGGTACACATAATGGTCAAATATAATGTGTAATTTATTGATGAATATGGTAATTGGTAAAATGCATTGGAAATGAACGGATATTATTCTTGCTTCTAGGCACATAATTAATTTGACATTAGGGATATTCTGAATATCAATACTATTCATTAGGATTTTCTATGTATATAATCATATAGTCTCATAATACATTTGTGTTTCCTTCTTTTCAACCTTTATTACTTTGCTTCTTTTTAACAACCTTATTTCTTCAGCAGGACCTACATATGATATTAAATAGAAGTGGTGAAAGTAGACATCTTTGATCTGGGAAAGGGTTCACTATTTCACCATTAAGAAATATGTTAGCTGTAGGTTTCTTTGCAGATGCCTGTTGTAAGATTGATTTAGTTACTCTGTAGTTATAGTTTGCTAAGAGATTTTTTAAAATCCTGAATTAATGTTAAATTTTGTCAAAAATGTTTTCTGCATACACTGAAATGTTCATAAGATTTTTCTCTTTTATACTGTTAATCAGTTATGTTGACTGATTTACAAATGTAAAATATTGAATACTTGATCATAAGGTATTAGCCTCTTATATATTGCTGATCTGACTTAAATACTTGATAAGAATATTTACATTTATTTTCATGAGAGATATTCATCTGTAATTTCTTTTCTTATAATGCCCTAATTATATTTTGGCATCAGAGTCCTGCTGATCTCATAACATCATTTGGGAAGTAGTCCCTTATTTCCTATATTCTGAGTTTATATAAAACTGATTGTAAATGTTTGATAGAATCCATCAGTGAAGCCATCTTGATTTGAAGCTTTCTTGTGCCATTGTGGAAAAGTTTTAGATTATGACCTCAATTTTTTTAATGCTATTCACATTGTCTCTTTTTGTGTCACTTTTGGGGAATTGTGTTATTTCAAGAAAATTTTTGTTTCAATTATCAAATTTATTGGTATAAATTTGCTGAAAATATTTTCTTATTAGCCTTTGGATGTATGTAAGATATATAGTGATATTGTCACATTTATTTCTGATATTGGTAATTGGTTATTAATGTGTCCTTCCTTTTTAAAAGAATCTTTTTAGTCATTTATCGGTTTTTGTTAATCATTTAAATCCATTTGTGTTTTGGTTTTCTCTGTTGTATTTTTTCTTTTACAATAATTTTAATAATTTTTTATTATGTTCCAAATGTGAGCATCATGAATTTTGTAGCACTTATCTCTAATTCTCAAAATAGTATTTCAGGGAAAATATTACTATTATTGGTTTAAATGGATGGAAAATAAGATGCAAAGAGGTTAATTATTTTGATGTATCTTATAAATATCAAAGGCTGTATTTAAGTCTAGGACTCTCTGATCTCAAAAATGATGCCTTTTACTGCAACATAGTGTTTCACTGCAAAATTGCCGAGTGTTTGAATGCATGAATTATGATTCTAAGTCCACTTCTGGCCATACCACTAATCAACACCACTAAATTTATTAACATCAGTATATTAGGGATACCTTATTTGCATGACTATAAAGGCTAGTTTTGGTAGGATAATAGAACCAACATAGGCACTAATCATATCTACAAACAATATGTTGTTGTTTTATAATTTGTGTGCAAGCCATCTTATCAAGGATGTGAACAGAAAAATTCCTGGAGGAACTAATCAGAATACAGGGGTATAAGATCTCTTTTTTCTTACACTCCATGGCAATTGCTCCCACTGAAACATGCACAGGTATGCTCTCTCTCTTCTGTCCTCCTTCCGGAAGGTCTGCTTTTTGGAATTTGCTCTCATGAGAGATTTCTTATTGGATTCAATCTAGAGCAATGGCCTAGGAAGCTACCAGGGAGAAAGCATCCATTTGATATATGGTAAAAAGGGCCCCAAGTCATTATCCCCCCAAGACACTGCTATCTGCTGTGGTCTCAATGTTTGTTCCCCCAAATTTATATGTTGAAATCCTAATCCCCAAGGTGATGATATTAGGACTGGGAGGAGGGGGGGCGCTGTGGGAGGTGATTAGGTCATGGGTACATAGCTTTTATGAATGGGATCAATGCCCTTATAAAAGAGGTCTGAGACAGACCCCTCACCCTTTTAACCAGGTGAAGACACAGTAAGAAGATGCTGTGTGTGTTAGTCTATTTTCACATTGCTATAAAGAACTACCTGAGACTGGGTAATTTATAAACAAAAGAGGTTTGACTCACATTTCCGCATGGCTGGGGAAGCCTCAGGAAACTTACAATCATGGCAGAAGGTGAAGGGGAAGCCGGCACCTTCTTCACAAGGCAGCAGGAGAGAGAGTGAGTGATAGAGGAGCTGCTAAATACTTTTAAACAATCAGATCTTGTGAGAACTCACAATCATGAGAACAGCGTGGGGAAACTGCCCCTATGATCCAATCACTTCCCACCAGTTCCCTTCCTTGGCATAGGATTACAATTTGAGATGAGATTTTGGGGGGACAGAGAACAAAACCATATTACTGTGTATGAGCCAGAAATTCAGCCTTCATCAAACACTGAATCTGCTGGCAACAGAAGGCTTTATGTTTCATAGCCTCCAGAACTTTGAGAAATAAATTTATGTTGTTTATAAGCCACTTAGTTTATGGTACTTTGTTATAGCAGCCCAAATGGCCTAAGACATTAATGGACCATGATAGGCACTCACCTAAGGGCTTTTACCTCTACCCTAAAGGAATATGCCTGTCGAGGAGAATGAATGTGTATAAATAACAACATTTGGTCCACAAAAATCAAATTTTTCTATTTTGGAGATTTGTTTGTTATGGTAGAATAATCTTGTAATAAATATAAGTAATTTGAGAAGGCTGCCTTTGATCAGTTTTCTGTTTATTACAAGGAAATCAGTAGAGTAAATGCAAAAATCAGTAGCTTACTGTAGATCTTAGACACCTACTATTTTGGTAAAAGTAAATAAATGTTACTATTAGGATAGCTTCTGTTTCTTTTTGATTATTTCAACTGCTCAGGAAGTTGTAAGTTCTTGTGTAACCCTTTGACTGCCACAGTTCCTCCCCTTCAGTGCCTGCAGTAAGAAGCATCCATCCTGAACTTTTTGACTTTTTCTTTGTCTGCTTCCTATTTTTAATAAAATGTATTTACTTGGTTTCCTATTTATATGCATTCCTGTCAAATGACAGAAGGCAATCATATAAACAAAGCTGCTTTATTTATAGCTAGAAAAATCTTAACATAGGCTCTTTATGTACCTAAATGTTAGAAAAGAAAATAATGAAAATATCATAAACCCTAGGAGGTAGCTAATTCTGTCAATATATAAGTCCATGTATAAATAGTGCATAATGTGCAAACTAGGCTTTTAAAATTAGAATTAGTCTAATGATGGTTTAACTTCCTCATCTGTGAAATTGGCATAATGATAATATCTCTCCTGTAAGTTTGCCATAGCAATAAAATGAGATGACACATAAAAAGCTTTTCTGGTGTTGTGCCATAGTAAATACTGAGTAAACATTAGTTGTATTATAATTATTTCTAGACATTTAGCAGTTTAAGAATATGTAGATTGAAATAAAGGGATCGGAGTGTAAACCTTTTTTGAGATTAAAACATAAGGAGAAAAAACACATTCCTAAAAGTAAACTTTTACAGTAGTCGTAGTTTTTTCATCCTTTGTAGTTAGTACTACCCCTTTGGGCAGTATATAATGTGTTGTATTACATGTTTCAAGAGTACCTTATAGCGTCCATTGGTGGTATTTCATTAGCAAAGGTATAGTTTTACAAAAAGAAACTAACTTGAGAGAACATGAGAGGCAAGGTCATAAAGAAGAGCAGGGTCCCCCATAAATCAATTAAGGGTGATAGCTGGGCAAACGGGAACCAGAGGAGAGAGAGAGTGATGGTCTCTGCAGTGCAGGCTAACACACTTCCAAGAACTGAGTAATCCACATTTCAACATTCTCAGATAGTACATACTAATTTTTGTAAATGTCATCTTGATGAATGCCTTTGTTACAAAACAGAAATCCCTAGACTATCATGATGAAGGTACGAAACACAAGAAATTGATAAAGTCCAAATCCACATGGGGTAGATAGACATGTAATCATACTAAGACCATACAATATGACTAAGATGCTTTGACAGCTTGGAGAAAGATACCAAATTTTGCTTGGGGGCTTTGGCAAGGACTGCATGGAGGAGGTGACACTGCATCGGACTGTGAAGCCTAAGTAGAAGTCACGGAGTAGTAAATTGGGGGCTCTGGGAAGATTAATCTTTACTAAACTTGTCCTACATGTTGTCTTGTGATATTGTGGTCAGTGTTTCATGAATATTGCCTTACTTGAACCCTATGATCACCATATGGCTGGATATCTTATCCCCATTTTACAGGTTTTGAAATTAATGGTCGTAAATAACAAAGGCTCAAGTTTACACAGTTTGATAGAGGCAGATGTGACCTCTGAATCCATGGTTGCA
Organism: Homo sapiens; assembly: GCF_000001405.40. Classification (NCBI taxonomy): domain Eukaryota; kingdom Metazoa; phylum Chordata; class Mammalia; order Primates; family Hominidae; genus Homo; species Homo sapiens. Next base: position 28,549,239 of record NC_000021.9, on the reverse strand, counting down.
TGACTCCATGTTTCCTCTACTTCAAAGCACTGCTCTGGGAACATTCTATGAAAGAGCCTAGAGTAGCAAAGTTATATCATTTTGGAAAAAATGGCAAACTGAAGAATGAGTAAGTAGGTCAGTGTCACTAAAGCACATAGTTTTGGGAAAGAAAGAAGGTGCTGCAAAGAAATGTAATTGAAGAATTTTCTCATATTCCATTCTCTGTAAGTCCTGTTCTTTAATTTCAATATTTATATTCACTCACACCTACTCACTTACACAACCGAGGCCTTCTCTTTTCATACCCACCATCCACACATCATATCATCAAACTACAATCCCGTGTTTCTAGGCTTATTCTCTTTTTTCTCTTTTATTCTTAGTATCATCTTTGTCTTTATGAAAGAATTATTCTAGCCATAGAGGTTTTTATCCCAATATTTAGATCAAAAAGTGTAGGCATTCTGTTTCCTATACTCCATCTTATAATGTTGAACTTAAGAATGAACCTTAAATTAACCAATTGTAACTGACCTGTAGCCATTCATGTCTCTTAGAAGCCAACTTTTAAAATTGGTTTACATTTCTGTTGAAAAGAATTCTGCTCAAAATAAATTAAAGCCCAAACTTTCTAGTTCAAAATTCACTGGCCTATTTTTCTGCAGTGGTGTTCCATTTCACATAAAGATGGTTTGGCCAGCTGTAGTCCTGATCTAGGCTGGTTGTTGAAAGTCCCATGACATCGTTTTAAAAAGAGCTGGAAGTGTCAAGCCTAGAGTTTTGGTCAAATTCCAGGTTGGATCATTAGGTTCAGCCTCTTAAATTCTCTCTGTGGCTTTTGATGGTATTCTGGCTTGTTTTCTCAGACTTCTCCTTGATGGTTGAGAAGCTTTCTTCAATGGTCAAGTGCACACATATATTGTCTTTGGTACGAAGATCCAAGTGAGCAGGTCAATAGATTAGGGAGATTCCCACAAAATTATCTTATTGTAATAAGTGAGGAGTCTCTGGGAATCCTTTTGTTCTGGCAATCTATTGCTATGTAACAAATGACCCCAAAACTTAGTGGTTTCAGATAATGACAAAATTTATTTTACTTAAGTTTCTGCAATCTATGTGAGGTTTGTGTAGACAAATATTTCTGCTCTATTTGGCATCAATTGTATTATCCCAAAAGTTGGGGACTGGAATCATCTGTGGCCCAATCACTTGCATGTCTGGCAGATGATGCTAGCTGTTGGCTGGGACCTCTGGTGGGGCCTTTGGTCAAAACATCTCGACATGCCTTTCTGTTTGGCCACTTGGGTTTCTCACAGCTTGGCTGTTGTGTTTTATGTGTGATTATCCTGAGAGGGAGTCAAGTTGAAGCTGAATCATCTTTTTTTCTAACTTAGCCTTCGGAATTATGCAAATACGCCTTCTGCAACTTTCTATTCATTTAGAGTCATTATGTCCTGTCCATATTCAGGGGAAAGGGAATTATATGTTGCCTTTCAAAAGACAGCATGTCAATAAACTTGTGGATATATTTTAAAACACTGCACTTACTTTCTTGCCTCTATTTAAAATGAGAAAATGGAGCATCAGAGAGTAGCAGAGCTGTGATTAGATCTCAGGCTGTCTGACCTTGAAATGATTTTTTTTCTCAATGTTAAATGTATTTGTGAACATTTTAAATGTACTTTTATGATAAAGAACTTATACTATTTTGTCTAAATTAGGCATTGTCAAATCATGGTCTATAGGCCAAATCTGTACTGTTTGTTTTTGTAAGTAAAGTTTTATTGTGACACAGCCATATTTTAAAATTTCTATATTTTCTATGGCTGCTTGTTATTCAATATTGCAAGCAGAATAGTTGCAATAAAGACTTTATGGGCTACAAATCCTAAAATATTTACTATTAGGCACTTCACAGAAAATGCAGGCCAACCCCTGCTTTAGATTTTCAATCTATTGTACACATGATTTCTGAGCTTGAGGAGATGGGCCACTGGCTTAATGCTAACTGAACAGCAGGGTGCTAGACTGATGGAATTCTAAAACTGCTAACCTTTGGTCCCAGGGACCAAAGTGTCTGGATAGTTGGACTATGTATACCAAGCTGTATACAATGAAAAAGAGGTTTATAAAAATCACATTTGTTGTGTCAGTCAGGCTTCAATCAGAGTAGAAGAACCAGTAAGGATTATCCATAGAGACTTGACCTTTTGCAGTTTTGGGAGGCAATTCAATAGTAATATGGGAGGCTCTTTTCTTCTATATCAGCCTGAAGTCATCACAGCAGGCATTTAAGAAAGAAACCATGGACAAAGTGGAACCTGACAGTCTGAGCTAGAACCCAGGAGGAAAAACTGGGACCTTCTGGATGAGTTGGCTTATGAAGATGAACTGGAACACACGTCAGTCTCTTACTAAGAAGTAACCCTTGATAACATGGGTGTCCTGTAGAAGCCAGTCCCCTTTTTTATTCACCCAGCCCAAGAGATGCTGAAGAAGGAGCTACAGCAGGAACAGAGGATTATACAGGAATGAGGCTGAATGTTGCCACCAAGGTGAGTTGGCAGGTAGAACTTGACTGTGTAGTTACTGTATCTCATACCCAGCTCCAACCTCTGGAGCATAAAAATAATCCAATGCGACTTCACTTCTGTCTTCTAAATCTCACACCAGGTGCCTTTTGAGGCCCATACTCACAAGAATCATGTGGGGAAGATAATATGAGACATGGAGATCATCCAGTTGGTAAAATACACATCTGTCACAACTTGAAAATATCACTATATACAGGGAGCTCCAGGTCTCATTGGAATAGTGTTCCACAGACATCTCAGAGTCTACACATAATCAACAAACTGACCCTGGTCTTCTACATCCCATGCTTGATAATGCCACATCAACTCAGTTGTCCAGGCCAGGGACCTGGTAATATTTGAAGAGTTCTCCTTGTTCTTCAGCCAGTTGTCTCAAGTGCCAATTCTACCTCTCAAGTGTGTATCTAATTGTTTCCTTCCTTGCTACTGCTACTACTTTAGCCATTGCCACTCCCCATGAGATTACTGCATTGATATGATGGGGCTCTCCTGGTTACTAATCTTAAACTCCTTCAGTCAACTTCCCCACTACTCTCTGAGTAGAAAGTCTAAAATACAGATAATCATGACCTCCCACCATCCACCACCCTGAAAGTCATTTTATGTCTCCTTATATTATTGAACACAATGTCTCAATTCAATGTCGTACACAAAGCCATCCATAATTTGAACAGCATCCTTTCTCTCCATTCTCCCACATTTAGGTTATGTCCTGGCCCACGCTACCCTTTCATAAGTCTACCAACACTCCACATTCTTTCACATCCCCATAGTTTGGATGTGCTATTTAATTTGTCTTCTCCAAGCATTTGTACTTCCTGCCAAACACACATACTTTCTTCTCCAGAATAACTCATATTCATTCTTGAAGACTTGATTCAAGTTTTTTCTCCTCTGGGTGCCTTCTATAAACCTTCTTTCCTCTGCTCCAATTTGGGAAGTGCTGTTCCCTCTATACTCTCATCAACCATAGCAGCCTAGCCTACGTCTATTATAGATTTGTCGTACCTTGTTGTAATTAACTGTATGTTTATTAATAATGATAGTAATGATAATTTTGGTATCTGTAGGTAATTGAATATAAACTTCTGTGTTAAAGTTGTACCGGAAAGCCATGCTTGGAGTCCAAAGCTTCAAGGTGGCTCTTCTTATTAGAGACTTGGGGGAGACTTGGACAGGAAGGATGTTTTTTGGCAGAGCTAACTGGCAGTCCCCATAGGCTGTCTCTGGTTTGGACAGCACCCTTGCGTGGGCGCTTGGTGCTTGATTAGATCACACCTTTTGGTGTTGGCCCTGTCATCAGACTGTGGGAGGATCACAGATAGCACCTCCCATACTGCCATTCAACATTGCCCCATTGTGCTCAAATACAAGCTCATCGCCTGTACTTGGATATGTTCTTTCTTCAAAGACCCCTTGGTCCATTACGTGCGCTGACTGCCAGTGGGCCTACCTTCCTTCTGGGCACCGTAAACAATATCATTTAATTCTTAGAGCAAACCCATTAAGTGGGCAGCATTATCATCTCTATTTTAAATGTGAAAACTGGCCAGAGTTGACACAATTTGCCTACAGTTATATGCCTAAGAAGAGAGGTTCAAACTTGACTTTCAACTCTGTGTCATTAGTGCCTCAAACAGGGTCTGGCTAATAGGAGGCACTCATTAAATATTTACAAAGTTTTGGTTAAATAGGAGGAATAAGTTTTTAAAATCGATTGCACAGCATGGTGACAATAGTTAATGTAATGTATATTTCAAAATTGCTATGAGAGTGGATTTTAAATGTTCATAGCACATGTAAACAACATAAGTAAGTGAGGTTATGGATATGTTAAGTAGCTTGATTTAATCATTCTATAATACACACATACATCGCCTGGGTGCAGTGGCTCATGCCTGTAATCCCAGCACTTTGGGAGGCTGAGGCAGGTGGATCACGAGATCAGGAGATCAAGACCATCCTGGCTAACACGGTGAAACCCTGTCTTTACTAAAAATACAAAAATTTAGCTGGGCGTGGTGGCGGGTGCCTTTAGTCCCAGCTACTCGGGAGGCTGAGGCAGGAGAATGGTGTGAACCCGGGAGGCGGAGCTTGCAGTGAGCTGAGATAGTGCCACTGCACTCCAGCATGGGCGACAGAGAAGTCTCCGTCTCAAAAAAAAAAAAAAAAAAAAAAAAAAAATATATATATATATATACACATGTATACATACACACACATACATAAAACATCACATTGTACCCTATAGATGTATATAATTATTTGTCAATTAAAAAACTTAAAAAAGTTTAATGAATGAACAAGTCAGTGAATGTTAATTTCAGTCTTTTAACATGGTCCTTAGGTTTTAATGCCCTAAATCAGAAAATGGCCTTCAAGCTGGTAATACTAGTCTTTATAAAAACCTGGTGGAAGGCATATTTTTGGCAGGCAGACCGTTCAACTGTCTTGGATTACACCATACAGAGTGTGCACTCTGTGTTCACATAAAGGGCCACCCTTCCAGGAACTGGGACTTTTGTTCTCAAAACATGCCAAACACTGATGATTACTGCCAGTTCTGGCTGAATTACAATGTCATCACTTAATCCAAATGTCCAAACCATAGCCACATTTTAAGGTGAATGAATAATAAAATGATTGATACTTTAGATACTACCAAAATATAAATTGCATTAAAAATTTAAGAGCACAAAACTATATTAATAATTGAAAAAGATAAAAGTACAAATTAGGAAAATGAAATAAAACATATCTTAAACATAGTATTAGGAAAATGTTATAAGAGAAAGAATGGGAAATCAGTTTTCACCCAGTAGAATGGCTAAACTCAAAAAGAAGATACACTGCACACATCGATTATTCTTTTCTGCCACCTAGCACCAAAACTCTCTGTAATACAGTTTGATGAATTCATACCTTATGAGTTTTGGTGGGAGGCACAGACTGCCTCCTACCAAAAGTTGTAAACTTTTAGATGCTACATTTTACGGTTTCCCATATAGTATGATTTAGACTCCTTCAAGTAGTATGAGAAACAGACGTGGTACCTTTGATGGAAAAGCAGACTTTTTTCTTACTCTCTATTCTCAACACTACACTTCAACTCTGGTCACCAAACTGGGTGTGAGTTTTTCCCAAACACCAGACAATTCTCTAGTGGACACCAGCTGGGTGTCTTCTAATTCACCCAACTATCTACTTGGAGTTAGTGTCCGATTTCATAGGTCGAGGGCTCCATTCCTCAAGACTCCCCCCAACTTCAGATGCCAATCACATGCTCCAGGCTTTGGCCTGTGCTTCTGAACAACCAGCTATAAATTGGGGTTTCCATGATCTCCTTGGTTCAATTAATTTGCTATAGTGGCTCACATAACTCAGGGAAACATTTTATTTACATTTATCCATTTTTTAAATACAAAATACTACAAAGCAAACAGATGATCCGCCAGATGGAAGAAATGCATAGGCAAAGACATGTGGAAAGAGGTACAGAGCTTCCATGCCTCTCTGGGTGCATCATCCTCCAGGAACTACCACTTATTCAGCAATCTAGAAGCTCTCTGCACCGTGATCTTTAGTTTTTTATGGATGCTTCATTACATAGGCATGATTAGTTAAATCACTGGCCATTAGTGGTCAACTCTACCTTTTGCGCTTCTCCCCTCCCCAGAAGTTGAGGGCTAAGGTTGAAAGTTCCAACACTCTAATCACATGATTTGTTCTTCTAGCAGCCAACCAACTCCAGTCATGAGGTTATCCGGGTACACACCAAGAGTCACTTCATTAGAACAGAAGATGCTTCTGTTGCCTAGGAAATTCCAAGGGATTTAGAAGTTCTTTGTCAGACACTCTTAGCACTCAGGAAATTATAAAGGTCTTAGAAGCTCTGTGCCAAAACTGGGCTCAGAGACCAAACATTAGAACAAAAGATTCTCTTAGCACCCCTATCTACGAGGTTATTAGGAGCTCTGTCTCAGGAACCAGGTGCAGATACCAAATATATATTTCACAATATCACAGTAAGAAATTCTCAGCCGGGCGTGGTGGCTCATGCCTGTAATCCCAGCACTTTGGGAGGCCAAGGTGGGTGGACCACCTGAGGTCAGGAGTTTGAGACCAGCCTGCCCAACATGGCGAAACCCTGTCTCTACTAAAAATACAAAAATTAGCCAGGCATGGTGGCACATGCCTGTAATCCCAGTACTCAGGATGCTGAGGCAGGAGAATAGCTTGAACCCAGGAGGCAGAGGTTGCGGTGAGCCAAGATTGCACCATTGCACTCCAGCCTGGGCAACAGAACAACTCTGTCTCAAAAAAAAAAAAAAAAAAAAAAAAAAAATTATCTAGAGGCAGTTGGCAGTTACTGCAAGTTTAATTTTTTGGTGCAGAATTGGTAGTAGTGTGCATTTTTATTTTCCATGATTTTGGAATGGTCTTGTTTATTTTTTCATTAAATTAATGTATTAAAAATTGAAAAAATAAACACCGGGCACGGAGGCTCACACTTGTAATCCCAGCACTTTGGGAGGCTGAGGTGGGTGGATCACGAGGTCAAGAGATCAAGACCATCCTGGCCAACATGGTGAAACCCGTGTCTACTAAAAATTCAAAAATTAGCTGGGTGTGGTGGCGTGCGCCTGTAGTCCCAGCTACTCAGGAGCCTGAGGCAGGAGAATCTCTTGAACCGGGGAAGCAGAGGTTGCAGTGAACCGAGATTGCGCCACTGCATTCCAGCCTGGCGACAGAATGAGTGATCAGATCAGGGTAATTAACATATGCTTCATCTCAAACATGTATTTTTTGATCACTTCTATGCAATCCTATGCACTAGAATCCTAATGGACGCTGTATTGGATAAATATTTTAGGCTTAGGTAGGGTGGATTAAAAACTTTCTTTATGAGGTTATACCTATGAATTAAATCAAATACTTGAATAAATAAGGTATGGTGTATATTTCTTCAGACAGAGGCAAAAAGAAAGACACTTCTCCATTCCTTGTGGATATACAGCAAATGAAGAAAATTGCTAGCACAAAGAATGGCAGTCTTGTGTGCTTTGTTTTCAGGGTAACAGCAAGCTCAGATTTCAAGCATCTGCATTTGCTAACTTCTCTGTACTTATTCCAAGGCCAACTAAGAGAAGATAATTCCTATTCTTTGTGAGAGAGTTTTCATTCCACACAGCAAGGTAATAAGCTGTAGGTCTCTCATGAAATAGGTTACTATGATGGTTTGGGAGGGTTAATAGGCAGACACAGAGTTTTTAAAGCAGTGGAAATGCTTTTGTGTGGTACTATGGTAATAGATACATGTCTCTATACATTTGCCCAGATTCATAGAGTGCACAACAGCAATAGTAAACCCTAATATTAACTATGGACTTTGGATGATTGTGATGTGTTGATATAGGTTTATCAATTGTAGCAAAGGTACCACTCTGGTGGGAGATGTTGATAATGCAGGAGACTATGCATGTGGGGCAGGAAGCATATGGGAAATCTCTGCACCTGACTCTTAGTTTTTCTGTGAACCTAAAATTGCTCTAAAAAAAATAAAGTATTTAGAAAATTGCTATAGTGCCTATTAGCTAAGATTCCTTTGCCTTTGTGGCCCCTCTCTTCACTGAAGGGTTGCTGAAAGGAATGGGAAATTGTCCTACAGCAGGCAGTAGAAGGCAGGGGACTAACAGATATCACCATCTCCATTTGTAAATGAGGACAGCTATACTTAAAGAGAAAGTATTCTGCTCAAACTCTACAGTTAGTAAAAGGCCAGTATTTAAATCCAGAAGTTACTCCAATCTTGTGTTCACAACCACTGGACTATGCTGCTTCCCAAAACTCACTTATTAGCATGACATAATGACAGTGTTTGGAAAAAGCTTTTCCACTCCGGATGTGTTTTATGTAAAAAATAATGCATGCTTATTGAAATGAGTCAAATAATACTGAGTCATATAAGGAAAACTTTAATGTTATCTGCTTCCACTTTCTTGTTATAAACTCACTCCCTTGAAGTAACCAATGGCAACAGTTTGATACTTATCTTTCCATGTGTTTATCTGCTCCATACAAATAGATCCCCCCAAAAAGCACAGAGGGGTTTTTATCCCTGTCTTCTTTAAAAATTGGATGATACTCTTTATATTGACCATTCCTTCAGGTATTTTAATAGATATATAATTATGTGTATAAATATATATGGCTTATATGTATAACTATATATGACATATATATATATATATAGTATATGACAATCTAGTGCTTTTTTAATGTGTAAAATAGATTCCCAGAAAAGATAATACTGGGTCAGAGAATACATTTATTTTTAAAAATTTTATAAAAACTAGCAACTTACTTTTCAAATTGTTTTACCAATTCACACCTCCATCAGCACTGCTTAAGACTGGCAATTTCCCCACACTCTTACCAGTCCAGAATTTTATCCGGTATGTCCATCTGAATGCCCACACACAGACAATTCCATAGCTGGTTCATTCAGTAGCTCCACAATTTTAGTTCTCTGTGTTAACCGATTTGTAGTCTATTTGGCTCTTCCCTCATATCCACAAGATGGCTGCTGCATGTCTACAGTTCTCTTCTTCCTGTGAAGATGTAAGCAGCAGAGACTATCCTGGGTGACTTAATCATAAAAAGGCTGTTAAAGGATGATCACTAGCTCACAGAATCACTGGGGAGGCTGAAGAACCAGATTTAGGGACAAATAGAACAATAGTCAAGCCATTGCATAGAAGTGATCAAAAAATACCTACCTAAGCCTAAAATATTTATCTAATACAGCATCCATTAGGATTCCAGTGCTGCTGTAACAAAATGCCACAAACTGGGTGGCTTAAACAACAGAAATGTATTGCCTCACAGTTCTAGAGGCTCAAAGTCCAAGATGAAGGTGCCAGCAGGATTGCTTTCTTCTGAAGGCTCTGAGGGAGAATGTTTCATGCCTCTCTAGGCTTCTGGTGATTTTCTGTCAATCTTTGGTGTTCCTTGGCTTGTAGACACATCACTGTAATTTCTACCTTCATCTTCACATGGTGTTCTCCTTATATGTGGACCTGTGTCCACATTTCCCCTTTTCACAGACACCAGTCACATTGGATTAGAAACCCACCTCACTCAAGTATGACCTCATCTTGACTAATGACATCTTCAACAACCCTAACTCCAAACAATGTCACGTTGTGAGGCACTATGGGACAGGATCCCGGCATATGACTTCTTGGGAGACACCATTCAGCCCACAACCATGTGTTAAAAAGAATCAAAGAAATAATGTGCATAAGTTGTTTAGCACAATGTAAACTGTTTGGTAGATGTTATTAGCATTTTATACAGTCAGTCCCAATGTTTTGTCACTTGACATTTAGCTGTTTCGCTCATTTAATCTGATAAAGAACTGTTCTTTTCTTTTACTATGTTGACTTACTCATTTGATGATGTTTAGCCACATCAGACACACTTCTTCAGGGATCATGAGAATCTATATTGGAATGTTGTTTTAAGTTGTGGACCTCAGCCAAACATTATTTCATCAAAAGACTCATGTTGGTGGCTATAAAGATGGAAAAAATAGATCTGAGAAATCCAAAAGTGGGGAGGGTGGAAAGGGGGACAAGAATTGAAAAACTACCTATTGGATACTATGTTCACTATTTGGGTGATGGGTTCTCTAGAAGCCTAAACCCAGCATTATGCAATACACCCATGTAACAAGCCTGCATATGTACCCTATGAATTTATAATTTGAAAATAAATAAATAAAAAAGATTTCTTTTTTACACACACACACACAAAAGAGGCTGAAGTTGCGACTGACATATCAGCAAGACATAGTGTCTTCTCAATCCTAGCCAGCCCCAGATGTAGCATTCAAACAAAAACAAAAACATGTCTTTGTTCCTGCATTAATTCACTTAGGATTATGGTATTGAGCATACATGGACATACACATGGGAACATTAGGCACTGTGGACCACTAGACAGGGGAGGGAGCAAGGGAGATGTGGGTTGAAAAACTACCCATTGAGTACTATGCTCAATACCTGGGTGCAATATACCCATGTAACAAACCTGCACATGTACTCCCTGTGTCTACAATAAAAGTTGAAATTAAAAAAAATAATAATAACATGTCTCTAACTTCCCCAGTTTTAAACCTTGGAACTGTTAGCAGAATTTGTCAGAGGATCTCACAATTTCGAGAATAGAAAAAGAGTTCAGGCCGGGCACGGTGGCTCACGCCTGTAATCCCAGCACTTTGGGAGGCCAAGGTGGGTGGATCACGAGGTCAGGAGATCGAGACCATCTTGGCTAACACAGTGAAACCCTGTCTCTACTAAAAATACAAAAAATTAGCCGGGCGTGGTGGCGGGCGCCTGTAGTCCCAGCTACTTGGGAGGTTGAGGCAGGAGAATGGCGTGAACCCAGGAGGTGGAGCTTGCAGTGAGCCGAGATCGCGCCACTGCACTCCAGCCTGGGTAACACAGCGAGACTCGGTCTCAAAAAAAAAAAAAAAAGAAAAAATTCAAATGACATAGGATTTCATTTCACGTTCAGAGTTCAGCTTGAAGCTACCACTGTGGACCACTCTTAGAAACTGGAGCCCTAGGGACATGAGTTCCTTGTGAATCAATGCATACTCATTGTATTGATACTCAGCCAACTTAACACGTGGTCTTTAAGGATGACCTTCCTAAGATGTTCTGTTAAACATAGGTATTTATCAAAGTGATTTATTTCTTCATTGGCCTTTTTTACATCACACTGGAGAAGAATATACAAGTGACTCAGATGCATTAGTAACCACAATGGAAATAAAACTTTCTCTTAAAAATTGCATTTTAAACATTCATTTAGAAGATGAGCAATCTAAAATGGTATTTCTATTGGAAGTGGTTTTCTGTGAAATCGTGACTGCTTTCTCCACCATTCGTTTTTTCCATTTACTATCAGTATGTCAATATTATTTTGAAACTTTAGTCAATTGGACTACACTATAAATCCAAGTTTTCATTTTCCCTCACATTAACTTTTCTTCATCTCCCTTTTCAGCTATTAGTCATCATTGTTGATGCCAAAGTCCTTAGCACGTAGAGTTCAATTAGCTTGACAAAGTGTATTAGTTATGAAACAATTTGCACTTTATTTGCTGGCTATTGTTTTCAAACCAGTTTAACTAAGTAACTTACATAAGTAAATAGGAAATAACAACTAGCAAATAATTGAAGCTCAGAGTATAGTTCTTTTGAAGTAGGTGAGTATATTTTGGCTGTTGGACATTGAGTCCTCAGCAACTCTAGACTCACCATTCCTAAGCTTTTCTACTCTATAAACTTTCCTTAATTTCACATTAGCCATTCATGTGTGTGATTATACCTTGAAATTTCTCACCACCGGATCTGATTCTCTTAGGAAACTGAAAGCCAGAAATTTCCTACTTTAACAAAAGGACCCTTTATTTTTATCACTCAAATTATCTTGCTCCCTTTTTGCCTGTCCTTCAACCCTCACCATAATTGTCAAGTTCTTAACTCTGCTGTGTTCTCCAGATCTAATACCTTTTGGTGGTTTTATGAAATTTATGGTAGATTTGTCATGACACCTTGACAATCTCAAACTCTGGACCAATGTAACTAAACAAATTTTTCTATTCCTTGGCTTCTAAGTAGGCTGGAGAAAAATCTATACCAATGCTTTTCTGATTTACTGTAAAGAATCATCAGAAGACAAACATAGTTTAATTTCAGGATTTTATAGTCACTGTTCTATGGATACTTCACCAACATTATAAATGGGTGCTCTGGTTATTTGTAACACCTGTTCATAACATTTTCTATATGAAAATTCTTGCAGCCATAGTCTTTCATGGAGAATTTAGACCTTCATTTACTGATTTGCCCATATTTGCATCAGCCCCAGGAGTGAGTAAAATGTTGGCTCTGCCCAAAGTCACTACCTTGAATCAACTCCATACAGTCATTGGATGAAAGTCTATCCAAGCCCAAGTCTTAGTTAGGCTCCTCATTTTAATAAGGGGATGTCAGTATCCCTGCAGGCCTATTTGATTGTCAAAGCATGATAATCCTCTAGCTATTCCCTACATGCCATGTATAACCTTCAGGTTTTAGCCAGAGAATGTAACTTAAAATGCTTTGCCATGTAATTTTTATCAAAAACTCAGTTTGAGTAATGCTATTCATGGATAACTTACTAAAGAATTTGTAGTCTATGCGTTTTTTAATGTATTTTAAATTCCATGCCTAGATCATGCCAAATTAAACCACATTTTTGTTTTCTTATACAATTATTAAATATTTTTATAGAGTTTATGTGTTGGAACTATGCCTTTGGATTTATTTAGGGAGGCCAGTTGCAATGTTGCTCACTCTACCACTTGGTGCCCTTTTCATGAGGATTCATGGAAGAAATTTCGATTAGGTTTCTGTGCTTGAAAAAAGCTTTTCTGAAGGAATGTCAGTTTCCTTCTCTGCTTTGTTAACTATTAATAGCATGCTTAGATTGTAAATGTAGGACAGCTATATAGTAGAATTTTATATTATGCAGTTTGGGATATAACGTTCACCTTGGGCATTATTTCACCTGTACTTATTTTCTCCTTGCCTCAATTTTCTCATCCTATTTTTTATACTATATTTTCTTAAAATGCTGTTAAAAATCCTTTATAAAAATTAAGCAGAGACTAAATTTATAACTCAACAAGTAATGCATGAAAAGAATGACCTCTACCAATATTTTCAGGAAAGACACATAGTTATAATGTCTTTTAAAACAAGGCTATTCTGTTGGCCTGAAATGGCTTAGTGGTCTCTCAAAACTGAGCTGACAGTGGCCTCCAGCAGAGAGCCAGCAAGAAAGCTAGGTGTTAGTCCTACAGAGGTAAGCAATCGAATTCTGCCAACAACCCATGAATGTGGAAGATGACCAGTAGTCTCAGAAAAGATGGTAGCCCCCTCTGACTCCTTGATTTCAACCTAGTGAGACCCTAATAAGCACAGGATCCAGCTAACTTCTGCCAAGACTTCTGACCCGTAGATACTGTAGTGAGGATTAAGCTCTGACTTTTTATCTTGGCCAAATTCTTACCCAAGAGGTCTAGGGAGTTCATGCCCTACAAACCATCAGTTCTCATTAGATGGGTTTTATTTGACCCTATATATCGTGACTTACTTTTCAATCTGACTCTGGCATAACATTATGAAACAAGGAAAAAGTATTTAACCCCAAAATATATTTCCTTGCCATACCTTGAAATTGCCCTGAGAAGTCTCTTGTGGGAAAAATCCACATTCTATAAAGAATCCCCTCCCCCTTTTGTTTTCCTTCCATTCTTTGCAGATCCAGGAGATAATCAGCTAAGAGCCAGGCACCCTTTTAGGTCTGATAAGAAACATTTACAACCTGTTCTCTCTCTGAAGTCTGCTGAGAGCTTCCTCTGCACAATAAAACTTGGTCTCCACAATCCTTTATCTTAACCTGGATGTTCCTTTCCATTGATCCCAGGTCTTGAGATAAACTCAACCACTTGTCAACCAGAAAATGTTTAAATTTACCTATAGCCTGGAAACCTCTGCTTTAGTTATCCTGACTTTGTGAACCAAACGAATGTATTTATTCAATTTTGTCTCATGCCTTCCTAAATGTATTCAATTGATGTCTCATGCCTCCCTAAAATATACAAAACCAAGCTGCACCCCGACCACCCTGGGCACATGTTCTTAGGACCTCCTCAGGGCTGTGTCATGGGCCATGGACACTCATATTTGGCTAAGAATAAATCTATTCAAATATTTTACAGAGTTTGACTCTTTTCATTGACATAAGATAATAAATTTGTCTTGTTTCGAGTTGCTAAATTTGTGGCAACTTGTTATATAACAATGGGAAATTGATGAAGAAACCAAACAACCCAGGTATACCAACATCATGATAAAGCCTAGTAAAGATAGTGAACTTGAAAAAATGTTCTTTGGACGTTCAGCCTAACAGACAAATTAATTAATAATGCAAATAAAATCAAGTCATAGTTAAACTTGCTTATGTCAACGATTCTGTTCTTGCAAGACCTACCTGGCCTCAAGAGAAATTATTTTCCAGGGCCCAACACATTGGTGTTTTATCAGCACCTAATTGACCTGGGGAAAGCAGAATGCCTAACTCCAGCCTGTGGTATTTTGTTATGGCAGGCTGAGCAGACTAATACAGACTTTAATATACAGACTAAAAGTAAAGGGATGGAGAAAGATACCCCTAGTCAAAATAAAGAAAGTAGTTATGTTAATCTAAGACAGAGCTGACTTCAAAGCAAGGAAACTTATTAGGGATAAAGAGGGTCAGTTCTTCAAGAAGACATAATAATTATTTATGTTTACATGCCTAAAAATAGAGTGTCAAAATATCTGAGACAAAAACGTGGAACTGAAATGAGAAATAGATGGATCCACTATATAGTTGGAGACTTCAATACTCCTCTATCATAAATGAACAGACTCAGTGACAGATAATCAGGACATACTTGCACTCAACACCACCACTAGTCAACTGGATATGTTATAAATGACATCTATAGAATACTTTATCTAACAACTGCAGAATACACATTATTCTGAAGCTCACATGGAACATTCAAAAGATATAACACAGTTTGAGCCATAAACCACACTTCAACAAATTTAAAGGAATAGAAATTATACAATGTATGCTCTCAGAACACAATGGAATTAATCTAGAAATTAATAACAGAAAGATATATGGAAAATCTCAAAATACTTGGAAATTAAACGACACACTTCTAAATAATGCATGGATCAAAGAATAAGTCTCAGGAGAAATTTTAAAATATCTTGAACTAAATGAAAATGAAGATGCAGCTTATCAAAATTTGTGAGATGCAGTGAAAGCAGTGATTATGGGGAAGTTTATAGCATTGCACACATATTTTAGAAAAGAAGAAAGATCAAAGATCAATAATCTAAGCTTCCACTTTCAGAACAGAAAAAGAAGAGCAAATTAAATTCAAAGTAAGCAGAAGAAAATAAATACAAAAATAATAAAAATTAGAGCAGAAATCAATAAAATTGAAAACAGGTAATCAATGAATAAAAATCAAGAAAACTAAAAGCTGGTTCTTTGAAAAAGAATCAATAAAATTGAGGAATGTCTAGCAAGGCTAAGAAAAAAATAAGAGAAAACATAAATTACTAATATTAGAAAAGAGGGATTATTATTACAGATCCCATGGACATAAAAAAGAAAACAGAATACCAGCGATAATTCTATGCCCATACATATTTGATAACCTAGATGAAATGGACCAATTCCTGCAAAGACATAATCTTTTTAAAAAATAAATTTTATTGTGTATACTTAAGGTATGCCACATAATGTTTATAAATATATGTATAAATATATAGAACTAAACATATATATTTAGTAAATATACATATTTACTATACATATTCACTATAGTATAGCACGCCATCTCTCTTGCTCCCTCTCATGCAGTGTGACATGTGTGCTTCCTCTGTGCCTTCCACCATGAGTGGAAGCTCCCTGAAGCCCCACCAGCAGCAAATGCTGGTGCTATGCTTCTTGCACAACCTACAGAACCATGAACCAAATAAAATTATTTTCTTTATAAATTACCCAGCCTCAAGTATTCCTTTATGCAAAACAGACTAACACACTTCCAAAACAGAAAGCATCAGGCCCAGATGGATTCACTGGGGAATTCTACTAAACATTTCAGCAAGAAATTATACCAGTTCTTTACAACCCCTTTCAGAAGATTGAAGCAGAGGGAAGACTTCCTAATTCATTCTGTGAGTCCAGCTTCACTCTAATACCAAAGCCAGACAAAGACATTGTATTGAAAGGAAAAACCTACAGACCAATATCTCTCATTAACATAGATGCAAAATTCCTTGACAAATTATATCCAGTTACACATTACAGCAAAGAATTATTCACTAAAACCATGTGGGATTTATACTAGTTATGCAAGGCTTGCTATGCAAGGCTTGTTTAGAAAATCAATTAACATATTCTAGTACATCAACAGACTAAAGAACCAAAATCACATAATCATAGCAATAGATGCAGGAAAAGCATTTGACAAAATACAAAAGCAATTAATGATAAAATCATCAAACTAGGAATAGAAAAAGGAACTTCCTTAACTTGATAAATAATATCTACAAAAACTCTACAGCTAGCCTTTACTTAATGGTGAAAAAACAGAAACTTTCCCACTAAGAACAGGAACAAAAGAAGGATGTTCCCTTTCAATCTCTTAACTGGAAGTCCTAACTTACATAGTAAGATTAAAAAATGATATAAAAGGTATACAAATAAGGAAGGAAGAAATAAAACTGTCTTTGTTCTCAGATGACATAATTGTCTATGTAGACAATCTGAAAAAATTGACATAAATCTGGATCTAATAAATATATATAGCAAGGTTGCAGGACACAGATTAACATATAAAATCCAATCACTTTCTTAATATTCCAGCAATGAACAAGTGGATATTAAATTACAAACACAACAAAATTTACATTATTAGCCACTCCAAAGTGAAATACTTTAAGTATAAATTTAACAAAATATGTTCAAGATCTATATGAGGAAAACTACAGAGCTCTGATTAAAAAATCAAAGAAAAACTAGATAAATGAAGAGATAGCCCATGTTTGTGGATAGGAATACTCAATATTTTCAAGATGTAAGTTCTTCCCAACTTGATCTATAGATTCAATGCAGTGCCACTGAAAACCTCAGCAAGTTACTTTTTAGATATTGACAAAATTATTCTAAAGTATATATAGAGAGGCAAAAGACCCAGAATGGCAAACACAATATTGAAAGAGAAGAATAAAGTCAGAAGACTGACACTACCTAACTTCAAAACTTACTATAAAGCTACAGTAATAAAAACAGTGTGATATTAGCAAAAGAATAGACAAATAGATTAATAGAATGGAATAGAGAGCCTAGAAACAGACCTACATAAATATAGCCAACTGGTCTTCGACAAAGGAACAAAGGGAATCAATGAAACCAAAATAGTCTTTTCAGCAAATGGTGCTGGAACAGCTGGACATCTACATGCAAAAAGAGGAATCTAGGCACAGACCCTGCACTGTTTATGAAACTTAACAAAAAATGAGTGACAGACCTAAATGTAAAACAAAAAACTATAAAAGTCCAGGAAGATAATATAAGAGAATATCCAAATGACCTTGGGTGTGGTGATGACTTTTTAGATACACAGCAAAGACAAGATCCATGAACAAAATAACTGATTGGCTGGAGCTTATTAAAATCAAAATTTTCTTCTGTGTGAAAGACAATGTCAAGAGAATGAAGAGGCAAGCCACAGATAGAAATATTTGCAAAAGACATGGCTGATAAAGGAGTATTATCCAAAATATACAAAGAACAAACTCAACAATAGGAAAAAAATAACCCACAACCAATTAAAAATGAGCAAAAATCTTGTACAGATGCTCCATCAAAGAAGATATATAGATGGCAAATAATGAAAAAAATGGAGGTTGAGGCAGGAGAATCACTTGAACCCGGGAGGCGGAGGTTGCAGTGAGCTGAGATCGTGCCACTGCATTCCAGCCTGGGAGACAGAGCAAGACTGTGTCTCAAAAAAAAAGAAAAAAAATGGGTCAACATCATTTGTCATTAGAGAATCGTAAATTAAAAAAAAGAGACATCCCTAATGGCTAAAATCCAAAACACTGATAATACAAAATGCTGGTGAGGTTGAGGAACAACAGGAACCCTCATTTATTGCTTGTGGGATGTGAAAAGGTATTGCCATTTGGAAAACAGCTTAACAGTTTCTTATAAAACTTAACATAATCTTAAAATCCAGCAATCACTCCCTGGTACTTACTCAAATATGTAAAAATCTTATTCTACACAAAAATCTGCACATAGATGGTTATAGCAACTTTATTCATAATTGCTAAAACTTGAATGCAACCGAGATGTCCTTCAGTAGGAGAATGAATAAACAAACTGTGGTATATCCACAATGGAATATTATTCAGTGTTAAACAGAAATGAGCTAACAAACCATGAAAAGAAATGGAGACAATTTAAGTGCATATTATTAAATGAAAGAAATCTATATGAAAATGTTACATACTGTATGATTCCAACTATATGACATTTTGGAAAAGGAAGGATAATGGCAGGGTGAGTGAGGGGTGGTCAGGATGGTTAATGGGTACAAAAAGTAGTCGGAATGAATGAATCAGACCTACTGTTTGGTAGCACAACAGGGTGACTATAGTCAATAATAACTGTATATTTTAAAATAAAGAGTGTAATTGGATTATCTATAACTCAAAGGATAAATGATTGAGGGCATGGATACCCCATTCTCCATGATGTGCTTATTTCACATTGCATGTCTGTATCAAAACATCTCATGTCTCCCATAAATATATACACCTATGTACCCACAAAATTTTTTTAAAAATCAGTATTTTCCAGGGGTTATAGGAGAGGGAGGGATGAATAAGTGGAACGCAGGATTTTTAGGGGCATTGAAACTGTTCTATATGCTACTATAATGGTGGATACATCTTGTTATACATTTGCGAAACTCCGTAGAATTTATAATAAGACTGAGCCCTAATGTAAACTATGGAGTGTGGTGATGATGATGTGACAAGTGGACCACTCTGGTGTGGAATGCTGACAGTGGGGGAGGCTGTGCACGTGGGGCAGAGGGTATACGGGAACTCCATACTTTCTTCCCAACTTTTCTGTGAACGTTAAACTTATGTCAAAAAATAAAGTCTATTTTTAAAAAATCTCCTTAGCAAAGAAGACCAAACTAGACAACATAAAAGTAATTATTTTTATCTATCTATTATACGTCTCTCTTTCATTATCCCTATTCTGTCAATTTTTCAATCTCTCTGTTTCGAGTTGAGAAAAACCTAGTGCAGCCTTATGACATTAGGAAGGGTCCACTACTTGTGTAGTGAGGAGAGTTCTGGAGTTGGGAGGGAAAGAGAAGGATGTGAAATTCAGCAATAGACTTTTCAGTGTACCGGTCAAAAATTTCCCAGTGGTTTTCCTTGGGAATTCCTGTGCACTTATTCTTTCTTCCTCCAGTCTATTTCCCTTTCACAATACACTCTCACTTTAAATAAAGGGGGAAAATAAAGGATGTCTTTTAGTTTTGTGTTGGAAAGTAACCCTCTTATATTTACCTTTTCACTGCTGAGTCTCTCAGCCTTAGAAGGTTTGAGAGATCCAGACTGCCTTGAGCCTGTTAAGGCTCTCATGCTGATCTTGTATACTTTTCTTCCATTATATGTTATTCCATATGCATATTGCATTGAGATGTGTAAACCTTGCTTACTACATTGACCTTGCATGATGTGTATAAAATGTAGTCAATTGATTTGGTCAATTGATTTGCTTCTATAAAATACTGAATTTCCTATCAAAAATTGCTAGAAGTTATAATTTTATTTTCCTCATGGTTTTGAAATGCAGATGCTGAAGGTAAAACAACCATCTGTAACGGTTATTACAGTTTGTGCAGTTGCTTATTTGAAAGGAAGGTGCTGAAATTTATCTTCTTAATTTTTTTTTCAAGCAGAAGCTTGCAAGACAAAATGATTCTACTAGAAACTCACAGTTCCTTGTATTAAGAGCAGCATCCAGTGACATAATTAAAGAGGATGAGGAAAGGAAACCATCATCAAATATTTCTGCACTTAAGAGATGGTTTATCTCATCAAATGGGATAAATATATAAGTCTATCAGCTCTTCCTTCACCTCACAGACTTCATTACTCATCTTATACCCATCCTATGTTCTTGCACGTGAACTATTTCAAGTTTGCCCCCAGCAGTCTTGCTCTTTGCTGTTCCCTGTTGGAGACTCCCCACAAACTCCCAACTTAGGTTCAATCCATTTTTCCTGTTCAATTTGAATGTAGAATTCTCCTATGACCATTCAATAACACTTGTGAACAGGATGTGAACTGTTGTAGTAGGATCTGCAAACATGGCTGCCAATTCTTCCCATGTCTGCAGCTCTATGCCACTTCATTCTCAAGAGGAAGAGTCTACTTCCCTTCCTGCTGAATCTGGGCTGACCCTGTGTCTTCATTTGACTAGTAGAATATACAGAAAGTAAAAACATGTGATTCCAGAGGTAGATTTTAAGAACCCTTGAAGCTTCCATTGTTGAACTCTTGGGACCCAGCACCATGTAAAGAAGCTTGAGTTCCATTGACTCGCAGATCTTTTAGCCACACCGAATGAGTCACTAGATATGAAGATAAATCCATCTTAGTAGCTCAGCCCTGATCAAGCATCCTGTTGAATGCAGCTTTAGGAGTCAATATCATGTAGCGAATATCAGGAAGAGAAAACAAATCATGTAGATGAGCCCAGCCAATCTATAGAATCGTTAAAAAAGTCATTGCTATTTTAAGCCACTAAGTTTTGGGATTTCTTTTATGTAGCAATAGGTAACTAATACAATTACCAAATCTAAACATTATTCTACTTTCAGATACCTCCCTTACAGGAGGGGAAATAAAGTATGGCTGATGTATTTGTTGAAAATAATGGAGCCCTTCTCCAGTTTCTTCTAATTATTTCTGTCTACACTTGTTAGAGAAAAACAGTGCTGGGCTCTTGTTAAAGGTGGCAAGACTATTTAATTAGACTTACTGCAGTAAGTAAAGAGTCTCCAGTATAGACTGAGCCCCTGAGCTCAACTCCAACTAAGACAAAGATAACTGAGGTTTTTAAGGGGAGAACAGATAGGACACAAAAAAGGACTTACGGGGAAATAAAAAAGGAAAAATGGACTAGGGAGCCATGTGGAAGTGGAAAAACTACAGAAAGGGGTAGGTGGAGAATTACTGCGAATGGTTTGGCAAGATGGGTTGAAACAATGTATTTTTTATGATTTGGAAGTGCTGTACGTTCTTGGGTGAAGATTCGGTACAAGGCTGGGGTCACTGTTAGGGACATGGCTTCCACCCATGACAGGAGGAAGTCAAGCTAAAGTTTGGTCAAGTCTCTGAGCATAGTGTCTGGGGAAGTCTTTTGTGCCATGTGGGACTTTATGTTTTTACCCTTCTTGCAGGTGACCTCAGGTCCTTCTTCATTGGATGAGATACAGCATAAACTCTCAGCTTCCATTCCAATACATTCTTCACTGGGGCCAAACAGGTGTTGCCCTACTTAAATTTTCTACATATTTTAAGGTTTTCAGGTTGGCAGCTCCCATGGTTGACTCTTGGGATCCAGCACCATGTGAAGAAGTTTGAGCTCAGAGAGCCCCCAGATGTTTCAGTTACAGTGGATAAAGCACCAGATGTAAGAATGAAACTATCTTAAAATTTCAGACACCATCAAATACTCTGTTGAATGCAGTTGTGGGAGTGACCCCAGCCAATATCATAAAGGTATGGTTCTAGTTTTACTTACCTATCATCTATCAAAGGAGTTAGCAAAATATACCTATGGGCCAAATCCAGCCTACCTCCCTCTTCTTTTGGTAAATAAAGTTTTATTGAAACATAGCCATGACCATTGTTTTATGTGTCATCTATGGCTTGCTTCATATTACAATGACAGAGTGGAGTGGTGACAACGGAGACTATATGACTTACAATATCTAAAATATTTACTAGCTGGCCTTTTATAGAAAAATTTTGGTGAAATTTGCTTGTGAATAAATGAATAAAAAGTTTCTTTAAAAGGATAAATCACATTATGAATAAAGTATAGTGAATTATTCAGGGTAACTCTAGCTTCCATAAACCCCAATATTTTTATAATTTAAACAAAACTAAAGTTTCTCTGTTGTTCACGTAACAGTTAACAGGTTAGAAAAGCAGTCCCTCCTCATGCAGTAATTCAGGAAACCTGGTAAATGGAAATTCTTCAACGTGCAATTTCTGAGTAACCCTGGGTGAGAAATAATGTGCCCAGGAAGAAGAGTAGACAATGATATTTGGTGAACAGGTAGCAGATCCTTCCACAAATAGTTTATTACCACTGCTATAATTTTATTAACAATCATCCTCTTTATGCAAATGATTGTTCTAGTTAGTTTATTAAGCTACCACTTATTCACATGAATAATTCTAATAAAATTCTTCTACCAGACACCGAGGTGAGATAAATGACACTTTGGTAAGGATCATGACTTTGGTAAGGACTCAGGGAAGAAGGCAAATCACCTTTCGGTCATGGAGCATTTTGAAGGGAGAATAGTTTTCACATTGTGGGACTTCTGTTATTCAGAAAAAGGCTTAAGGCATTGAATTTTTTAGGATGTTGGGGAGATAAGTGACCAGAAAGGCGTAAAGGCAGACAGAAAAAGAAATGTGAGGTTCTGGAGGACAAGCTTTGCATCTTTGTCATTGGCTGCTCATGGCACAAGTTTTCAGGGAATGAACAGAGTGTTCTTGAGAGGTAGCATCTTGAGGCCACCCTGGAGCAGGAGCCAATTGCCTTTCAGGCAAAGTGACTCGCTTTCTTTTTGAACAGTTTCCAAAATAATATTAATAACAAAAATGATGGAGACAGTAGATTACAGAGCTCTAGAATTTCAGTGATAGAAATGAGAAAGCGATTAAATTGAAAATGTTTTCTTCTGGCAGATCAAGCTGTAGTTGTGTGGTTATAAATTCTGCATACTCATTGAGTCTTGGAACTCATGGAGATTGAGTCTTGGAGGAAAAATAAGCAAAAGAAAGATAAATTCGTTCCTTAAAAGACAAATTTCCTTAAAATTGTAATTTCAGGGGAAAATGTATGTCAGGTAAGAAATTAGTAATTTTGAAGAATCCTTCTATGTCTAGAAATTTAAGTTTCCCAATTGCTCCATGTACCAATTAGATATCTATTGAGCCAAAAACAGGAAAGCTAAGGTGTACTATAGTCTCTCAAGTAGTTCAGAAACACCAATTCACAGCCTAAGACAGTATATAATGAAGGAAAAATGTCTAGGACTCATTGCAGATATATGGTTCATTCTCTGGGGAAATTAGAGGATTAGCAAATCAGTTATCTATTGCTAAAATAATGCTGCATAGCAAACCATTCAAAAACTTAGTGGTTTAAAACAAAAATTATTTATTATTTCTCACAAGTTTATAGTTTGGCTAGTTGGTTATTTTCACCTAGGCCAGAAATATATGCTCTTGGTTTGGCTGATTCACACATCTTCAGTCAAATGGTAGGCCAGCTGGAGTTTGCTGTTCTAGAATGGCCTCAACCTGGATGATAAGGCTCTGCTCCATGTGGTCTGTCATCTTCCAACTGCTCTTGTGATCTCGTTCTTGTGAGGAAGACAAAGGAGCAAGAGAGAGAGGTCTTTGCTTAAAACTAGTATGCTGTTACTTGCATTACATTTTACTGGACAAAGTGAATCACAAGGTAGGCTAAGTTTCAAAGAATAGGAAAACAGACTCTACTTTTCGATGAGAGAAATTTTAAAGCCACCTGGAAAGGGTATGGATACAGGGAGATGTAGAGAATTAGGGCCATGTTTGCAAACAGTTTATTTCATTGAATTTTATCAAGGAAATCTTGGTAGAGGAAGGTACAACTTAGCTTGAGCTTTGAAAGTAAAGGAAAGAATAGGGGGCATTTTTTTAGGCAAGGATAACAACATAAATGAAGCCTGTAGTAGTAGTTTAATAGAAAGAAGGAGTTTGGTTCTACAGCGTGTGATACAAAATTAGGCATGTATTGAGCTGCTTCGGGGGGGCTAAACTGGCTTATATTTAGTATAAATCAGAATATCTGTACAGAATAGATCATAAATTCATCAATTAAGATATGGAAATATACTTATACGTGGTGTTTAAACTCCTGCATGATGGGATGTGTGCGTTTGTTTTTATTTGCCTTTTATGCCTGAGGACAATGCTGCTGTCTTCTTAAATTCAGCACCTATTGATTACCCCAGATAAAAAGTTCTCTTCACTAGCTCCATTTTATTTATGACTTATAGCAGGGTTACAGATTGTAAATACCCTTACACATTGTTTGAGAGCAGGGTGGTCAACCCTAATAGTCTATTTAAAATCTCAAAGGTTCAAAGAAGTATCTCTGAGAGTTGTGCAGAGATATAGTACAGGCTCTATTCCCGCCAGAAACGTGTACATGAAACTTAAAAAGGAAGGGGCTTCTCTATCTTAGAAATTCTCATACTTTTTGATCTTAGGACCTTCTTACATTGTTAGAAATTTGAGGATCCCAAAGAGTTTCTATTTCGGTTGGTTCTTTCTGTTGCTATTTACTGTATTTGAAATTAATATTGAGAAAATAAAAAATATGTATTTACTAATACATTACAAATAATAGTAATGGACAAAAGCAATTAATGAAAAATACTAAATTTATTTCCATAAATGACATATTTCTGTGAAAAGTAACTATTTTTTGAAACAAGGAAAGTGAGAAAACGTCATTGTTTCACATTTTTGAAAATCTTTTATGTCTGGCTTAATAGAAGACAATTTCTTTTATCTGCTTCTGCATTCAGTCTATTACAACATGTTATTTTGGATGAAACATATAAAGAAACTTTGGCTTCATGCAGATCTTTAGATGGAAGCGGGAGAAAACTGTAGGGTCTTAAGAACCGTATTTGGAAAACGCTTCTGTTTAAGAGCTCCATAAGATTTATCATGGCAGAAAAAATAAAAATTAAGAATGCAAAAAGAACATGTAACAAATTGTGATGTTTTTCTCCCCAAAGTAGGCTATTCATTGTGAATTTCCAAAAAAAAAAAAAGAACACCTATTTCCTCTAATTTATTAATTTGTTATAACAACAACAACAAAAAAAAATTATGATTTTTGGGCCAGTGCCCCAAATCTCTTAGTCATCATGCCAAAAATGCAACAAAATAGAATGTTAACCATGGGAAAAAGTTTCAAAGGATCTGACCAAATGCCCAGGATGAATTTGATAAAACGGTGACCTTACTCACATATAGCTTACTTAATAGTCAAGGGATTTTTTTTTTCACCGCTCAAAAAATTCCAGCCAATTTCACTGATATTCTTCCTTGTTCCAGAAACTTCCTCAAAGTTGACCTTTCATTCTCTGGTGACCTGGGCAAGAATTTCTCAGAAACCAAAAGCCTGGCTGTTCAGTTGGTTTGGGAGTGGCATTTCCTAAAGTTTTGATTGGAAAAGAAACCTGGAGTTCTAACAAATTCATTTTTAAAGAAATGAATTGAAGTTTCTTTGCCAAATGCCATATGCAAAGTTTATTACTAATTCTTAATAAACGTAATGCAATTGATAGAGAACGTGAAAGTGAATTATTAGTTCTGGTTTTAAAATCCCATTATATGATCTATATATTTCTGCTCCACTTTTAAAAGTTGCTAGTGATATTGGTATGCATCAAACCCTTGTGGTAGATTATACATGATCGAATAAATGATTTTAAATAACAAGAATTTTATAATCCAATTATAAAAATATACAATATTTAAAAATAAGACAAACGCAGAAGGAGAGATAATCACACAGTCTTCTCCAAAAGCTACCACTCTGTTTTTTTGCATTTAATTTTATTGGCATTATTAACAAAAACATACCTTACTCTGATTTACAACTTTACTTTTTGCTTTAGATATATGATGATTTTTTTCCCTTACATTAACCATAGACATAGTTTTTAGAAAAAAATGAAACAGACAACATATTTGAGGAGATGGGGGTCTATGTTTACATGTAAACAATGACTTAGAAAATTTGTAAAAAGTGACCTCAGAGGGACAAAGGGGAAACAAATCCCTTGGAAGCCTTGGATCCTCCCAGGCAGCTGTGGCTCTGTGTTTCCTTCCTATTAAGAGGGATGTGTGGTTTGTATTGTCCTCCTGGGAGAATAATTCTGTCATTTCCATTAGGAAGATGATTTATTGAGGGCAGTTCCTTTTTAAGATTGAACAGGAAAACCAGTGTTGCAACCTGATGGTGCTATTTCCTTTGTAAAACGCTTCAGTGCTGAAGTTGTAGCAATTACCTTGGCCTTGAACTGAATCACAGACACCTCTCTGATCCCTTCTGTAACCTTATCTGGTAACACACAACGGTAACCACTGTGTCCTCTTGGTTTGAGGTGGGTGAGAATCAGGGCATACAACTCCCAGATTTCTCATAAGAGGGCATCCAGCCCTGTAACAGATATCCCCCAAGGCCATCGTGGAGCAGCCGGGATGCTGCGTAGGGGTTACAAATGCAGATGCAGTTGTTAAAGGGAATTTGACTGCAGCTGGAAAATAATTTTCTAAGAAGGCATATGGCAAAACGTTTTGCTTCCGTGTACCAATATCTCTGCGTGCCTCCTTTATTCCTCATTGAACCTCGGGGAATATTTAATAGTTCAGTCCTTCTTTTAAAGGTATGGTGAAAGGCAGCATCACTGCATCCCAGCAGAGGGCAGTTTCCTCAAGCCTATAGTACACCATTGCAGGTCTCATTCATGCTCAGATGGTGGTTGTTCACACCTTGTTCTTAAGAAAAGTAAACTTGTATTCAGTGACCTAGTTACACAGCAGCTTGGGCTGTGCTAAACAGTCATTCATTCAGATACTTCCTTTAGAAAACTAAAGTGAATCCAGTTGCGGTTTGCAGAAACAAGCTCCACAATGAGAGTAAAGAGATCTGGGTACTGGTCTTGGATTTGTCACTAAATAGCCATTGTGCTGGTGACATTAAGCAAGTCACTTTAGCTCAATTCTGCATCTCTGGTGAGGGGTTTTGGACAGCATGACCTGAAGATTTTAGATACAGTAGAATTTTCACATAATACCTCTATAACCCTGATAAAAATATATTTCGTAGCTGAGGGTTTGGAGTTAAAGAAATAGAGATTCTTCTTTAAAGTAATGCTAATTCAGATAGTTTACCTGGTTTGCAATATAAGCTTTATAGGTTATCCCTCTTCTACAATTGCTGAACTAAACCATCTTATATATTAGGAAAACTCAATTGGGCATGACTGTGAGAGTGAGAAGAACAGATTTCTGGGCCTGTGTTGGCTTCTCTCTAGCTATATGACTTTAGGTGAATCACCCCAACCTTCTGATTTCCAGTTTTCTCATTAGCAAAATGAATGGGTTGAATTAGATCAATGTTTCCTCCAAAAGGACCTGTGATTAAATGAGTCTGGGGGAAAAGGAGGTAAAGATAAGCAGGGGTCTATACTGCATTGATTCTGAAACCATTTCCACAGAGTCATCCACCACAGATTTACTGGGAGCTGCCTGTCTGGTAAGACCTTTTCCAGGGTAACCTACTTTAAACAGTAAACAACTGTTCAGCCTGTCATTGACCAATCAGAATGAATGCTGGCTGCAACTCTGAAGTGGCTCTGAGACCCCCTCTACTAGTCTGTTCTCATGCTGCTGATAAAGACACACCCAAGACTGGGTAATTTATAAAGGAAAGAGGTTTAATTCTCACAGTTCTACATGACCGGGAAGGCCTCACAATCATGGCAGAAGTGAAGGAGGAGGAAAGTCATGTCTTACATGGTAGCAAGAAGAAGGGCTTGTGTAGTGGAACTCCCACTTATAAAATCATCAGATCTCATGAGACTTATTCACTACCACGAGAAGAGTATGGGGGAAACCACCCCCATGATTCAATTATCTCCACCTGGCCCCACCCTTCACACATGGGGATTATTACAGTTCAAGGTGAGATTTGGGTGGGGACACAGCCAAACCATATCACCCCCAAGTGGAATCTGGTATTTGTTTCTGGATCCTGGGGAGTCTGGATGCTCCTTCAGTGGTTACTTATCAGTCAGCATGGAAGTATGTCAATATTTTCACAACTGGTATGGCCCTACCTACCTGCACACTCTCACCCCTGTGCTGTCCGAGGTTGCAGTGCCTTCTCTAGCCTTGTCTCAGAATATATGATCCAGGACCAACAGCGGCAGCAGCCCTGAGAGCTTGTTAAAAATGCTAATTCCTGGATTCCACCCAGACCTTCTTAATCAGAATCTGCACTTCTGCAAGACCCCCAGGTGATTACTGTGTTCTTTACAATTTGAGAATCACTGGCATGCAAAACAGGTCTGGTTTATTTAAAATGCACAGGGCTGATTTGCTGATGTCTACAGGAGGGCAAATAGCTTGAGCCCAGGAGTTTGAGACCAGTCTGGGCAACGTGACAAACCCCCCTCTCTCCAAATATACTGGGTAAATCTGTGGTGGATGACTCTGTGGAAATGGTTTCAGAATCAACGCAGTATAGACCACTGCTTATTTTTACCTCCTTTCCCCCCAAACTCATTTAATCACAGGTCCTTTTGGAGGAAACATTGATCTAATTCAACCCATTCATTTTGCTAATGAGAAAACTGGAAATCAGAAGGTTGGGGTGATTCACCTAAAGTCAAATAGCTAGAGAGAAGCCAACCCAGGCCCAGAAATTAGCTGGGTATGGTGGCGCATGCCTGTGGTCCCAGCTACTTGGGAGGCTGAGGCAGGAGAATCACCTGAGCCCAGGGAGGTCAAGGCTGCAGTGAGCCATGATGGGGCCACTGCACTCCAGCCTGGGCAACAGAGTAAGACCCTGTTTCAAAAAAATAAATAAATAATAAAAAAATAAAGTGTAGTCTCTTTATGATGACTTGGCATAGAACCCTTTTATGATGGAATATATTGTGGGATGAGTGGTCAGTGAAATACATTTTGGAAAACATTGAACAAGATATCTGAAGTTCTCTCTAACTCTAAAATTCAATGATTCTGAGACAGTTAAATGTTCTCACATTTCTCATTTGTTCATAATATTCTTCAAATCAGTTCTACTATAAATTGGATTTACCATTGCCTTTGGGCACTCAAATGTCAATAAAGATTGGGGA
This sequence comes from Homo sapiens, assembly GCF_000001405.40. NCBI lineage: Eukaryota > Metazoa > Chordata > Mammalia > Primates > Hominidae > Homo > Homo sapiens. The sequence goes on along the minus strand of NC_000021.9, from coordinate 28,519,707 downwards.
TATTTTTAGAACTTTGATTTTAATTTCTGAGATATTAAATTGATAAGGAAATGAAAATAATCTGGAACCCAGACAATATGTTTTGTAGGGGCCTAGAGTTTTTTAAAAAAATTATTTATATCTTATCATAGTTTATTTTTTACTGTAGTGAAATGCATATAACATAAAACTTACCATTTTAACCATGTTTAAATGTATAATTCAGTGACAATATGTACATTTACCATGGTGTGTGATAATCACTGGTCTCTATTTCCGGAGCTTTTTCATGATCACAACTGAAATTCTGTACGCATTAAACAATAAATCCCCATTCCCCCCACTTCAGCCTGTGGTAACCTCCATTCTACTTTCTGTCTTTGTGAATTTCACCATTCTAGGTACCTCATATGAATGAAGTTATACAATATTGTGTCTGCCATCTCATTTAGCATAATGCTTTCAAAGTTATCTATATTGTAACATGCATCAGGATTTCATTCTTGTACGTGGCTAGATAATACTTCATTTTATGTGTATACCGCGTGTTGTTTATTCATTCGTCTGTTGATAGATACTTGGGTTTCTAACTGGCTATTGTGAATAATACTGCTACAAACATTGGTCTGTTTGAGCCTCTGTTTTAATTCTTTGGGGTCTATGTCTAGTCATGGAATTGCTGGATCATGTGGTAATTCTATGTGGAGACTCTGAACTGTTTTCTATGGTGGCTGCAGCATGTTACATTCTCACCAACGATCCACAAGGATTACAATTTCACCACACCCTTACCATGAAAGTGTTTAAAGAAAACGTTTATTTGATCCATTCTTGCTTGAGATTTGTTTTTGCAAGTGTTCACTGAAAAGAAAAGGATCAGTAGATCTGGCTAAGTCCAATGACTCATTTCCCTATTGGATGGCAGGCTGGCAGAGCATCCCCTTCTTTGTTTTCTATGCTCTGGCTGCTTACTGTGCACCCTCAGCTGCGTCTCTGTTTCCCTGTGGTCTTGATTACCCAGGAAAGTTAGCTCTAAGGAGCAGATCCATATCTTCTAATAATTTGGAGGTTTCTAAGTGGGTTCTTGATCAGCTCCAGGCTCTATCCTCTCAAATTCAAAGTCTAGAAATTTGTTCTCCATAGCTAGCTTTGAAATCACGGCTGAGCCATTCAACCCTCATGGATTTCAGTCTTCTCAGTCATAAAATGATCTCAAAGTTTACTTCCTCTCAGGTGGAGCCTGCTACATAATTTGTGGGGGAAAATGCAAAATTAACACGCAGTGCCCTTTCTTCAAAAAGCAAATAAAGGAAGTGTGGTTAAAGGAACTTTGGGAGCTCATTATAAAGGCAAATGCTCATGTTTCCCTGCAGCCCTGCCTTCCCAAGGGGGTTTGACAGAATAGGTTTGGGGTGAGGCCAAGGGATTTGTATATTTAATAAGAATTCCAGGTGATTCTGATTCGAATGGTTGGCATAACAGTGGATTCACACTTAATTCAGCATAGGGTTTTGGAATTTATATTTTAGCAAAACTGGACCAAAACCTTAATATAAAGCCTTTTCATGTAAAAATATTTTATTTATAACATGCAATAAGGGCAATAGTAATAAATGAGTAAACATAAACTTATAAATGCAAACAGTAATATTTTTGGTGACAACAGAATATGTTATAAAACTTTATTGGTGGGATATAATGATTCATTGCATAATTTTTCTGGCTTGCTTATCTGGGAATTTATTTATTGGTACAACACAATTTATACTTTTAATGAATTTATTTTCTGATAAATTATTTCAAAATATAAATTTTAGTACATCTAGAGCTAAAGAATCTCGGGGAACGGTTTTTTCAAAAAGATTTAACTTTTCATACAAATCAGTTTTGTAGAAATATGAATTAAATGCACATTTATATAGTGGCATTTAATGTTTCCTCTGACATTTCTGTATTTTAGGGAGGTCATACAAGAAACTGAAAGTGGTTCATGATTTGTTTAGAATTGGATATATTTGTTTATACATTCTATCACTTTATCTTCAGTTACAAGTTAAATTAGATTTAAAATTTTCATTCTCACTAATAATTTATCTGAAGTATCACATGAAAAGAATGCTCTTTTCCATCAATTGCAACAATTTTTAGTTTCTTCTTCTAAGCCTATGGATATTTACTTTGCAATATTCTAGCAGATTTTAAACCAGAGATCCGAAACTCTGAAAAATCCTAATAGCTCCCTAATTTATTTTATTGCAGTGTCCATGTGCCTGCTTTTAAAGTGTAATCGCTTACTGATAAAATATACTGCCTGAGCACTGGAAGTTCCTGTCCCTGCTCGTAGGCCAGGGAGTGGGTATTTGCACAGATACTGCAGAAATTGGTTGCAGGATAGCCAGGCCAGCTGGTCTCTCATTCTGAGGGTCCTTTCCCCTTGGGAGATTCTCTTTTCCTGTAGGGCTGCAGCTGTTACTCTCACTACTACTGCTTTTGATACTGCCGCCATTGTCAGTGACAATCTGGGCCAGAGTCTTAGCTAGGCTGCCCCCTTGAGGCTGCAAGGTGCCCAAGACTGCCCCAGGTGTGTGCAGTGGTTGACCAGGCCAAATGCTCCCTGCTGCTGACTGCTAGCAGTAACAGGGCCTGAGTCCCTGCGTGCCCTGGCTGCTTTCCAGGGTATGTCCCCTGCTCACGTACATGTTTCATTGTCCCTGTGGACTAAATGTATGAAACACAGGCTCAAAGGTGAGATTCTTAAAATGTCAAGATGACTACAGCAAAGCATTAGACCAAGAGCCTGGCCCTTTCTGTAGTTGCCCTGTGCAACTACCCAAGTGTAACACCCAGGAAATTGGCCATGCTCTTAGGCATAATAGAAATTATGCTTCCAAATTGGATACATACCATTATTGACTCAGATTATATATATATATATATATATGTTTCATAAAGGAGCAGGCTGAGATTGAAGAATCTTGCTTCAATGTTTTCTCTCCTGCCCAAGCTTTTCTTTAGTAGCAGTTCTGACTACCTCCTCTTACCCTCCCCTCCAACTCACTCTTTCTTGTCTTCTCCATCTTAAAAGGATGGAGATTCATGAAGGAGAGAGAGAGAAGATGAAACAAGGCAAGTAAAGAATTGTGTACGCGTGTTCTTTCCTGGTGTTATGTTTCAGCTGATTTCAAACATTTTGTGTTTTCATTATCATTTTGCACTACCAGGAAAGAAGCGAATTTTTACTTATCTGTCTTCATCTGAACTCTATTTAGTTGCAACAAATTAAATATTTTCAGACTTGAATAAAACACAAATAACTGTTATCATCTTATAAATTCAAAAGTTTAGTTTTAACTTCTCGTTTAGTGTGTGATTTCCAGCCAGCTAAATGTTTGATTTTTCTGAGCTTTTGCTTTCTGTTGAAATGATTTATAACCTTAACAATTATTTTAGTGGGTTCTAGTGGCTAAAAAGAAAAAAAAAGAGGTTGAGGAATGAAACAGTGCTGTTTTTATAACAGAGTGACTTTTTTTTGAATACTTCAAGAACTTTGGATTTCACCAGAGTTTCCATTTCTTGTCAGATGTCTGAACACTAATGATTCTCAGCTTTAGGCAAGCCACAACTTAACTATGTTGCCATATTTATTTTAAATGGACTTTTCAGCTATGTATAATTATATGCTAATTTAAGAAATGATACTTGAAATTAATTTCTTTATTTGATTGTATGTATTCCTTTACATTTAATCAACTTTTTAAAATTGTCATTTGCTCCACACTCAAATGTATCAGTCAATTTAATATTCTATTTAATGGGGTTTTAGAACTAATATTTACCTTATTTGTGAAATTTCTTTAAAAAGATTCATCTTGGATGAATTACTTGGATTCATCTTGGATGAATTACTTGGATTCATCTGGATTCATCTGAGGCAAGTAGATAAGTGTACTTACATATTTTGGAATGGGAGTCAGAGAGATTGAAAATAGGTCTGTTGGACCACAGTATCTCATTGATGATGTTTATCTTTATAGTTCCAACTCTGAGCGACAAAACACCTTATCATATTTATTAAATAAAATTTGATGTCCCTTTGATTTAATATTGGGGATGCTTTAAATTTGATACTGAAGGATTTGGCCTAACAGGCAGTTCCAGACTTCCTAGGCAAATGGGCTGGCAAAGTTTTTAGAACATTTTCTGAGACTTAGCATTGTGTTCAGAGCATGCCCAGCGTGTTTCCAGAAAGGCAAAGATACAGAGCTTTGAGGAAATTATCTGGGTAATCATGGCAAAACAACAACAAGAACATTGATATTGAAGAAAAGAAAAGGATAAGGTCTGAGTTAACTAGACTATATGTAATCTAATTAATTAAGTGATACATGTTTCTATTCTTAATAATTATAATAAATTACTTTGATAATCAATTCTTTATGCACATTTTATTTACTCATAGCTGTATATAAAGATCTTAGCATCATGGATCCTATCAGTTTGGCTAAACTGAAATTATACAAAACATCTATTTCTCCATTGTGTGCAGACACAGAACTAGTCCCAGGGAAAGTAATGCCATTAGATAACTCCTTAACCTTGTCTTTGTGCCTCTCCTACCTGTCTCTCTTCCAGCCTGTTGCATATTTGCTTGGTTGGATGTATTTCCTGGTATGCTCACTCCTGACACTTCTGCCTTTTACTTTCTCCAAATTGTAGAGATGACAAAGGTATAAGAATCTTGCCTCTGTGAGAGGATCTTATAGCTTTATGAAGCCGATGCTTAAGGTACATTAGACACTTATGAAGAGAATATTGAAAATAACAATACAATAAAAACAATAACAATTATACTCTATATGTTTCAAATACTAGATTCTTGACTCTGGAAGGGATTTTACAGATCATATAGCTCAGTTGCCAGTTTGAGATATGAACTATCCCCTCAGCATTAGTATAATAATGTCTTCTACTTCCGTTGGAGCATTTCTAGTGTGGCAAAGCTCATAGCTTCTAAAAACTCTATTAGAAACGTATTTTCTTTTATTGAGCCCAAATCTATTTTTCTGTTACTTCTATCTATTGGTGTGTGCGTGTGTGTGTGTGCGTGTGTGTATGTGTGTTTTGCAGGTCATTTTGAATAGTTCTAATCCCTTCCATGGTTCAGCCTTTGAAGTATCTTAAGACATCTATCCTATTTCATGTGAGTCTTCTTTTCTCCAGGCTAAATATTTTCAAATTACCTCAACTCTTCATCATATTGCACTGATATGGCTCATAGTTTTAATACTTTCACATACATCATTTCAATTTATTTTCCAGTTAAATTTGAAAAGTAGGTAAGGATTTGTAAAACTCTACATTTACAATGAGAAAGCTGAGTTGCAAAGACTTTGTTTGGAAGAGAAGTGAATCGATACCCATCTGCTTTTTGTGTTACAATTTTTCATTGCCATCTTTTTTATTAATCATTTTAGAAAAGGAGCAGTTTTATTTTTGGCATAATTTGAGGTCAGATGATTACATTAAACTTTTAATTTTCAGGTGTCTTAATGTTTAATCAAGTATTTAAATTTCAGGAGTTCCTGGGTATTAAGCAGGTGAATCTTAAAACAAGGATGTGAGGCAAGCCATCAGTTTTAGTTATCCAGTGATCTTTAAGAAACATATTTAAGCTACATATTTATACTTCTAGAAAATTTTCTAGACTCAAGTTAAAAATATCTACATATAACATTTCCTCAAATGAAATGGCCTCTCTTTGCTGTATTTTTATAGAGCCCTGATTTGCACTGCCTCATTTTCTTTGCATTGAGAGTTCTAGAAAGTTTACTAGTGAGCTCAGAAGTTTCCAGTCACTTATACATGATGGAATAGAGAAATAATACAGTTGGTCTCTTTTTAAGTAGAAGGTGTACTTTCTCATGGGAAAATTGCTTCTACCTGAGAGGTACAATTTCATTTTGTAAACTCTACCTTCTAAATGTTACTTTTCATGCTGTAATGAATTCAAGAGGAAACTCTACCCTTTCCTCTAAATGACTTATGATGTAATGCCTTTACAGATTAAAAGCACAATTTGACTAATGGGCTTCATTCTTACTTGTAAGGTTTTATACATTTCATCACGTTCACCCTATTGGACACACCACACACTACATAACTTGTTCTAAAAATAGACTGTATGAAAAGGGTTGATTCAAGGATCAGAGGTGTCTTATTCTAATCAAGTTCTTAGCTTGGAATTTAACCAGTAACAATGCTAAACTACAATGTTATACAGATACTGTTATGGTTAGGTAGAGTGTAAAAAATGCAAACCATTGACAGTATTATGAAATTGCTTTAAGTGAATATTATCTCTATAAACTGGTAGGTTGGAAGCAGTAAAACCATAAACCTGGTGGCAAAAAAAGCCCACTTGCAAAAATGCCTATTTTCTGATATATTATTTTGATTTTTAAATGACTAAAAGTTCATATTTGTTTTTGATAATAAAAAATCTATTTAGATAGCTAGTCATATCTTTTCAATTAATTGATCCTTAAAATTCCTGGATAAGAAAGAAAATAAAAAATAAAAATAAAAGGCAAATAAGGATGGGAAGAAGGAGACAAGAAGACACATTAAAGTTTTAGGAGAAAATGATGCAATAGGAACACATTCTGATTGTAATAAAGGTATTTAATATTAATTTTTTCAGCCTAATAACTACTCATGACTTTAGGAAAAACAAAGAAGCAAGCAATCATTTGAATAAAATTAATTAAGGTGTGAATTTCCCTAGGCCCATTTAGATTTTTAAGTAGCATATCCTGTTTTTGCATTCACTTGTTAAACATATTTATTGAACAGGCATAAAATATTGCATATTTAGAAATTTCAGATGCCTGTTCCATTTTGCTCAATTTACGGACGAATTTCTTCAATTTAGACAGATGAGGTTCTGTTACTTCAGAAACACCTGAGCAAAGGTGTCCAGTTGACTTTGGGGGAGCAAAGGGAGAAGTCCAGTCTGAGGTAGTCATGGAACAAGATGAGATCACCTAAATAGCAAAAGATACAGTTTTATAAAATCTCAAAGGGCTTTTACAGAAATGAAAATTTGTACCTTAAAAATATGTTCATAGGAGAAAAACTGTATATTTAGGATTTTTTTTTTTTTTTTTTTTTTGCCAAGCTTCTGGAGCTTAAGGGAAGCCAGAGCTATAGCTATAATGATTTCGCTTCTGTACTGAGACAGATGTTTACAGAATACTGTCTACCTTCCACATTCCTGGCTGCTCCTCTTTTTCTCTATTCCTTCTAGCCAGCTTACTGAGAATTTTATTTAGCTAGTTCATTTTTCTAATTATTATATTTAGCATAATTAACATATACTTAAGTTTCCACAAACAGGCAGCAGTTAAAGCATGAGAATAATATCCAGTTAATAAGATGCAAAATTAATAGTATTTTGTCTGAGAAATTTCCTAGTCTTAGCCAATATGAAGCAGTTGCTATTTATATTGAATGGATTTTTTAAAAAATCAGAATTAAAAGAGATTATGACCTAGATGTTCCTGTACAAGGACAAGTGGGTAGGGATGTTCCTGCTTCCCTTTAATACATTTGGAAAACTATTTCTATTTATCAGAAAGAATATGGAAATTTCCATAAAGGGATGATAGTTTCAGGATATTAATTGCTTATTAATAGACCAATCCCAGTTGAAACAATAGAAAACTCCAGGAAACTTGATTTATGAAAAGGGAAAACCCCACCTGTCCCCTCCCGTTTTTATGGGTCCTTGGGAAGGGTGTGGACAGGAAGAGGAATAACAGGTATTCACTGTATTTACTAGAATGGAATATTAAATTGAACACGCTGTTCACATCTAAGCATGAGTGGTAATGATTCCATTATACATTGACTTTTAGAGGAAGAGATAAAGGAAGCTGCCCAGTCAGTACTTGGATTCTAAGGCAAACAATTTCCCATTCCAACATACAGACTTTCTGTACAAGATGAGGCTTATTTCAGAGAGCATTTCACAGTATTAAAAATACACAAAATGCAAAGGAGGTCATACCAGGAATATGACAAGAGAAACTGGTGTCTACACAAAGGAAAATGACATCCTAAGTATCTAACTTCCATTTGTGCCTCTTGCAATATTGCTCTATTATATACCAAACAGAGCAATAAACAAACATTGAGATGTGGTCTTCCACTTCAATTATTATATAAAATAAGACATTCATAAAACTAATTCTTGTCAACCAAAAGGCAATTTGAACTACTAAGCTACCAGGCTGCAATGTAAGGTACCCATTATATTCTGGAATCAACAAATCTGCATGTTAGTATGAGGACTGTCATTTATTAACTTTGACCAAATTATTTCACCTTTGATTCTTTTTTGTAAAATGGAGATAATCATTAAGATAATGTATAAGAAATCACTTTGTGAACTTAAATGTTTTCATGGTATTACTGATCGTGAGGACAAAACTAAAAAAAAAGGAAAAAATTGTCACAGAATCCAGTTTGCTTATCCAGTGAAGGGAAACGAAAATGTGGTTGGCTCATTTGGGGAGCTCAGAGTCCTCTGTCCATGGTAAAAATGGTGTAGGGGGTTGTCATTAAACATTTACAGCAGCTACACCTGCAAGCATAATTTTAAATATAACTTCTCTATATCCCAGTTTAAGTATTCCAGCCTCCTTTCTGCTAAGAAAAATTTGATTTTCCAATTAAAGTTAACATAATCACTCTGCATTTACATTTATCAATTTTGTGTTTAAATATTATTGTTCAAATTATCTCTTTTCCATTTGTCTTCTATCTCTTGGCAGTGATTTGGGTCCCAGGAGGGGTTTATGTGTCATCCTGGCTTTCAAGATATTTGACTGTGTTATAGATTTGTAAAAGGTATACTGCACTTTCAGTAGCTTCATTGTTTCAGCCTCTATCTGTCTTGGATTTCAAAAAAGAAATCTCTTGCTGTTACTGAATGTTTGGGGGAAGAATATGGTAAATGACAAAACACAATGATGAACAATTAAACATAAATTTCCTTAGAGGAAAGACAATTTACTTTCTTTCCAGGTCCACTTAACCTCTGAGTCAAGATCAGGTTAATGATGCTGGAGGCTGAGAGCCTCCACCTGTTAATTCCCTGAGATGAACCTGATCTGGGGGAAGCAGGGCCATTTCAGCAGCTCTGTCATTGCCCTAGAGATGATGGAATGGAGTTGTAATATGGTGGTAGAGACAGTAAAAGTGGGGATGGCCAACTGGAGGGTACAACAAGATGGCCACAGGGAGAGCTCCCTTCCATTTATGCTACGCTAGTTCATTAGAATGGTCCCCTCAGTGACCTGGGCGACCCAAATCAAGGAAAGCTTGACACGTGAAAAATATTTCATGTAATTCAATTGCTGTATGATTCTTCTTTTCAGGCAGAGTAATGGTTCTCAATGGGAGCTCATTTTGCCCTTGATTTTGCCCTCCATGGGGCAGTCAGCCACGATGGGAGACATTTTTAGTCGTCACAACTGGGGATAGGAGGTATGCTACTCACATTGTGTGGGTAGAGGGCAGGGATTCTACCTATCCTATTATGCACAGGACAGACCCTACAGTAAAGAATTATCCAACCCAAAATGTCAATACTGCCAATGGCGAGAAACCTTGACTCAGAGGAAGATGTTTTCAGGGTTAATGTTCGTTCTACTATCCGTCTGATGGGGTGGAAGGGATTTGAATCATAAAATAACTTTTTTGACCATGTCAGGCAAGAATATGTCTGCTGTGAAATTTGGCAGAAACTCAAGTGGTCAATTCAGACTATGTCTACTTAATGTTTTAAAAGTGAACAAGAAAAACAGTAGTCAGTGATTAGATTGTTTGTTTGTTTGTTTTACATTCTGAAACAAACAGAAATCACTCAGGCCTAAATATTTTCCAACTTTGGCTGCTTATCAGAATTACCTGTAGAGATTTAATAGTACGCCCAGAAATTCTGATTCAGTTGTTCAGGTGTGGAGCTTACATATTTATGTTTTTTAAAAGATATAGATAAGATTCTAATGCACAGTCAGGGTAGAAAACCACTGTATCATAGTAACATTAAGAAAGCTAACACAATTTAAATAATATTCTCACTCTTGTTTCTCTGCTTACAAGCTGATTGTTTTGTGGTCTTAATTGATGAGAGGATCACAGATATGTAGAAACATATACTATTCACTCTGAGTTCTATTTCTTACTCAGAGCCTAACTTTAGAGAACTACAAATGATTTTGGATATACAGATAGATGTACCTACAAAATATTTTCTCTTTCTTGCTTTTAAGAATGAATTCTCCTGGCAGAACTGTGTGGCCCATTCAGACTTGATGAGATATTCAGGCTATCTACATTACGATGCTTAAAAGAAATTATCCCTGTATTTCCCTCTTTGGCCTCTTGGCCTTCTTGTGACCCTTCCCCCAACCACATGCGTTTGAATAGAGTTACTGATGAGGAAACAGGGTGCAGAGATTAAGGTCTCAAGATTACACAGGAAATCAGGGGCAGACTGAGATCACATTTCCAGCAACCAATCCAGAAATCCCACCTAAGTAGTTTATCCGGAGTTCTGTAAGGGCCAGCCTGGGCCAAAGCAGGTTTCAGATGAAAGAAACTACAAGCTGGTTTGCCCATTTGAAGAAAACACACACAGGGACACATATCCATACACATGCAAGGACTTAACCTTTCATTTTGATTTTCTCCATTGTTTATTATCTCCTGATTTCAATAGAATGTTCAAGACAATATCTACCAGATTCAAATAAGCACAAGATAAACTGTGAAATCTAATTTATGTATTTTCTGAAGTCTGTTTTAAAGATGTTGCTTTTTTTTCCTTCTTTTTCTGTTTTTGCTTCAAACGTGAGATGCCTTCTCTTTGTCTTCCATTTTCAGGGAAGAGAGATCTCCTAGTGTTATCCATACCCAGAAATTATTGAGGGATATCTTCAATTCCCTGAAAACATGTAATAGCATTTTCACTTTGACATTGCATTCACTGCAAGCACAGCTTAAATCATTTCAAGGCCTCCTCATTTGCATGGAAGAAATAACTAATTTTGATTAATGAGAGTTCTCTGAGAACGTTTGACGACACGTTTATTGGGCAATGTGAATATGGAAACTGCTATCATTTCTATCTCTAAAAACCATTGCCATAAAAACAGTGAAAAACATTTTTGAGCCCCCAAAAGCTTTATTTTTACCCTGAACAGTGAAAATAGAAAAAAAAGGCAAGTCAATAGAAACATTATGTGTTCCAAATGAGTTTTATGTGACCACAGAAGAGGGTGACAGTGTTCTGAGAAATCAGTGACAGAGATTGAAAAAATTTAGATGTAAGAACTTTTTGTGTTATCTAAAAAGAATGTCACACTTTATCTCATTACTCTGGAATAATGGTAGCTGATAAATGTGATTTACTGTCAAATGCCAAAGGCAGCTGTGATTGTCAAGATATTTTCCTTTTGCTCTTTACTGTGGGGATTAAGCACAAATAAGGTAGTCCAAAGAATAAAGAATTGCAGCCTGTGTGTTAGGAAACCCATCTCTACCACCCCGACCAACTGCGTGACTATAAGAAGACTCTAAACCTCTGGGTCTCAGTTTCCATACAGTAGAAAGCAATACGGAGACCCTGAGGTAGCAAAACACATCGGTTACTGCGAAAATGGAAGGGCCCACAAACTCCTAAAGCTACCTTTTTTCATCCATAATATGTTAGGAAGATAACACCAGACAAATGGGGGTGAGGATAAAATGAGATAACCTATGTGAAATGTAATGCAAGTAGATATCCTGAAATAACATTTTGTAGATGTTTTATGCCTTATGTATGTATACATTTCTTTATTGTGATTGAGAAGAACTCTGGAGAAAGTTAAGAATGCTATATTTAAATGTAAGTTACTACTTTAAGCTTCTTTGATAACTCAGCTTCAGGAATAGAAATGTCCTTATTTATTTATTTTTTTTACAAAATTGTTTTCCAAAAGGCTGAGAATAAGGGTACAAGGTTATCAGGTAGCCTAGCCATAAGGTGACCATAGTCTGAGGAAAGATGAGTTTTACATCTTCATGACCATGCTCCTGTGGAGATTGCAGCCCTCTTCAGGGAGCACAGTGCCTATTTTTGCTTCCATTAGGACTATGCATTCAGTAAGAGTATTTCCATTAGACATCTGGGAGTCCTGTGCTCAGTCTTAGTTGATTGGAGAAAGGGGAGAAGAATGTAGACTTTACACTGATCACTTCCTATGTTGAAGGATGATCTGTGCACCCTTCAACTATTAGTGCTACCAAAATGCTGTGGTTTAAAACAAAACTCATCAGTTTTAAAGATGTATGGGTTGTCTGGGGTTAGCTGTTTTTGGCTGGGCTTGGCAGAGAGCTCAGCTTCAGATTTGGGTAAACTGAGAGTTTTTTGTGGGGGCATTTCTATTGTGTGCCTATTTCTTCTGGGGCTGGCTGAAGGAGCAGCAGCTAACCAGGGACAGCTCTTCTCACAATGATGACAAGGGTGGGGCAAGCCTAATCGCTCATTAAACTTTGCTCATTGAGATAGTTTGGATATTTGTTCCTTACCAAGTCTTATGTGGAATTGTAATCCCCAGTGCTGGAGGTGTGGCCTGGTTGGGAGGTGTTTAGATCATGGGGTGGATGCCTCGTGGCTTAGTGCTGTCTTTGTGATAGTAAATTTTCATGAGATCTGGTCATTTAAAAATATGTGGCACCTCTCCCCCACCCAATCTCTTTCTCTCTCTCACTCCTACTTTTGCCATATGACGTGCCTGCTCCCCCTTTGCCTTCTGCCGTGATTGTAAGCTTCCTGACACTTCCCTTAGAAGCTGAGGAGATGCCAGCACCATGCTTCCTTTAAAGCCTGCAGAATCATAAGCCAGTTAAACCTCTTTTCTCTATAAATTTCTCAGTCTCAGATATTTCTTTTATAGCAATGCAAGAATGGTCTAATACAGAAAAACCAGTACTGAGGAGTTGGCATTGCTATAAAGATATGGAAGCAGCTTTGGAACTGGGTAACAGGCAGAGGTTAGAAGAGTTTGGAGGGCTCAGAAGAAGACAGGAAGATGAGAGAAAGTTGGGAACTTCTAAGAAAGTGGTTAAATGGTCATAATAAAAATACTAATAGTGATATGAACAGTGAAGTCCAGGTGACAAGGTATGAGATGGAAATGAGGAACTTACTGGGTACTGGAGCAAAGGTCATGTGTGTTATGCCTTAGCAAAGAGCTTGGCTGCATTCTGTTCATGCACTAGGGATCTGTGGAAGTTTAAACTTCATAGTGATGATTCAGGGTATCTGGCAAAAAAAAAAAAAAAAAAAAAAATCCTAAGCAGCAAAGTGTTCAAGATGTTGTGGCCTGGCTGCTTCAAACAGCCTATGCTCAATTGCAGAAGCAAAGAAATGACTTTCAAGTTGGAACCTAAATTTAAAAGGGAAGCAGAACATAAAAGTTAGGAACATTTGCACTCTGGCCATGAGGCAGAGAAAGAAAAAGATTTTTTGGGAGAGGAATTCAAGCAAGCTGTGGAGCAACTACTTACTGGAGATATTTGCATAATTAAGAGGGAGCCAAATGTTAATATCACAGACAACGGGAAAAAAGGCCTTGAAGGCATTTTGGAGACCTTTTGGCAGCCCCTCCCATCACAGGCCCTGAGATGTAGGAGGGAAGAATGGTTTTCTGGGCCTGGCCCAGGGTCCCACTGCCCTGTGTAGTATTGGGACACTGGCCCCCACCTCCAGGCTGCTCCAGCTCCAGCCTTGGCTCAAAGGGGCCCAGGTATAGCTCAAGTTGGCCACTTGGGTGAATGCAAGCCATAAGCTGCTTCAATGTGGTGTTAAGCCTGCAGGTGCACAGAATACAAAAATGAAGAAGGCTTGAAGGCCTCTACCTAGATTTCAGAGGATATATAGAAAAACCTGGCATCCAGGCAGAAGCCCATTGCAGGGGAAAAGGCCTCACATAGACCCTCTACCAGGGCAGTGTGGAAAGAACATATGGAGTTGGAGGCTCCACACAGAGTTCCCACTAGGGCACTGCCTAGTGAAGCTGTGAGAAATGGGCCATGATCTTGCAGACCAGAGAATGTTATATAGACCAGCAGCTTGCACCCTGCACCTGGAAAAGCCACAGGCACACAACTCCAGCCTATGAGAGCAGCCTTGGGGGCTAACCCTGCAAGGCCACAGGGACAGAACTGCTTAAGGCTTTGGGAGCCCGTCCCTTACACCAATGTGCCCTGGATGTGGGACATGGAGCCTAAAGAGATTCTTTTGGAGCTTCAAAATTTAATGAGTAACCTGCTGGGTTTCAAACTTGCATGGGGTTTGCAGCCACTTTCTTTTGGCTGATTTCCCCCTTTTGGAATGAGAACATTTACCCAATGCCTACATCCCCATTGTATCTTGGAAGTAGCTAATTTGTTTTGGTTATTATGGGCTCATAGGTGAAAGGGACTTGCTTTGTCTCAGATGATGCTTTGGGTTTTGGATTTTTTTTTTTTTTTTGATATGGAGTTTCACTCTCATCACAATGGTGTGGTCTTGGCTCACTGCAACCTCCATCTCCCAGGTTCAAGCGATTCTCCTCTATCAGCCTCCCAAGGAGCTGGGATTACAGGCACATGCCATCACGCCTGGCTGATTTTCGTAGCTTTAGTAGAGATGGGGTTTCCCCATGTTGGCCAGGCTGGTCTCAAACTCCTGACCTCAGGTGATCTGCTTACCTCGGCCTCTCAAAGTGCTGGGATTATAGACGAGAGCCACAGCACCCAGCTTTGGACTTTGGACTTTTGAGTTAATGCTGGAATGAGTTTAAAATGTGGGGAAGTGTTGGGAAGGTATGATTATATTTTGCAATGTCAGAAAGACATGAGATTTGGGAGGGGCTGGGACAGAATGATATGGTTTGGACATTTGCCACACTCCCCACAACCTCATGTTGAATTGTAATCCCCAGTGCTGAAGGTGGGGCCTGGTGGGAGGTGTTTGGATCTTGGGGGTGGATCCCTCATGGCGTGGTGCTGTCTTCATGATGTGCATTCTCATGAGGTCTGGTCGTTTAAAAGCGTGTGGTACCTCCTCACCTACAATGCACTCTCTCACTCTCATGCTCTTATCATGTGATGTGCCTGCATTCCCTTTGCCTTCTGCCATGATGTAAGCTACCTCAGACCTCCCTAGAAGCCAAGCAGATGCCAGTACCGCACTTCTTGTAAAGCCTGCAGAACCATAAGCCAATTAAACCTCTTTTCTTTATAAATTACCCAGTCTCTGATATCTATTGATAGCAATGCAAGAACAGCTTAATATAGTCACATTACATCTACTACGTTCAGTAATATCCTTTTGGTCAAAAAGTCATGTGACAAAATCCAATGTCAAGGGGCAGGGAGTACATCTTGCATAAGGAGGTGGGGGATGGGAGAGTGCTTACCTATGAAGAATATTCTATCACAATCTAAGTGTATTATATTCCAATTGCTGCTGTAACAAATTAGTACAAACTTAGTGGTTTAAACAACATGAATTTGTTATCATATAATTTTGGAGGTCAAGAGTAAAAAGTCAGCCTTACAGTTCTAAAGTGAAGGAGCTAGAGGAATTGTTTGTTTTGGAGACTGTAGAGAGAATTTGTTTCTTTAATGTTTTTAGCTCCTAGAGATCACCTGCATTATCTTGGCTTTGGCACCTTTCTCCATTTTTGAGATGCACAGTGTAACATCTTCAAATCTCTCTCCCACTCTGACCTCTGCTTTCCTTGTCATATCTCCCACTGATGAATTTGATCCACCTGCTTCCCTCTTATAAGGACCCCTGTGATTACATTGGGCCAACCTGGGTTATTACAATAATTTTCCATCTCAATATCCTTAATTTAGTCACATCTGCAAGGAATCTTTTGCCATGTAAAGTAACATGCCTACAGATTCCAAAGATTAGGATTTGGATATCTTTGAGGGAGCCATTATTTAACCTACCATACTAAATATAGAAATCAGTTGGAGACCACTCCTCTCACTGCGTCTGTCCTGGCTGTAGGCAGAACTTTTTACAAATGAAGCTCTGCTGGGCCTGAACTCTGTTTAGTAGCTGGGACATGAAGGCATGCTCATCCTAGGCTGTTTTCTTCCCCAGCTCTCACTTGACTCAACACTGTCAGTTGTTATAGTGGAAATAAAAATTGCTTTGGAGCATGTTTAAATAAAATGAGTTAAATCTTCCCTCTATTACCTTACAATAATATGGCTCAATGGAGATAGAGCTGTATATGTCTCAAAAATAATTTTTATACCATACCTATATGGGGGTAGTAATTTAATCTTCAGAAATTTAAAAATACATTTTATATATTTATATATTTTACATACCTATTTTATGTATTTTATATTTTGAAAAAGATTTTTTCATTTTATATACTATTATACATACTATTTATGTATATTATATTTGTTTATTTATGTATATTTATGCTTATATTGTTATATATGTACTTTCCAATATATAGACATGTTATGAATCAAATGCATACAAATATATTCCTAAAAAAAGTATGTCTTATGAGCTTGAAGCCAAGTATCTGACTTTAATCAGTAATATTAATGGTTTCAAAATCAAATAAAAATATAGAGACAAATTTTTAAACAAAACATTTACTTAGGAAAACAGAATTGCAATTTGGGGCATTTACAGAGATCAAGGTGGTCTTCAGTATGCCTAAATTAAAATGAGAATTTGGGGAGTTTTAATGTTAGTAGAAAAAGAAATGTTACATATTGTTTTGAAAGAAAACTCAGTGGCACTCATTGGCACTAGTGAAGTTTTGGGGAGCTGGCAAGCTGTAATTTGTGAGTGATGGTGGTAGGTTACACTAGTCTTAGAGTCATGGTAGTTTATTTCAGCAGCTACTAGGTGAAACTGGTCTTAATGTTGTAGCAATTCATTTCAGCAGCTGGTTTTTGAAATAATCCTTGGGCAGGTGCTTTGGTCCCCAAGTGCTTTTTCCCTCTGTACTCTTGACTCTAATTGAGTAGGGTATGGAAAGATAATCTTAATTTATATAGTCAATTTTCACATTTCTCTCTCTTGATCAAGATCTTTCTCTGAAAGCATCACTGGACAACTAGCCTGAAGTTAGGCTCACTTGTCTCTTGGTAACAGGATGGATTTGGTGATCTCTGGTCCCGTATTGGGGGAAACTAAGAGAATCAATATCAAGGACAGAGACCACATTTGAGCAACAAAGAGATCAGAAAGGTTAAAAAAAACCTCTTAGGACAGATTTGCTTGAAATTTAGAGTTAAATCCTATCTTATTAGTCCCATGAACATTAGCATTGGGCTAACATTATTCTGTTGGGAGAACTGGCTTTACAAATATTTGATAGGCAACAAGAACAGAGCTTAAAAATCATAATACAAAAAATAATCAGCAACAATATAGTACATATATTCAGTTTGTACAATGGTTTTGGACTAAAAGCTCAAACCTAAGAGTAATCAACTAAACAAATCAAAAGACCGTTGGGGAGCTGGGTGAAACCTGTTGTCCTCATGATATGCTACAGCATATCATGACTGGGTTGAATTAAAGAAAAAAGTGCCGACTCTATAAAAGGGACCACTAGTGAACTGAAACAAATATTGGTGTTAGGGATATTGCCAAAGTTACTTACCAGGTAGACTAAAGGATTTCTTTTTTTTTTTTTTTTTTTTTTGAGACGGAGTCTCGCTCTGTCGCCCAGGCCGGACTGCGGACTGCAGTGGCGCAATCTCGGCTCACTGCAAGCTCCGCTTCCCGGGTTCACGCCATTCTCCTGCCTCAGCCTCCCGAGTAGCTGGGACTACAGGCGCCCGCCACCGCGCCCGGCTAATTTTTTGTATTTTTTAGTAGAGACGGGGTTTCACCTTGTTAGGACTAAAGGATTTCTGATGTCAAGTTCTGTCAACTTAACCACAGCAGTTACTGATTGTGAAATTTTAATTACAGCATTATCCTGTCAAGTGCAAAAGGTAGGCATTAAGAGGGGTAAGAGTCTCATAATATGGAGTCTTGTTCTGATGGTCTCGGGAAAAATTGTTTACATCGTGAAGTTAGAAATTTTACAGTTCAAATGTCAAATGTCTCTGGTTATGGCATTGGGTAGTTTAATGAACTCACTGTGTGGCCCATGCATCAAGCATGAAGCTTGTCCTTGAAATTTGTATTAAGTCATTGAGTTTAGTTTATAGGGCCTTAAGAAAGAGCAGTTTCTGTTCTTAGTAATCACATAGGAGAAAATTGGATTAGAGGAACATAGAAGAATTTAAGATTCAGTCCAGTCTACAGGTTGATAATAAAAACTTGAAAACAATGTACAGGGCTACAGTACAATAACAGAGTTGTTATAGACATTTCAATTTTTACTGAACATAATTAGAGGAAAATAAATTTGTTTGTAAAATAGATTTAGCTTTGTCTGGTTTGACCTAAGTATTTATGTAATTATAGCAAGAACAATGACTGAAGCTCAGACTGGATCTCTTTAACAAAATGTTGAGGCTGGGAAACCAAATCAAGGCAGGCTTCAGATTTTATCTGTAGTATATATCAACATTTTAAAGTATAATATCTTAAGCCTTGGTAATATAATTAACATTCTAGTTACATCCTATTGTAAAAAACGTATTTTTATTGAACTTATGTAAATATATTGTCATAAAATTAAAAAATACAAAAAGTTTTCAAATTTTGGAGGGATCAGTAGGAAGCAAAAGTAAATGCTTTCACTTTTGTTCATAAAAGCATACCAGATTACTGTAAATTATAGGTAGCTCAAGAAAGCTTTCTTAAATCTGGAAAACAAAACATTTAAGTAAAGAATCAACAATGTTTCAAACAAAAGTCACACAATTCATAATTTTTTATCAGTTATATATTCTCATGTAAGTAATTTTTGTTTTGCTTGATCTTGATTTCTTTTATTAATCCATCTTTTTTTATTAGTTTTGGAAATTTTTATTTAGTCCACTTTTCTTAAAGTTATTAGAAACATATTTATGAGTACTTGTTAGAGACTTTTTTATGAATCTGATTGCAATTGCCTTTAGAAATGAATCACCACTATAGATGATTTTTCTTAGTAAAGCCATAGTTACAATATAATGAGAATTCTGCAATAAACAGGAAAATTCAGGAGCTTCTATTGCATACAAAATTTTAAGACAACAACCAGAATCATGAATGATACATCAAAACAGGACCAGTAGACCTTTATAAATTTTATATAATCTTTAGTACTTTCACATCAATAACATAGCCATATAAATATAATTTAAATAATATTTAGTATTGCTTTTTTTATTTGATAATGCTTTTAATACAAACCACCATATCTAATAAGCCTAATGAGAGATACATCCTTTTAATCTTTCCAGTGGTCCAACTGTGAATTCCAAAGTCAATTTTAGATTAAAAAGACAAATTAGAATTTCATTTTGGGAAAGTTTGTCAAAGACGTTAAAAGGCTTAAAACATTTAATTAAAATATAAGCAAATTTCATTGAGAGATAATAGTTATTTTATTTAATGAGTGATAATTAAAAGACTTCAAAAGCAAAAACAATAAATGGCATAATTGAGAGAGAAAAGAAAACTTAAACCAGTGTTAGAGATGACTTAATTTTCTCAAGTAGCCAAAAACCTAATAAAGACAGCACGAAGCATAAGATACTACCTTAAAATACAAAATATCTGTTTCTTAGGCTAATTCCTTAAAAAGTAAAAAAAAAAAAAAAATCCTGCAGTATGACTGCTTCTCATCATGGAAAGCCTGTTTGAATAATCTGAAAGCCAAACGTCCTGAAAAGGTGTTTGAATTCAGTTAGACATGAAAAGAATATGTGTCCAAGGTTATGGAGTATATATCATATTATGGAAGAATAATATAAGCAAGAAAACCAGTACCTAAACAGGGGAATGCATAACTTTAGGAAAAAGTAAAAGCATGTTAAATTGACTGATTATGCAGAAAAAATTTACACACATTAAGAAAAGCCAAGAGTATACAATCAAGTTATACTATAGGAAGCATTGTTCTTCTAGGCTTTTAAGAAGATTCTCAGGATGAGACCATAATAGCAGAGTCAGGACAACAATAAAAAGCTATAGGAACTGACAAAAATAATTGAGGGAGAGAGTCATATCTTTTGTTAAGCAAAAAGATACACCTTTTCAGAGAGAAGGAAGACGAGCAGAAGGCAAGAGTGCATGATCTACAAATCACCTGTAGTGAGATCCATAAAATGCTGAACCTGGGGATGTGAATCTGAAAAGCTTTAAGAGAAAAGCGCTACCTTGAGACATGAAATTATAATTTTAAATAAAGAAGACAGCACTTCCAACTTGAAATCAGGTAGAAAGTATAAAACCAGAAAAAGTTGTTGTTCAGATAATGGTTTCAAATGTAAATAAACATTTCAAAATTAAAACCAAAACCTCTTGCAATTTTTCTTTACTACGGGAAAATTGACATTCCAAGAAATCCTGCTGTTTCAAACAGAGAGGATCAGGCTTCGGCCCTACATGAGTGCACGCCTGACACCAATGCTCAATTCTTAGAGAAACTTATCAACAATTCCCTTCCAACCCAGCCAATCTCATCATGTAAGAAAGTCCCTTTACGAGACCCATCCTTCTGAAACTCTCCATGACCGACTTACATTTTCCATCATTCTCTTGAACTCTCAGTCTTTGTTCTATACTTTCTGTTTTTTTATACCGGAATAACCAATCATTTTGCCTTTGGGCAAAATTTTACCTTTTTTCTCTTTATCGTTGAGACTATACAAATTTCTTTCTCATATAAAAATTATTTTTTGTATGTTTTTTATATAGAATAACATATTAATTAGAACTTTTAATTATTAGAAATCTTAATTTTTAGTAAAAAACTGAAAAGTAAGTAATTTAAAACTGTTATATATTAACATCTCATGAATACGTAATCTATCATCTTAATAGATTTTATAGAACAACTTTTAATGTGGAACAGGACATTTTGTTAATGTATCCAAATATTTGTCTTTTTATGAGGTTTAAAAAGCCAAAACTAAATAAACTTTAATCTATGTTGGGCAATTGTTTCATTATCTTATTTATTTATTTAGAAATTACTCAGATTTTATGAATATCTATTATTAAATTCAACATAACTTTAAAATTTCATACTATAAAAAACTATAAACATTTATCTCATTTACATTTATCTAATTTATTTATTTCTAACAATTCTACCTAGATTACTTGTGAAAACTGAGATATTAA
Source organism: Homo sapiens (assembly GCF_000001405.40). Taxonomy (NCBI): domain Eukaryota; kingdom Metazoa; phylum Chordata; class Mammalia; order Primates; family Hominidae; genus Homo; species Homo sapiens. The sequence continues at coordinate 28,498,346 of NC_000021.9, read as the reverse complement.
ACAGAGCTAGTTGTTATTTTAAGTAATTTTCCTGTCGAGAAAATTTCTGAAGGTTAAATTGGTGTGCTTTATATATAGGAAACAATGGGCACTGCATTGCACTTTCATCTGTACCTTTGTTCTTAGATCAAACTCATACTTTTATGATATTAAAACATCTAGCACAAAAAACCAAACACTGCATGTTCTCACTCATAGGTGGGAATTGAACAATGATAACACAAGGACACAGGAAGGGGAACATCACACACCGGGGCCTGCTGGGGGGTCGGGGGAGGTGGGAGAGATAGCATTAGGAGATATACCTAATGTTAAATGACGAGTTAATGGGTGCAGCACACCAACATGGCACATGTATACATAGGTAACAAACCTGCACGTTGTGCACATGTACCCTAAAACTTAAAGTATGATAAAAAAAATAGCAGAGACAAACATAACCCTGTCTGGCCAGCAAATCCAGGCTATATATACACACACACTATATACATACACACACATTAACAATTAGTGTATATATATACATATATACACACACATTATATACATACACACACACTAACAATTAGTGTATATATACACACACACTATATACATACACACACTAACAATTAGTGTATATATACACACACTATATACATAAACACACACTAACAATTAGTGTATATATACACTAGTTAGTGTGTATATATACATATATATGTATACACACACTAAGAATTCTTAGAAATCTTCATTTTAATTTTATCAATATATTTAAAATCAGCATGTTTATCAAAAATTTACTTATATCATATGACCTAAAAGACATTTGGGTTAATTTTTATATTTCTAATGTACTTCATTTAAGGACTTATTTTTCCCTTTAATAGAGCTCTTTGAAATAATTTGGTAATAAAATGTCATCTATCTCTCTGTCTATCCATCTATTATCTATCTGTCTATCTATCTATCTATCATCTATCTTTCTATATAATTTAAAAATTGTAAAAACATACAGGTGAAGAAATGACAGTTTTCATTAAAAAAATTAGTAATGAGTAAAATATAGTATTAGAAATTTATTAGCTTATATGAAGACAGTTGGAGCCAAATTATAGTTCTGACAAAATGAATAAAGCTAAACTTTCAGATTTTTTATTTGTCCTAATAAGCCTATGAAGGCTAGTGATATGGTTTTGCTGTGTCCACCCTAATCTCATCTTGAATTATAGTTCCCATAATCCCCATGTGTTGTGGCAGGGGCCAGGTAGAGATAATTGATTCATGGGGGGTGGTTCTCCCCGTCCTGTTCTCATGATAGTGAGTTCTCAGGAGATCTGATGGCTTTTCCCTTTTTGCTCTGCACTTCTCCTTGCTGCTGCCACATGAAGGATGTGTTTGCTTTCCCTTCCACCAGGATTGTAAGTTTCCTGAGGCCTCCGCAGCTATGTAGAACTGTGAGTCAATTAAACCTCTTTCCTTTATAACTACCCAGTCTTGGATATGTCTTTATTAGCAGCATGAGAACAGACTAATACAGCTGGGTTGGACAAAGAACAGTTAATTGTAAAAATGTGACTGAATTACATGAGGAGACTTAAAAGATAAGAGTTTTACTGACAAAGTCTGTACAGTGTTCTCTTGGTTTCAATTCCTTGTTTTTGAAGATAAGAGTGTCACCTTTCTTTCTAGTATAGAGAGGGTATCTTTACTTGGGAATTTCATCTTTTGCTTTTAAGAAACAGCATGAAGGTCAAAATAATTTTTTTTGGTATCTACTACTTTTCAACAGACTTAACTTAGTCAATATGCCAGAATAGCTGAGGAGTTTCAGAAAAAAAGAGAGTTTAGCTTAGAGAAGGAGAAAGAGGAGGAGGTGTAGAAGGAGAGGGAAAGGGCCTGGGGAGGAAAGAGCCTCACTTAGCTTTGAGACAGCATTTTGCAGCAAGGTAATCTTTGAGTCCTGAATGCATTTTGGAGCCTTAAGATACCGAATGAGATATGTGCCCTGTTTGGACTGTATGATTTTATAGCAATGGTCTTTTAGTTTATTTCTAAGAAAAACAAACTGTTTGAATAATCCCCATAACATGTCACCAGCTGGAGTTCCAGAACGGGGAATCTATCTTGCCATGCGTTTCAACCTTGAGAGCCCAAACTGTAAATAAACTCATTTAGGTGATTCAGTTTAATGCCAACTACACAAAGCCAAAATAAAATCCGAGCGCGCAAATGAACTGAAAGATAAAGTTTGTACTCATCAGGAAAGACAAGCTTTCTTTAACAGGAGGGGAATATAATCCCTCCTAAACAGAAGACCTCATAACCAGGATGGACAAAATCCCTCATAAACAGGAGGCCTTATGTCCAGCAGGTAGAAAATCCCTCATAAGCAGAAGGCCTCATAGATAGGATGGGGGAAAGACTCTTAAACAAATCCGTGAAGAACTCAACCGAAAGAAAAATGAGAGTTTGATGCAAGAGAGACTCACTGGGGGGAAAGGGGTACCCTGAGGAAGCAGTGGGGAGGCGGAAGGGGCCAGAGTGTGGGTACCATGTGACCCAGTTCCAGGGCTTACTAATCTCTCTGAGGTGAGTCTACTTCAGACTCTGCTTCTAACGTCAAGTATGAAAGAGTCAAATAAAAGTATAAAGATGAATCTCTAAACAAAAGATTTAATTTGGGAAAACAGAATTGCAATTTGAGGCATACATATAGACTGGGGTGATGTTCTCTGTGTTTGAAGAACAAGGAAAAGACTGGGGGTTTTATTAGAAAAAAATGTGTATTGTTTTGAAAGAAAACTAATTGGCACTAGAGAAGGTTTTGGGAGCTGGCAAACTGGTGAGTGAGAGTGTAAATGGTGACTGGCTAAAACGAGTCTTAAATCTTATTCATTCTTCCTAACACAATAGGGTAACTACAGTTAGTCATAATTGTACACTTAAAAATTACTAAAAGAGTATATATAATTGGCTGATTTGTAACACAAAGGATAAATGTTTGAGGGGATGGATGCCTCATTCTCCATGATGTGACTCTTATGCATTGCATGCTTTTATCAGAGCATCTCATGTACCCCATAAACATATATGCTACTATATGTACCCACAAAAATTCAGTATTAAAAAGTAAAAATTAAAAACAAAATGAAATAACAAAAAAAAAAACTAGCCTTAGATTCATGGCAGTTCATTTTAGCAGCTACAAGGTAAAACTTATTTTAAGGTTATAGCAGGTCATTTTGGCAGCTGGCTTTAGAGACAGTCTTTGGGCGGGTGCTTTGTGCCCCGAATGTTTTTTTCTCCCCTGGCCTCTTAACTCCAATTTAGTAGGGTATGGCAAGATAACTCCAATTTATATTGTCAGTTTTTACAGTGGTCTCTACTGTTGATCTAATAAAATTTTCTTAATGGTTTGGTTAGCACTTTCTGACATATTTTCTTCAATTCCTTAAATGCCTTCTTTAGATCATATTCGCAAGAAAATTAAAGTAGAAATATTAGTTCAAAGACAATTTAAAATGCAAGAATATGATATAGAAATAATATACTTATAAAATATAACATACAAGTGAATTCATAAATTTAAAGCCCTGTTAGATAAAACAATCTAAAAGGCAAACAAAGGTTAATCTGATATAAATCTTAACTTCTAATAAATGCATGAACATATTACAAGTTTTAGTGATAAAGTATTGTCAGCAGTCTATTCAGTTTTTTCTAAACTAAATCCATAAACTGTTGGATGTAGAGGAAAAAAATAATTTACTCAGTCTCATAGGCTTGTCCATTATATTTTGTAAAATTTATGCTTAAATATTTAAAAGGTGACACAGGGGTCCATGCTAAGTTAAGTGACAAACTGTAGCTAAATCTTGATGTTTTAATTGTTACAAATGACAACACAAATGGCATCCCACTGACATTGGTTGTTCATCTTTCTTTATGTCCTACTTCAGACAGGACATGGCCAGTTCACTTACTGTGTTCTGCATGTGATCCCTGATGTGCTTTGTAAAATGAAGATTTGAAGTCATCTCCATAATTCCTGAAAGCTCCCATCACTCTTACTTTTTGAGTATTTCCTTGACCTGTGTTTTAGGCCTATATTACCTGATTAATTGGCTCAGTTTTCACCTTAGACATAAATATAGCTTATGATGTACGATGAAGAACAAAATAACTTGACTTTGAATAAAACTCAAGATTGCAATATGGCTTGACTTATAGAATAACATGACTTTTGTAGTCCTTTCCAAATTTAAGAATTTATGATGCTAACAACAAAAACATACCTGTGGTCCTCTTTTCCTGCAGTGTACAAGAGAAGGAGACCCTAAAAATTGGGTAATAACCAGTAATACCAAGAGAAGACCCATATTTGACCTTTTCTGCCAGACTGTATACCCCATCCACAGTTCACATATCAGAAAAAACTCATAGCCTAGAATTTTCCCCAGAAAGAACAAAGGTAAAACCACCAAAACCCCAATATGATGATTTCTCCATTTAAGAGTTAAGTTTCTGGCTAGTTATGTTAAAAGTAAATCGCATTTTATTGTGACTTACTTATGAGGGAAAAACACATTCTCACCATTGTTAAGTACTTAAAGTCCTCAGGTATCCAGACTGAGTGACTCAATGCATAAAGGAATATGGATGCAGATATGTTCTGAGTTTATATGTTGATCTGCAGATAGATTTGTTTGATACGCAGTTCTTTTTCTAAAATGTAGCAGTCATTATTGGAGGTTGTTATTAGAATTCATTGCAACATGATAAGCCATAGGCCCTGAAGTCTGTTCTTAGGATCTAATTTGTATAAATGTCTCTATGTACTGAGGGAACTTACGTAGAGTAGCACTTGGTGGTGGTGTAAAAACTTCTTCCTAGCTGTGCTTACAGACATTTCAGGGAAAAAGAGAGAGACTCAGTATTGATCCGATTTATTTAGATAAAAGTAACACAACTGATTACTGCAGAGTACTAAATAGGTCACAGATGGGAAATCTGGAGATTATGGTTTGAAAGAGGCTAGGAACCAGGCTAGCTCCGGGAAATTCAGATTGAAAGATCTGTTTAGTTAATAGCAGTTAAAATAATTAAGTTGTGTTTTTACCAGAGCTTCTGTTCTTCTCCAAATTCCCAAATCCCAAAAGACTCTGATTAATTTATTGTGGTTTACACATCCATTCCTGGTCTATAAAAGCAAACACCGTGATTGACCCTCCAAGACAGGTTAGAATTGGGTACGAGAGGGTGCCACAAGGAAATCATGGCCCTGAGATGAGAGTGGGAATAGGTCTATACATGGGCAAATTTTTATCATTCTTTATAAAAATTTCAACAGATTTGAAAATGCAGGAACTGTAGATAATCTAGAAAAAGGGAATTAATACTGTGGTTTATTGCTTTATTGGTCAAATAGAGAACTAAGGAATGCCAAGGTTATGAGCTGCCCTCAAGAGTTACTAGGTAGGGGTATCTCTGAGTTACTAACCTAGAGTGGAGAACACTTGAATTTGGAGACAACTTTCTGGAGTTTCTGGAGACAAACTGGCCAAGCAATTAGGAAGTTTATTTATTTATTTATTTTTACTTATTTATTTTTTGAGACAGAGTGAGACTCTGTCTCCCAGGCTGAAGTGCCATGGCTCGTGATGATGACTTACTGTAAGCTCGAACTCCTGGGCTCAAGTGATGCTCCTGCCTCAGCCCCCCAAGTAGCTGGGAGTACAGACATGTACCACCATGCCTGGCTGATTTTGTTTGTTTGTTTTTTTGTAGACATTCTTGCTATGTCGCCCAGGCTGGAGGAAATTTCTTAAAAGAGAGGAGGAGCTTCATGATGTCCAGATTGTAGGAGTATGTTTCCAGGCGTCTGGATAGGCTATTTCACTTTTGAATGTCTTACTACGCAAAGCCTCTGTTCTGATTCATCTTAACATACTATATTTGACAGCACTCATGTTGACAGCACAGTGCAGCTTTTTGTGTACGTGCCCTGCAGTTGAAAGGATAAAGGTTATCCCCGAAGCCAAAGAGCAGTAATTCATCTCCAGATAGCCCAGTGGAATTGGAGTTCCAGAAACACAGAGTAGAGCCCAGAGCCAGCTACTCAGAGTCTGAAGTGTAACTTTAGCTTGGTTAAATTCTTGGTGGAGAATATGGCATAAGAAAAAGGGTTATGGTTGTATAACAGTGATTATGTTTGGTTTCAAAACATTTACTTACAAAATGATATTCAAGGGCATGTAATCACTGTGAAATTATAGTGTAACTTTCCAATCAAGCTGTGTATAATCATCAAAGAAAGGAGTAAAGTCAGTTTACTTTAGATCTGTGAACCACACTTGTAGGGAAAGAATGGATTCTAGTAGCAGCTGATCTTCCACAGACTCCAAATTGACACTCAAATCACTGAACTTCCATGTGACCCAGTTTCTTCAGTTGCGAAAGCAACATAATAACCTGTATACCTAGCTCAGAAGGGTTTTGCAGAAGAAGATGAAGTAAGTCTTTTCTTAGCCTTTTTTTTTTTTTTTTTTTTTTTGAGACAGAGTCTTGCTCTGTCACCCAGGCTGGAGTGCAGTGGCATGATCTCCGCTCACTGCAGGCTCCACCTCCCAGGTTCACGCCATTCTCCTGCCTCAGCCTCCTGAGTAGCTGGGACTACAGGCACCCACCACCACGCCTGGCTAATTTTTTGTATTTTTAGTAGAGATAGGGTTTCACAGTGTTAGCAGGATGGTCTTGATCTCCTGACCTCATGATCCACCCACCTCGGCCTCCCAAAGTGCTGAGGTTACAGGCGTGAGCCACCACGCCCGGCCGTTCTTAGCCTTTTTCTTAAAGGACAGGTTGATATAAAAAGGAACAAAAACATTTAGTGTTTGCTTGTGGCCTACAACTTAAGGATTATTGTTTTCCGTGATACTGCAATGTGATTTTTAATTTCAGCACTTTATAATTGGCTTCTTATAAACTGCTGGTATTTTGCATTTGGTACCTGAGATGGGGCCTTGTTAAAAAATTGTAATGACAACATAATAACAGCAACAATAATTATTTGTTTTATTAATGTGTGCCAGACACGGATAATCTCATTTACTCCTAAAAGCAGTTGCAAAGCTATCTGCTGAGGAGATATTATGATCTCCAATTTTAGAGATGGGAAAACTGGGACATGGAGACTTTAGAAAAGTTGATCATGTAGTGCTCTTAACATCATTACCCCTCAGAAGAAACCCACTCTGCTGACAGCCTGATCTCAGACCTCTAGCTACCAAGGTGACTCCTGTTGATATGGTAATTGAAGGTTTAGAACTGTAAGAAAATACATCTCTGTTTTGTAAGCCACTCAGTTTGCAGAACTATGACAGAAGCCCTAGGAAGCTAACACAGCAATGAAACAACTGCCTTCTATTGCGTGCAATGACATGGATGATTCTATTGACTAAATCTTTGGATGGATGAAGCTAGACTAAGTACAGACTATACAAGTCTATTTATATACATTTCATACACAAAGAAAACTAATTCATAGTGGTTTCCTTTAGTGTGAGAAGACTATTATATAGGCTATAGGAAGACTTTCTGTGTGTTGTCACACTCAATTTTTTAACCATGTACTGGTTACATAGGTGCGTTTACTTTGAAATAGTTTATTGAGCTGTATGTATTCTTATGATTTGTTTATTTGTTTATATGCATGCTGCATATCAATACAGATGTGTATTGTTGGGGAGATGTAGAGGGGGAAGAAATTGAAGCTAGAGGATTTAGAAGTCATACTTGGCATTGTGAATCAGTACCTGCAATGGAGGCATGGGATCTCACTGAGAACACAGTGGAGCATTTGGCTTAGATGGGAGGAAAGGAACTTCTATGCTTGCTGGGAAGACACTAGATACAGTATATAGAAGCAGGGGTTATAAGAAGTCTTCAGTTTCCACTTTATCAGAGTTTTCTTCTTTCTTTTATCTCAAGTAAAAATTCAGTGTAGTACTTAAAAAATATCGTCTTTGGCAGGCCTCTTTCCATTTTCTAAAATGCCTTCGAAACACCATCCATTTCTCTGGCAAAGTCAGGGAGCTTTTTGGTCCATGTGACATGGCTCCTGTTGCTATAGTAATTGAATGTTTACTAGAGAAAATATTACCAGTTAATAATAGCCTGGATGGAAATAATAGCTACTGCTGGGCCTTCAGAGTTACACACCATCAATTTCCAATTTGCTGAAATAGGTGCAATTTGCTTTTTGAGTTTGAGAGTATTACTTTTTCCAGGCCTCCAGGATCCTTCCCCAACACCACGCACCACAGGCCCACACTCACATACCCATATGCTTCTAAAGAATGTTCAGCTTGTCCAAAATGATGATAGAGAGAAGCTGTTATGTTGGAGTCTTGTCATAATTTCAACAGTAGGAATAATGAATAAATTAGAAGGTTACTATTTATTGGCTTGGGTTAATAGTGCAATCACAGAGAGAATAATCACAGAAAGAGAGTATAATTCATACTATCTCTTATACTCAGCCTTTTTCAAAATCTCATTCCCAAACAGCAAACCAACAAGCAGATGTGTTGAATTAGTCTGTCAAAAATCATGCCTATGCATAACAAAAATGCCCTTCAAGGTATTCAACTCACTGTCTCTCTGAGTCTGGACTATTCCTGCATTTGTTCATTGATTGATTGATTGCTTCTTTCCATTATTCATTCATTCAGCAAATATGTATTGAGCCAGTCACTAACCTAGCTCCTAGGGATATAGCCCCTGCCCCTGCCCTTAGAGGAGCATGCAATATTTTGATGAAGTTGCCCCTCCTAGCATCAGCCTTCCCACTGAATGCCAACAAAGAGAGCAGCTCGAGGCGACACAGTTCATTGCTCAGATTCCATGTCCTCCCACTCTCAGCCTCCTTTCACCCACATGTTGGATGCTGTGCGTAAGCCTGGGGGCGTGCAGACTGATGCCTAGGCATGAGGGAGGGAAAATCCCTCCTCCCAAGTCAAGGAAACAAACAGCACTCCTGAGAATCCTGGCTTACGCTTCCAGAGAAAATCTGGAGAAACACTCAGCTACTATGACAACCAATTCTATCACACTTTGTCCAAATCTATGAGGGCACTGAACCTGAGAGAGGATGCGAGGGGAGTCAATGAGGAAGCCATTTCTCCAGCAGGTCTACCACGGGCATTTTGGCACCACTCGAGCCTGCCAGCAATCTTGTAGGATCATGGGGTGGAGAATATATGGCATTCATTTAAGAATATATATTATTTGTACTGTTTGTTTTATGGGCTGCTTGTTGGGCAACCAGTTTGTGTGGTAGCTAGGGTTAAGTCAAGGAAACAGGTACTGGGAGGTATATTTTTTGTTCTAATAGGTGGAAAAAATGAATGACTAGTTTCAAAATAGATGTCTCAGCTGCTCCGTAGTTCTAATGAATGTATATCCCTATTTTGGTAGTTTGTTCTACAGATCAGGGATTGGCAATCTAGGACCTGTGGGCCAAATGTAGCCAAGCTTATTCCATTACATATTGCCTATGGCTGCTTTCTCCTTACAACAGAAGTTTTATAGTTTACAGAGACTAGTCTGCAAATCCAAAGTGATTTTTGCAGAAAAAAGTTTGCCAACACCGACTTTAGAAGAATCCTCTGGAAAGCTGGAATCATTAGGAGGTATTTGTCTTATGATTGACATCCGTGAAAAAAATAATAATTTTTGATAACTTTAATGTTTTAAAAATACATACATATTAGCCTAACAATCTCCAAGAATGGGTTTTCAGGTAGGTATTCTAAATCTTATTTCTTAGATGAATCTTATTTCTTAAATGAAGGAGAGGTGGTGATTTGCTTGACTTTCACTCTGAGGAACCAGAACCAGCCCCACAGTGTCCTGAATCTAAAGTCGTGAGATTTCTACTTTTTGGCTCCACGCTAGAGCTAAGAGTGGAAGCTCATCTAACAAAATTTACAAAGTGCTGAGAGGCCTTTTGAACCCCAAGATGTGCAGCCAAAATCTCAGCATTAGCAATTCATTCCTATAGATCAACAAGTTCTCATTTTAAGATATAAAATGCCTCTGGCTGGGTGAGCATGCTAAGCGTCACCCCAAGCCACTTGTGTTTTCAGATGAAGTCTCCTAAGGGAATTCCTTCTCCTAACAAGGAGATCTGCTGCTCTGTAGGAAAAGGAACAAAAGATGGGCAAAATGGTAGGTGCAGAAGGAAATATTTCTGAGCTTGGCCAACTGGCCTGGGCATCAAGCAGTGAGAAGGGCAAGAATCAAATGTTTACTTGTGCCAAGTTTACTCATCTCCTTATTCACAATTCTCTTACTCTATTTGGTGCTACAGTGAGAAGGGTGGTATGTAGGCAAATAGATTATGGGTTTCGTTTATTTTTGTAGTTCTTACATTCCTAGGATCTTGTCCTTGCTGCCCTATGACCAACCCTATGTTCCTTCTCATAGTTGCATGGATACTTGCATTCTGGGTGCTGGCAAGCTTTCCAATGATGACAAATTTCGTTTTGTGAGAACTCTAGAATCTCACCACCAGAGTGTCACTGGAATAAATTTCTGGACTCTAAATATTCTCCGCAGATTGTAAATTTTGGACATGGCACTAGCAAAGAGACGATGGGACAGCAGCAAATGTCGGGATCACATGGTTTCCAGTTAGAATGTAGTGACATTTTGTACGATACACTGTGTTCTCTGCTCAAAGCTATTTATTCTTGAGAGTGAGAAGAAACGTTGCATGTTTCTTTTGTGCCAAGTAATGAATAATCAACAGTAGACACTGAGTGTTGTTAGGAAGAAACCGGAATTGTGATTCCTTTTGTTGGTGGCACCATCTCGACATAGTGAAAACAACATGTTTTTCTGTTTCACTTTTTGGTGGATGACAAAAAATGGTGTTCAAACTCGATAGGTATGTGATAGGAAAACTTCATTAGAAAAACTTTCTGTAGGCCAGGTGGAGTGGCTCACGCCTGTAATCCCAGCACTTTGGGAGGCCGGGGTGGGTGGATCAGTCAGGAGTTTGAGACCAGCCTGGTCAACATGGTGAAACCCCGTCTCTACTAAAAAAATATAAAAAATTAGCTGGGCATGGTGGTGCACATCTGTAATCCCAGCTACACAGGAGGCTGAGGGAGGAGAATTGCTTGAACCCAAGAGGTGGAGGTTGCAGTGAGCTGAGATTATGCCATTACATTCTAGCCTGGGCAACAGAGCAGGACTCCATCTCAAAAAAGCAAAAACAAAAACAAACAAAACAATAAAAAAATTCTGTAAACAGTAGAGTTGAAATATATGCTCTGAAAATATGGAATGGACTTGGTGAAAGGGTTAATTAATAAATTTTAGGACATTTCCAATTAAATAGAAAGATGCTGATAGCATTCATGAAACTGAATAATCATTACCTTTCTATAACTGTGCCATCTGTCCATGATGTTTGGAAAACTTTATCGATGTGTGGGAATCTTCCTTCATGTGGTAGAGAGTGAATTATACTGGGATTGGCATGCTCTGGGTTGCATCTCTGTTCTTACTCATAACTGATGTCCTCAGGTAAGACATTGTGTTTGCCTTGCTTGAGTTTTCTATCTGTGCAATGTAAGGACTGAATTATGTAACTTCTAAGTTTTCTTTCACCTCAGAATATAATTCTCTGCCTCATTTTGGCCATGGACTTGGGTCAACATGTTTTATTTATTTATTTATTTATTTATTTTCACTCGGTCACCCAGCCTGGAGTACAGTGGCATGATCTCAGCTCACACCAGCCTCCACCTCCCGGGTTACAGAGATTCTCCTGCCTCAGCCTCCTGACTAGCTGGGACAACAGGCATGCACGACCACACCTAGCTAATTTTTGTATTTTTAGTTGAGATGGGGTTTCACCATGTTGACCAGGCTGGTCTCGATCTCCTGGCCTCAAGTGATCCACCTGCCTCGGCCTCCCAAAGTGCTAGTATTATAGACATGAGCCACCACACCTGGATGTATTTTCTTTCCTTTTGATCCTTTGATATGCATTTTTTTAATCTGACCCCTTAAAATTAAATTATTTTACTTCGGATTTCTCACCTTTCAATCTTTCTTTCTAGTTGTTTTATTCTCTGTGTTAGAATCTGGGCTTCATGAAATTTGAGGATGCCAAGTTTAGAGTGTCACCTCTTATTCAAAACAGGCTTGATAGATTCCTCATCTAATTCTTCTTGTTCACCTCCAGGGACAGAGAGACTGTTACTTCTTAAGCTCAATGCATTCATGCTGGCTTAATTTTAATTATGTCAAATATGACCAAAATTTTGTATGAGCCTCTGACACATTAGATTTACTTAAGGGTGCAACTATTCTATTATTTTTAAACCGATTTATCTGAGTAATGTAATAGGCTTATTGCCTCTACAAGAGTATATCATACAACCATTCCAACCAAAGCTTATGAATCATTATGATTTCATCAAGTTTGGAGAGAAGGAATGATTGGTGGTATGAAGCAATGCCAGAAAAATCACAAAACCCATAGCTCTGTTTTTAACATTTGTGAAAGTGTTACGTGTATAATTTTGCTTCACGAAAAGGGAGGGAGGGAAACAGGAAGGGAGGCAAAGAGAACAAACTGGCTTAATAATAATGGTGCACTGCACAGTATAATGAAGGGGAGGTGGTGATGTTCCAGGCTGCTCTGAAGAGTCCATTTAGAGTGGGATGTCTACTTTAACACTATGACATATGAAGTAAGTACATCATATGGTTTTGTCTGACGTAATTTTCCCTGCTTTATTCCAATTGTCTAGAGAGCATAGAATGAGATGGTGTCAAGTCATAAACCCACAGTTATGTAAGAACATTTAGCCAAGGGAAGGTTGGCAGCTTGGAAGCTTGTTTTATAACACATACTGGGTTCAACTCTGCCTTTCTGAGAAAGTTTCTTCAATATTGAATCTGGGTTTCCCTGGGATATGAAATCTCAACAGTAGAGTACACACATGAGCTGTGGTCAAACTCTTGACAATAAAGCTTTGAGGGGAAGACAGTGGCCATCTTGAAACTGATTTTAGTCCCAATAGTTGCTAGGGAGGAATTCTGTCATGTACAAAGAGACACCTTAACAGACTGGCTGCATGAATTGACATGTGATTGATTCTTGTCAATCATTTCAGCCACAGTCTTTCATTTAAAATGCGTTATTTAATCTAATCTTCTCTTACTATTTGAATTGAATTCTTTCGAATAATAACAGAAGTCAATCTAGTGTGTTTTTTTTTTTTTTTTTTTGTGACGGAGTCTCACTCTGTTGCCCAGGCTGGAGTGCGGTGGTGTGATCTCGGCTCACTGCGAGCTCTGCCTCCCGAGTTCACGCCATTCTCCTGCCTCAGCCTCCTGAGTAGCTGGGACTACAGGCGCCCACTACCACGCCCGGCTAACTTTTTGTATTTTTAGTAGAGACGGGGTTTCACGGTGTTAGCCAGGATGGTCTCAATCTCCTGACTTCGTGATCCGCCCGCCTTGGCCTCCCAAAGTGCTGGGATTACAGGCGTGAGCCACCGCGCCCAGCCGTCAATCTAGTTTTAATATGGGAAATCCAGACCCAATGTTTGAAGACATTTATCTTCTTTTCTCCAAAACATATATGTATATGAATTAAAATGTCTATCAATAAAAGGAAACAATGATTGGTTCCAACAATCAATAAAATTGCAATTCAGAAGAAGTAAAGGTCATGGAAGGCTGTAGTTTTTGTATTAGGCTTTGAGAAATGACAAGCAGACAGGAAGAAACAGGGCAAAGGTATCTGTGACCTTAAATTCTGATTTATTTCAAGTTTAGCTGACTTCGGAGCCTGATTCAATTCTTCCTATTCTACATTTGTCCCACAAATGTTTCCTGTATTTAAAAAAAATGGAAAACATCTTGTCTGTATATGTGTAGGAGAGGGTGGTGGAAGATAGCATTTCCAGAGGGTTTTTCTTTTCTGTCTTTCAGTATTTTGCAATCCATGTTATAGTTATTGAGTGTTGATGTGCCAATCTCATTTACTCTCAAAGTAGGGCTATTTAGAATGCTGATCTTCACATTTAGACAGATTTTTTTGGGCCACCCCACTTTGTGATTCCAAGACGCAACAATTCCAAATAAATGCATATGCAATAATTTTAGAAAACTGTTTTCAGCAATCACCTAATCTATAAAACAGATCCTTTTTTTCTGTCACAAGTTTCCTATTGAATTATGTTTTCAAATCTTTCATCTCAAGGGAATATTTTAATTACTTCAAAGTTGAAAAGTGTGGAATTTAAAATGGATTGATGATTTGATTTGTCAGAGTTTAATAAAGGGTTCCATATGACTCATTGCATTGTTTTATTGTTTGAGAGATTTAAACTTAAGAATTTGGAGAAAAACTAGAGATCTGAATTATTTCCAGGCAAAGATTCAGATTTTCTCTTGTTACTCTATTATATTGACTTTTGGAATGTGATGGCCATACATGGGAAAAGAAAAAGATACGGATATCTGACCTCCTGACCTCAGGCCCCTGGAGGACAAGCTTGTCATGGTTTAGGACTTCCCCTTTGTAAGCACTCCTAACTCAATACTTTTGGAAAAAAAAATTAGGACAAAATTTACTTAATAGGAATTACCAAACTGGCTTTGTAAGAGGCATGTTATGAGGACAAGCTCGATATGGTTTAGGACTTCCCCTTTGTAAGCACTCCTAACTCAATACTTTTGGAAAAAAAATATAATAGGACAAAATTTACTTAATAGGAATTACTAAACTGGCTTTGTAACAGGCATGTTATGACCAAGAGTTTTGCTCTGCCCCCAGCCCTCCCTGGAGGCCCCTGGTTATTCAGCCACCAAAGAAGGATGCAGGGAATACTTCTCCCTTCTCCTGGGCCTGCCCACACCACTTCTGCTACTGTCCTTTGTCACACACGTGTCTCTTAGATTCCCTTTGGTTTTGAAACCACTTTTAGCTTTTCTTTCCTAAAGCCATCCTGAGTCTCCTTCTGATGCCTGTTTCTTAGCCATTCCAGGTACCTGCATATTTCTTCAGTATATCCTTAGTCTTAGCTGGTGAACACATTCACTTTCTGCCTAGAGGCACACATTTTTCCCTCTTCTATGCACCTTCTGGAGCCTCCAGCCCCCGAAACAGGATTTCAAAAGGGAAGTACTTTTATGTTTTTATCCGAGCTACAAGTTAAGTTTACTGTGCATTCCATTTGCAATCTCTCTTCTCTATTTGAAGGTACACGAATCACCTGGAGAGGCTGGTGAAAAGTAGCTCTGAGTCACTAGATCTGGCCTCTACCCCACCGTGTTCCCAGCGGGTGCAGATGCTGCTGGTGCCAGGACCACACTGTGAGTGGCGAGGCTTTACAGTGCTTTATTTTCATTCTTTGAAAGCTGTACTAGTTTCCTAGGGCTGCCATTGCAAAGTAGTACAAACTGGGTGACTGAAAACAAATTTATTGATCCAGAGGCTAGAGGTCCAAAGTCAAGGCGTCTGTAGGAGCATGCTCCCTCTGAAACCTGTAGGGAAAGCCTTCCTGCCTTTTCCTAGATTCTGCTGGTCACTGGCAATCCTTGGAGCCCCTGGCTTATAGATGCCTCACTCCAGTCACATGTCTGTCTTCTCCCTGTGTGTCTTCACATTCACAATTCACACTCACAGTCTTCTCTCTGTGTGTGTCTGTCTCTGTGTCCAAATACAAGAGACCTAATCATAACTTTCTTGTCTCTGTAAAGACCCTATTTGCAAATAAGGTCACATGCTGAAGGACTGAAGGTTAAGATTTCAAGGATTTCAACATATCTTTTTGGGGACCCACCATTCAACCTATAACCTGTAACAGAGAACAGACCCATTTCCTTTCTTTTTAGAATGTGTAAGACTTTCTTTTTTCTTCTCTGTTTTTTTTTTTTTTCTGAATAGAGTTAACTATTTTGATCAACAATTGAAACATGAGAAACTAAGAGTCTTTATAACAGGCCAGGAAGTAAAGCAGACATCTGGAATCATTAAGAAAGAGGCAGTGAAGGAGGATTTTTAAAAAAGAACTTTTCTTCTAGAGTATAAAAGTAGAAAAAGCATTGACTTTTGAGTAAGCCAGTTCTGAAATTCAGATCTTGACTTGTCACTTATTAGTTCTGGGATTTTGGGGGCAACGTACTTGCTTCTGCTCAACTTCTGTTTCCTCATAAGAAGCAGGAGTATGATGATACTCATGACTGAGATGATCAGTAAGGCTTCCAAAGTACCTGCCACATGTAGTAGACATTGAGTACATGTAATCATTCTTTGTAGTGTAAGTCTGTATTCTGAATATCCGATTGGAACTGTCAACATTAGTTAAGTGGGTCACCGAGTGGGCCTTCCAGGGCTACCAAGTCACCTTTCAGGCATCAAACTTCTACCTCCTCTTCTTCTCCTTAAACCACGATGATGATGATTCAGAAAAGCCAAAAGGACAAAGGGACTGCATTTCATGTATTTTCTGTGTAATTTCCCATCCTAGATTTTAAAGAAAAATACTGGTTTCTCATATGTCTCTATATTTTAATGTATATCATCATTCTTCCTTGTTGCATTTCTGTTTTTTTAAAAAACCAATTTCTCCTAAGTGGGTACTATACAAAGACATTTCCATATTTTGGTTGTTTGTGTATAAAGATATATTATTGAAATGTGGGGACTTCTAAAATGAATCCAACAGTCTTCACTGTAATAGGGGTCATTTGCTTTGGTGTTTGGGTTAAAAAAATGGCCTTACTTGTTACTAGTCTAGCATTGCTTGTTACTAGTCTAGTATTGCTTGTTACTAGTCTAGTAATGCTCATTGCTTTGCCATTTGTTTTAGAGATAGATTTTTCAAAGTAGAGTTTGAATGAAAATGGACATTGGTAAAGGGGAGTATGTGATAGTTGCAAATCTATTTGTTTTTTAGATGTGTAAGTCTTATGCTGCAAAAGTAAGAAAATACACAATGCTTAGCCTAGGTCGGGCTTCCAAGTTGAATCTGGAACAAGTATTACTCACCTCTCATATGCCAACTACACTGGAAGCTTATGTACCCAAACAGTAGTGGATGTGATAGCGGAAAACTTTATCCTCATATTTTTGTTAACAATAAGGCAGGCATCATTCCTGAACTGGCTTATTATTATAGGTTCATATAAAACTACAGTGAACTAAAAGGATAATGTGTGTATATGAGTTGAATATGCAAGCAAAACACATAGATGCAATATGCATACTCATATTTCTGTATTATTTTATAATTGCCAAACAAAATAACTTGTTTTTAAGGAAAAAAGGTGTAACTTTTTTTTTGAAGATTACTTGCTTTTTTCCACAAACCAGCTAGTAAAGGGTGGAGAAGTCTAAAAGCCAATTAGAGAAAAAGAGGCCTGCTCAATAAGGGTTTGCTTGAAGTCAAGAGAAATTGAATTGTTTCTCAAGTGAAGCAGGCTGACAGGAACGAGCAGGATATTCTGAGTGCTTGCATCTGGTTTGATTCAAATGGTTTCGTATTTGTGAAGTTTCAAATTAAAATAAAGCTCATAGTGAAATGAAATGCTATTTAAACCATGTGAACTGGAGCCAATGAAAAAATGCATTCTCATAACCGCAATGTGTGAAGTTCTGCTTGGTAAGTCATTTTTCACGGAAGGTATGCAAAATTAAACCAGATACACCTGCATGCTTGGGTTAATTCTTGGGGTAAAATTAGGCCAACCATTCTCATCCAGTTTCTCAGTACAATTTGCTCAACCTTGTCTTTTTTCCTTATGGAGCATCTACAACGTGTGAGGTAGCCCCAGAGGTGCTACAGTGGTGGTATATATTAGTTCGTGCCCTTGAGGGGTTTATACTCTAGTGATGAAGATGAAAACACATGTTTTTGTGTGCTAGACTGATTTATTGAATACTATTGAAACTGATAAAAGAGGAGAAAGAAATAGAATTGGTTGCACCTCTCTTTAAGCCAGAAAGCTAGAAACAGATGGCTCTTTGCAGTGACAAATGGGGAATACCACAGCTGTGAAAAGTCTACACTACTGCTTTGCAAGGTTTTGGGGAGAACTCTTTCATAGTCAATCACAAAAGCTGTCTAAATGAAGAACCACCAAATAAACTTTATATGCCTGCCTTAGTCAGGGTTCTCCAGACAGATAGAACCAACTGTACATGTGTAAATATATATATATATATATATAGAGAGAGAGAGAGAGGGGGAAGGATTTATTCAAGGAATTTTTTTCATGTGATTGTGAAAGCTTGGTAAGTCTAAAATCTTCAGGGTAAGCTGGCAGGCTGCAGACCCAGGGAAGAACGCTGCCTAAGTCCAAAGACAAAGGTAATTCTGTCTGCTGGCAGAATTCTTTTTAGCTCAGGAAAGGTCAGCATTTGTCCTGTTAAGGCCTTCAACTGATTGGATGAGGCCCACCCACATTATGGAGGATACTTGTTATTCAATGTCCACCCATTTAAGTATTGATCTCAGCCAAAAAATACCCTCATGGAAACATCCAGAATAAGTTTGACCAACTGTCTGGGCACTATGGCCCAGCCCAAGTTGACACGTAAAGTGAACCATCACACAGCCACTGATGGATCTGGAGTGCATCTGGGAATATGCTGTCTCAGTGAAGACCAGAACCCATACTAGGCCTACAGAGAGCCCTGCTTAGTTTCAGAGGGAGAATATTAGAATTTAGGCCTTACATTTGCTAGAAGATAGCACCCACAAGGGTAAACCACAAAAAGTAATGTAGAAATAAAATACTGGTGAGGTGTCTCAGGAAACCAAAAAGGGATCACATAGTGGAGTTGCTCTGATCCCACAGGAGTCTCAGCTCAGTCAGTACCTTTTCAGCTTGTTTCAAAATGTCAAGACCAAGGATGGGTGTAGCTAGGGGCTGGATTCTCAACCTGATGGTTGACACCTGTTGCATGAATCATCATGAGTACCCAACAGCTCTTACTCTAGTGAGCATGGCATGGCCTTCCAATTTTTTGGTAGAGGAAATTGGAGAGAGAGTCTTAGCTCATTGGTGAAGAGATGAAAATGGAGTCAGGTGGAGAACCAGCTCACCACCTGTTAGAGTTGACTCTACACCTGGCTACTTTTAAACCTCACCACCTCCCACCCTCTACTTTATGCAATTATGCAAAAACACCAAAGACATATCTGGACTCTCTGGGGCTGACACCTTTTTTGGCAACCCAATTTAAATTTTTTCACACTTTCTTCCACTTTCTTCCTCCCCATTGCACCCCTTGCCCTTTCCAAATGATGGTTTAAGGAGATCCTTTTCCTGATTAAATTTCCCCCTAAGAATTTATTCTTATTTGACATGTTATTTATCTTAGTAATTTTATTTTTTTGCCCCTGTGGTCTGCCCCTATCACTAGTATGTAAGCTCCATGAAGGTAGAGATTTTTGTTTGCCTTGATCACTGTCTTATTTTCAGTGCTTAGAGCAGTGTCTGGCATGTAGTAAACACTCAATAAAGATTTTTTGATTTAATAATTAAATTATTTCTCTGGTTGGAATGTAGCCAGTGTGTATTGGAAGAAATTTCTCCAAAAGAAGATAGTGCCCTTTAGGAAGCAGAAAACTTGCCTAGTAGCCAGGCTTACCTAGGTAGTAATTGGAGAGATTCAGGAAAACTGAGTCAGCTAATCTTTGAATGCTAGGACTAATATCCCAAAGAACCCAAATTCAGGATACAAACATGGTTCCATCTTGTTTGGGATGGCCTCTAGATGGAGAGTAAATTATCTCTCTGGGATGACAATAGAGAGTCTTTAGGTGAAGAATAAATCAGACTACAAAGCTAACATATTAATTAGTTTGTTTTTCCTTTTGCCCCTTTCACGTTGACAGACTTTTTTTCACTAAAGGGAGATGTATATAATGGGAACAAAAGCAGAAGTTGCCTTCACCATATTTCCCTTCCTGTCTTTTGCAAAAGCCAAAGTCCTCCTAAGAGATTGTGATAGGTATCCTGAACAGAGAATGGGGAGGGGTAGATAAGTGAAGAGACTTTTGACAGTGAGTGGGAGTAGAGGGTAGGGAGATTGCCAAGAATTGAAAGAAACTGTAGAGTAGTGGTTTCCAGAGAGAGCATGGACCCAAGACTTTCTAGTTGGTATTGTCCTTAGGTAGCATACCCTAGAGGCTGAATCTCAAACAGGGATTGAAATAAGTGAGTCACTATACCACCACCAAGTGGAAACCATAAATTTCAGTCATGGCTATAATGGGCAGATGGTAAGAGCCTCCTTTTCCATTTTAGGGAAACCCATTAGCATCTTGGATTCTGGATCTGCCCTGCAATGGTAGAGATGCAAGTGGACAGATAAACCCTCAAACTGGGGCTTAGCCTGAGAGGGCTCTTGACTTATATTGATGTAGGTCGACAGACAAGCCTCCAAACTGGGGCTTAGCCTGAGAGGGCTCTTGCCTTTATTCAGGAAAGAATTCAAGGGTAAACCAGTGGTGCTGGATAGTGATCTTTTATTGAACTGGAGCTGTTCCTTGCAGACCAGAACTCATAGACATTGTGCCTAGAGCCATGAGCTGTGCTTGTTGGCTGTAGGAAACTGTATTTATAGTCACGTATGTGCACTTTCAGTTACATGCAAATCAAGGGGTGAGGTAATGCAAATTGAGGGTCAGGTTATACAGAACTTTTTAGCAAAGAGGTGGTAACCTCCTGGTCATTGTCATGGAAAGGGACAGTAGCTTCCAGGTGGTTGCAGTGGCATTTGCAAACTGTCATGGCACTGGTGGGAGTGTCTCATGCTAATGAGCAATGAGGCCAGCTAGGGATCACTTTCTTGGCCATCTGCTGGTTCTTGGTGGTTTTTTCATTTCATCCCATCAGAACCTGGAATTAAGTCCAGCTGGTCTCCTACCTCAGTAGTGGCTTCAGGGTTGTTTGGGATTGACATTCTCATAATCTCTGTGGATTTTAGGGACTCTGAGACAGATTAAATTAGATCAAAAGTTTTTAAAATGCTGGATTTAAAGCCTAAAAATTTTAAAGTTAAAAAAATTGGGTTTGCAGAATGAGATTCATGGCTACCATATTTATAAGAGTATGCAGAGGAAAAGTACTGGGGAAGAGTAAAGAGCAAAGGGTGTCTTGAATCTGGACATTAAAGAAAACTGTATTAAGGAGTTAACTTCTGAGTTAGCTTTGAGGGCTTGGGCAAATGAAGGCACTTCACTATAGCTCATCCTCTCAAGGTGGAAAATTCAGGTCTTTCACTGCAGTCTCAGCTTGTCTTGTGCCCTCCTGACTTCTTCCAAGCAATAGATCCTATAGGCCATGCATCCTCCAGCTATCTCTTCACTCCGTATCTCTGTTAACCTGCTGTGCCTCCCAACTATGTTCATGGTGCTCTGAGTCTGTGTACTCCAGAGCTCCTACTTTAAGCTCCTGCGTTAACACACGTAATTGTTGAACTTGCAGAAACATACATTCTTATTTCTTTTCTTCTTCTTCTCTCTTCTTTCCCTCCTTATTTGGTGAGTTCAACATGTCTCTATTTTAAACATTTCTCTCCTTTCCAACTCAGATGTCAGTTTTCAACAGTCAGTGCAACTAGAACCCTATATCAGATTTAGGAATATGTACTTACATCTTAAAATAAAAATGAGTCATAAATACACTCATATTTTAAAAACTTAGGCTATATTATAACATATACAAATTTTAAATATACTAAATAATATTTTTTAAGGCCACTACATAGGGAATTTTACCAAAAAATCGTGTGAAGTGGTAAGGAATCAAAGGAAACTGTAATGTAATGGTTACCTCTCTACTGGGGACTTGGAGTCATACAACTTAAAGCAGACATAATACACAGCTTTACTTTAAAATCTTGATGGTAGAAAGTTTATTGATTACTTTCCCTCAATGTTTTCCAGAGCTTTTACGACTCCTTTGTCTTCTTATCTTCAATCACTCAGTATTTTCAGGATGTTAGGTAGACAGCTTTTCTCTCTTTACATACTTAATATATTTTCTGGTGTTATTAGGAAGATGCCTCCTCTCTCCAAAAAAAGAAAAATAATTTTCAAAAAGACTTTGACATAAAAACAAAACTTATTTTTTTATTTTATTTTTTAACCTGGAAAGCTCTACTCTTTTTCCCCCACCAGCCTTTAACCACTTTAATACTTTCTATTCCAAATATCTTGGTAAATCTGTAATTTGGTATTAGCATTTTGAGCAAAATTCTACAAGACTCTCTAATATTATATAAAATTTGCATAGTATGACCATTATTCATTCTGATTATACGATAAACTTCCAGTGGAATAAACATTTTTAGCAAGGGAAGAGGCATTATGCATCCAAGCACATAGCAGAGAGGTCATAAACATGGGAAGAAAATTAAGGTTCTTTGATGTTCAGTCCTATGATTTGTCCCTTTGACCAGTCTTCATTCTTGCTGCTGCCTCTCATTTTATGCCAACAGCCCTTATATTAATATTTGTCATGTAGAATAAACAGAAAAGGGTTAAATAAATCATCTAGGGCTCGTTGGTTTCATGCAGTATATAAGTAAAAAAATAAAATCCTGAACTCACATTAACTTTTTTGTTTGTGTGTATTTTATGGTTCACTGTAATATTTAAGGAAAAAAATTCTTCTCTGTGCTCTAATACTATGCTAAGAGTGTTTTAATCATATTAGTTGCTACTTGAATTAAATTACTTTCTCCTAAAGTGCTTCTAAAACTTTAATGTATGCATGAATCCCCTGGGCATCTTGTTCAAATGCAGATTCTAATTCAGTAAACCTAAGGTGGAGCCTGAGATTCTGAATTTTTAATAAGCTGCCAGATGATACCAAGGCTGCCCATCTTTGCACCACACTTTGACCAGCAAGATTCTAGAAAGGATTATTGACATTGAAGATAAATGGTATTTTGAAAGAGAAAACAGGACAAATGGTCTGAATAGAATTACAAGAGTAGAAGAGTGATTAGAAGAATAGAAAACATTACCAAATCTTGGAAGCTGGTTTTATCACTAGCAATAATTTTGCTGGGATCTTTCAAAAGATGTTTATTTCAGTTTTACCTGAAGGTGAATTCCCAAACCCTTAAATTTGATGAGCTCAGCTTCACCCAGTCCCTGGGCCAATTTTCACTAATCTGGGAAGAATTGGGAAGGCTATCACCATGCATGATTTGGGACTGGTGTGAGACTTGCTTCCTTAAATAAAATATTTTGTGTGCCTAGAGTGAGCCCATATATCCCCTGAATTACAGACTTTCCTTCCACCCCCCCCTCCTCAACCACTCCTGCTACAGTTATAGGTCGTGTGAATGGGCCTCAGCCTTGGAACCTGAGTGTATTCTTGATCCTTCTTTTAGACTGTGTATCTGCTGTGATTCCCAGCCCACCTTTCTGGGACTGTTAAACATCTCTTACAATCCCTTTCCGCATGAGGATGGGGCATACATCCTGTCTTTATAGTCCATAGCCCTCATGAACCACTATGAAAGAGCCCACCCACTCCAAGTGGAATTACTGCCTCTACCCATGAAATCCAAGGGACAGATAAATTCTCATTGTATCAGTCAGAACAAATGGAAACAATTCCAAATATTAAAACCAAGAACGATTAATTTGTAGAAATTGATCACATAGATGGCGGAAGAGCTGAGATACCAAAAGGAATGGGGAGCTAACCAATACATTAGTTATTACAGGACTGGAGAAGGCAGTTTTGCCAGACTCCAGGAATAGAGTGGCCTAATAGAAGCTAGAACCACAGCAGTTTTAGTGCAGAGGGCACGGGAGCTTGGTGAAGTTATAGCCCTTTCCGGATACTCTGCCTAATGCAGAGGGGAACAGAGAGATTACCCAAGCTTCTTCCTTCCCTCCATCATCACATCTCCCGAGGGTTCTCCCTATTGGCTGAACTCAATGGGAAGCTAGAAAGTCAAATACTGAGATCTGGGATATGCAGACTGCAGGGTGGACCCCACCTGCTATGTTACAGAACAGAGTTGGTTTGTTGGGGCTAAAGGAGAGGAAGGAGAGCCAGGCATGAACCCACAGGCAAATAGTTCTATAAATATACACACTCAGCAGACCATGCTGTCTTGGAGGATAACATCAGTGCAGATCAAACTGAAGCCCTCTCTTCCCCATAACAGTGTGACTGTTAGACTGTTCGGTACCTCTCTGCAGTCAGCCCATAGCTAAGACAATCTCTCTCAGCCTCAGCCCTGCTGTTCTCCCCTCTCTCTCTGACAGCTCAACACTGTAGTACAAGCTTGCCTTGAGCCAAGGTCACATGAATTATGACACATGATGCAAAAGTAATTTCTTGAATGTTTATTTCCCACACTGTTGATGAAATGTGAAACCATCTTTAATTTCCCCTTTTAAATCTGAAAATCTTAGGTTGTCATAAAAGTTAGAATGTATGAGGTTGTTCTGAAATTCTATAAAAGGCATTTTTTTCTCCCTGCTTCTATTTTTTTTAAAGTATGAGAAACTCAGGAGGCTCTGATATTTTGTATTGGTTACTTAACTCATAAAAAAGATGAGGTTTAGTTTTGGAGTTGTGCAATAAAATATGGCTAGATTTACATTTTGGAGAAATGTGATCAAAATATTTCCCAAGCAACTTTTCCAGCAATAAACAATGCTACTATAGCAAATTAAATTGAAAATTTTAAAAATACGTATTCATTCTGACTATATCTAGGTAAAAGTATTTCTTCTTTTCCAGTTGATGAGTTATAATTTTCATTAGATAAATGCGTGGGAATTGTTACCTGTTTTGCTTGAAAACACACACTTATTATTTTATATTATTAAAGACCCTTGTCCAGATAACTTAGCTCCCAAACTCAATTCATCAGGATAAAGGTATATTGAGGTTACACATTATTTCTGTTAGCCCTGAATAAATAAACACATTTTTAATCTCTTGCATTTGTGTTGTTCATGAAGAAGTGTATGTAGTCTAGTTAAAAAACCTTCAAAAACAACTGTAATATAATATATACTTAACAGAATAAAAAAATGACTTCAACTTTTATTTTAGATTCAGAGGTACCTGTGAAGGTTTGTTACATGAGTATATTGTGTGATGCTGACGTTTGGGGTACAAATGACACCATCATTACCCAGGTAACGAGGATAGTACCCAATAGTTAGTTTTTCAGCCCTTGTCATCCTCCATCTCTCTTCCCTCTAGTAGTTCCCAGTGTCTTTTGTTGCCATCTTTTCTTTATCAAATCCACCATTGATGGGTACCTTATGTGGATTCCATGTCTTTGCTATTGTGAATAGTCCTGCAATAAACATACAAGTGCATGTGTCTTTTTGGTAGAATACTTTTTCTTTTGGGTATATACCCAGTAGTGGGAATGCTGGGTGTAATGGTACTGCTATTTTAAGTTCTTTGAGAAATCTCCAGACTGCTTTCCACAGTGGCTGAACTAATTTACATTCCCACTGACAGTGTATAAGCACTCCCTTTTCTTCACAGCCTTACCAGCATCTGCTGTTTCGACTTTTCAATAATAGCCATTCTGACTCGTGTGAGATGGTATCTCATTGTGGTTTTGGTTTGACTTTCTCTGTTTTTCATATGTTTGTTGGCTGCTTGTATGTTTTCTTTTGAGAAGTGTCTGTACATCTGTTCATGTCTTTTGACCAGGTTTTGATAGGGTTATTTGTTTTTTGCTTGTTCAATTGTTTAAGTTCCTTATAGATTCTGAATATTAGACCTTTGTCAGATGCATAGTTTGGGAATATTTTCTCCCACTGTGTAGTTTGTCTGTTCATTCTGTTAATAGTTTCTTTTGCTGTGCAGAAACTCTTTTTTTTTTTTTTTTTGAGGTGAAGTCTCCCTGTTGTCCCCCAGGCTAGAGTGCAATGGCACAATCTTGGCTCCTTGCAACCTCCGCCTCCTGGGTTCAAGCGATTTTCCTGCCTCAGCTTCCTGAGTAGCTGGGATTACAGGTGCCTGCCACCATGCCTGGCTAATTTTTGTATTTTTAGCAGAGATGGGGTTTCACCATATTGGCCAGGCTGGCCTCGAACTCCTGACCTCAGGTGATCTGCCCACCTCGGCCTCCCAAAGTGCTGGGATTACAGACGTGAGCCACCGTGCCCAGCCACGGAAACTCTTTAGTTTAGGTCCCAATTGTCCAATTTTGTTTTTGTTGCAATTGCTTTTGAGGACTTAGTAAAAAATTCTTTCCTAAGGCTAATGTCCAGAATAGTGTTTCCTAGCTTTTCTTCTTCCAGGATTCTTACAGTTTAAGGTCCTACATTTTTTTGTATTATGAAATGTTTTAATTTTTAATTTTTGTGGGTACATAATATATAGATTATATGTATTACATAATATATATTATATTTTATATACATTATATATAATATGTAATATAATATATATTATATATTTATATATGTACACCTCATTGAGATTATATATAGTATATATTATATATTAATATATAATATATATTATATAAATATATATGGGGTACACAAGATATGAGGTCTCACATTAAATTTTTTAGCATTAATTTTTGTATATGGTGAATGGTAAGGGTCCAGCTTCACCTGCATATGGCTAGTCAGCTGTCCCAGCAGCAATTATTGAATAGGGACTCCTTTCTCCATTGCTTATTTTTGTGGACTTTGTCAAAAATCAGATGGCTATAGGTATGAAGCTTTATTTCTGGGTACTGTATTCTGTTCCATTGGTTTATGTGTCTCTTTTTGTACCAGTACCTTGCTGTTTGGTTACTGTAGTGTTTTAGTATAGTTTGAAGTTAGGTAACGTTATGCTTCCAGGTTTGTTCTTTTTGTTTAGGATTGCTTTGGCTATTAAGGCTCTTTTTTGGTTCCAAATGTATTTTAAAATAGTTTTTTTTTTTCTAATTCTGTGAAAAATGATATTGGTAGTTTGAGAGAAATAATATTCATTCTGTAGATTGCTTTGGTTAGTATGGGCATTTTAATGATATTACATCTTCCAGTATATTATCATGGAATGTTTTTCCACTTGTTTGTGTCATCTATAATTTCTTTCAGCGGTGTTATATAACTCTCCTTGTAGACATCTTTCACCTCCTTGGTTAGGTATATTCCTATGTATTTTATTTTTTTGTGGCTATTGTAAATGGGGTTGTATTTTTTATTTGGCTCTCAGCTTGAATGTTTTTTGGGTATTGAATTGTTACTAATTTTTGTACATCAACTTTGTGTCCTGAAACTTTACTGAAATACTGTATCAATTCCAGGAGCCTCTTGGCAGGATATTTAGGGTTTTCTAGGTATAGAATCATATCATCAGCAAAGAGAGATATTTTGACTTCTTTTCTTTCTGTTTAGATTCCTTTTTATTTCTTTATCTTGCCTGATTACTCTGGCTGGGACTTCAGGTACTATGTTGAATAGGAGTGGTGAGAGTGGACATCCTTGTTTGTTCCAGTTCTCAAGGGGTATGCTTCCAGCTTTTGTCTATTCAGTGTGATGTTGGTTGTGGGTTTGTCATAGATGACTCTTATTATTTGAGGTATGTTCCTTCAATGTCTAGTTTGTTGAGAGTTTTTAAAAATAATGGAGTGATGTTGGGTTTTAACAAAAGCATTTCCATGTCTACTGAAATGATCATATGGTTTTTGGTTTTAATTATATTTATGTGGTGAAGCACATTTATTGATTTGTAGATGTTGAACCAACCTTGCATCCCAAGAATGAAGCCTAGTTGATCATGGTGAATTAATTCTTTGATGTCCTGCTGAATGTTTGCTAGCATTTGGTTGAGGAATTTTGTGTCTTGTTCATCAGGAATATTGGCCTATAGTTTTCTTTTTTGTAGTATCTTTGTCAGATTTTGGTATCGGAGTGATGCTGGCTTCATAGAATGAATTACAGGGGAGTCCCTCCTGCTCAAGTTTTTGGAGTAGTTTTAGTAGAATTATTACTAACTCTTCTTTGTGCATCTGGTAGAATTTGGCTGTGAATCTATCTAGTCTGGGGCTTTTTTTTTGGTTGGTAGAATTTTTATTACTGATTGAATTTCAGACCTCAATATTGGTCTGTATATGGCTTCAATTCAGTCTTTATTCAATCTTCGGAGGTTATGTGTTTCCAGGCATTTATCCATTTCTGTTCATAACAGTCTCTGAGGATCTTTTGTATTTTTGTGGTATCAGTTGTAATGTCACCCTAGTCTTTTTTTCTTTGTCAATTTAAGCAGCAGTCTGTCAATCCTGTTTATTCTTTGAAAAATCTAACTTTTGTTTTTGTTGATTCTTCATATGGATTTTTGTGTCTCAATTTTGTTCAGTACTCCTTTGATTTTAGCTATGTCTTTTCTTCGGAAGAATTTTTTAATGTTGAGACTTCTGTATGAATAAACAACATGAAGAATCGGCATGGACTACAATTTTTACTCTTCATTAAGTAGCAAATGATGTATATGTTTTCCGATTCTTACTAATAAGCACTAACATGTATTTACTCTTTGCTGTTATTGAATTGCTGTTTCATCTTTGATGCATTTTCTGAAAAATTTGAGACTAAGCTTCCCCAAAATGTTAAGATTGCTTAAAAAATAATTGAATGGCTTTTACTGAATTTGATAATTAAACATATAATTTTCTAGTTCTTTGCATTTTATTTATGAGTTTTTTCTCATGAACAGAAACAAATCTACTCGATCCCTAGGTAATGTATCTCAACTTGCCTAATAATCTCCTCAAAAAGGTTCGAAGCTATTCATCAGAAATCTTGTATATACACCCAAATAATTCATCCTGTGTTCTTCCTTTATTTACAGCTTTTGTTTTTGTTGCATTAAATTATCACTTGGTCTTTCCACATTCATGTTGAATTCTGGCTATATCAGAAAAAAAATTGTCCAATCTGAAATTGGTTTGGTTTTTGTCAGAAGTCCAGGAAAATTATTCTTTATGTCTGACAAGACTTACAAAAACAGGATTTTCTTTGTGTATTCTCTGTGGGTATGAAATTAAGCACAATTAGCATCCTTCATGTGAACTAGACCATCCATACTCAGATGCTAGATGATCAGAGATGGGTAAAAGACACAATAACAGGCTCAGTTTCTCAATTAGGATATATCAGTTTTCTATCACCACAATAATGTTATATAATAAACCACCTCAAAAACTTGCTACTTAGAATAACAATAATTTATTAATTCTCATGCACCTGTGTTTGCTGGGTGTTAAAAAAATCTCAACTTAAAAAAAACTCTGATAAATTGTTTTAATTTATCAGCGTTTATTTGTGCAAAAATCCTCAAAAGCAACAATTCTCAAATCGGGCAGTCCTCAGAACCAGAACAGTTTCTAAGAACTTCTGCCTGCTACATGGTCAGACAGCATTTATGAACAGAAAACAAAAGTACTGCAAAAAGAACAACTTGGCTGGGTGCGGTAGCATATGCCTGTAATTCTAGTACTTTTGGAGGCCAAAGTGGGAGGATCTCTTGAGCCCAGGAGTTCGAGACCAGCCTGGGCAACACAGTGACCTTGTCTTTACAAAAAATAAACTAAATTAGCCACATGTGTTGGCTTGTGCCTGTAGCCTCAGCTACAGGGGAGGCTGAGGTGAGAGGATTGCTTGAGCCTAGGAGATAGAGGTTGCAGTGAGCTGAAACCACACCACTGTACTCCAGCCTGGGTAGCAGAGCGAGACCCTGTCAAAACAAAACAAAATAAAAAAAACATATTTAATTGTTTATAGCTTGGCCTTTTGTCTTATTTGGATCCACTGGCCATCCACAATTGACTAAACTTCAGCAGCTGTATCTAACTGCAACTCAGCTATAAGTATACTCTCAAGTTAATTAGTTTCATTTAACATGAATGACTCCATATTGATTTGCTTTGTTGGACCCAGCATAGGAGCTTAGTATAAATCAATGGTCTCCTACACATTTTATTATTCCAGAATAACAATACTTTATTATTTTTTAAGCATCTCTGTTTGCTGGACAATTCTGCTAATATGAGTTGAGTTCAGCTGTTCATTGTTTTTGCAGTTAGCTGGTGAGCTAGGGGCTGAGATGACTAGGCTATACTCTATATTGTGTTTCAGCTCTAGCTGGCTAGCTTGAACTTGTCTTACGGAAAAGGCAAAGGAACAAAAGACGGAATGAAAGTAAGGAAGGCTTTTCGAGGTCTAGAGCTGGAATAGCATACATCACAAGGCCAGCCTAGATTCAAGGAGTGGGAAAATAGATAAGAGGAGCTTCAAAATCACATTGTAAAGAAAATGTATATAAAGATGAATAGAAATTTGAAACCACTCTTCTTCTTTTGCAATGAATCCATCACAGTAGCTCATTTTCTTCTCAAAAGAACACTAGTATTACTTGACTCTTCTACTCTTTTAATGTCTTTTAGGTTACTACTTCTCATATATGTTGTCTCTTGGGTCATTGAGAGAAGATAATTTGGCCAGAGTTTGGCTATCAAAGGTGTATGAGTTAGGGTTCTCCAGAGAAACAGGGCCAATAGAGTAACAGAAATATAGAAACAGAAGCAATAGAACTGAGAAAACAAGATATATGTATGTCTATCTATATCATCTATCTATAGATATACATGCACAGTATTTTTTAAATTTATGTTTAAAATATATAACATAGTGTTTTGATATGCATATTGAAATGATTACTAGAGACAAGAAAATTAACATACTCGTCATCTCACAGAGTTACCCTTGTATGTATGTCTGTGTGTGTGTGGTAAAACTAGCTAAAATTACTCTCTTAGTAAATTTCTAGTATGCAATGTAATTTTGTTAACTATCATCCTAATGCTGTAATTTAGATCTCTGTCCTACTTTTCCTACATTATTTTAAGGAATTGGCTAATGTAACTGTGGGACTGGCAAGTCTAAAATCCGTGGAGTAGGCCAGTAGGCTGGAGAAATAGGGAAGGGCAGATGTTGCAGCTCCAGCCTGAAGACATTCTGGAGGCAGAATTCACTCTCATGGGACCTTAGTCTCATTTCTCTTAAGGCCTTCAAATGGTTAGATGAGGTCTACCACATTATGGAGGATAATTTGCTTTAGTCAAAGTCTACTGATTTAAATTCTACTCTTATCTAAAAAATACCTTCACAGAAATATCAAAACCGGTGTTTAACCAAATATCTGGGTACTGTGGTCTAGCCATGTTGACACATGAAATTAACCATTACTGAAGATTTTAGTATTTTCCAACCAGGAGTTTATTTTATTTTGTTAGGTACTTTGGGCAAATGATCAAAGATCCAGTGCAAGAGTAAACAAACTTTTTCTGTATAGGACCTGGTAGTAAAAAATCTCTATCTCACAGCACTTCTTAAAAAACTTCTGTAAAAAATGTAAAAAACATCTTTGGATCACAGGGCTTATAATCTGCATTTGTATATTTGTAAGATATGAGCTGGGTTTGGTCCATGAGCAATAGTTTACTGATTTTTTTGTCTAGTAAATGGAGTTTTACTAAGCAAATCACTATAAATTCAGCCTATTTTAAGAGTGGAAAAAACCTTTCCCATGCCATGGTTTTAGATGCTCAGATGTTAAATGTATTCATTGCCAAGAGCAGATTTAAGACTGATCCGTCGCCTCCTAAGGTCATATATCCTTCTCTATGGCAAAATGCTGCTCAGAAGAGGCTATACAGGATATGTGCAGAGAGTAACAAAAAGGCACTCAATGTATGTTCTGGGTTGAAAGGGTGAGTTTTCCCCATTAGCTTCTCTGATATGGTTAGTCAAACGAACTCATGACTCAGGGTTACATAGCAGATAGGTGCTCTTGATCACATCATCACTGCATTGCAGCAACATGCGTGATTATGAAAACAGAAGCTATTTTCCCCACCAATAGAAAAATTTCTCTGGAAAAAATGGAGGAAAGATAATTGAGCTCAGGAGGCTTTTACTCCCAGGCCAAAAGTCCATGTTTTGTTCACTCAAATATACACATAGAAAAGTACATGAATGATAAGTTTTATGCATTTTTACCTGCATAACTTTATGAATTTTCACAAGGTGAATATTCCCTTATAACCGCTATTCATTTCAAGTAATAGAACATTGCCAAAACACCAGAAGATGTTTGCATTTCGGCACTATATTCCTCCTCCCCCAACTCAGCAATTATCTTGAACCAATATCATAAATTACTTTTTTGCTTCTTTTTATTTTTACCTATCACCTAGCTCATTAATTCTCTATCATAGATGGTCTGTTGTTAAACTCACCTATTGATATGTTATTTTCAGTAATTGTATTTTTCAGGATGGTTTTCTAGGGCTAGTCCTACAATTAGTTTATTACCATTGTCTAGAACTAAATCTTTATTATACATTCCAGTGTTTGGGAAATGAAATTCTACATCTTATCATCTGTTTTACTAAATAGATGTATTGTAATTACTGTAAGGTCTATTTCTAGTAGTTCTTCTTTCTGGACTTCATTCATTCTGATTTTTCTCTCAATTTAGTCATTTGGTCAGTTTTCCTTGTATGTCTGGTAACTTTTTATTGAATGTCAGATAATTGAAATGAAATATTTTAGGGATTATTTGGGGATCTTGCTAATGTATTTTCCCCCCAGCAAGAATTTACTTTTTCTTTTTGGCAGAGAATTAAAGTAGGTGAAGATTAGCCTTAAGCAGTCTGTGACTGAGCTGATCTGAAGTTGGGTTTTAGTTTTAGAAAAGACGATTTGGTTTGTTTTGGCTATAGCCCTTCCAGGATCTTAATAGAAGCTGGGACCTCTTGTTATTATCTCCATAGCCCATTAGAAAGTTAAGATAATTTTTTTTAGGAAATATAGAGAAAAATGTTTAAAAGTTTTTTATTTGCCTGCCAAAATAACGCATTTTTAAATTGCTCTACTTTAAGACTCAACACTTACAGATTATGGTTGTTCATGTAGAGGAGACAAAAAACATGCAAAGATGATGTGAATTTTTCAGAAATTATCTAAGAACATATAGTTTTATTTCATTTTCATGCCATGTTGCAATTAATTTTTTTTATGTTTGAATCCACTGTCCTAAATGAAAGCAAATTGCGTAAGACCAGCACAACATATGATGGCAGTAATGAACATCCTTAAAAATGGTAGGAATGGCCAGGTGCAGTGGCTCACGCCTGTAATCCCAGCACTGGGAGGCCGAGGCTGGTGGATCATGAGATCAGGAGTTTGAGACCAGCCTGGCCAATTTGATAAAACCCTGTCTGTACTGAAAATACAAAAATTAGCCAGGCGTGGTGGCATGCGCCTATAGTCCCAGCTACTCGGGAGGCTGAGGCAGGAGAATCCCTTGAACCTGGGAGGCAGAGGTTGCAGTGAGCCAAGATGGTGCCACTGCACTCCAGCCTGGGTGACAGAGCAAGACTCTGTCTCAAAAAAAAAAAAAAAAAGGTAGGGATACTGGGAACACAGTCACAAAGGCAAAAAAGTCAAAATGAGAGCATATTTTGGAAGATTAAGATTCAAAATCTCACTCTCCTTGAATTATAGATCTTTTTTTACTTCAGTAAATGTTCCTTTTTAAAAACATATATATTGTTTTTCAGTCATCTGGCAGAGTGCTTTTTTAGAAACTTCTTTTGCAGTAATATAATGCCTTAAAGTGTGGTGGGTAAGGGAAGGACAGGCAGAGGAGTGGCTGAAGCACAACTCATTCATCTGCTTTATTATAAGATTGTTTTTCCCCAGAATGTCTGTGAATACTGCACTGAACTACTCCATAATACTGAGGACAGAGCACAAGAAACTACCATTCCTGCTGAAATGGTCCAAAACCCACACATCACTTTTAGTTCTAAAGATTTGAATTTATTTTTATTTTGCTTTTGCATTAAGATGAGAAAAAAGCCAAACTTGTAATTCCACATATTGGAAGAATTAGTCTTCAGGATTTTAAAACAGACAGAATAGGATCAGATGATTAGTGCCCTACATTCCTGACCTAGTTTGCATCTTTCTGTTTAGTTTCCTTATAATTATGAATTATTAGAGTTGTCTGTGACTTCAAAAAGCAATGTTTATGATTCTGTAAAATGGAATTTTCAGCTTCACATGGGTATGTGGTCATAAGATTGTATTCTTTTTCCACAAATATTTCCTATTTTGGTGGACAGTTTCATATTGCCTACTTTTATTAAGAAATTTTACGTTATTTCTTTAGAAAATCATCTATCAAAAAATAACATTATTTTGTGAAGAGTGATGGAGACTTTTTCATGGCTTCTTAGCCTTATTTCCTGATATTCTTTTTAATCCATTCTATGCCATAATGATGAACCTTCCAGCCCATATCCAGTCCCCAAAGACACTGTGTTTGCAGGCAGCCCTGACTTTACACTTGCTCCTTTCCCCATGTGACTGCTTACCCACCTCCTTCACTCATTGTTGAAGACTAAGCTCATGCGTCATCTTTATGAGAACTCCCAGACTTCATGTAAAAAGTCTTTCTTGTACTGTGACAACACGCCGTTTTTTTTTTTGTTTGTTTGTTTGTTTGTCTTTTGAGATGGGGTCTCACTCTGTTGCCTAGGCTGGAATGCATGGCACGATCTTGGTTCACTGCAACCTCCACCTCCCAGGATCAAGCCATTCTCCTGCCTCAGCCTCCCGAGTAGCTGGGATTACAGGTGCCCGCCACCACACCCAGCTAATTTTGTATTTTAGTAGACTCGGGCTTTCTCCATCTTGGTCAGGCTGGTCTTGAACTCCTGACCTCAGATGATCCACCCGTCTCAGCCTCCCAAAGTGTTGGGATTACAGGTGTGACACACTCTGTTTTATAATTATTTGTAATATGTTCACTTCTCTCTATTGAGTTGTGAATTTATGTGTGGTAATGACAGTCTTTTATTATTCTTTAAATTACTGATATTTAATATGCTCCTTGGCCCAAGTACACAATTAATAGATCTTCACTAAAAATAAAAAAAAAATCTAAATTAAAGTCCCAAAGCCCAGCATTTCTTTTGACATAATGTACCTTATATTCAGGTTTTCATTGTTCTTGTTATTATTTAATTAAACATATTCTGGGAAGAGTAAAAGTGTACTTATATCAATGTGTAGGTC
Source organism: Homo sapiens (assembly GCF_000001405.40). Classification (NCBI taxonomy): domain Eukaryota; kingdom Metazoa; phylum Chordata; class Mammalia; order Primates; family Hominidae; genus Homo; species Homo sapiens. The sequence continues at coordinate 28,463,169 of NC_000021.9, read as the reverse complement.
TGTGAAATATCTAATACTTTATACCGTATCATTTCTAAAGATATATAGTATTCATTAGCTACTATAATATGCTTTTGAGAGAATGTCCATATGGGTTTTCTTAGACTGATTCGGTCTGTCACCGCTTTAGAAGTTCTTGGCAAAACTGAAATGAGTGATGGCAACAATACATTGACAGAGTCTAGTTTTAGACTGTAACATCAGCTTGTTTGGAATGGAGCTCTTTGGAGTATCAGGAGATGAAGAGATATTATGTTTGCCTTTATGGGAAACTTTCCCTCTGGAGTATCAGTGCCCAACCATATAGAAGAAAAAGAAGGAATTGACTGCCTTTATTTAGCACGAAGCAAGCTTAAAACCTTTGCCCCAACGTGAGGGCCAACTTCTAGTCAAAGGATTGCTTTTGGAGAGTATCACCATTGTATTTGGTTACAAGAGAAACTAATATTCTATTTGGAAAGAGTCAGTATCTTAAATTACCTTTTATGGTATTAACTCAAGAGGAATTTCACCATAATGTAACAATGACCTAAATCAAACTATAAATATGGTTTCTGCTAGTAAAGAAATTGTCTTTACAGGACAATAATGGCTTGGTTTTAAAGAAAAATGTTCTGAGGTTACTTTAAACTTTTCTTACTCGTGAAATAAATATTGTCTGCTTACTATTTATTTAGTAACATTGTGCGTAGGGCATTGTTCACCAATTTACTAGTTCTGGATTCTGCTCAAATGCAATCTATAGCCAGATTCTTCAACTTTGACTGAATTCTTCAGAGTCACTAATATTCCTCTTACATTTTCCAGTATTTCAGGTAATCATGCATATCCACTGCCCAAGCCAGCAAATCTAAGTCTCTTAAGATTTCCAACTGTGCTTGCTACCATGAGAACATTTAGTTCCTAGAAGTTAAAAGCATACCTTTAAGCAGCTCATAAATTCTGGCTTCAGATTTAAACTGATGTCAGATGTCAGAGTCAATAACCTCCTAAACTGATGTGATCTCAATTCCATATGGCTCCGTTAGTCCACTTGATCTTCACATCTAAAACTGCTATGTGGTTAATTACCTGAGTCAGAACCATTCTTATGGGGAAGCAAAGGGTCTTCAGTTCAGATACGTATCAGGCTTCATTACTTTGTAGTTTGAAGGTTATCTCCTTACTTGAAAATATTTGGAAAGAGTGAAGTCTGTGGATCTCAATATTGAGAGTGCATAATTTTTATCACTTGGGGCATGTAAAATGACATTCGGGGGCCCCACCCCAAGACAATCTGGTTCACCGCGTTGAGTTGTTGCAGATTTTGGAGATGCAAAAATCCCACTTTTGAAAACACTGTCTTGAGATTTATACCCTCATCTTGGTGGATTTGGGAGTCATCTGGAGAGCCACAGGGGCTGGTAAAGACAGTCTTCTGGGGAAAGAAGCTCCAGGGGGAAGGCTGGGGCACTGAGGAGCAGGGCACTGAGAAAGAAGATAGAGACCCTAAAAATGTTTGTGTTCACTTTAAAACATTACCACTGTGTTCATGCATAATGAGGAACTGCTTGGGGTTATAATCACATTCTAGTGAGAAATGACTGCTGAAATAATTAAGGGGGTTGACTCTGTCGATGAGGAGTGAATGACTTTGTCTTTGGTGATACTGAAGTGAGGCTCCACTCAATGCACCGATCAAGTTTGTATCCTTGGATTTGACTCCGTACTCTTGTCTCCCATGCACCACACAGTGGTGGTGATCTTACGTAAGAAGTATGAAGACAGCAGTTGGGGTCAGATTAAAAAAGGATCAATCACAAGGAGTGATATAATTCTGCTTGTTAGGAGGGAGAATGAGTTGGACTCTGCTCCTGACCCTCAGTCAAAGCTGGAAACCCGGTGAGACCCCTACATGGTCAGGCACCAGTCCAGAGAAAGGGCCACTATTACATGTTGCTATCACATTCCAGGAGGAGGGCTCTAGCCATGTGTGAGTAGAGTGGAGGACAAAAATGAGAAAACCAAGTGAATGCTGTCAGCTGTCATTTTTGTGAGTGTGTGTGTGCATGTAACTCAATTAGCTGGTGCCTTCTATACCCTCCTTTGATCACATATTTATGTATGTGTTCATTCATTCTTTCATTTGATGATTCCACTAATATTTATTAAGGGTTCACTTTGTGCCAGTCACAGTGCTAAATGATGAAAATGACACAATCATTGCACAATTAAATCTAGTGAGAAAAACAGATGAGGACAGATAATAACAGTACTGGAGAGTAAGTACTATGACAAGGAAATAATGGGCACCTTGGGTGCACATAGGAAGGAAACATTGCTCGGACTTGGGGAATCCAGGAAGGCTTACCATTAGAAGGAGAATCTGAGCCCTGAAGACTGACAATTATTAGTCAAATAACGGAAGTAGTATTGCTGAAGACAAAAGGAATAACTTGTGAGAGTCATGAAGCAGGAGAGATCATGGTGTGATCAAGGAGCTGCAAAGCCAACATGAGCCAGGAACATCTTTCTATTAGTTTGCTCTCATACTGCTGATAAAGACATACCTGAGACTGGGTAATTTGTAAAGTAAAAATGTTTAATGGACTTCACAGTTCCACATGGCTGGGGAGGCCTCACAATCTTGGCGGAAAATGAAGGAAGAGCAAAGGGACATCTTACATGGTGGCAGGCAAGAGAGAACTTGTGCAGGAAAGCTTACTCTTATTCACTATCATGAGGACAGCACAGGAAAAACCTGCCCCTATGATTCAGTTACTTCCCACTGGGTCCCTCCCATGACACAGAATTGTGGGTGCTAAATTCAAGATGAGATTTGGATGGGGACACAGCCAAACCATATGAACCTTGAAACCTGGAAATATGTGTTGCAAAGGATGAGGCTGTAGAGGTAAGCATGGAGAAAATGGGACCTCACTGGGTCTAGGGAATTTAGAGATGAATAAGGCAGACTTGCACCCTCAGTAAGTTTATATTTGAGAATGCTCTTTTCATTCCATTTTTATAAAGTTATGAACCAATCGGAAACATATAGTGCTCAAATTCAATAGACTCCATCCACCATTTTAGATCCCATTACAAGCAAATAAATAATACATTTTACTGAAAGTGTCATTCATTAACTTTAGGCTGAGAAATATCGATGTTGAAGTTCAAATAATGTAGTACTGAATATTCATGGACTCTGTGTGCTGGACACTTTTCTAAACACTTTGTAAGTATTAATATAGTTAATCCTTATAAACAATTTTTGTCACATATATGATTATTATTTTTCTTGTTATGGATGAGCAGACAGAAGCATCAAGAGGTTATGTAACTTGCTCAAATTACATCAGAGCTTCTCTCTACATAATTCTACCTCCAGAGTCTGTCTTTTCTACTCTCATGTTATATACCCTCTCTGATTTAAGAAATGGATACTGTGAAAAATCAGAATAATAGAATTTCTTCAGTGGGTGAGAAGTCTGGTTGAAGACTAAAAGTGTCTGGTTTTTAATCAGTAATAGAGAAGCTACTGTCTTTACCACCAGAAAATGTGTGCCAAGGAGGCTAGTTTTAGTTAACTCTTGGATCTCATTCTTAATTCTGGCAGCCCCATCTATTATTGCAGATCCTGCCTGGGTATACTGGGCTTTCACCAGCTATGTAGAGATAAGACCTGACATCTCTCTTTTGCTTCCTGCCATGGGGATTCTCAGCAGTTGCTGTGGGAACCCACTTGGTTCTCACGCATGTGTAACCTGGAAATGCAGGAGATCTGATGCAGTAGGGGGTGACAGCTGATGCAATAGGGGGTGAGAGCTGATGCAATAGGGGGTGAGAGCTGATGCAATAGTGGGTGAGAGCTGATGGAATAGGGTGGGTGAAAGTCCATTGATCAATGCTTTCTCCTAGTTCTAAGATGTATTTTGTAAGACTCATCAGATGGTCCTGCGGGTTTGGGCACAATCTGTTGTAGCAGTTGGCCATTTTGATAATGCAGCCTTGTACTGGCTTTTCCTCTTTCATGGATTCACTGTTCCTGGACTTCCCTTTAGCTCTCTGGAATCCCACTTGTATATAAACTCCTGGTATGCAAACCTTTATCTCAGAGTCTTCTTTGAGGAACACAGGCTAAGACAATAAGTTAGATCCATATGTCAGAGAAGTTTGGTAATAAATTGTAGTGTAAATGTAGAATACAGAATTGCTATTCCTATAGGAATAAAACAATGCTGATTCTCTTTTTAGGTTTAGAAACTGGGAAACAAAATGTATATAAAAGTCCTCACTCTGAGTTCCTCATACAAAACACCGTAAGATTTTCCTTTAAAGTATAGAGATAAGAAGTACTTTACCAATAGAGCCTATTATAGTGAAGTTACCCAAGCAGCATTTTAGCTCCTGGTTCCATCACAAAATAGTTATGTAATTTGGGAAAGATAATGTCTTCATGACTTACTACTTCTCTTTTCTGGCTAGAACACATGAATATGGATGATTATAACTTTATTTGCATAGTATTTCCTAGAATGGTGTTTATAACACTCCTGCTGCTGTTTAAAGTATATCTTTGCATAACAACATACATAAGTGTCTAGAACTGTGAAGGATGTGAGATTTTTTTACCCTGTTTGCAAATGTAAAAATCAGCCTGCCGTGGATACCTGGATGCTGACAGAAGATGCAAGACTTTGGGGTCAGAAACAAAGGCAGTTTATTATTTGCAGCAATAGCAGTAGCCAGAGTATTAACATTTTTGTGCTGGTTCCTCAGTCTCAATTCCCACAGGAAGATGCAAACATTTTCAGGTGATACTTGTATGCTTAGTGGGTTGTATTACAGTCAAGGAATTCTGAACTTAGGGAACTCACATCTTTTATAATGAGAAATAAGATGCCTGCCCTTTTCTCTGGCAGGAGACGTTATCTTTACTACTCTGGAGAGTAAGCAAGCATGCTTTTTAATTTGGAGGGAGTCATCATCTCCATGTAGTAGGAGGCCATAAATTCTTTGTTCCAGAGCAAGACATTATCTCTCTCTTTTAAGGCTTCTCATCACATAAATATTTTTGAAAAGAAATAATGTGGAATGAAAGGTTGAACATATAGAAATTTGAGAGACCCATGGACTATTGTCTCCCAGGGACTCTCCAGAAACATCGTGTGAAAAGTATGTGTAGTAGTGCCCTTGCCATATGGACACGTGGCAACTGCTTAAGACGAGAGAGTTTTGGATGCCACAAAGTGAAAGTCGTTATACTGATGTTACCCTTGCACCAGGTTAGAAAAATATTTTTCTCTCATGTTCACTAAAACACCAGTTGCACATCTTACTGTCAGGAAATGCTTTACATAAGTACGTAGATATATAGGTAGAGCTAATTATAGTGTATAGATATATAATTTTACTCTTATTCTCAGTACAAATGATACACTTGATTTATTTTATTATTGCCATCTGTCATTTAAGAAGTATTTCCCTGTATTCTATTTTATTTGTGGAAGGCATGGAAATTATTATACATTAAAATTAGACAACGTATATAGGGGTGATCTTTATCCTCTCTAGAAATACTCCCTTTGGAAGACATAAGTCAAATAATATATGTCAATGTATTTGTGTTGTCTCTCACTGAAGAGATGGTGGTCCTCAGAAAGAAGGACATTGCAACATGACAAGTTTATGTGGTAGTAATTTCACAGGTCCTTGACCAAAGGAGCATATGAAAATTACTTGGGTAATATATACTGGGGAAAGAGGAATGTGCAGGCATTTTGAGGATAATTGGACATAAGGTCTGAGCTGACCTTGATACTCAGGAACTGAAGCACAATCATATGCCACTGTTAGAATGGGCATATATGAGAGCAAGTAATAAATGGAGTGCTAGCTCAGGACAGGCTCCCAGTGGATCCACTGATTCCCCAGATTTAGATAGTGGTCATTTCTCTGTGTCTCCAAATGTACAATTGGAATGGATATATTTTGCTAGCCAAAAAATGCCAACCTGAAAGAAGGATGAAACAGATCTTTTTTATGGTACAAATGATAGGCCAACTTGGTGTTGATAGTCTGCAAGGTTGCATACACCAGGAGGTGTTAAGTACCCTAAATCAATAACTGTAAACTGATGTTATTTTCCCAGTAGGTGTCTAGAAGCTAAAGGGTGGAGTGGCCCAGCTTACGACCACACCCATAGCACACTTGGGGGAGTTTTAGCTTCCTTTTTTTTAAAAAAATTTAGGTTTTGTGGATCTAGAAGTACTTATTCTCAAAAGGAAATGCTTTCACCAGGGGAGACAAGGAAAGTCCTGTTGAGCTTTAAGCTATTACTGCTGTCTGGTCAGGCTCCTTATATCAAAGGATGAGTAGGAAGAAATGACTACATCGTGGCAGGGTAGTTGACCCCAAATATTAGGGGTAGAAAAGGTAGCTGTACCACACTTGGGGCAGGGAGGAACATGTTTGGCACCACTGACCTACTAGTGTGTTGCTTAGTACTCCCCTTCCCTGTTGTGATAGGATGGTAATAAACAAAAATTTTGCAACTGTGACCCAAGAATTGCATGGTGGCTAAGACCTCAGACCCCTCAAAGATGAGTATTTGGGTCCCCCCAACAGGTAGACAACCTAGACCAAAAGAGGTGCAAGCTGAGAATGTATGGAATATAGAATGGGGAGTAAAGGTGGGCACTGTTGAGTATCATTTGCAGCCCTGAGACTAGCCCTAGTGGAGAGGACCAAAATTCCTCTAACAAATTGCATTCGAAAATGAGACCAACTAGGATCCCAAAGAGGATGTTTCTAGATTGAGAGAGCTTATTTACAAGAATCAAGTAGAACCAAGCATCGTATATTAGAGTGAACTGTAGTGGATACTATTGTGTGTCACCCAGATTAATGCCTTCAGAGTCAAGGTGCTCGTTCTCCAACCCTGAATATGTTGGCTGCTGTTGGATCCTAGCTGTGTTCCCCTGTAGAAATTGCCCTTGATGGAAGAACACTCCCTCAAGTGTCCAGTGTCTAGTCTGTTGGGTATATAAACACCTGGCCCCCTTTGTCTCAGTTTGGGACATCTTTAGAGGGTCACCACAGATTCAGAGTTCTACAGACTCTCTGTGGGATGGGCTGGAGCCTTTGATTGAACTCTACTACATTTCAACTTTTCCTTTGGAAAAGTCTTACTTCTTCACTCCCTTACAAGCAATATTCCTGAGAAGACATGCTGAGAAACCTCCTGTGCACAGATCTCAGTGTCTGTATGCAGAAAATCTGATCAATGACAACATACTTATTTGTTTCCCTGTGGGACAGTTTGGGCAACCTAAATTAGTAACGGCATACCACTTTTTTGCTTCGTATTTACTTAGTTTGGAATGAAAGTGAGAGATTTCGGGTAATAGACAATATAGAGATTATGTAACTCAATATTTTTCTATAATAGATAATCAAATAAAGGAAGGTTAAGTGAATCTTCTCCCTTTGTAAAAGTTATAAAAGAGCAATGAGAGGATGCCCTCCCTTTCTGAGGCTCTCATGTGCACAGAAACGTAAGAAGGAAATCTCATTCCAACTTGGGCATAGATTACTGTATCTTTAGCATATAAAGGGCAAAATTGGAAATGAGAGAATGAAAGTGAAAGCGTGAAAATCAGCTTCTTCCTCGATTCCCTTGCTATTGGATTTTATTCCAGGCTGGCTCTCCCAGTGCTGTGAAACTAATGAGCTGTGTTCTCATTCTGACTCAGTGTAGGCCACACCATTTGCAAGCCTGTTTAGAATGAGAGTGACGAGAGAAAGAATTACAAGTATTCACCTATTTTGTGTTCTTGCAAATTAAGAAATGTTGGATAAAACCCTCGTTTTACTCAATTCTGGGCAATTTCAAATTGAAGCATATTTTTGCCATCATAAAGAGCAGGCTTGAAGTCCTAATACTGGACTAAATTTATTTATGGACTAGGCATTCTCTCACTATGGCAATGTGGTGAAGTGGCCAGCAGCCCAGGACTACTCACTTTTTCCCTGCTTCCAGGAAGTAGCACAATAATTGTTAACAGACATGGCTGTAGAAAGCTTTTCTTTTTTTAAAATTTCTGTGACTATAATGAATTGTATGCCAAACATATACATATGTATAACTAAAAATGTGAGAAGCATGTATTATTCCAGTCACATTTAATTGCATCAACATGGAATTCCTATTGGCTTTTGCAGAAACAGCTAATGCGCCATGTGTGGAAGAATCCAGATGTTTGGATTCTATGCTCTTCCAATCCATTATATGAACATCCATTTATTACAATGTGTTGCATTGTGTGGAATGGAGAACTGCATCACTAATAAGGAAGTAAAGTTGAAGGCTAATTATACCGTTGCTATTTTCAAATGAGGATTTTTCTGCTGAAAGTGTTATTTTCAACATGAAATGGTGAATGATTTCTGCCTTGTGTTTTCATAGAGCCCTTCTGCTTGTTATTACTTACATGGCCATATGTCTCTTTCAGCAACTTCATTCAGCAACTCCAATCACAAACTCCAATCACATGTATACACACACATGCACACACACACACACACAAACACACACAAAAGCACAAACACATGCACTCATCCCTAAAATATAGGAGAACACAGCAAAGGCTTTAGCAGATATAAATGCCCAGGGCATAGAGTGATTGACAACTCATTCCCTTTAAGAAGAATGGGAACAATTTTCTAATGGGGTTTTGAGATGAGATGATATGAGAGGTTGAAAGATGGGATTTTGACAGTTGCAGTTTGGGGAGAGGATAATTTTAAGTGGACAGAATTTAATAAATAAAAGACAGATGGTGAAGAAAAGGCAACATGTTTTAAACATTTGCTGTATTCCCTTTTAAATATATAATTTCTTCTTTTATGACAAAGCAGGGATGGAACATTTCAACAAATCAGACTGAACACATTTAACGATACCAAGCTGTAAGGCCCAGTGCCCTTCAGTGGGAGGTCACTATTTTATTTACCTCAACAACATTAAAACACCCACATCTCAAGTCCCCACCTGATCTGACATTTAGTCTGATAAATAGTTAAGAGAATCAGGTCCGTGGGTATGATCATAGAATGACATGAGCCTATGGATCTCTGAAGGGTCCATAGAGAGCACAGGGCTTAGAAATGTTTCTATCAGGAAAGGCCTTGGAAAAGGAGCAGTTCTCAGATAGTGGTTGCTCTTCTTGATCTCTTTGGAGCAAAAAATCAGAAAAGCAATATGTACTTTAGATTCCAGGGCTCTTGGCATTGTTAATGTTTGAGCAGAAAGCAAGATAGATTGGACTTACAGATGAACGGTATGGATCCTTTTTGATCCACAACTATCAGTACTTGATTTAATTTGCCTCCTTCTCTTTTTACCATTTTAATCACTCCTAGGACTCCAACTTTTACCTCAAAGTAAAAGTCATCTAAACTTACGTCCTTGGCCATCTCTCCCTGCAAAGCTCCCATTCTCCTTTTCCAGCTACCTGTTCTACCTCAAACTGAGCAGTGCAAATCTTGGCTCCCCATTTTACAGGTTATTTTTTTTATATTTTTGGATGCCTCCCAAACCCCACTTTCCACCTTCTGTTGACCCATCTCGGGGCAGGAATTTGCTACTTGTTTTCCATAGTTAAAGCTTTGGCCTCGTATTCAACAATTCTCTTGAACTTTAAAAATAAGTTGGTTGCATCCAACCTCTTTCAGTTCTACCTTTGAAATGAATCATGAATCCATTCATTCTTTTTTATTCCAATCACTGATGGCATAGTCTGGAAATTCAGTTCTTCCTACTCTGCAGCAATAGGTTCTTAAATGGTTCTTGTGAATCTGTTCTTTCATTCCTTGTGTGTATCCATTTCCCAAAATACAAAATATGATGATGAAGGTAACAATAACTAAATGAGGAAGAGGGGGTACAACTACCTACTTAATTGTTATGAACCTTAATCAAGATTAGTTTTGTAAAGCATGTAGCATAGTGCCTGGAATATAATACATCCTGAATAAATATTGGCTATTACGTTTCTCTTTACCTTAGAAACACTGCATGTGTATATGCCAGTTCTCAAACTCACCTAATTCTTCCCCACATCTGGAGCTCCTTGCATCTGTCCCCTTTATTGGAATATCCTTCCTCTCTCTTTTGTCCTCTCTACCTTCAGCAGGCTACTTTCTGTTCATGCTCCAATCTCTGTTCAAAATTATATGTTTTCATTCCAGTCTTCCCTGAGTGCCAAGACCTGTTTAAACCACTGTGCTATGTGCTCCTGCAGAAAGTTGTATTTCTAATATTGAAGTTATTGAGTAGCAAAATAGAAAGTCATCACGTCAAAATACAGATGGACAAAGAATATGGAGATGATTCCTTTTCTGTAACTGATAGAATCTTCCTGAATGATGCCTACTCTAATAAAGAATTCTAACATGCTTTTAATGGTATTTTGGTTTTTCCCTATATTTTTGTATAGTTAGATTTACTTTAGGTTTATGTCCAGTCATTCAGATTTCCTCTCTGCTCCTTTTTTCTCACTGCAAGAGCCTCCACAGTGGTCTTTCTTGCTGCCTTGATGTCATCTGGCTCTTTTAGGCACTGTAGACCCCATCAAACCTCGGCCACTTGCTATAGAAGCCCCCACTGCAATCTCACTGGCTCTTAATTTCCCTGCCTTTGGAAACCTCTGCATGGCACACGGGGACTTCTAAGCCCCTCTCCTGCCACACTGAAGCAGAGGGACACTCAAGAGCATTACTTCAACCTTCCTTCTGCTCAATCATGCTTGCAATAATCTGCAAGGACCTGCAGGCTTACTGTGATCGAGAGAAAGAGAAGATATTGCATTAGAGTAGTTTTATCCAGGAGGGAAACACAGTTGAGTGTTATCCCTTTCAATCCAGGGGAGGGTGTGAAGGGTAAGAAATCAAATGAGAAGATCCCATTTGGGATTCTGGGAAGAGATGGCCTCACATGATGCCTCTCACCCCAGCCTGGGGTAGTCTTGTCACAGTAGAAATAACAAGCATATTTAGTCAGAAAGAAGGTCTATAATCACACTCTTGAGCCTTTTTCTACTCAAAGCATTTCCTGGCACTTCCCTCTCTTTTCCTATGTTTTATCATCTGTGTTTTTCTATTATTGTGCCTGTCGTTCATTGTATTTTGTAATGTCTGTCTCTTCCTTCTAGACCAGCAGTCCTCATCTGAAAGTGATTCTGTCCCCCATGGACATCTGGGCAATGTCTGGAGACATTTTCCTTGTCACAACCCTGGGGAGAAGGTGGTGAGGGGGTGCTACTGGCATCTAGTGGGAAGAGGCCAGGGGTGATGTTAAATGTTCTACAATGCACAGGAAAAGTTCTGTAACAAAGAATTGCCTGGCCCCCAGTGTCAATAATGGTGAAGTTGAGAAATCCTGTTTTAGACTGTAAAGAACTTGAGGCACGGATGCTGTCTTATTTATCTTTTCATTTCCAGTACCTCAAACATTATGTGGTTTATAATAGAGACTTTATAATTATTTATTTAATGGGTAGGTCATGAATGAATAAATAACTAGAAACATGAACGACATAAATGAATGAGTACCAGATATGTAATTTTTGAAATCTTCTAAAAAGCTCAATTGGTTTTGCTTATTTTGATTGATACAAAATTAACTTTGGTAGTTGAGTAGAAAAATGATCACATCTGATCTTTTCAGGGCCACAGATACTGGTTGATCGCTTAAAATTCACATAGCTCATGAAGGAGAGGAGGGAGCTAACATGGCAAATATTAGCGGTCAGCATCAAGCCCTTGCCCAACGACCTCTTCACCCTCATGTCTCCTAACAAATGAGGATGTTGCAGCACTGGAAAGACCTTCTTGGCTCTATGAGAAGAACAAACTGGATCCCTCCATTCAATGATCAAAAAGTTCACCAGAAATGGTCCCATGGGCATGTAGCATCTGCACTCAGTAATGGGAACTGATAGTGAAATTGTAGTCTACATGGCACATGGTGTGCTATTAACAGTTCCTGGCCAGGTGTTGTGGCTCACGCCTGTAATCCCAGCACTTTGGGAAGCTGAGGGGGGTGGATCACTTGAGGTCAGGAGTTCAAGACCAGCCTGACCAACATGGTGAAACCCCATCTCTACTAAAAATAAAAAAAATTAACCGGGCGTGGTGGCACACGCCTGTAATCCCAGCTACTCAGGAGGCTGAGGCAGGAGAATTGCCTGGGAGGCAGAGATTGCAGTGAGCTGAGATTGTGCTGGTGCACTCCAGCCTGGGCAACAGAGTGAGACTCCATTTTAAAAAAACAAAAACAAAAACAAAAAAAACCCAAAAACTTCCCTTGGCAAAAGGTGTGCCACTGCATGGTTTGGTTGCTTAAAAGTCATCTCCTAAATCCAACCCTGACTGAAAGAAATAGTGTAAGATGGTGGCTGTGCCAATGGCAGAGCTCTGTGGTAAGACGTATACAAAAGACATAGTGACCGCGGTTTAGATTATTCTCAGATGCCGTTTATGTCCAGCAAAGATAGCTCATGTATAAATGTCCGCAGTGTTCACCCTTAACTAGTTTAAATAGTTTTCTTTATTATGCTGTCTTTCTGATAATTTTAGATGTTCTTTACAATATTTGACATTCTCATTGATTTTTTTGTCAAATTGATGTGAATTTGGCAAACAGTCATTTAGAAGATTAGAAATTACAATGTACTGATTTCTTAAATGGTCCTTTATATGAAAGAATAAGCTTGGTTAGCAAGCAGATTTAGTAAGAAAGATCTGTAATCGCACTGGAGTTTTTTTTCTGCTCAAAGCATTTCCTGACACTTTCTTCTCTTTTCATCCATTTTATCATATGTTTTTTTTCTATTATTGTACCTGTGTGATTCATTGTATTTTTAAATGTCTATCTCCTTCTAGACCATTTTTGCATGAGGATTACTATTTTAAGAGTAAGTGTTCTACTGAGATATGGTAGATAATGCATATTTTTAGATTATTTTTAATAAATATATTAAAACGACTATGGAATGAATAAATTTAAAAATACTTAATTTTTAGTATCCCTAGAAATTAATAATCACCACTTTCTTTTCGTGAGAAAGCAATATTTTGTGAAATGAAGGGAATAAATCGCTTAGTTGGTAAAGGCTTATATCAGATCAATGGCAGAGGGAGAAAGGAAGCATTCAGGAGTGAGAGGGAATTCCAGCTTGTTGCAATCTCACCACTTGCCAGCTGTTCTATGATAATTGATCCTTAAACAACCCAGAGAAGTATCTGGTCTTTAAGAGAAGATATTTGTCCTCCATTTTAAGGATACAGAATCTGAAGCACAGAGAGCTTGATTCATTTGCCCCAAACAACACATCTCATCCTGTGTAATTTGAGTTTGAATTCTCATCTCATAGGAGAATTTCCTTCTATCACTCCGCTACCATCTCATAAGCAAATAGATGAGGCCTGTAGTTCTCTACCTTGGCTGCATATTATCATGACTTGAGGAGCTTTTAAAGAATACTGATGCCCGAGTCTAACCTCCCAGAAAGTGTAATATAATTGTTCTGAGGATGGAAGCCTAGGAATCTTCTCTTTTTTTATGTTTCCTGGGTGATTCTAAATTGTTACAAATGTTGAGAACCACCAGATTAGGACTTAACGTTCTTGCAATTTGTTTTATTCTTTGTATCTGAGCAAGTGTATTTATTTTAGATTTTTTAATAGAGCTTTTACATGAAATTCACAAAAAATTAAATTTACCATAATTTGAATGAATCAGAGTGACTTCTTTATTGTTTTGCAGAATAAGGCAGGATGTTTCTTATTAAGTCAGCTTTATTACGTGGGGTCTATAATTTAAGATCATAAGGTTAATTGTGAGTAAGGAAACAAAGTGTTAGCAGTGTGAAGGGTAAGGAACCTTTTCAATTAAGGAACCTTTTCAGTTCTCTACGCCATAACCTTGGAATCAGTTATTAGTGGTCTGGCTTATCACTGGAAGATTCTTGAGACAACTGCAAAAGCATGTACAGTTGACCAGGGCCTTGAGCTGGTCCTGGCTCCCAATCATCTAAGCATTAGATTGGAGGTGGTTCTTGGCTTATTGCATTCGTTTGAAAGATGTATTCTCACATCAGAATGCTTTTGTCTGTGTTTTCCTCTCCAGGTTAATGTGTTTGGAAGTTATACTGTGGTGTTTTGCATTTTAAAGTGTATCTCTGATGACAGTATTTTCTATGAGAAGTTGATCCCATGACTATGCCTTATTGTACATGAAACTTACATGTCCCCTGAAGTACCCTGTCTTCACACCACTGCTTACCACCACTTTTATTATATGTACTTTATTTCCTAAGTACTTTTATCCTTTTTGTTTATGTCTTTTTCTGTATAATTTCCCCTTTCCCAACCTATGTCTTAGGCCTACCAGAGATTTTTGTTATGTCTGTTATGAGTCTTATTCATCCTTGGTGTGATCTATAGGACTAAAGAGGTAGATTGCCCCTAGACTTAATATCAAATTCTTTCTGTTTACAGTTAATAGTGGTTTTGTGTATTAAGGAAAATACACACCTGAGATTTAGATTTTAGAAATAATGTTCATAAAAACTAAAATTTAACAAATGATGATGTTATGACTCAAAACAATGTGCTATGAATTAAGCTTTTTAAAAAGTCAATTTAATATGTCCATTTTTAAAGAAAAACTCAACAAAATTTGTTTATCAAGCACTAAACGCTTAAGATATTAGCTATTAGATGCTTAATAAGATGACATAAGACAAATCTGATTCATGAGTTTGTTGAAAATATAAATGTTAACATTTTCAAAAGCTTTATTTTGTAATAAAAATGTTATAGCTCTTCAGTATGAAAACTCACGTTACAAACTAGCCAATAAATTTGAATTACAAAGTTTTCTGCATGTACTTATTTAATATCTGCAGTTGGCTATATTTTCTTATTTTTGCCTTGGGACCCTATAGATTTTGCACAGAGGTGGAAGAGTTGTGGTCTCACTGTAAAGAAAATGCAGTTCTTCATTTTTCTTTCCCTTTCTAAAGGAAAGGAAAACCTATGTGTTATTTTGAAGTCTTCAAATCTGACTGAGGCCATTGAAGGTTGGTCAAGAATGCTGAGAGCAGAGAACCCTGCTTCTAGGACCTGGGATCTATGCTTTCTTAGCATTGAACATCAACTCATTGATCCTTCTCCCCAACTTTCTTCCTTCTCTACTTGTACATCTGTAATAATCTCCCTTTATCTCCCTAATATTCATTTAATTCTTGTGCACTGCAACTGAGGTTTCCAGATACATGTGTATGTTTTATGGCATGTGAAAAGATTGATGTGTCATCTAATTGAAGTTTGTATCATACAAAAGCTCTATTCTTCAACCTTATTTTTGCTGTTGCTATTACTATTTTTTTTTGAAACTAGATCAGCGATGTTGAGATTAGCTTTGAGCACTGGTTGTGAAATTCCTGCTGAGAAACCATAATGAAAATACAACTTCAGAATATAAAGTACTAGAAGTATTAGAAGTATGTCTGTAATGTGCTACCAAAAGGATTACACATGCATACCCTTGGTTGTATTGTTGTTTCTGAATTTTTGGACAGAATTGTTTCCTAGCAGCATTTTTCTGAAATTGCTTGACTTTTATTTATGTAAAGATTCCTGATTACATAGGATCTGTAAATGATATGTTGCACTTTTTTAATCCTTTGGAAAATAATTACAAATAAGCAGTTCATTGTGACCTTATTGGCTGCACTTGACTTGGGTTAATGTAGAGGTAAAGATGAGCGATAAGAGAAGAATCAGCCACTTCCATAGTAGGTGAACAGAGTCATTAGACAATATTGATAATTAGACAGAGTTATTAGACAATTTTTTTCCTTTTACAGTGTCCACACTGTATGTGTGGTCCACAGGGCAAAAGGCTATAACATCTCACAGGACATGTGTGGTTGGTAATTAAAAATTATTCGTAGAGCAGACATCATCTGATGAGAAAGCTTTATGGAGAAAGTGGCATTTAGTTTGGAAATTATAGCTAGTTTGAATTTTGATAGGTAAAAGTGCAAGAAGGGAGACAATAGTGAGAATAAAAAACAGCAGTGAATATGGAGTCAGAGAGGTGGAAAGGCCTTGGAAATTGTTCACTTAGAATATGAGAAATGTATGAACAGGTTGCTTTGAAAGATGAGGTTGGAAAAGCAGCTGTTGAGGACTGTGTTCCTGGAGATGATATGCTATTTTTCTGCTAGTGGAGTTTAGGAGATGATTTTTAGTATAAAATCAAAAGCTTGAAAGAGTTTATCTGGAATTTATACATGATCTAGTCCACCTTCCTCACTCAGAGATGGAAGTGGCCTTGTTGCTGATTAAGAACAGGGTATTGGTATTAAAGGGAAAGACCAGACTCCTAATATTCACTCCATAATTTATTAGCTCTGTGAACTTAGATGGATTACCTAACTTTCCTAAGCTTTGTTTTCCATATCTGCAAAACAGAAATATAAGGTTTATTGTGAGAATAAGAAAAATGATGCATGTAGTGTTTAGTGTAGTGTTTGGAATAGTAAATGCTCCCAAAACATTTGCTATTATTATACTGGTGCTATTGTTATCATTTGTGACTTCAATGCTACAGGCTCTCATCTTTCCTTGCTCTGTTCTTACAGGAATTGCATAAATTCGCTAGAATCAGAAGTCAGTTGTCCTGATCTCAGAACAATTTGGTGTGTACAAAGTCCAAGGTTTGAAAACTCATCAAGAAGTCAGCATCCTGCAAGAATCAGCCACCCATGCCACACTTTCTATAGTAACTTCTGTTCTGCATCAGACTACATCACTCTGGCTTTCTGGTATGCGGATTTGTATTAGTCCATTTTCATACTGAGACCAGGTAATTTATGAAAAAAAGAGGTTTAATTGACTCATGGTTCCACATGGCTGGGTGGGTGTCAGGAAACTTACAATCATGGCGGAAGGCAAAGAGGAAGCAAGGCATGTCTTACATGGCAGCAGGGGAGAGACAGAGAGAGAGAGAGAGAGAGAGGGAGGGAGAGAGAGCGAGCAAGGGAAATGCCAGACACTTATCTAACAACCAGATCTCATGAGAACTCCCGCACTATCATGAGAACAGCATGGGGGAAACTGCCCCCAGGAGCCAATCACCTCCCACCAGGTCCCTCCCTCGACATGTGGGGATTACAATTCAAGATGAGATTTGAGTGGGGACACAGAGCCAAACCATATCAGAATGGTAGGAGTAACATAGGGGTAGCAAGATTGCATCCTCAAACTCTTGTATTCTGCCTTTTGAATATTGTTGACAACGGTATTTTCTATAAACCCTAAGCAGCTGTAAATCTAAAGGAATAAGGCAAACATGTTTTTCCTTTCCAAACATTAAAATACTTTTATTAAGTCATCCAATGAGCACTTTCTAGGGGAAAAAATAGTTTATGTGTGGTTTGGATGCTAAGCATTGACTCAGTGTCAGGCCTATGAAGGAGAAGGCCAAGCTATGCCTGCTGACACACAAGTAATCATGGAAAAAATAAAGACTGTCCCAAGTTTGTTAAATGAAGCCATACGTTTGGAAAAGCATGATATGCCAAACTCTTATATTCTTCTTTTGTTGTTCAAGATTATTCTCTTTCTTGCCCATCAGAATCATGGTTTTTCCTTCCAATACACAAATGTTCCCAGATCTCACTGTTGCCATAATCTTCTCCCAAGTGTTCTATATTTTGTACAGTGCTAGTCATACATAATATTAAGCAATACTTGAGAAAGCAAGGCATTTGAAATGACTATTTAGGCTAGGAATTTTATAGAGACTACATGTAGTTGTTCTTCTTACTTTAGGGATCACTTTTATAATACAAAGAATGACTGCAATATAAGCTTTGAAAGACTGACTCACTAAGGAAACAAGACAGGTTTGGAAAAATGGATCCCTTGCCATTGACGCACTCTGGAGAACTCTTTAAAAAATGGTAATCTGAGAAATTTAATTGCCACGTAACTGTTCACATAAAACTGATACTATCAGTAAGTGGACCAAATTAAATATTCTGTGAAAACGTTGCATTTCACAACCAGGTGTTTTGATTTTTTGAAATGAAAGAAAAAAAAAGGAAGTCAGCTTTTAGCTATGTGGTGCAGTTGATCTTCTCTGGAAAGTTATTCTGCAGATCTACCAAATGAATTAAAGATGAGAAGACAAATGTAGGAGATAAAAAGGCAAAGAAGAGATGTTTATCTGCTGTGTACCACTTTTGTGATGGTGGATCCCTTCATCTTTCTGTGCCTCATTTTTTTCTTATTTCTACATAGAGGGCACTATTCCAGGCCAGTGCTCTGGGAGGAATTACCCAGAATCCCTGTAGAAGCCACTACTGATGTCAGCTACAAGAGGAAGGGAACCCAAGTGGACTTCAGCCAGAACAAAGCTCTGTCACATGTTGGAATTTTACTGAACTTGAACAAATTATTCTTCAGAAAAAGTATTTTAAAGTCAAAAGACTCCTAGATGATTTCTAGGTCTTTTGCAGCATTAACTTCCTTTGAATCAATGCCTTCAATGATTATTTAAAAGAAAAGAAAGAAAAAATCAGAAAGTAAAGAAATGGATTTAGCTAGTAACCTTTAAAGAAAGCCCTCTTTCATTCATTTTTCTTCAAAGATTTATGTGATTTTTTTCTTATCTTGATGTATAATAATAAGAATTAGCTGCAAAAAGCTACAAGAAAGGTTGCATAAGTGCATACATTCTTTTCGAGTTCTGCTTCCTGTGGTAGTTCTTCACTTTTAATGATGAGTTGCTGAAGCAGGCACTCATTCTTTTATTGCATCATTTATTCTTGTTATCTGGGGAAGTAACAATGACAAGCTTTCCTAAGTAACAGCCCAACTCTTATTTGTGGCCCCTTTTCCTATGTCAATATTAGGATCATTCTATCAACGAAGAGGTCCTATTACCTAGGAAACCATGAAAGGTAAGACCTATGATCACAGGTGCTTACATGCATGCAAATGTAAAAGGAATACTTAAACCCTCACCTAACTTCTTTGGAAGTTTCAGTACACAGTTTTTGTTGATAGGCAATTAAGGTGCGTGTGTGAGTGTAGTATGTGTTTTTGTAAGAAAAAAAGTAGAGGAAATGGGAGATAATTTAGTGTGCTGGAAAGTTATAGAATTTGATATCTTGTTTTGCATAGATGATGCATTGTAGGAGTGACATTATTGTGAAACTTTGTTCAGTCGGTTTTCCTTCAAGCGATTTTGGTGCAGTTTTTCCAATCCAGTGTTAAGGGCATGACGATGTATTTTTCACAAGCTTGTCTAAGAGGAAACTCTGACAGATTATGATGAGGAAAACTAAATCCACTCATGTCATGTAAACACATAGAAGACTTCTCAGTGGGGTCTCTGCCTTGTACCTCAGATGCCAAGGGGGAGTTTGAGATTTGTCAAGTTGTTGACAACTGCCTTAGTCCATTTTGTGCTGCCATAACAGAATGACACGGATGTGGTAATTTATAATGAACAGAAATTTACTTCTTGAGGCTGGGAAATCCAAGGTTGAGGTGCCAGCATCTGGCAAGGGCTTTCTTATTGTGTCATCATATGGTGGAAGGCAGAATGTCAAGAGAGAAGGAGGAAACCAATTTTACCCTTTTATAAAGGCACCCATTCCACATGTAAGGGTGAAGCCCTCATGGCCTGCCACCTTTTAAAGACTCCACCTCTTGATACTGTCACAATAGCAACTGCATTTCAGCATGAGTTCTGGAAGGGACAGTTTCCAAACCAGAGGAGCAATTGCCTATCAGAGGTTGCAAGAAAGAGGTATTTTACTATTATTTGAGCTACCATTTTTAGCTTTATCCATACTTTTAGAAATAGGTGTTTTATTGAACTCCAATTATCCAGTTTGAGAATGTCATAATTTTCTATTAGGAGTCTGGCTGATCTAGTCATTAAAAAAGACACATAATAAATGTATAAGCATGTTTTTAAATGGACAGTTTATAAGTTAGTTAATAATATTAGTGTTAATTACTGTTACCACTAAATAAATAAACCACTACATTTTATGTTCTTTCAACAATCTGAAAAAAATATTTTGTAAAAAATTACTGTAATGCAAAATTTGGCTTAGTTAGCAACAGAGAGGGTAAATATCTGCTTTAAAGATCACAATGTCTGATGGCTATGAAACAGATGAGAAGTTTTGAGAAGATGACATCAATATGGTGTTGATTGGTTTCATGTGGCTTTGAGCTTTTCTGCCACTGGGAAGATCACTACTGTACATAGTTTACATATGATTCATGTGTGATGCCAGATTGCAGCTTCCTTCTTGCTGTATCTTAAGTGTACTTGGTATTCTGATTCAAGAGTGAGATCTTGAAGCTTTGGCAAATAGAATTGCCTAATTTTCATTTGTCCACTAAGCAATGCATGCAGTTAAAAAAATGAAAACAATACCAAACCTCCTTCTTTTGCAGTGAAGGAGCCCAAAACAAGTTACTCTCTTTCCGTCTCTCTCTTTAACTTAGAATATTGGTTATTTTGTATTCTCACACATGTAAAATTCCTTTCCTTTAATGCATATGTTCTCAATAAAAAAGAATTTTCCACTGAATTTCCAGGAAGACTCAACATAATTTAAAGATGGCACCTTACAAAAAGAACTCTCAATAGACAAGAAGAGGAGGCAGTAATAAACAATTATTTTCAAGACAGAGTTACCTAAAATCTTTCCTTGGTTTCTTACCGGCTACAGGACACTTTTCAAACTCTTTGGTTTCACTTTGACAAACTTGCTTCTTGCAATTCTCCTAAGGTTGTGTGTATACAACCACGTGGGATGTGGTGAATTTAGTCGGCCACAATGTAATAGTCTCTTCTCTATACATAAAATTAGATTACTAAAATCCCTATGTAAGAAACTTACAATCCCGCCAGGGAAAATTAGGATTGGGGAAATGAGATAATTAGTTAATCTCTCAAAAATCTGATGAACATAGTTTATGTTTTCTAAAATAGAGCCATGAAAACAGCCCACCAAATAATGAGAATGTCAATATCTCACACGTTCCTTCATTTGGTAATTAATAGCATGGAATGGATATATATTAATTTATCATTCTTTGATCTCCAGTGACTTTTCAGTATCTCTGTTCTCCTTTTTCCATATATTAAATACAGAACTTATACATTTGTTTTGTTTGATGGTGTTAATCTACAGTGCAGAAGAGTCCCTGTGTTTGTCCACTGTCTAATTTTCAAAGCCTCTCTGATTTTATGATTTTAATTTACCTTTTATCAGTGTGGTTTCACCGCATTTCTGCAGACATTCATGTGGATGCCTGAGCTGAAAAACTAACCTCACGTAGTCTTTATTTCTCAACTTGCATTCCCCAGTGCAGGGCCCAGTGGTGCCAATTCTGAACATAGTAAATTTACAAGAAAGCCCTTCCTCACCTATAACTTCAGGGATGTTTTCACCCATAAACCAAAACACTCAATTGCAAGGTTTGGGGATAATCTTCTCCCAGCTCTCTTTCTCTCTCCTACAGTTTCATTGCATTGCCTCATCTCTCTTTTATCTTTTCCCTTATGAGTTATTTCAGCTTCCTTTTCTTAACTTCTAGTTTCCTATTTCTCTAATAATCTAAGTCAGGGAGAAGTGTAAATTCATGTGCATGGAAACTAAAATTTCCCCGAGGATATAATGTACAGAGTAAATCCATCTTCACTAGAATTTTAGAACTTGAGATCGGGCATGTGTGATTATTCTACACATTTTTAATGGGTCTCTGTGCTTTCACATGTGATTTTGCCTCTTCCAAAAACAGTCTTTGTGTTCTTCACCATCTGGGAAATGTGTTTTCATCCATGTAAACCCAAATCAAATGCCATTTCCTTTATGGAAAATTATCCAGCTTCATCAGGCAGAATAATTAGCTCCTCTGTAGGCAAATAGCTCCTTGGTCTATTTTTGCCAAAGCAAGAACATCTTATTTTCCATACCTACTATGTGCTTGGCATTGTATCAGTACACATTTCTATTAGTGCATTCTAGCACTACATATTTTCAGGCCTATCTTATGTGATTGGCTTTGAGCATTTCCAGAGCAAGTATATTTTTGCTTCTTATACCTACCTCAGGATTTAACATAGTGGTGTCTGGCATAACTAGACATGGTAAGAATAAATGTTTGTTGAATGAATGATGTGTGAATATTTGAATGAGCATATTATATGAGTTGGTAAGACTATTCAGTTGCTGGATGTCAAAACTAATTAACTGAATGTATTTTTATCTTTGGCTTTTTATTAGCTTGGTTGCAAATTCTGTGACAACAGAATCTGTGTCTTTCATTCTCATCTTTACACCCCCAGTTCCAGGTACCTGGTGCCCAACAGGCATTACTGGATATCTGTAGAACTTATGATTAAAGAATAAAAGGATAACAGTGTGGGATGAAAATAATTCAATCTTTGACCTTTTTTTTTGAGTAGAGACAAGCACATTAAATTTGATTTTTGTTTAGCCCTAAGCAGCATCGTAGTTCTGTATCACTTTTATAAGCAGCTAGACATGGAAAAGGTAAAAGTAAGGACAGAGGATGGAGGCATAACCTATTCAGAGTCAATCATATGACTTTTGTCTGAAAAATTCGTACATAAAAAAATGAATGGTTTGAAACAAAAGCGAACTATTGGATGGAAGTAATTTGCACATTTAAAACCTGTCTCGCAACCAAGTGCATCAGTTGATTCTCTGGCAAACTATTGCTTTGCCTTTTCTTATCCAATATTTGTTTGTTTTTGAAGGAAAAAAGGTATGTGACTGAGAGGTAAAATATATGTATTTTTTCACCATGAATACTTGTCTTTATGCATTTTGTTAAAATTGTAGTAATTGATAATATGTAAGCCTGTTTCGTAATGGTGATTTTTTTGGTATGATATCTACAGATACAAATAGTGCATGTGTTAAGGAAACTCATGCACAAACAAAACAGCACATGCTGTACTCACAGCCAGTTACACAGAATGCTCATGCATGCATCTGTTGCTTATTAATTTTCTTCCTGCTGTTTGTATCATTCTTTTGAAGAATCTCCAGCAAGCTTTGTGCTTTGCCCAATTGTTTATAATGTCTATAAATCAGGGGCTTGGACCAAATGAAATGTCTTAGTAGTGTTTGCAAAATATTTGGATATTCTGATTGCGTTTTATTTTCCCAGCTTTAGAAAACATATAGATTAGCCTCTGTTGGGAACTTATATTCTCGTTACTCCTTGTCTCTTTTCTTTTTTCAGGAATTGGTCACTCTTTCAGCCAACTCGTAGGTTCAAACAATGTTTACATGTAGTGCTCAGTTTGTTTTAACTTCCTGCTGTAGACATTGACAGTTTTTTCTTCCTAAGAGTCTTATGAATAGGCAACAAAACAAAAACAAAAACAGGCAAAGTCCCAATCTATTAACTACGTACTTACAAATCAGGTGAAAGTGCTTGGTGAACAGTCTATGTTTTAGCAACTGTTTTTTAACGTTTGGTTGTGACATTTTTTAACAACAGCCATTGTTCAATTGTTAAACTATGTTTGGATTTGAGGTCTGAATGAGCTGAATTCAAAATATGGGACTTTTTATTAGAAACCCTGGTAAAGTGGACACTGGGGAAAAAGCCCAAGATTTCATGTGTTTGATTTATTGACTATGTGCGTCAACAGCCTGCTTTTAATTCTCAGAGTAAAATAAAAATACTCAGAATCTAAGTGCTGTGTTTTGGTGCATTATGAGTCTGTATTTTTTGTCACAAACATCGTATCCAGTCCTCTCCCTTTATTTCACAGTCATGGTTTTATAGAGGGATTTGGTAGACAAAAATTTAGGGCTAAGAGTGGGATAGAATAAGTTACATGTGACATTTAGAAGATGCAGCGAGCAACACAAACCTTGGGGGAAAATATCTGTATTTTTTTCAGAATTTAGAGGTAGATGGACTAATCATCCCAATTTAATACCTAGGCAGGTCTACACGATGTGACTGCAAGTTCAATGATAATCTATATCAATTTTGATTGACATCTGTTTTATTCATGTGACTTAGGTTTTAATGTAGATACATACCCAAAGAGTATGTGCTTCAGGTGAATAAGCTATTCCAATGATTAAGCCACTCAGTTAAACAAGGACACTAAATATATTCTATACAACAAAAATATACTGAATAATACCATTTGCATTTGCATAAAGAGTTTACAAAATACTTTCACCTCCTTGACCCACTTTAGCAGAAGAATAAAAATTAATAGATCCATTCTGTAGATTAGGACTCTCAGGCTCAATACAATACATTGATTCATAACCAACATTAAAAAAATTTAACAAGACCAGTTGCAAGGTGTGTATGAAAGTTCCTTTTATGTGTGTGTGTGTGTATAAATATATGAAGATATACTTATTGCAGAATATGCATAAACTTTAGTTATCTAGCCACATGTTAAGAAGCAGCTTTTAAAACTTGGATTTCTGTGTTCTACCAGCAAAATGGAATTTGAAAATAATTATTACAAGCCACCAAAGATCCTGATGTGCCTTCAGAATCCTGAAAGCAGGACGCTGCTTTCTCAAGAAGACGTTCAGTGTATTATGCATGAAACATTTTCTTATGACGAGTTAATGGGTGCAGCACACCAACATGGCACATGTATACATATGTAACAAGCCTGCACGTTGTGCACATGTACCCTAGAACTCAAAGTATTTTATATATATGTATATATATGTATATATATATACACACATAATATATGTGTATATATGTGTATATATATACGTATATATACACATATATATGTATGTATATGTATATATATGCACATATATATGTATATATATATACGTGTATATATATACATATACATACATATATATATATATAGAGAGAGAGAGAACAATACCGATAATTTGACGGTTTGGGAGATGGTAGATTCTGCCATGAATAGCTACTTCATTCCAAACCATCTTTTTGTTGAGCAACATCAATCAATCTGCTTGGTTTCTTAGGAAAAAGCCAGTAGACTGAAACAGATTCTCTCAAACGGATATTCCAATGAACACTTGCACCAGGAAGGATGCCAATACGTGCTTCAAGAACAAATCGTGCAGGGTCAAACAATTTGATAAGTAATGCAAACAGATCCCAATCTTGGAGATTAAAATATTAGTTCTAAAGTAGAGAAACCTATTAAGTATTGTTTTCCTAGTGTTTCTTAAACTTATTGGAATACACACACATACACACATACAGACACATATATAAACATGCATATATATAAAAGAATATAGATTAATAACTTGAAAACAGATTTGGAAAGTTTTGGAAAAGGGATTCATTTCTTTACTTATTATTTAAAGTTTACATTATCATAATGCTATTGTTTGAATGTGTCCCTCAAGGCTTACTTGTTGGAAACTTAATCCCCAGTTAACACTGTTGAGAGGTGGGACCTGAAAGAGGTGATTAGGTCATGAGAGCTAACCCTCATGAATGGATTAATGCCATTATTGGCTGGAGAAGGTCGCTTATCTGAAGAGTGAATTTTTGATAAAAGGATGCTTTCATCTCACTTTCTTCCCTTCCTCATCCAATGCTCTCTTACCCTCATGGCTTCTGCCATGGTATCTTGCAAGATGGCCTTTGCCAGATCTGGCCCCTTCAACCTAGGACTTCCTAGCCCCCAGAAATGTAAGAAATCTCTGTTTATAAATTACCAAGTCTGTGGTATTCTGTTACAGCAGCTGGACTAAGAAACAGGGCACTTAATAAAATTTATGATTTCTGCTTAGGCCATACGATTTTGAAATATGACTGCAACAATTAAATTAGACATTTAAAACATAAATGAAACAGAGATTCAAAGTACAATAGAAAGTCCTTGATTTTTTTTCTGCACACAATTTTGCTTTTATGATGTTATTCTGCTTTTCCAAAGAGCCTTCAGGGTATGAATTCACTAACTTAAATCCTCCTTAAGTCCTCCGCCATGTGGGCCCATCTGCCTTCTCAACTTGCTTCTTTATCACATGATCACATTTTGGAATAATCTCTCTCCTTCCTCTTTGATGGGATCTGAATTCTTTTAGAGGTACCTCCACTGGGGTTCTTGTGTCCATCAGACCCTCAAGTGTCCAGAAGCAGGGCCCAAAGCAGCCCCATGTTCCTGCTAACTTAAGACTTGAAAGTCCAGCCATCATGCACCTCCAAAAGGCAGCTGTTTAATGGAAAGGCTGTCTTTGCTCATTATCCTGAGCATGGCTGACTCATGGTGTTCCATGCTTTGTTCCCTGGCTTTTGTTCCTTGGCCTGTGACTCACCTCCTCCATGCTTTCTCCACCTTCAGCTTCATTTCTCCCAGCTGTGACCTGGGAGAAATGTGACCTGGGAGCTGAAACCTGTGTTCCTGGTTTCATCCCTGGTTTCCAAGTCAGGTTTTTTTTGTTTTTTTTTTTAAGACTTTTTCCATTTTCCTGCTTCTGACTTATTGCTGATACGTCTTTCATGCTTTGCCCTCTGTCCTTGGACATGACTCTGACTAACTGGAAATTGCTGATCAAAGGCTAGTGACCACCAAGTTGAGCCTCTGACTATTACAGCCCCTGTACCATGATGACCTCATTTGTGCTGCTACAGCAGTAACATTTTCCTTTTCTGGTTTACTACTGCATGTGTGCCTTGTTCTCATTACTTGCTATTTATCGAATTGTGCTTTTTATGGTGAACAGGCCCTCTATAATGCAAAAATAAATAAATAAATAAATAAGGTTTAAGGGATTTTGCCGAAAGAAAACTCAGATATTCACAAACATTGTTACTGACAGTGAATACTGGGCTGTTTCCAAATATTCTTGGGTCCTTTATTAAATTACATCACCAGTCATTCATAGTCTCTGGTGTAGGTGTTACTGGTCCCAAGTGGGCAGATTATAAGATATTAGAAGATAAGAGGTGAATATTTATCATAAGGGAGTAGGAATTGCTGGTATTGCAAAACGGTTATGTTGGCCAAGGTGTAGTAAAGGAGAATGATGACAAGAGATGGAGAAATGCAAATAAGAAAGGACATGTCTGTTCTTCCTCATGTATTTTTTTCTTTTTTCCTTTCAATACTACACAGTTTAGATGAGCAAAAGCAGGATAAAGACACTTAGGTGATAAATGAACAAGTAATACCTCCAGGAAACTTCCTTGTTTGCTTCATGTGCTGTGTATGTTATGAGATAATGGACAGGGAAAGGTAAGAAAGGGTATTTATTAATAAGTTAATTTACATTAAATCAATCCAAGGAAATAATGAGCACATCTGTGTTTCTCCACTATAAATAGTGGAGATAGATCTACGTAGGGAAGGAGAGCAGAAAGCTAAATGGTGAAGACTAAAGCTGTGATTGCTCTAAGCTCTGTCTTCACTGATCCTTTCTCTTGATGTCCTCCTCCTGACCCTCGGGTGGGAAAGAACCTGTGGCCTGCAAAGATACATCCCAAACTATGTTCTTTTGCAAAAATATACAAAGCTTCTGAGCAGAGAAAAGTCTTGGAAGCTTTTGTAATTGCTGATCTCTGAAAGTCTAAGGCAATAAAAACAGAGCAGGATCTCTAGTTCACAAAGGGTAAGAGGCAGGCATAGTTTATATGCCAGACTGTGGTGGTAACAAACTAAAGCAAAAACGTATATAATCCTTCTTATAGAAGTGATTTATGCAAGAACAGACAGATCATGCAATTATACTTAGTCCATTTTATCCCTGAAATCATTGTTCAATCTTTCTATTTTCTGCCACTTTCCAAACTTTTGTGTAGGGGACATGATGTGAGTCAAATGGTCTAATGCATAATGTTTCATTTCATGAAATATTTATCTAGCATAACAGCTTTCAAACTTCGGTTCTAGTGGGCTGTCTTCTTAAAACACCGTCTTATTCCTTCTGGTCATGGACCCTGACAAGCCCATTCTGCCTGTCTCTCACCCTCCTGCAGGTCCCCTGTCTACCTGCCATGCAAACCTTGCCAGAAAAAAATACTAGTCCAGGAGTTTCCATATGTCTCAAGTGGGGCCAAACAGAGTAATTTTTTTGGTTAACATATCAACATGGGCCAGGCACGGTGGCTCATGCCTGCAATCCCAGCACTTTGGGAGGCCAATGTGGGTGGATCACTTGAGGTCAGGAGTTCAAAACCACCCTGGCCAACATGGTGAAACCCTGTCTCTATTAAAACTACAAAAAAAATTAACCAGGCGTGGTGGCGGGCAACTGTAATCCCAGCTACTCAGGAGGCTGAGGCAGGAGAATTGCTTGAACCTGGGAGGTGGGAGGTTGCAGTGAGCTGAGATCATGACACTACACTCCAGCCTGGGCAACAGAGCAAGACTCCATCTCAAAACAAAACAAAACAAAAAACATATCAACATGTAGAGAGAAAGATGTTTCTTTTATTTGGGAGGATGCAAAACTTAGTTGCTGGCAAACATGTTTCCTGCTAGGTGGAGAGAAGCCTCCCACAGAAAGAAGCCAGTCGAATACAGAGCTGGGAGGTGGATAATGACCAGAATATTGGTTCCCATAGCTTTTCCTTCCATCTCATGAGTTATACCAATACTATTTCCAGCTCCATGAGTTACAGATTTCCTTTTAAAACTGTTAATTCGAATAAGACTTCCATTACTCACAATATATATAATTTAAAGCTTTTTAGTAGTTACATTTGTGAGATAATTTTTTAAAAAATAGGTAAAATTAATTTTAAAAATAAAATTTATTCATGTAATTATTGAAGATATGAGTATTTTAGTATTTAATATAAAATTATCAATAAGATCTTTTATATTCATTTTTCACATTAAGTCTTTGAAATCTGGCATGCACTATAGCATATCTCTCCTCTCACTGGGACCAGCCATATTTCAAGCATTTACTAGTTGCATGTGTTAGTGGCTACCATGTTGGACAGCTCAGGTGTAGACCATAAATATTAAAAATTATTTTTCCCACTAGTAAAACATAACCACTATTAACATATTGATTATATATTTCTAAGCTTTTTAATAGAGATACATATCTCCATTAAACATGTATAATATCTATTTTTAAACAAAACGTTCATATTGTAAGACATATTTTGAGCTTGCCTTTTTCATTTCATCTTGTCAGTACATCACAGATGTCTTATTTTTATTCAGTTCCTCAATTGATGAAATAGTTTTTCAGTTTTTTTGTGGGGGGAGAGCACGTGGGTAGTATTATTCCTGCATGTGTAAGAATACTGTTCAGTTGCCCTAGCAGTTAAATCTTAGGTTGATTGGGCATGAAGGTATTGAAGCTCAAACTCTAGAAATTTTGCTCTACTATCTTCTGAAATTTGATATTTGTGGAAAAGAAACACATTCACTTTTCCCCCATCTATTATCTCCTCTTTATAAAAATATTTAAATATTTTCCAGTATAATTATGTTTCTACTACCATAACATGTTTTTAACATTTAATGTTTCTTCAATTCAAAGAAATTCTCAACTATTATTTTATTGATTATTATCTCTCCTTTGTCTATTATATCTGCTTCTGAAATTTCTAATATATTGTTTTGAGAATTAGGCTATTTTTTAGATTGCTTCCCTTTTTGTCTAGTATTTTCACCTCCTTGCCCTTTATGTTCTAAATTTTAAAAGAACTTCTTGAAACAACCTTCAGTGGAACTATAGTATACAGTGAGTCTGTAGTATACAATTTTTGGTAACTTCTTAGTATTTGGAAATTTTATGATCTTACTTTAATCTTAAAGCAATATTTTATGTTGTTAGATTATTACCACATGATAGTTACCACACAATGGCATATATAAATGCTAAACTGAGAGTGAATCTGTTTGTTTGTTTGTTTGCTGTTGTTTAATGGAATAAGTAAGCATGTTAAGTCTAATTTTCTATCTTCTAGTTCAGTTACATAATCACCTAACATTTGACAGGAATACCTAAATCATATTTGGGGAAACCTGGTTTTATATGAGCAGAATAATTTCCCAAAGATGTATCATTCATGATAACTTTTACAGGTTTTCTTCTTGTGTCAGAGATTTTAATTGCACCCATTATCCATATTTCCCATATTGCTTAGTAACAGAATCCTGATGTTATTCCAGGCAACAATGTATTCATTTCCTTGCCTTTCCTGCTATGTGAGGCTATGTCACTAAGTTCTGTTCAGTGAAATGTAAGCAAAAATTGAATCTGAGAAATAGCAAATGGCTTGGCTCATGTTATCTTTATTGCAGTGGTTAGAAATCATGACTCACTTTTTTTCCTAATGACTGTTTTTCCTAATGACTTTGAGCTGCATAAGAATAAAGCCATGTCTTAGAATGATGTTCAATAATTAGTTGCTTGGCCGGGCGCGGTGGCTCACGCCTGTAATCCCAGCACTTTGGGAGGCCGAGGCGGGCGGATCACGAGGTCAGGAGATCGAGACCATCCCGGCTAAAACGGTGAAACCCCGTCTCTACTAAAAATACAAAAAATTAGCCGGGCGTAGTGGCGGGCGCCTGTAGTCCCAGCTACTTGGGAGGCTGAGGCAGGAGAATGGCGTGAACCTGGGAGGCGGAGCTTGCAGTGAGCCGAGATCCCGTCACTGCACTCCAGCCTGGGCGACAGAGCGAGACTCCGTCTCAAAAAAAAATAAATAAAAAAAATAATTAGTTGCTCACTGCCTAACCAATAAATGTTAGTGTACTGGGCAGGGAAGGGAAAGAGAAGAATTAGGTTGATGTAATTCATTTATTATCTGGAAGCTCAATAGGGAATGTGACATGAATGAATTTAAGCAAGTCTGGGCATATTGGGAGGCAATTCTCCATGTATGTCTTGCAAATAAAGGCATTGGTGATGATCACTCTGTCTTTTCGAGGATGTTGGTAGAGCAAACAGCTTTTGAAGATAGAGATGATTTCTCTCTCTGAAGGAAAAGGTGTTTGTCTACTTTGCAGTCTAATAAATACAATGTCTTCATCTGGGGCAAACGTTGGGTTTCTTTTCTGCACCTCTATTAAAAACTGGGGTTTTGCCAGCAAGGGGTTGCTCATCTATGATGCAAACCCATTGTGTGTGCTGTATCCACCTGGGAAAATATGAAGATAAGGATGCTCATTGTGCCTTCAGTAATAAAGTCTTTTCTCTTTGATCTAGGAGTCCAGTGTCTTCAGCCCATCACGTTGAAGCTGTGGGGGCTAATATGTTAGCTTGCAAGTGGCTTAATATCTCATAGTCTTCATTCTTGATAAAGCTTCCCTAGTTTCTCATGGGAGAAGGGCCTACTGGGATTATGGAGTCAGAGAAAGTGATGCACAGAGTTAGTCATTGGAAGCTGCACACATTCTAAATCCAGCAATCACTGTCCTGAGTGAACATGAAGTTCTGCAATTACTCAGTGATCACAAAGGTCCTCAAAGCTAACACTACTCACGAAGATGGTGTGAGTTACATTGGCTGACAAGCTCCAGCCATGGACGCAATTCCTTCTAGAAGCAAAATTTATCTCTAGACTCCTCCTGTATTTTAATTTAGCCACTTTTTTAGGGCCTACAATTTTAGATCTCCACAGGGCTCTTGAAACTTCTTGAACCTCATCAGTAACATGTCCATTAGTGGCATGACCCAAGAGTTCTAGAACATCTATTCAGCAAGTGTGTATCTGGTAAGTGAATATTCCTTCTATGTGTTCCCTTTTGCATCAAACTACACACTGTCATTCCTCCTTTATCTCCAAAAGCTTGAAAATTCCTCACTTGTATCTCATTCTTTCTCTCTTAGAAAACTGATCACCTCTGATGAATTAGAACGGAATGACCAAGCTTTGGGAGAGGCAAAAGAATTTCGGTGTTAAAGACTCAGAGTTTAAGAAGCAACAAAAAGATTATACAGATGTGAATATGTGACCTTCCTCCACCAGGGCATGTTGCCTTGGAGTAAGATAATTTAAGCACACACTTCATAGCCTGAGAACAATTTTGGAAGTTTTTGCTTTATGGATATTTACATAAAGCAAATATGGATATTTACCTAAAGGCTGGACCAAGGCCTAATTCCTCTAGAGCCCCTTGATCATGAACACCATTCCTGTCATGATTCTTAAGGTCTTCCTGCTGTTCTCATTAGCACCATTTTCAATTTGCTGCGCCGTGGCCTTTTTCAGTGGTACAACTGCTGTATTTGCTACAGGCTTTAAAATAATGAGAGTTTTTCTCCTTGAGAAACATTACATCTTACCCCACCTGTCTTAAGAAATTTAGCCCAGGTTTTTCTTTACCGGATGGGAGGACATTTAGGTAGTACCACATAGAGCCACACTGAATGCCAGGGTGGGTACCCAATGTCCTATGGGTCGAATACAGCTCACTGTTTTTGTATGGCTCACACACCAGAGACAGTTTTTACCTTTGAATCTCATTAGGTGACACATTATCCACCCTATAAAGAATTCAGCTTTTCTCATTGGTAGACCTATATTACAAAAAAAGTACTCACTTATCATTGTATTTTGAATTTCATCAACGAAAACATTCTGAGAATTTGTTTTCTCACTTATTTTAAAAGTATATAGTATAATTTGTTTCTTGTCCCTAGACACTAAAAATTTTTTCTGTCTGTCTTTTTACAGAAAAAATTTGCCTGCTCTGCTCAGGACCATCACTCTGCCTGCCTGGGGCGGAACTGGATTTTTTCCCCTGGATTCTTTTCTTGTTGGGAGTGAGTGCAAAGCCTTCCATCTATCCCTGGCTACAAGCTGAAAGGCTGGGCACAGTTAAAAGTTTCTACTTTGCTTCAGGGTGTAAATCTGGGTCCATACAGGTGAGAAATTTTATTCTGCTTCTCTGAACAAAATAGTCACCTGAAAATATTTCCCTCATCAGCCATTTTCACTTTCTCCCTATGGTATCATAGGTAAGTTGTTGAAGATTCTCGGGCTGAATTCAGTTCTCTCACTTGCACGATGTCTAGGTGGTATAAATTCTCTAAGAGTCCTTGAATGTATGTATTAGCTACTCTGTTCTAAGAAAGGATAGAGTTGAAATAACATAATCCAGCAGGTTGAACTACAATATCACTATTTAAAATACGATTATTGGGCCGGGTGTTGTGGCTCACGCCTGTAATCCCAGCACTTTGGGAGGCCGAGGCAGGTGGGTCATGAAGTCAGGAGTTCAAGACCAGCCTGGCCAACATAGTGAAACCCTGTCTCTACTAAAAATACAAAAATTAGCTGGGCATGGTGGCACACGCCTGTAGTCTCAGCTACTCAGGAGGCTGAGGGAGGAGAATCGCTTGAACCCAGGAGGCAGAGGTTGTAGTGAGCCGAGATTGCGCCACTGCACTCCAGGCTAGGCAACAGAGCGAGACTCCGTCTCAAAAAAAGATATGATTACCAAAATATAAAGTTATTGTAATATATAATTTTCAAAGCCCCCACTTTCACTTTTTCTTTCCTTCAGGACCATTTTTTTTAGGTAATATAGTGATACAGAAGAACCTATAAACACTGTGGGTAGAAGAAGGTGAATTTGGCATGTTTTTATTAAAACTACTCTAACATTTACTTAAACATTTTTAAAAAGCCCAAACATTGGAGCCTGGAAGATGAAGAGTTGTATATGTTATTCTTTCCAGGAAGTTAAATAATTATAAAGACACTAAAAATAGCAGCTGTTTTAAAAGAATAGCTTGCTCATAATTTGTCCTAAATTTCCTGGAATTAAGAATTATGATATGGTTTCATCCTGCTGTGACTGCAGTAAGAGAACAAACGAAGCTCCTTTTACGTCAAGGAAAGTGTTTTTGAGGGAAATGAAGACTTTTGTTTCTCCTGCTTCTCTGTTGACTGTTGTGATTTCCCAAAAATGGGTCTTTTACTAGGAATAAGAAAATAGTCATCCCCAAGGTAGTTTGCTTTCCCTATTTCATAAATACAAATTACTCTCTCTTTATTTCCCTGCTACATTTGGTGTTAGCAGAACTGGCTGGTACTGTTCTCTGGAATATCCTTGCTAAATTTGCATTTTTTCTTGGCAAATTGATGTTTAGCTTTTGTTATAGTCACTTCCTCAACTCTAAAGAGAAGAGGCCATTGTCTTCCTTCTTACTCTCATCCAAAGTCCGTATAGATTGATCCAGGAAAAATGTTACCTATACATTATTTAAATTGTGTATTACTCTGTTCTTACATTGCTAATAATGACCTATCTGAGAGTGGGTAATTTATAAAGAAATGAAGTTTAATTGTCTCACAGTTCCACATGGTTGGCTAGGCCTCTCAATCATGGTGGAAGGTAAATGAGAGCAAAGTCACGTCTTACATGGCAGCAGGCAAGAGAGCTTGTGCAGGGGAACACCCACTTATAAAACCATCAGATACCATGAGACTTATTCAGTACCACAAGAACAGTATGGGGGAAACCACCCCCCATGATTCAATTATCTCCACCTGGCCCCACCCTTGACACATAGGGATTATTATAGTTCAATGTGAGATTTGGGTGGGGACACAGCCAAACCATATCAAATAGCATCACATATAAAACTGTCTACAGACTATTGACAAATCTTGTTAGTATAAACAGCCAAAACAGTTTGGCTGTTGTTAGTGATCTCTACAAATGGCATATTTTTTTTCCCCCAATGTACAGCATTATGTCAGGGAATGAAGGTTGTAGGTATTTAGTCTTTGTCGGGGAGGCCCAGAGACCAGCTCAGGGTCCTTGCATGTCCTGTTTATTTGCCTGAGCACTTTTTTTTTTCACTGTGTTTGACATCGCTATCTCATTTTTAGATTCATGTCTCCTCACATCTCTTCCCATGGAGAGCTTCTCCTATTTTATCATCCTTAATTATCTTATTTGTGCTTCTTGCTTGCCATCTTCTTCACCTCTGAGATGTAGGTTTCCTAAAAGTCTGACTTTGTCTCATTCTGTTATATCCATTTATCCTCCTAATCCCTTACCCCATTATTGACACTATGAGGCACTACTATTTTAGAGAATTTCAAAAAGATGTTTTAAGAACTTCTTCCCCCTAGAAACATCACAGTCAGGCTGCTTGGAGATGAACATGTCCACTGTTTTTAACTCTCCCTCTGCCCTCTCCAGTATCATGAAAGGGATTACAAGTGCAGCAAAGACACTGTCACCTTCAAACTCCCAATGATGATTTATTGCAACTCCCTGTTATAGTCAACTTTCCTTGAACTCTCGCTGTGCTTGGTCCAGATGATATGAAGCTGTTGCTTCTCAAGATGTACAGTAAGTACACTGAAAGAAGCCAGCTTGTGTAGGCAAATACATGATTTAAAGGGAGACCTGGTTAATTCTTCTCCATTATTAAAATGATTGGGATTTCCTTATTGTATATAATGTTTTGGTGTTGAAATGTATGTGTCAGAAAAAGATAATATTCATGATGCATTAATGTAAAAATGTAGACAAATTTATTACTTAACATGGATGAGTTTATTGGGCATTTTTTTTCTGTGAGTCAATCTGAACAAGAAGTTAGGAATTCATAAGGACCTCAGACATTCTGGACATTCCTAAGGAGGGAAAAAAAGAGATAAAGGTGTTTGAGATGAGCATTTTCTGCTTTCCAGCCCCACTTAGGACTCTAGGGTTACATTTTTGGCAAGTTATTTCTGGAGACAATGGTTTTTATTTATTTTCAGTGTTTTATGCATTAATTATCTCTCTACCTTTTAATATAAGCATTGTGGATTTCAACAAGTGGGATATACGTTCTGTAAATTTCATGCATGCAATGCAAAAAAAAATGCATTGCTTGAGAGGGAAATGTTGGCTAGGAAAGTTAGTGTATAATAGGAGATAGAATGCTTCTTTGGGGGCCAAAGCTTTAGCAAATTATGAACCCAAAAGATAGCAGATTTGGAAAATGGTAATGGAACCTGCAATTGGTTATAATAATCAATGAAAAGAACCCACAAACTTTGTATATGGTCCTTTTCAGTCACTGATGCTATTTTCTAATTTTAGAAATCAACGATATTTTTCTTTGGTACTTGCCATCGTCTTTCCTGTGCATCCTGTGTCTACTCCCTCCCCTCCTGCAGGCCTCATTTCCCAGAGCCCCCTTGCAATACATACTTGCTTGTTAAGAAAGGTCTTACAAAATGCTTCTGCTTTTACCCTTCCTTTCTGGTAATAAAAATATATCTACTTGTATCCAAATCTCTGAGAATTTAGTTGGTTGAATTCCACAGGTGTGTGCCATATGAGCTCCAGTTGATTTGGTTGTGAAGTCTGGGTTGAGAGTTCTGTATCCACAGTGCATTAATCTTGAGATACATAAGCATCTGCAGTCAATTTAAGTAGCTTTTAGTTTTGGCTTTGGAGACAGGCAATTTCTCATATATTTCATGGAGAAGAAGAGAAGTTAGGATAAATTCCTAGACTATGTGTCCATAGTACACAAAACAGTAGGAATTTGTTGACCATCACTCATTTGATCAATTCTGATAGCCAGCATCTGTTTCTTTGCCTGAATTAATAAGCTTGGTGGCCTACATTGATCAAATTTACTGGAAAATTCCTAAATTGCAATTTCAATTTGTTTTGTATGAAAATGCCAATAGAAGGCACAATTAAAACAGATCTTCACATAATTAACAAAATAGGCCTTCATCAATTACTTGTGAATTTGGGGCAGAGTAAGCAACCAATGCTGAAATTAAGAAACCTTGTAAATAAGTCTCTCATGCATCTTTCATTAGAGAGCAACAGAAAACTATATTAGGCATGTGACCTTTTAATATATATTAAATATGTGTTCTGCTTTTAAAAATGTTTTAAAGAAAAGTTATTTATATAACTATGTATATAGTTATTTATATATATCTATCTATTTCTATGATGAGCTGTATAAGAAAAAATATAAATTGGTTGAGTTTCCCATTTCTATTTCTTTGTTAAAAAAAAAAGCCCATGTAGAAATTGTAATTATAGAAGGGCTTTTATATAGGTAGATCTTTGCACATAGATTCTGGCTAATGCACATAGATTTGGAAAGTCAAGTGGTTTAATGAACTAGAGGCTTCTTGGGAACCTCAGACTCTTTTTCAGACAATTTAAAAATTAAATCTTATATGAGGCTCAAGTGGGTCCAATAAAGAGAACTCTATTAAACTGCCTAAGTTCTGAACCAAGTGAGAAGACAAAAGATAAAAAAGAAGTGGAGCAAATTACCACATTTTTTTTAACCTAGTAAATCTGCTTTTGGAGAGTATGATTGCCAATTACAGCAGTCCTGGAAAACCACAAGTTTCCTCAATAGAGACAAGATCCTTTACAACATGGAGCAAAATGGCGCATATGAAAATTCATGCTACTTGCAAGCCTTACGCTTTTTAGATGAAGGAACTAGGAAGAGGGTGGGAAACATTTGTTCAGTTTCCCCTTCCAAACTCAATAACCAGTTTGTGGCCTGCTACTCCTTGAGGAATGAGTGCAGACACCGCAGAGACCCTGCACTGAAGTGAGCATTACTGGTGCCCGCTTCAAATGTAAAAGGCATGGAGTAGTCATTTACCCTTTACTGTGATAGGTTTAGTTAAATTTACTCATTAAGTATATTGTGGTACATAAAATAAGATTAGTTGTCTTAGTAGTGTGTTAATACTTATACAATGTTAAGTTTTTGGCTATGTTGAATTACTGAAATATCTTTTCCAAATCCTCTTCTTTTTGCAAACATACTCAATTGCAACAGACAAGACACATTTATCAGAGTTTCTGTGCTAAATATTTTCCTAAAGGGATAGTAACATTATCAAAATTATTATTCACAACTCAGGGCACATAGCTAAGAAAACTAAGATCGTGGTTTTTATGGAAAACTTCCAAATGAAAACTAAAAACACCAATATACAGATATGTTTGTATATGCAGACACTCGGTATTTTGGGAACTAAAGATCCAAATATTTGGGACAGGGCACAGTGGCACATGCCTGTAATCCTAGCACTTTGGGAGGCTGAGGTGGTTCACGTGAGCCCATAAGTTTGAGACCAGCCTGAGCAACGTAGTGAGACCTCATGTCTACAAAAAATAAAAAAAAAATTAGCTGTGTATGGTGATACAAGTCTGTAGTCCCAGCTACTTGGGAGGTTCAGGTGGGAGGACCACGTGAGCCCAGAAGGTCAAGGCTGCAGTGAGCTATGATTGCACCACTGCACTCCAGCCTGGATAACAGATCAAGACCCTGTTTAAAAAAATGAGTATTTGCTAAATTTTTCCACCTTTTGTCTGTGTGCATACCATGAGAACTTGACTATTTACATCATGTGTCTTAAATGAATAAGTATCTTCACCAACATCTATGCATTTTATCAAGACTTTATAAATTAGATTTGTTTATGAGGCACTTTTGTATTTTAAATTGAATATATAAGGAGTTACACTGTGAGCATAACACCTAAGGCTCCTTCTGTATATGTGTTCTCTGACTGCAGACTTAGAAGGTAGGAGATTTGGAGGGTCATAAGTGAGTGGGTCATGAAGGCCAAAGGTACATTACTGAATCAACTTGCAAACTGTGAGAAATGCTTGTTAGTTTAAAAGTAGTTTTAAAGATAAAACACTAATGATTAGCCACATGATTTTTGATAATATGACTTGCCCTTTTGAATTTCCACTAAACAAATAATTTTAGGATTAAGATTTTAGGTTAAACATGCTTTAAGCTAATAAGCATTTATCAATTGACCTTTCTAGATACATTTTATTTCCTTGGTGCACAGGATAGATAAGAAAATCCAAAGGAGTATGAATGAAAACAGTTACTGATTGCATTTCAAAATGAAGAAATTAAATTGTGTTTAATTTCTTTTATCCTTTGCCACTATTTGCATAGCTTTCATTATTTAAAGGGCCCAGCAAAAAATACTGCTTGTATGAATTAGCAGTAAACTTTTTCACTTGTTCACTTGCTACAGCTTTAAGCAATACATGTTTAATCAGAAACAGGCTAATTGTTTTTCAGATTTGTGTTGTGGTCTCTTGGCTTCCTGAGGAGGCATAAATAAAACCACTAAGCCACATCATAAAATACTTTATTTGCTTTGAGGTATTGGTTATTATTATTATGAGTGATATACATTCAGAAGAATGGACACGCTAAAAGACAACTGCGTCTTATGTTTCTTAACTGAGTGTAAATTTCTGGTTGTCCTACAGAACAATAAACTTTTGAAGACTGAATTTATGCAGTTTCAAGGCAAAAATTAGACATCAAAGTTGAGTTGAATGGTAGAGAGGTCAAGTAGTGGAGACGTGGGAGTATTATTCTGGGGTGATTTTGGGCTGTCTTTCTGGATATATATGAATTGAGTCATTAGCTGTTATTTGAACTTGAAACCATAATCTGAATGCATGGTACTTAGGATTGATGTGACCTCAATTTCCTTTTAACAGTGTTGAAACTGGGGTCTCTGGTCATCAGACTTTGTCATCTTCTATCTATATTCAACTTGAATGTGTAAATAAAGCAATGAATATTACTTTGTGCCTCTGTTGTTTATATAGGTGTTTATACACTCACAACTTCCTCTTGTTGAAGAGGTTGAAAAATTATTTGTACACTCACAACTTTCCTCTAGTTGAAGAGTTTGAAAAATTATTAATTATGTTTCCCAGATATGCTTGCAGCTGCGGTTTAGAAGAAATGACGATCCACCAATTAGACTGATTTCCATGAAATCTGAAAGGCGGGTGTGAGGGAGAAGTCATCCTTTTGTAGCTTTTAGCTGTTGCTGCTGGCCAGTGAGATCATGAAGATAGGAGGTCTCCTTAATTCAGCGCTCCACTGTCCATTCTCAAGCTTCCATGGTGTCAAGAAGCAGGGGCAGAGGTGCTGGCGTCATGATCTGGCTTTCCAGTCTCAGAATCACAGCTCCCAGTATTCATTCTCTTAGCTTTTTGGATGTGGGAAGGACCCTGGAGCCATGTCAGTGGAACGTCTCCCTTCCATCACAGCTCCAGTGACCACCTTAGTGAGGTTAGTGGGTCAGTTTTGTTTCTGAAGTCATTCCACGAGGTCCAGCATAGAAGCTGTTTTTCAAGCCCTTTCAATAATTTTGTCAGAAACAAATTTCCTATTTTAATCTGTCCCTGCTTAAAACCTTCAGTGTGGTTTCTGTGTCCTGCACTGACTTGAATTCCTCCTAACACATTAGGCAAGCAAATAAAGATGTGAATGTTGAAAGCACAAAATAGGGATTGATATCATCAATGTGAAGTTATACCTCCACTTTTATTTCCATTAAATAGTGGAGGGCCTGATGTGCCCAAATCCGAATTTACAAAAATCAGAGAGTAACTTTTCACAGTAAAACATGGTTTTTCATTTCATAATGCTCTGGACTGTTAAGAAAAGTAAGGGATAATTTATATTTGGCTATTTAGGATATAAGTCATTGATATCCTTAAAATGGTTTTAAAAAGCAGATACAAAATTTCAAGTTCCAGATATATTGTGGTAAGAGAGGAATGTAGCTGTATTTTTAAGAAGAATAAAATAATACTAAATAAATTTAATAATAACAGTGCAATGTTGATTTTTTTTCCTGTCTGGATAGACAAAGGGTTTATGAAGTCTGGGTGAGCAGACAGTTCTATAGACATAAGTTCTCCATGGAAAACTTTTTGGAGCCTATTCAAAGCAAGTACTGTCTGAGCCTGGTTAAAGTGATGGCTCAAACGATAGCCAGCCATGGAGCAAAGCACTGGCCTGGATACCAAGAACCTTGACTGACACAGGGAAGGCCTCATGACAACCATTGGACCTAAAATAAAGTACATGTACTCTATCTCCAGGTTTGGTTTCCATGGAAATTTGTGTTGATGGGGAAGCCTTAGATTGTGTCTTCCTGACCAAAATATCTAGGCAGTTCAATCAGTTCAGCCATTCACAGAGTGCAGCTGGTTGGATTTTTTTGTCTTTATGACTGGCACGAAGTGCTGATAGGATTGGTCAGGTGAAAAGTCAAACTCTGTGTACTTTTTGCAGGCTGATGGTTAGCAAATTTGGCTCATGGTTGTTTGATGGGATCATCCATGTCTGGAAGGGAACAGATGGTTTTAGCAATAGTTGGCATGTGCATTGAGAACTGAGTGGACTAGACAGGCCATGGGTGAATTAGGATATTTCCTAATCCAAATTTTTTATAGTTATTTAATAATATGCTTTTAATTTTTTTGTCCCCCTGAGGGAACAGGCAGATAACTCACCGGATTGGTATGGCTGTTTCATCATGTTTATGTTACATTTCTAGAGTAGAAATGAAAGAAGGACATGCAATATTGAGACTTTCTCTCTTGAGGAAGCAGTTTATAATGCATTTCCAGGGCATTTCAAATCAATTCAGTTCAATGTACAAGCGTTTATTGTACACCAAATCTGTATAGCTTACCATGCCAGATGTTAGGCATAAAGTTCAGGACAACAGGTATCTCTGTCCTTAAGAAGCTCGTGGCCTCGTGTTGTGGTTCTTGATCATGGCTGTGTGGTAGAATTACCTGGGAAGCTCTTTTAAAAATATATTTTTGCTTGGGCTTCCCTGCAGACCACTTATTATGTAATCAGAGTTAAGAACAATGTTTGGCGGAATAGGTATACATACACATAGAATGTGATGAATGCTGTAATGTATAGCTACAATTAGACGGGTATAGAGCTTTTAAGCACACTAACATTTTAAAAACCATCTTTTATAAGCATGTAGACAGAGTCTATGTGTCCTAAGTCCCGCGTAGCATTTGCTGCCATAGCAATTTGTACTTAGCCTTTCATAATACACATAATCACATTTGAAATGACATGTCATGCTTCATCTTCCTGGGTAGATGGAAACTCAGTGGGAGTAAAGATCTTGTTGCTCTATTATCTAACACAGTGCTGTGCACATAGTAAATGATCAACAGATAATTTTTAGTTAAATGAATAAATAACTTTGCAAAAGGTAAATTACTGTACTCATGTAAATCATTAATCATTACTAATGAGATTCTCACCTATATTCTGGGGTCATGGATTTTTCCTGAACAATGCTATCGAAAGTATAAGTCACAGATCTGCTATGAATGCTGGGATTCAGAACTACTTTTGTACATTTTGCTTCAGGCAAGCTGGCCTTTCTACTGCACTGAGGAAACTAAGAATGTTTTGTGCTTAGAGATTTTATTTTCTACTCTTCATTTCCACTTAAAAATTTTTAATTATTCTTTTATATTTTTTCCAACATCATAGTAGAAGATATTATCTCAATTATCTGCCAAATCAAAAATGTATTTTTCTTAATTAAACTTTAATTGCTCCATTATCAAACTGCCGTTGTCATTCTTTTGGCAACATTCTATAATTTGATTTGTATTATATTAAACAACTCATCATTTCTTACTCATTGGTTAGGGGGAGACAGAATTTTGTGAGCCCTGTGACTCTTACAGCTAACAGTAAAAAGCCAGCTAACTCAGAAGCGGGAAATAATCAGTCAATTCACGCATTATACTTCTGTTTAGACTTCAACTCCAAAGACTACAGGTTAACATAATGCTTTATCTTTTCATCAGAAGTGTTTCCATTAAAAAAATGTGGTCAGAGTTTGGCTCAGTGTTCAAAATACAAAACATTCAAAATCCCAGAACTTTTTCTCTAGAAAATCAAACCAACATCTCTGTGAAGACAGAGTAATCTATTAACTAAAGAAACAATGTGTTTGAATTTTAAACAGAAGATAATAATTTCCAGACACAAATACGTATATATAGGACAATGGAAAAATTAAACTTATAACAATTAATAATATATACACAGATGTATAACTGGCTAAGAATAAGGAAAATCAAATTTTATATATATATATATCTCCAAGCAGGCTTGACACGTGTTTGGCTTTGCCAAGTGGAATACTGGCTAATAGTAGACTACCTTCTAATAATTCAAAAAGGCTCCCAGAACAAACAGAGGTCACCATGACCAACTGTGTAGACACCTGCTCTGGAAACAAAGGGAGTTAAAATAGGGCTGATGTCCAGGGAATCCACGAATGTTCTATGACTCATGGAAATCAAAGATGTGGATATTTCATGGTGAAGGAAAAAACATTCTATGACATTAAAATAAAAATGCTCACCTTTATGCTGCACCTTTATGTCTTTAAAGAAGATAACAAAATTGAAAT
Source organism: Homo sapiens (assembly GCF_000001405.40). Classification (NCBI taxonomy): domain Eukaryota; kingdom Metazoa; phylum Chordata; class Mammalia; order Primates; family Hominidae; genus Homo; species Homo sapiens. The sequence goes on along the minus strand of NC_000021.9, from coordinate 28,419,834 downwards.
TATTAAGTTGCCAATTCTAATTAAATGTTTGGTGATAGTGTAATAGGAAGAAATTGGAGTAGTTAGAAAATTCCCACCACACAGAATTTTACAACTTTTAACTATTTGATTATAAAAAGACAGCTTGGAATAGTGGATAAGAATCCAGACTCCAGAGCTGGACTGTCTAGGTTCAAATCCCTCCCTGTGTCTTACCCACTTTGAGTCTGTAGACACCACACCTAACTTCTCTAGACTTCAGCTTCCCTATCTGTGAAATGGGGATAATGACAATACTCACCTTGGTGGGCAGTTCTGGGGGTTAAATTAATTGATATTTACAAAGTGCTCAAAGAGTTACGGCCCATAGTAGGAGAACTATGTGTGATTATTTTATTAGATAAATAAACTGCTGGATATACACAATATGTATCTTTGCCTTAGGGAAACATCTGAAAATCCTCTTGGTTTTTGACAGAGCCAGCTGTGTGGTCAGGCCAGGGCAGCTCACAGAGCACACAGATTCCTTCCATACTTTCCCAGAAAAAAATATTTCCTGGAAGCAAGAACTACATGGCTTGCTCTCTGCATGACATCAATAGAAAAGCTGGGCCTTGATAAGGAGAATCCCATCACTGTGGCAAAAGTAAAGATATAAGAAATAAGACACTTCCAGACATGCCTTAGAACCTCCTATTTCTGTATTGTTTCTTCTAACCATTGGGATTCCCATCCCTTACCTGTTCAAGTGCATCCGCTGTGAAAATCCTCCTACCCACACCTCCTTCACAGGACAGAGCCAGCAATCATCTTCTTCTGGCCCAATGCCAGCCTGAAGTTCATACCTCTGGAGAACAGATTTAACACACTGCATTAGGGTCATCTGCTGTCACTAGCTGTGAACTCAAAACGGTTCTCTTTGGAGCCTTAGTCATTCTCTCATCCCCCCATCTATAATTCCTCACGTGGTTATTGAAGCCGTCGGCACTCCATCTCCCTGTCTAGCTCTGTGTTTGCTTTCACCAGAGAATAAAGGCTATTGGAAGCAAATGTTAACTTTCTGGCTTTTCTTCCTCACACTCATCTTCTCATGCCCCTTTTTTCACTCTGCCTTAGCAGAGATGTATCCATCACTATTCAAGTTCATGCTATCGTTCTGTGTTCTACCTCACACTTCTCTTCACCTCTTTGAAGAACTTGGTCCAAAAATTATTCTTTCTTTGTGTATCTTCTACTTTTTACTCTTGATTGATGTTATCTTCGGTCTTGAGTTTTCTTTATTCGTCTTTAAGATGAAACCTCATGGAGCTACTGTTTAGATGTCTCTATTCCTTCTCCTCTGTTGACATTAATAATCATTGCACTTTGGCCTCACACAGCACTAATCTGTTAAAATTTTTCTAGCAACCATCATCGAAGCCCTTCAAGGTGTTATAACCAAAAAGAAAATTGTTCCTCTTTTTACCTGACCCTCTTTATGACATTTTATATTGTTTACCACTTTATGCTCCAACTTTCATTTTTACATGAATTCTTTTCTATTTCTCTGGCCAATTAATTCTCAGTGTACTTTGTAGCTCTGCTTCCTCCATCTATACCTTACAGATGGAGATTCACCAGAATTTCATTCTTTTTTTTCCATTTTAAATAACCAAGGATTATTAATGGATATGGTGAAGTTTACCCTCCAAAAGATGTGTAAAAAATTGCATGAAAGTAAAAATAAATAAAGCCGTTGTAAAGCAGCCTTGTTTACATTGTAGCTCAGAACGAAACAAACATAAACTTATTTCTTTTGTCTTGCTACTCTGCAAGGGTAATTTCATTTTCTTACTTGCCTTCATCTGCGCTCAGTTGCTGATGAATTTCAAATTTATTCCTCCAACCAGATTCTTCCATTGCTTTTCAAATAAAAACATTGATTCCACCTGGATATCTTCACCTGTTGTTTCACTACTAAACTCATATTCTCCTCCAATTTACTCCTCTGCCGTCCTCTCTGTGATCCTAGACATTATCCAAGATGCCTCCGCTCACCTTACATCCAGCACCCACTCAAACCATCATCAAGTCTGTTAACATGCCTCCAGATATCTTCTCCACTGACTCTGTTGTAGCATCAGCTCATCAATGCATGCCATCTCTTGCTTCAAGTGCTGTATAATTCTCTCTGCTTTTAATATCATTCTTCACCGGTCAGTTCTCTGCTTTATGCCAGAAATCTTTCTCACCAGTAAATATAAAACAGCCTCTGATTGCCCACAGGATAGAGTAAAAGATATTTAGTTGAACTATGCTAACCTGTCTATACTCATCTTTCAATATTTAATCTCCTAACACCTTCATAAACACTCCTTCATAAACACCTGCACACCTGCGCGCGCGCACACACACACACACACACACACACACACACACACACAACACTGAATTACTCATATCAGCTGGGCAGGCTGCCCCCTCTATTGCTTACAGTCTGCTTTCTCTACGTAGAATGTCTATGCCCAGCAAATGCATACTTATGACTCCAGTTGCCATTTTAAAGTTCTTTTTTTCCTATGACTTCTCCCTTGAGTTTGTGTGTGTGTGTGGGGGGGGGGGGGTAAATCTGGATGTTTCTCTTGTTATCTCACAGCACTTCATACAGATCTCCATGACAGCGTCTCTCTCATCACATTGTAATTTTTGTCCACACAGGTGCTCTCCGCTGTATGGTAGGCTACTTGAGGGGCCATGAGCTTTCTTCTCCATTTTCTCAACTTTGGCCAGAAACACAGCCAGGTAAGAGGAAGACTGGGACAACCTTTGCAATATTTTAGAGATAGCATAAACTTTCCCTCATAGGAAAGAGAAAACAACCCTGAAAAAATTGTTATGTAGAAAGCCAAAGAGTGATTTTGCCCACATAGTTCCATCCATAGCACAAGGTCAGTGATAACACATAAGAAATTTAAACCATGTAGCAGGAGAAAAAATAGAAGGGATAGGGTTTCTCTAACAAAAAGACAAAGATTATGGTGATCATAGTGCTGGAGGTGGTTGCTGTAAATGGAGGTGTATTGATTAATCCAGTTTTTAGAAATATGTTAAACCCAACAAGGCCATTTGTTCTGTAAGGCATAGGCATCAGGGAAAGGAAAGAAGAGGGCAAATGAATATTGAGAAAGCATGTCATCTTAGAAACCCTTAGAGAACATGAGAACTTGATTAAGTAGTCAGTCAACCAGATATTTTTAAAAAGCCTATCAGACCCTAGGACATTGTTAGATACAGTGGGGATAAAATGTGGGCAAAACTAGCAAGTAAACCCAAACCCAAACCAACCAACCAACCAATAAAACAAACAAAGCACCCAAACATTGCCTCTGGTAGGGAAAGACTAAAATCAATTAAAAAGCATATGAAACCATAAACCATGACTTGAATAAATGTTAGGAAAAGGAGTTCTGTGGCACTGGGAAGGCACAGGCAATAAGGACTCTGTCTGCAGCTGGTTAACACAAAACTCCATTACAAACACAGGTTCCCATGTAAACCAAAAAAAAAAAAAACAAAAAAAAACAGGGAAACTGGAGAGGCTGAGCATATTTAATTTCTTGTAGGTTCAGGATATAATTTCCATCTGGCCCACCCTGAATTCTTTCAGCCCCTGGGCATGTGGGATTGGGAGAGTTTATTTTATGGCCAATGTTACCAGGAGTTACAAGTGATTGTTTAGGAGAGAAACTATTTTCTGGATCATTTATTGTGTATCTCCTATTGTGGGTGCTGTAGTAACACTAGCAATGGGAATAAATACTTTCAGAACAAAAAGTGATTGAAGCCAGTGAAGGGAGAGCTACTTATATCAAGGCCACAACCTGAGCGAGAGAAGCACATGATGCCACTGGAAATTGATAAAATCTTGTATAACTTCTCTCCCTCAGCGGATCAAAGTATTTCGTGCATCATTATTAATTCTTACACTAATAATATATGTATTGATATTGATTGTCAGTGCATACTTTAAAATTCTTATTTGGGAAAAGCGCAAACAGAAGATAGGTGGCTTATGGCATTGTGGGACTGACCGCACTAGGTCTGAGTTTTGGAATTTTATTTGGTAACTGGAAATGAATATGCGGATATAACCAGATTATGAAAACACTGAGGTCGCAGGTGTTGAAAGTGGATGCGGTGACAAATTATAATAACATCGAACATTTATTGGACAGTAGTTATGTGTCAATCGGTTTGAAAATTTCTCTACTTATCAAAGGCATTAATTTTGATTTCTTTTTTTAATTTTTAATTTTTGTGGGTACATAGTAGGTGTATATATTTATGGGGTACATAAGATATTTTGATATAGGCGTACAATTCATAGTAATCACATCAGGGCAAATGAAATATTCATTACCTCAAGCATCATTTTTCTTTTTGGTACAAACAATCCAATTTTATTCTTTAGTTATTTTAAAATGTATAATAAGTTATTATTCATTATAGTCACCCTATTGTGCTATCAAATACTACATCTTATTCATTCCACCTATGTTTTTGTCCACATTAACCATTCTCTTTCCTCTCCACCACAACCCTTAATAGCCTCTGATAACCATCATTCTACTCTCTATCTCCATGAGTTCAATTCTTTTAATTTTTAACTCCCACAAATGAAAGAGAACATACCAAGTTTGTGTTTCTGTGCCTAGCTTATTTCGTTTAACATAATGACCTCCAGTTTCATCCATATTGTTGTAAATGACAGGATCTCATTCTTATTTGTGGCTGAATAATACTCCACTGGGTATACATACCACATTTTCTTTATCCGTTCATCTGCTTATGGACACTTAGGTTGCTTCCAAATCTTGGCTATTGTGAACAGTGCTGTAATAAACATAGGAGGCTGGGTGTTGTGGCTCTGGCCTGTAATCCTAGCACTTTGGGAGGCCAAGGCAGGCAGATTGCTTGAGCCCAGGAGTTCAAGACCAACTTAGGTAATGTGGTAAGCCTTCATCTCTACTAAAAATATAAAATATTAGCTAAGTGTGGTAGTGCCAGCCTGTAGTCCCAGCTACTCAGGAGGCTGAGGTGGGAGGGTCACCTGAGTCTGGGTAGTTGAGTCTGCAGTGAGCTGAGATCACACCACTGCACTTCAACCTGGGCTATGGGAGTGAAACCCCATCTCAAACAAACAAATGAAACCCATACGAGTGCAGGTATATCTTCGATATACTGATTTCCTTTTTTGGGGGTATATACCTAGCAGTAGGGTTGTTCTATTTTTAGTTTCTTAAAGAAGCTACAAACTGTTCTCCATAGTAGCTCCATGGGAACATCAACAGTATTTGAGGGTTCCCTTCTATCCACATCCTCACCAGCAGTCATTATTGCCTGTCTTTTGGATAAAAACCATTTTTACTGGGGTGAGATGATACTTCATTGTACTTTTGACTTGCATTTCTCTGATGATCAATGATGTTGGGCACCTTTTTATATGCCTGTTAGCCATTTGTATATTTTTGTTTCTTATGCAGCCACTTGCCACTCCTATGGTATATCTGAAAAATGCTGGCCGGGCACGGTGGCTCACGCCTGTAATCCCAGCACTTTGGGAGGCCTAGGCGGGCGGATCACGAGGTCAGGAGATCGAGACCATCCTGGCTAACACGGTGAAACCCCGTCTCTACTAAAAATACAAAAAAAAAAAATTAGCCGGGCGTGGTAGCGGGCGCCTGTAGTCCCAGCTACTCGGGAGGCTGAGGCAGGAGAATGGCATGAACCCGGGAGGCGGAGCTTGCAGTGAGCCGAGATCGCACCACTGCACTCCAGCCTGGGCGACAGAGCGAGACTCCGTCTCAAAAAAAAAAAAAGAAAAAAAAAAAAAAAAGAAAAATGCCATGAACGCTATTCCTGTGCATTTTATTTATATTTGCTAACTGCAAAGAGTGCATAAGTGCAACATCACACAGGGATAATCTCATCTGGTTTTGAAACATGGGTTTTTCTCACTCCACTCAAAATTAACTTGTAGAGTAAAAGGGTAACATTTTAGCTAAAAATCAATAAAGTGAAAATTAAAACATTCCAAAACAAACATAAAAGCTTCTTGAAGTATATTAAAAGAGTCAAGAAATACTAGTTTTATTTGATAGGAGTTGGAAATATTTACATGAAGTACTGGAAAATGGTAAGAATCTATCCGTATTAGTCAGCATGAAGAGCAGGTTACTTAATTCAAATGCCCCAAATGGTCTTTAGTAGAAAGAATCAGTAGCACAATTCCTCAACATGGCAAGGATTCATGATATGCAGCCTAGCTAAAAATAAAGAATTCACACTGCTTCCTCTTGTGTTGGGACAGAGATTATTTTCTATAAAGGAACAATTTATTAGTTGGATCAATGCTGGGTTAAGCAGACACAGAAATCTTTGGTTGACTATGGGCACACAGGGAAAGTTAGTGAACATTATCTTTAAATTTCCATTCTCTCTTCAGAATAAAATGTGGAATTGGTATTTTTCTTCCATTTGAAGTCACTTGTGACATAACACTCCTGTTCTCTCCACCTCCACTTAAAAAAAAAATCTCTATTTTTGTTAACGTGCTTCTCGGCCAGGAAAAATGACATTAGGAAAAACATTATACATGTTATGGAAAGGGCAGAAATAAAAGTCTCAAAGTGAAATATTCTTAATGAAAAAAAGTTATTTCATAGCTCTTTGATGATAAAAAATACCACCCAATTTTTTGAAAACTTTTGTATTTAATTTTACTCCCCACCACCTTTTAGGGGAGTTGGAATACCGATTTCTTTGATGGACAGATTTAATACAAATTACTGTTACTCAGATCTAGGAAATTTGTTCCCTATAGTAGAGAACCCAAATGTGTTCATAATGAACATATTTTTAGATATGAAGAAGAGGAGTAGGTCAATTTTCTTTTTCTTTTGACAGTAAATATTTGGTTACCCTTGCTTCTCAAATGAAAAAGTACTTTAAAACATTTAAAATCATTTTCCACCTATGATGTCTGAAATGTGTCCACATATGTACAGACTAAGGGTGTCTAGCATATGTTGACACATAGGCTTCATCTCATTTTCCTCCCCAAATAATTAAGGGTCACTTCAGAAGGAATGAAGTATGTATTCTTTTGAAATTTCATCTGCCCTGACATGCCAAAAAAAAAATAAAATAAAATTCCCAAAACTTTTCAAAGTACAATTGTAGCTAAACCATTTGGTATTAGTTATAATGATGCTTACTAAATTGAACCTCAGTTCCCAAGTTATTCTTAAGTATTTAAAAATTCAGATTGAAGATAGAGACATATTTTTAATAATTTGTTTAGTCTAGTAATTATCATCAACTTTTAACTTGGGCCGAACCAGCTCTCTCTGTGATTGGTGTCCTTATTATCTGTTATTACATTGTTATTAAACAGACATGTTCTCATAGGAAATGCTAGGGCAAGTTACCCCGGGCCTTTGAATCAGGATGTCTGTTTAACGGTTTAGTCATGTAACTGGATTTGAGGGTGCTTGGCAGAGTCCAGCTTTTTATCTGGCCCTTTTGGAGTGGATAATGGTGAGGGTTCCTGTGAAAAGAAATGGTCACTTAGAACATTCCAGAGCTGTCTTTTCCTTTTCTGAAAGGGGCAAAGACTTGTGAAATAAGCTGTCAGCTTTTTGGGGCTTCTCTATTGCTGACTAGCTCTCTGCGTACCCGATCACTTCTCTTGAACTCTTAACACCTCTGATGAAGTCTGTGGGTCCCAGCTCTTGGTGCCTCAGTTCAGCCAAATAGCTACAAATGTCCAGTCTGGGCAAGGTATTTTTCTAAAAGCAATAGGAAGTTGTGACCTCAGCTACCTTACTGTTGGGAGATGGTGGGGGGAAGGAGTGGGCAAAAGCACATTCAAAACCACTGTAATAACAGATCTCCCAAGTACCATCTGCGAAGTGGAACCTGAGGAAGAGTTTAACGGAGGAATTGACACTGGAGAAGGATTTTGACAAAGACCAAGTAGAAAGTCTTCTAGGCAGAGCCAACATTTGGTTTTAGTTTCCTACCAACTGGCTCCAAGTTACATTTCCAGTATTTGTATTTACTATTTAACCTTTCATTTAGTCCAAACTTATGCACATACATGGGTTAAGAATTATTTAGTTCTAGGGGAAATGCAATAGTCACGTAAGAAGCTTACAGTCTAACAGAGGAGAAAATCCTGGTTTCAATGGGAAATTCTTAGAGAATAAGCTTTAAATTGGGAGATCTCCATTGTAAACTGAGGTATTGTTTCAAGTATTGAAAGTACTGGATTTGAGATGAGTGGAGATGGACATGCCAAGGAATCAGTTACACACCTAAGACTAGAGAACTCACCAGAGAGGCAGACCTGGCAACTGCCTGGCTTGCTTTATTCATGTTTTCATTGAACAAGGAGGTTTTGATTAAGTGTGGTGGGTTACAAATTATGCTGGGCATTGGAAGCAGAGGAAAGAGATAAATAGTGACTGTCTTTTTAAAGTATTCACAACCTGAAAGAAACAGGAGACTAAACCTCCAAAATCAACTCTTAAAACAGAAGGAAGAGGAGCATTTGCCTTAAAATAGGGAGGTAGGAAATACTTATTAAGGACTTTAGCAGAGTCTTGGAAGACTGGCAGATATTAAAAAGTCTCACAGGATAGGAAGGTCATTCCAGGTGGAGGGAAGTATATGCAAAAAGTCTGTGCAATGTGAGAGAACATGAATTAACTAGCAGATTTTTTATTAACTATGGGAACTGCACATAGGCTAGATGGTTGAGGGTGGCTGGTGCATGTGAGAAGACTGTCACATTTGAGAGGAGAAGAGATGGTGGGGATAGAACATGCAGGGTTAATGTGAGGGCGCTGCACATTCCTGTGAAAATGGGCCAGCAGCATAGAAAAGCGACATTTGATAAGGGATAGTCAAGGCTTGGAGTATGGCTGCATTCCAGGGCAGAAAATATATGGAGATAGGGTTTGAGGAACAGACCTTTTGAGTTGAGTAATGCACAGAGATGTTTCTGGGGAAGAAAATGAGGAAAAATAACTAGAAATGGTTAGAAAACATAGAGAAACTAAGGCAAAAGATTAAGACTGTAGGTAAGAAAAAATGTTAAGAGAAAGTGTCAAATGCACTGAAGATGTCCTGTAGAATAAAAGACAAAAGAAGAGAGAAGGTCACCTGTTTTGGCAATAATATAGTCATTAGTGAACTTTGCAAGCATGCACTTGGCACATTGTTGGAAATGGAAAGCAAATTACATGGGGTAAAGGGGAAAGTAGGTGGAGAGGAAACAGATGTAATGGGTGTAGAAAATTCATTTGAGAAATCTGGCAGAGCTCTTGCCTGGAAGTGAATGGCCAGTGAGATGACAGTTGATAGCTAAATGAGGAAGCATGTTGTCATTTACTCTTATACATAATCCATGTGTTTCAGCCTGAATTGCCTAATCTCAGTCCCTGAACGTGTATTTGGCATTTCCTCTAGCGCACTTCTGTTCAACTCTCTAAATTATTTTTGCTTCTCTTTTCTTTTTAATCCAAATATATTATTGCCCATTTCATTTAAGACCATGTTGTGAATATATAGTAAGCATCCAACATATTTAATTAGTCGAAAACCTTCCCCTCTTTCATTGTTTTTACTGCCAACATCAGTCTGTTGCAACAGAAAAAGAATAAAACGGATTAACGGCCTCCAGAAAATATAGGCATTTAAGATCTCTCATAAAAGAGATATCAAATCTTATCACAGTGAAGGCATAAAATAATTATTTTCTGCTAGTGTCTATGGGAGACACTCAAGTAAGAACTGTGGTTTTAGGTTGACTATCCATTCAACAAGGGATCAAAAACAAACAACTCACCCTCCCCTCAACTCATCATCTAAAGGGACTAAATTCACATTTTGAGTACAAAGCTGTCTTGGGGTGACAGTTTGTAGATTAAGACATGCAAAGACCTAACATTTTTTCTTCTATTCCTTCTGAAGAAACATCTATAATTTAAAAAATTATAACCTTCCAACCAGAAAAACAAATATTAATTTTACATTTATTATAGAACAGACATTGTGCTAGGAGCTTTCATGTATGTGATTTCATTTCCCTTCTCACATCAACCCAGAGAGAGAAGGGGAACATTAACATAAATTCAAAGACAAGTAAATTGAAGCTCGGAGATAACTGGAAACAGGCCTCAGGTGACATTTAATATACAGTGCTTCAAGAGTAGAATGATGGTTTCCATGGGCTGGGGTGTAGAGAAATGAGGAGATATTGGTCAAAGAATACAAATTTCCAGTCTTAAGATGTATGCATTCTGGGGGTCTAAAGTACAGCATGGTGACTGTAGTTAACAATATTATGCGGTGGCTCATGCCTGTAATCCCAGCACTTTGGGAGGCCGAGTTGGGTGCATCACCTGAGGTCAGGAGTTCAAGACAAATCTAACTAACATGGTGAAACCCCATCTCTACTAAAAATACTAAAATTAGCTGGGCATGGTGATGGGCACCTGTAATCCCAGCTACTCAGGAGGCTGAATCGCTTGAACCTGGGAGGTGGAGGTTGCAGTGATCGGAGATCACGCCACTGCACTCCAGCCTGGGCAACAGAGCAAAACTCCATCTCAAAAAAAAAAAAAAAAAAAAAAAAAAGACAAAGAAAGAAATTTGCTAAAAGAGCAGATTTCAAGTGTCTTATCCCCTCCTCCACCCTGCTACACATACAAGCGATAACTATAGGTTGTGATGGATGTGTTAATTATTTTAATAGTGGTAGTCAGTACACAATATATACAATATGTCAAGTCATCACGCTGTGCACTTTGAATATACACAACTTTTATTTATCAATGAAATATTTTTTTAAAAGACAGTGCTTCAACATTGGTATTATTGTTACATTGCATAACCATTTTGTCCCAAAGTTTATAAAAGTCACTGAAAACTTGATTTTTTTCTAAAAAGACTACTTACTATAAGCACTGGAAGGGCTTAAAATAAAAAAGACTCAGCTATTTGTGATATTTGTGATATTTAAAAGAAAAGACTCAGCTATTTGTGATACATGTTATGGAAAATATTAGAAATATTGACATCAAAGATAATAGACCTGCTATTGGTGATTCCACTACATTTCATTCTATCACATAGTACTTCAACTTTTTAATAAATGAATGTTTTCCTGTATGTGTTCCCATTCAGTTTGGGGAACTGAGTACTGGAAAATCCAGAATCTTACCGAAGTGCTTTTAATTAGTACCTTCTGGTTTGGAAAATGCACTGAACAATGTCTGCTTGAAAAGTTTGAACATAACAAAGTGTTTCTTTCTACTAAGATTGACCAGCCCTGAACATGCAAAAATATCAGAAGAAGAGTGCAAATGGAAAATAAAAGCTACATATTATAGCAAGAGTTGGCCCTGTGAGTTTGGAATGAGGGTCCCCGGCTCTGGAACACAGATGTCAAGCATAGCTGACCAGCTCTGGAAGTTTTCAGAAATTTCTGGCTGGTTTGCTGGGGCCTGGCTGGCTGTCCTGGAGGGGCTGTTCTTTGGGTTCTCCCTGGTCCTGAGAATAGTCAGCATAGCCAGCTGGCTTCTACATCTAGCCAAGCTGGCAGACAGATTGATTCTACATTTGGGGGACCAACAGTCGACAAGGCCCATGATCAGCCAACCCACGAGCAAGGAAGAAGGTGATAAATTAGCTGAGGAATTCCAGTCACAGGTGGAGAACCGAGTAGCATGAACGGATGCCTGTCTTCACCAGTACTGACTCAGGTACCACTGAACTTGCATATTAATGCACTTGGTAACTGAGGCCCAATAGAGAATGAATGGGCTTAAAGTGTCATAATATGGACATGACAAAGATTATTCCTTTGACCAAACTCTAGGTAGTCTCCATTGGGCCTTCCTCTTGGCTATAAAAACTCTTGATCTTGGCCTATAAAAACTCTCAGCATAGATGATTTTGTCTGTCTGTCCCATCCTCTGGCATTAAAAGGCTGAAACAAACACTAGCATAGTTTCTAACATTTCAAGGTTGCATCTCTAGGATGATCCCAGTCCCCTTACAGAGCCTACCTGAGAAAGTTCAAGGCTGCCAAAAGAATTGACTGTCATAGCCAACACCTGATTATAGAGCTCTGACAATTCTTTTCAAGCATTTTCTAAAAACTGTTCATGATTGTGAATCTTTCATCCATCCCTTTGAGATGTATATGTATCTCCTACAACACAGAAGTGTGTTTTTCAAGGACTTGAAAGCCATTCCTTTAATATGTAACAATTAGGAAGAGGAAAGGGTCTCTGACTCCCAGTCTCTGTGACAGGAGAGAATTCTAACTTGGGCAATTTGCAGCCAACAGATACAGCTGGTTTAATTGACATTTAGTGACCAAGTCTCAGTAATTTTTCACTTCTGACTCTACTGATAGGCTACTAGACCCCTTGTCAACCTTCCCATTCTCCCTTTAAAATGCTCAGTTACCTCTGCACAAATCAAAGTTGAGTTCAGCCTACACTGGACACTCTTCTGTGCGGCAATAGTATATTACTGATTACAAATTTGTCTTTACCACTGTAGTGTCTGGCTTTGTTTACCTTTTATAGACATACACATTAGTCTTTAGGAAATTAGCTTTAAAATGATCCAATACCAAAGTATAAGCACGATGACTTCCTTAGGAAAGTTAATTTAGGAGGAGAGTTTTCCCAGGTGACTACAGCAGGCAGTCTCTGAGGTGGTCTGTGACATTTCCTACCTCCTGGTGTTTGTGACTTTGTAGAATTCCTACTTGTTGAATATGGGCTAGGGTATGTTACCTGATATGGTTTGGCTGTGTCCCCACCCAAATCTCATCTTAAATTGCAGCTCCCATAATTCCAACCTGTCATGGGAGGGACCCAGTGGGAGATAATTGAATCATGGGGGCTTTTCTCCCATACTATTCTTGTGGTAGTAAATAAGCCTCACAAGATCTGATGATTTTACAAGGGATTTGCCCTTTCACTTGGTTCTCATTCTCCCTTCCCTGTAAGATGTGCCTTTTGCCTTCTGCCATGATTGTGAGGCCTCCCAAGCCACACAGAACTGTGAGTCCATTAAACTTCTTTTACTGTATAAACTACCCAGTCTTGGGTATGTCTTTATTAGCAGCAAGGAAATGGACTAATACATTACCTCACTACTAATAAATAGAATTGACCCTTGAACAACATGGGAGTTAGAGGTGTTGATCCCCTGCACAGTCAAAAAATCTTTGTATATATATATATATATATATTTTTTTTTTTTTTTTGAGACAGAGTCTTGCTCTGTTGCCCAGGCTGGAGTGCAGTGGTGCGTTCTTGGCTCACTGCAAGCTCTGCCCTCCAGGTTCAGCTATTCTCCTGCCTCAGCCACCGGTAGTTGGGACTACAGGCGCCCGCCACCATGCCCGGCTAATTTTTTTTTTTTTGTATTTTTACTAGAGACGGGTTTCACCATGTTAGCCAGGATGGTCTCGATCTCCTGACCTCGTGATCTGCCCGCCTTGGCCTCCCAAAGTGCTGGGATTACAGGTGTTGAGCCACCGCACCTGGCCATCTTTGTATAATTTTTAACTTCCCCAACAGTTAACTACTACAGCCTACTGTTGAGTGGAAGCCTTACTCATAACATAAACAGTCGGTTAGCGCTTGTTTGTATGTAATATGTATTATATACCGTATTCTTACAATAAAGTAAGTTACAGAAAAGAAAATGCTAAGAAAATCACAAGGAAGAAAACATATATTTACTATTTATTAAGTGGAAGTGGAGCATCATAAAGGTCTTCATCCTTGTCATCTTCACATTGAGTAGGCTGAGGAGGAGAATGAAAAGGAAGATTTGGTCTTCTTGTCTTAGGGGTGATAGAGGCAGGAGAAAATCCATGTATAAGTGAATCCATGCAGTTCAAACTCATATTGTTCAAGAATAAACTGTAGAATGTGGTAGCAGTGATGGGTGTCACTTCTGAGATTAAGTTATTAAAAAAAACCTGTGGCTTCCATCATGAATGTGCTTTTGCCATCTCTTGCATGGTTCTCTTTGGAGAAAGTCAGTGTCCACGTCATGGGACAGTCATGCTGAGAAGCCCAGGAAAGAGGTCAGAAGCAAATCTTCTGAGTTCTCCCAACAACTGAGTGAGCTCGGAAGTGGACCCTTTGTCACATGAGCCTTGACATGACTGCAGCTGCTCTAGCTGACATCTTGATTGCAGAGTCATGAGATGCTACCTAGCTAGGTTGCTTCCATATTCTTAATCCATAGAAACCGTGAGATAAAAATGTTTGTTGATTTAAGCCACTAAGTTTTGGGGGCAATTTGTTATGTAGCAATAGGTAACGAAGACAGTGACCTACCTCTACCAAAGTGGCTTAGCCAAGTTTAGAATAAAATATTCCTATCCTTGCATGCAGATCTTACAATTAATTCATTGTTTGTATAGACTGTTATCATGTCTAATGCAGATATTTGAAAAGAATTATCAGGGCTTTTGTTTAGAGCAGAAGTTCTTTGCTATGATAAGAGGGACAGAAATGTCTAGTTTTATTTCTTCCAGAGAGTTTCCATTTGCTTGGATGTATGCCACGGATATCCATATTCAAATAAAATCCACAATTCCTGGACATTGGGGTGAGAACATACTTTGGGATATCACTCATTCACATTACAAAATAATTTCCTAAACCCATGTAAGTTTTGACTGAATACACTTTTAAATGTCTTGTGTGATTTATATTAATTCTTCTATTTCACCTGAGAGGTCAAGTACACATGATAGCTACTACTTCTGTGTGAATTTTCATTTTACATTTAGTCTATGTATAGATTGTCTTTTCACCATGCCAGCAGGGCTTGCTGTGGCTGAATCTATTTTTGTGTGTACAGGATTCTTCTGTGTTTGTCTTATCTCACTCCTTTAATCACATCTCAGCCACAGAGTGGCTACCACTTTCAACTTAATTTCATTTAGACTGCAACCAAGTGTCCAAAATAAAATACATCATCCATGTGAGCCCTTTCCATGCAGTTGAGAAATATTTTGCCTAGAGGTTGGAATATTAATTTTAGCATCAACATGCTCAGTAGCTTCCAAATTGGGAGAGTATTTTAACCAAAGCAAAATGCGAGTCCACAATTGTGATAGGAGATTAATGCCCCTCCCTCCCAAAGGTGTCCATGAGCTAATCCCCTATACTTGTAAATATGTTACCTTGCATGGCAAAAGGGATTTTGCAGATGTGATTAAGTTAAGGATCTTGAGATGGAAAGATTATCTTGGATTATCCACGTGAGCCCAGTGCAATCACAAGGCTGTTATAAGAGAGAGGCAAGAGGGTCCGAGTCTGAAAGAGACTGGAAGATGCTATGCTGCTGGCTTTGATGAAGATCTTCAAGGAATGAAGGTCAAATGAACTATTTAAGGAATGCAGGTAACTTTTAGAAGCTGGGAAAAGAATGGGAACAAATTCTCCCTTAGAGCCTTTGAAAGGAACCAGCCCTGATAACATCTTGGTTTTAGTCCAGTGAAACCCATTTTGAACTTCTGACTTCTAGAACTACAAGGTAATAAATGTCTATTGTTTTAAGCCACCAAGTTTGCAGTGGTTGGTACCCCCAGCAATAGGAAACTAATATGACCATCTAAATGGGGCAATCTAAGAATGAATTTTTCCATGTTTAATATTTAAAAAGCAAAATCTGTCTCTGGTGACATTCTTGGGATTCCTCATCTCCTTTATCTCACACTATGCCTCACTTTTTCTCGTGCCTATTTCTTTACCCATTAATTGTAATAATTACACGTGGACAGTTGCTTTTAAAAAATGTTCCATAATTCCACCTTTCCAGTGCACTACACCCACACAGAGTCTAGTACCAGTGGAATCTTGATGCATCTTGATTTATTGATCTGATTTATCACTATTTTCCATATTGCATATTTTATTAATAATTTTTCTGGAAAAATAATAATGCAAAATAAACCAAGATTTCTCTAAGAAATGACTGCCCTTTTGTTCTCTCTTTGTTCCCATTTTTTAAAAAAGATTTAATTTAAATTTATTTAAATTATGTAAGATGGCTCTCATACCAAAACTATTACAGACTGTAAAAAATATGTTTTGAGAGAAAAATAACAAACAGATACTCCTTTTCTCTTGATATTTAAGAAAGAAACATGAATTTGTTTCTGTCCAAAATTTTTGTATTCATAAAAATTAGTTGCAAACCCTTAAGCCTGACCCCACCTCCCCATCGGCCTCTGCTTTTCTGTATATTTCTATATCCTAACTTTATCCCTTTTCTATGTGTCATTTATTTAGACAGCCTGAGCAATGATGTTCCTCTAAGTTGTATGCAAGCATGGTGTGCTACAAGGATATATCTAATAAGTACTTTTGTTTTCCACTGAGATTTAAACTGCTTCTAAAAGATGGCATGGTGATCTCCCAACGTAATTATTCTAAAAAAAAAAGTGTTTGTCCTGAATAATTAGCTTTTAAAATTGATTTTTCAAACTGACAAGTAAAATAATATATATTGATGGCATACAACATGATTTTTTTGATATATGTATGCATAATGGAAGGGCTAAGTGAAGATATTTCACACATGCATTGTCTCACATACTTATTTTGTTGTGGTGAGAATACTTAAAATCTACTCTCAGGAATTTTTACGTATACGATGTACTGTTATTAACTGTAATCCCTATGATGTACAATAGATTTCTTGAACTTATTTATCCCATCTAACTGAAATTCCATGTGCTTTGACCAACACTTTCCCAGCTCCTCTAGCCCCCAGCCTCTGGCAACCACTTTACTCTCTGTTTCTGTGAATTCTACTTTTTAAATATTCCACATAAGTGAGATACTGTGGTCTTTCTCTATCTGAGCTTGGCTTATTAGTTTTTTGTAATTGGTTAGAGACAATCCTAACCTTTAGAAAAAGTTGCTGGCATTGGAAATGAGTTGGCATTTTCCTTTATAAACGTAAAATGACTCATGATATTCTGTATCATGCTCATATAAATATTTTACACTCTGAGGGTGAGGTTTATCTAAAAACAGGAGCTGTTTCTTCATCTGTAACTGGCTGTAACTTGGCAAAATAATCTAAATAATTAGTTCACTCACCATCTATGCTGTCTTAATAAGCAACTAAAATTTTTAATCTTTTTTAAAAATATTAATTTGGCAACCTATGGTTGTGATTTATTTTTATTTTTAACTTTTATTTATTTTTATTTTTTATTTTTTTTTGGACGGAGTCTCGCTCTGTAGCCCAGGCTGGAGTGCGGTAGCACGATCTCGGCTCACTGCAAGCTCCGCCTCCCGGGCTGACGCCATTCTCCTGCCTCAGCCGCCCCAGTAGCTGGGACTACAGGCGCCCGCCACCGCCATGCCCGGCTAATTTTTTGTATTTTTTAGTAGAGACGGGGTTTCACCGTGTTAGCCAGGGTGGTCTGGATCTCCTGACCTCATGATCCGCCCACCTCGGCCTCCCAAAGTGCTGGGATTACAGGCGTGAGCCACCGCGCCTGGCCGTGATTTTTATCTAGAAAAAAAAATGAGGCTCTTTCGGTGTCAGCCTTGACACTTTGCTTGACCTCTTTGTGCTATTCTCACTGTCTCAGAGGCCGTGGGCCCTCAGATGCTGTGGTTACGTCAAGCTCACTCTGCTCTGCAGCTGAGCTATTTTACATTAAGAAGCAGATGGTGTGGAAGCCTGGCACAGGCCTTTCGGTCCAAACGGCACTCTTTGATTCAGAACCTGCAGAAAAGGTGGGGTGAGTTTTGGGGATTAAGAAGGAAACTATACTTCGTATTTCCAACAGTTATTCTGAGTTACATAGGTGCTGTGATAAAAAGTAATGAAATGTAACTTAAGATATTTAAAATATTACAGTGTAGATGCAGGTAAAATAGTTTAACCAAGTAGAAGTAAAAATATTGTTTAGCTTTTGTAAGAAATTTATGCAATAATAACATGGTGGGCTTTTTTGTGAATTGTATTATAAACTGTGAGTAAGAGGTTGCCAGTATGTTCTATTGTGCGAATAGCTAGGAGCCCAAGAGGAGAGTCTCAGCCTGCCCAGAAATGCTAGGAATATTTTCTAATGTGGAAATATGTGGAGGATTGGTACAGAATAAGAAGAAGAATAGCTAGGCCTCCTCTCACTAACGTTGTGGGTAAAGTTGCTGCTCCTTTGTGGGACTCAAGAGGAAAATGCGAAGGCTGAGGGGTTCCTCATTTTAGGGAACAGCAACTCCCTTCTTTGCCCCTCTCCCCTCCCAGTAAAATCAGGTCCAAATGGTCATCCTGGCTCTTTTAATCTGACCAGTGACTGCTCTGCTTAGGAGAATGAGCTAACAAAGGGTCAAATATGGCATGAGTAGGTGTGTCTTTGCTTCTTTAGGTTAAGAGAGAAACAAGAGGAAGAAGCCCATGGTCTTTATCTTTGGTCGTGGCCATTTTATGTGCCACAGGTATGTTTAGAGGGCTGAGTGGAATAGCCTCAAGGATCTCAGATTAATTATTCCCTGTTGAACAACAGAAGTTAAAATACTTTAGTTTATTTAGTAGCTACAAGAAAAGTATGGAGATGAAGCAACTCAGTGGAGGGCTCCAGAAAATTTTGCTCATAAGTGGGTCAGATAAGGTTAAATTTCTATTTTGAAGACATATATTGTATAATTTATTGGTTTATAGGGATTAAGTTCATGGTATTTATCAGGTTTTAAGATGACTTATCCTCTTTATCTATATAGCTACCTATCACCAATCTATCACCCACCTATCTCAATAAACAAACAGCTATACAATCAGGCTTTTACTGTAAAATCTGAGTGGAGTTTGTTTAGATTTTCTCTTATCTCTTGGTTACACAAACAAGAATTACTAAGGCATTTAGAGAAGTATACCTCTCTCCAGAATATTCCAAATATAATTTTTTTAATTTAAAAATTTGAAAGTTATTTTGGGTTCTCTTTTTTTTAAATACAGCCAAATTGAAATATATGGTATGCTATTTATTATGTAATTTTTAATCCATTTGAAATATTTCAGATAAATATCTTACATTTAATGTTAGTTTTAAATACTTTTCTTTTAATGTTAGTTTTACTTTCTTCTGAATTTAGAAAATTATGCAGTTTTCCCCTTCTTAGCACAATCATACATTCAAATATGAATATTTACTTGTTTAATAGATTGGTGAAATGTAACCTACATGTTACAAAAATTCACTTGTACATTCTATGAAATAAATGAGGTCAAGAAATATTTGTGTAACAATGGTGAAATGAATGATGTAATGGTCAACTTGCAACCCAGCCTTTGCCTCTTTTATTTATATTACCTAATTCTGGAGAAATAATTTTGGAGAATTTTATTAAAAGTCATATTAACCACAAAGGTATTAAGCGAAACATGTCTGTCCTCAGACCACAGCACTGTTGAAAGATTTTTGGCTTTGTGGAGGACCCCACAGAAACCTGAATTGCCTGAGATTATTTTATTTGAATGCTGTGCTTCAGAGTTTTTAGTTTTCTGGTGCTTAAACTTTTGCTGCAAAGGGAGAAATAAATCATTGTACAGATAATATTTGGTAGCCCATCACATATATATCTTTTTAGCATATTCTAAAGCAAATTTTAAATATAATAGGATTCTGTATTAGTCTGTTCTCACACTGCTAATAAAGACATACCTGACACTGGGTAGTTTATAAAGGAAAGTTGTTTAATTGTCTCACAGTTCCACATGTCTAGGGAGGCCTCACAATCAAGGCAAATGAGGAGCAAAGTCACCTCTTACATGGCAGCAGGCAAGAGAGCTTGTGTAGGGGATCTCTCATTTATAAAACTATCAGATCTCCTGAGACTGATTCAATATCATGAGAACAGCATGGGAAAGACCCAACCCCATGATTCAATTACCTCCCACAGGGTCCCTCCCATGACACATGGGAATTCTGGGAGCTACAATTCAAGATGAGATTTGGGTGGGGACAGAGTCAAACCATATCAGATTCTAAGACATTGTAGTAGTCTATTTTCATGCTGCTGATAAAGACATACCCAAGACTGGGAAGATAAAAGGTTTAATGGACTTAAAGTTCCATGTGTTGGGGACACGTCACAGTCATGGTGGAAGGTGAAAGGCACATCTCATGTGGTGGCAGACAAGAGAAGAGAGCTTGTGCAGGGAAACTCCCCTTTATATAATCATCAGATCTCATAAGTCTTATTCACTATCCTGAGAACAGCATGGGAGAGACCTGCCCCCATGATTCAATTATCTCCCACCTGGTCCCTCCCACAACATGTGGGAATTCAAGATGAGATTTGGGTGGGGACATAGCCAAACCATATCAGATATCATCTCATTATTGTAGATGGGATGATTTATTGTCCACTCCAACAAGTATGTGTGTCATCCAGTGGTAGTTTGTCTGAACCAAGTAGGAAACTTAATATTGGAGTAAAATTTTAGTTTTCTCTTTATTATATAGAAGTCAAATTCTGAGTAAGAAACAGAAGGGCTCTGAACAAACAAGGGCATTTTTTAAAAGCTTAAAGTTTTTAACTCCCATAATCACAGATGAGTTCTTATAAAAAGAAATAATATATTTTTAAAGAGATTAGAGAACTACTGTGAATAAAAAAGATTTTTAAATGATATTACCAATATAACAAGATAATTTTCACAAAATGAAAAATAATGCAAACTCTGATCTCAAGCCATTTATGCACAATGTCAGTAAGAAAAGAACAATACTTAACAACTTGAATTTGATAAAATCTAATTATAAATTTTCTCAAAAAATTATGGTCTTAGTTTTGTGTTCGATCTAAGCATGATCCCATATGCATGAAATATGATGTTCTTTTATGACAGTTTTGTAAGAAGGTTTCTGAAACTTCTATGTTTAATACTTAGTTTTTTTCTGGTGGAAAAGGAAAGAGATGAAGTAAATGAACTCTATCATGGGATAGGACTATAGCTATATACTTTTCAAATAGATTTTCAAATCTTGAGTTTATTTATTTCTTAGGTTTTATAACTTTGATTAACTGTATTTAGAAACTATATGTCAAGTACTTCATAGTCTGTAATTTGCAAAGCCTCCTGGAGTTGAGAGATGGTTTCTATTCATGCCTCTAACTCATGGCCCAGTTTTTAAGGCAAAAAAAAAATTAGAGTGAGCAAGATAGATCATGTTCCATCTTTAGCAGATGGAAGAGGGGACTATGAAATAGCAATAGACACATGCTGTGGTGATGAGATTCAACCCTGCTTTCTTGGCTCTTGTGTAGTGAGCAACAGTCAGGAATGTCAGAGGACACAGATTACCTGTGAAGCTCGATAACAGGAAGCTTCATCTTGTACTATTCTCATAGCTGCAATAGTCCCATAACCAGAGTATTTCCATAGCCCAGAGGACTATCAGCAAACAGAAGAGCTTAGAGTTTATTAAACTGGTGTACTTCTCAAAAAAGATGGCTTCTTCCCTAAATGTCTAAATTTTTTTTTACATTTTAATTTTAGTATATATCTCATGTACCTATGCACTATTTATCCTCAGCCATTTGTTAAGAAAATCTAATTTTCAGCGGCTTATTTATTTTTTTTCCTGCTTTCAGAAAATGGGATGACATTGGCTGAGTCTCTTAGAGGTACTCCTGAAACTCAGGTATATGCCTATGCCTGTCTTTCATGGCTTTGGATAGTCTCACTTGGTAATGGTCTATAGACTGTGTGATCTTCTCTTTCCTTTCCTTACCCCCATTTTGTCTTTGCATTCTGAAATCTCTTGGCTTCTCTTTGTCTTCAGTTTTGTTTTTTCATTTTAACCCATCATCCGTCCTGCACCTAGTTCTTTGCTTTTGGCTTCTGTCTTCTGGCTATACACTTTTTATGCTCTTCCCACACTAACTACAATTTCATAGAAATCCATCACCTATACACTATGGTATTAGGTCAGATATCCTTCACCAAGTTGTCAGAAATGAAGATTCCTTGAATTTCCTTCATACTCCCCCAGCTCACCTTTGCTAATTGTGCTATTCAAATGACCTGCATACCTTAGCTAAATAAACTGGTCTTTTATATGCCAGTCTTTCAGACAATTAACCTGCATCCATTGTAAATGACAGGGATTTCCCCCCGCTTTTTAGTTGTCAAAGCAGGACAATCTAGCACCTTGAATTTTTTGCCTCCATAAAAAATTTCAAAAATAGACGTGGCTGTTTATCTTGTGAATAAGACTTTCAAATTTAGAAAAAAACAATAACTAGGTAGTACAGGAATCTATACTTTTAGTTCCTGTTGCTTTTGCCCTTCTATTAATTTATTTATTTGAAAAAAAAACTGAGAGGAAAAATTTGCCCTTGCTTCAAATCCCCAGGTAAATCTTGTTTGTTCAACAACTGTTGCTGTTACTGGAATAGTGATTATTCTCATTGCTTTAAGAAAGATCCCTTAGATCAAAGCTTGGCTTGGTGACAGCATGTTTTCTACTAATCAAATGAGGTCAAAGGGTAGACAGTATTTACAATGATTTCATGGATTAGGACTGTGACAGAATGAAATCTGATAAGGTTAGGAAAAACAGAGTGGATAGAGCAAATGTGGTGCATCTGAGAAACCTGAAAATTATCCATTAAATAGTCTTATTTAGACACTCACTTCAGCCTGGTTGGCTGCTAGGCATATTGCTGTGGAAGTCAAAATAACCAGCTCCTCTCCTGAGGATGGCAAAGAATGTCACAACTTTTAATAAAATAAGAGATAGAATGTCAAGCGATCATGAACAGAAAACAAGATAATCTAAAAAAAATCATATGTACTGGTTAGGAAAATACAATAATTATTAGAAATGGGCTTGTGCCTTTTTTTTATGCTATAATAATGCTGTCTAATTAACATCCACAAGACCATAATGCTTGTCATCCTAAGTGTCGGGTTCCAGCCCAAGCTGGGGACCGAGGGCAGTGGGTGGACAAGTGGCAGGGAGCTGGAAAAACACTTGAGGAATCACAGACGGTTTTGACACGGTTCTTACTCTATCTCAGCACAAGCGAGCCTGGGCATGAGCCATGGGTGCAAGCCACAAGCCTGGGCACAAGCCTGGGCATGGGCCTGGGCATGAGCTGCAAGCCATATGTAAAGCATTAGCAGGGTAATTATACCTTTTACAGACAATAGTGGCTTTGAGACAAGCACAAGCTCATGTGAGTGATCACCTAATGTGCCTCACACAGTGTTGGTTACATAATGTGTGAAGTTGTGCACTTACACTCCAAACCTACTGATTCATGCTGCGCTGGGAGGCTTCCTCAACCTACTGCAAAATAACATGCAGCCATTTCCCTTACACTCCACCCCATAGGCTGAAAGCATCCTCTGTGCAGGGACATGTGCCCAAAGGGCAGATCCCTGAATCCTTAACCCACAACAACAATAACAGGCTAACTTTCCATCCCTGGATAACAATGCACCTACCAAGGGCTTCTGCTCTGGCTGATAATACCACACCTTCCACCTCCCCATGGTTGCTTTGGGTCCTGTGTCTGTGCCACAGTCACAGGGGAGCTCATAATAGGCAACACAGATATTACATATGCCCCCCAGAGGAGGGTTCATCCCCTGGCTGTTTCCCTATGAACAGTCAACCATGGGGGGCATGCACTGAACAGCCAAGGAGTGACAGGCAATTCATACTGTAGGCACTTCTCCCAGGGAGCTATGATGGCCAACCACAGGCAGTTGGGGGGTTGGAGGGTCCATGGCCACAGCCAATTTTTCTGTTCTTCTGACTTCAGGGGCATCAGGACAGGCAACAATAGGTTACTGTTCATCCCTATACCTGGTCAGAGAAGGTCATTCTTCCTCCTATAGATCTTGCCACATGGCTTGGCCTACGTGGGCCGGTGAACAAATAGCTAATTTTGTAACTTCCAGGTAGTTAACCACAAGGTTAAGCCTCGATAAACTTCCCAGCTATTAGTGCACATTTCTATAGGTGTCACCTCCTTGGTGATCACCATCCATACTGCTTTAAGTTCAGCCCATTGGCTACTTTGCCCACACCCGGTTTCAAACCATATGGTGTCAGTACTAGGTTGGATTGCAACAGTGGTCCAGGCAGCAGTACCACCTCAGCTAAACCCATTTGTGTACCATGCCCCATTGGGAATGGAGGGATGTCCTTCTTTAAATGGTAAAGGCTCAAATTCTAGGGGTGCCTCAGGCCCCATGGCCTTATCTTGCATAGGACTGCAGCTCCCAAGACTTCTAAGGGACTTGTGCTCAGTGTACTCTGCTGCTCCAAGTAGGCACTCCACTTTGCCAAAGTGGATGTCTCCCCCATCCCAGTCCAGGGGGTCATTATCCATGAATGCACTCATCCTGCTATTGGGTAAGTTGTCTGCATGAAGATTGTAACCAATCCTGCCAAGCTCTCATGAACCTGAAGGGCAGCACATGCAGTTACTAACTGCTGCTCTATCAAGGAATACCAGAGCTCAGCTCCCTTTCATAGTTGGGATCAAAAGCCTACTGGTGTTCTCAAGCACTCCGTGTGCTGCCACAGGCCCCAGCTGAAACCATCTGTGGTCACATGCACATCCAGCTCGAATGGGAGCCCCTGCTCAACTATCCACAGGGCTTATTCCTGCTGAATAGCCCACTTGGCTGCCAGGAAGGTGGTCTCAGCTGCACCATTGCAATCTCAGGCAAGAGGAGCACTGCCGATTCTAAATCTGCAAGAGAATTAGAGGTTAGCTTGATAGCATTAAAAAGACCATGGATAATATCATTAACAAGACCATGACATATGGTGGGGCTATGCACATAGCCCTGCAGTAACACTGTGAAAGTCCATTGTCACCTTCCCATGAAGGCAAATTGTTCCTGACTCTGTAAAAAAAAATGCATTAGTCAAGTCCACCCCATAGTGGTACTGTCCCAATTCTGTTGTCAAGTAGTCCATCAAATATGTGATAGATGAGACAGCTGTCAAGCTGTGTAAAGTGTCCACCCCCAGAATGTATACAGGTATGGGAGAGACATACACAGTGCATAACCAGGGGCCAGGTGGCTGATGCCAAGGTGCAGAGATACAGATTTCACTTTCATTGACCATAGACATTTCATAGCTGTCTATGCAGCCTTGCCTGGAAACTTATCTGGGTGCAGGGACCAGTGGCTTGTCAATTTCACATGTGGCTTCTGGTTGCCCAGTGTCCCCTCAAGCTGGGCACCTCGGCCAGTTCCCTCATAAACAGAAAAGGCTTTACATCCCTGCCTTGCTTCAGTACATAGTCTTTGAGCTGGAACACCCCAGGTGGGACCAGATCACGCAGCAATGTCCTTCTCCCCTTCTTCCTCTTGGGCATTTTCTGGAATTGCTGTTCCAGAGGCAACTGTCTCCACAAAGTTAAGAGTACTTCATTGGGCTGCTTATCAATTTTCTGTTTCTCAACCCTGGCCAAAATCAAATCTATCCACATCTTTGAGTGTGTTACTGGTTGGGGTCCCCTATTTTCCCATGGGCATCTTCCCCTTCTTTACTGCACAGACCCCTCGGTCCCACCAATGGCCTCCAGGCCTGCATTCACAGCAGCCTCTAATTCCTTTTTCAAGCTCTGTAGCCAGGCTTCCAGGGGGTGCCTGGAGGTCCCCATTCATGGCAGCTTCTAATTCTTTTTCTGAACTGTGTAGCCAGGCCTCCAGGTGCCTCGCCTATGTCTGCAAAGCCCTTACGTCTGTGGCATCCCTCAGGGACTGGGTGTGTACTCCAAGCGCAGTCAAAAATGCCCATCCAATTCTGCCAGCAAAGGCTCCTTCCTTCTCAGTGCTCTGTGCTTCCAGCAACTTCAGGGCCTTCTCCATGCTCACAAGGGACCCACCTACCACCGCCCAGTCTCCACCAGAGCCCATCCTCACAGCACAGCTGCAGTCTGGTACCACAACCCATGTTGTGGCCACAGAGCCAACCAAGAATCAGCGGGGACCAAAGGCTCACCCACCTTGGGATCCTGTTCGTGATGCCAGTTTTCATGCCAAGTGTCAGGTTCCAGCCCAAACTGAGGACTGAGGGGAGTGGATAGACCAATGGCAGGTAGCTGGAAAAATACTCGAAGAATTGTACACAGTTTTGACATGGCTTTTACTCTCTCTCTGGGCGTGAGTGAGCCTGGGTGTCAGCCGCAGGTGCAAACCGCAAGCTGTATGTACAGCCTTAAGTAGAGTAATTACACCTTTACAGACAATAGTGGCTGTGAGCCAAGTACGAGCTCAGATGAGTGATCACCTAATGCACCTCACGTGGCATGGTTATATAACAAGCAGAGTTGTGCGCCTGCATTCCAAACCCTGCTAAGTCATGCTGCACCAGGCAGCCACCTCAGACTACTACTGAGTAAAGCACAGCCATTTCCTTCACAGTGGTATGTAACAATGAAAATTTATTTTTGTTTGTGAACTTAGGACTGGGTTGGTGGTTCTGCTGATCTGGGCCAACCTCAGCTGATCTTGGTTAAGCTCACTCTTGCATCTGTGGTCAGTTGGTGGGTCAGCCGGGAACTGGTTGAAGTTGTCTTCAGCCGAGATCATTGGTCTCTGTTCCATGTGGTCTCTCATCTTCCAGAAAGCTATCTAGGGTTTGTTCTCCTAGCAAAGGTGACATTCTGAGACAGTGAAAATGTGCAAAGGGCTTTTTGAGGCCTACCTTCAGAAGTGGTTAGCTGCCACCTTCACCAGATGCTATTGGTACAAAGGTACAAAGCCAGCTCTATATTAAAGACTTGGAGGACAGGCTTCATGTCTTGGTGGAAAGAGCTGCAAAGTCACATGGCAAAGGGAGGCCATTAATTGGGGCCAAAAAAGCCATCTGCAGCAGTACTTATGCCATAATCAGCTGCAAAGTAAAAGTCACTGAAGAAAAATATACCCCTAAAGCCAAATAGGACCAAAGTAAATTAGAAAATAGAGCAAAACATATATCACTAGAAAGTAAGGCAGAGGGACTCTGACCTCAGTGAGTCTTCTGGAGCTCAGAGTCTCTCCACTAGAGCTGGTTCCTTTATTACATTGCTTAACCATCGCACACAAGCTCACAGTTTCTGCTAAGCCAGGAGTTATTTATCAGTCACAGCTGGGTTAAGTGTGGTCCTTCCTGATGCTGGTTGAGAATTGGTGATAACACTGACCTCACACTGCCAGGCATTCTAGTTCTGAGTAAAACTGAGGAATTAACCTGAAGGATTTTTCCACACACAATAAAAACACTAGAATGGAACAAAATAGTGGCCCAAATTATTAGGAATATGTTCTTTGAAGCACAAGAAATAGGCTGTCCATGTTTCTTTATATTATTGCATCTCAGAAGAAGAAAGGCAGGCTATTTTTTAAAATTTAAAAAAGTAAATACATGAAACATTGGAATAATTTATGCTGGGATGATGAGGCATCTGTGGACATGAGAGAACAGTGGGTTTATTCCAGAAAGGCAAACAAAAGGCATGTGATACAAATATGTAAAGGAAGGTTTGAGAAAAGACAAACACTCATTTCCTCTTAAGGGAAGAAGTAAAAGAGAGGCTTAATTTGAAATAAGGAAAATGATGAGTAATGGAAAACGCTGTAATTAAAACCAATTGAACAATGAAATCCGTAGCTAAAGGTAATTTGCAATTCTTGCCAAAGAGAATTAAGGACTGGGCTCAAACTATCTACAGAGATTAGTAGAGAGAGCACAATTTGTATATTAGGTTGTTAACAATAATCTCATTTAACTGGCTTAGTGACTTTTAACTTTCAGGTTTTGGGGTACATGTGCAGGTTTGTTATATAGGTAAACTTGTGTCATGGAGGTTTGTTGTACAGATCATTTCATCACCCAGATGCTAAGCCTAGTACCCAATATTTATTTTTTTCTGCTCCTCTGCTTCCTCCCATCCTCCACTCTCAAGTAGGGCTGAGTATCCATTGTGTCTGTCTTTGTGTCTGTGAGTTCTCATCATTTAGCTTCTACTTCTAAGTGAGAACATGCAGTGTATTAGTCTGTTTTCACACTGCTGATAAAGACATACTTGAGACTGGGAAATTTACAAAAGAAAGAGGTATAATTGGACTTACAGTTCTACATGGCTGGGGAGGCCTCATAGTCATGGCAGAAGGCAAGGAAGAGCAAGTCATGTCTTACGTGGGTGGCAGCAGGCAAAAGGAGAGCTTGTGCAGGGAGACTCCCACTTTTAAAACCATCAGATCTTGTGAGACCCATTCACTATCATGAGAAAAGCATGGGAAATATCCACTCCCATGACTCAGTCATCTCCCACTGGGTCCCTCCTACAACATGTGGGAATTATGGGAGCTACAAGATGAGATTTGGGTGAGGACACGAAGCCAAACCATATCATGAGGTACTCTGTTTTCTGTTTCTGCATTAGTTTACCAAGGATAATGGTCTCCAGCTCCATCCATGATCCTGTAAAAGGCATGATTTCATTCTTTTTGATGTCTGCAGAGTACTCCATAGTGTATATATACCACTTTTTCTTTATCTGTTGACTTTTGTGTATTTATATTGTAGCCATTCTTATTGTTTTTTAACCTTATCTTAGTAGAGATACTTTCTTGTTCATCAAAATACCTTCATGGCTGACTTAATTCTTTGCACAGTTCCTTGCTTCTAGATTTCTAGAACAACCAGCTAGTAATATTCTAAGGTCTGCTTTTAAATTTTTCTCTAGGAGGCTTTTATAAAACTGAAATGAAAGCCTGAGTATTGGAGAGAACATTTTGATGCCACAGACCTATTATTTATGGACATTCAGGCAGGAGTTAGATTCCTGGATCAGAATTCCAGCTTTCCTGACAAGGTTTCTGTATTTGTGAAATGGCAATGAAAATAAACGTATTTACTTATACAAATTAGATACTGTAGCAGAAGCGAGAGAGAAAAAAAACACCTCAACTGCTTAAAAATAAGAACAGTAACTATCATCCGTAATAGGAAGTCCTAAGTCAAGGATGCCCCAGTCTCATGATGTCGGAAAGGTTCTAGATTCTGTCCACTGTTCTGTCATCTACAGGGTCATTTCCTGTTAGATATCACACCCAGCAGAGACAATGTTTAAATGATGAAGATTTTTTTTTTCTGTGTGTGTTTTTTTAAACATGTTGTAGGCTGAGTCATGTCACCTCCAAATTCATCAGTTCTAACCCCATGTACCTCAGAATGTGACCTAATTTGGGGATACTGGTAATTACAGTTAAATAAGGTCACTGGGGTAGGTTCTCATTCAATATGACCAGTGTCCTTCAAAGAAGAGGACAGATAGACAAAGAGAAAAGACCAAGGAGAAAGAACTTAGAAGAAATCAACATTGCCAACATCTTGATCTTGGACTTCTAGCCTCCAGAACTAAGAGAAAATAAATTTCTGCCGTTTAAGCCACCCAGTCTGTGGTAGTTTGTAATGGCACCTCTAACAAACTAATACAATGTGTGAAGAAACTTCATTCTAGAAACCCCCTCAGTAGCTTTCTTCAAGTATCATTGGCCACAATTGTGTTCCATGTCTATTCCTGATCCACTCACCAGCAAAGGGGTTGGGATTATCATCACTGACTTAATGAAGACCCAGCTTTTTGTAAGATACCAGACACCAGAAAATAAGAAATGTTTTTTTTTTGGAAAGGAAGAGATGTTATGGCAAGGAAGAATCAGCATTCAGAGAAGTCTGTTATGCTATCTTGTAAGTCATCATGAGGATTAAACCAGACAATGTGTGAAACACTTAGTATGGTGCATGGCACACTCAATTTACTATTATTATTAAGCTTCATTTAGCTGGAGTTTACAGGATTCATGCCTAGCAATTCTTTAGAGGAAAATGTTTGTTATTTCAGTAACACTTCTTATATGTTCTTTTAGGAACATGTATTATACAACATTGCTTGTACTTCCAGCAGTGTTATAGTATAATTCCAACATAGTTCTAATAATAAATAATAATTGGATTAGCAGCTTTATGATCTCATTTGAAGAATGTATTACATAATAGCTGATAATTTATTTATATCCAAGCCTAGACCCTTTATTATGAAATGACCTTTTGAGGCCAGGCGTGGTGGCTCATGCCTGTAATCCCAGCACTTTGGGAGGCTGATGCAGGTGGATCACTTGAGGTTTGGAGTTCAAGACTGGCCTGGCCAACATGGTGAAATCCATCTCTACTAATAATACAAAAAAATCAACCAGGCATGGTTGTATGTGCCTGTAATCCCAGCTACTCAGGAAGCTGAGGCACAAGAATCGCTTGAACTGGGGAGGAGGAGGTTGCAGTGAGCTGAGATCGCCCCACTGCACTGCAGCCTGGGCAACAGAATGAAACTGTCTCAAAAAAGAAAAAAATAAAAAAAATGATTTTTGGAATTGAAATGCGAACTCTCTAGTGGGTTTAATGATGGTCTCCAAAAAGCTTTGTTTATATTTCAATGCTTGGAACCTGTAAATGTTGCCTTTTTTTGGAAAAGGAGTCTTTGCAGATGCAGTTAAGGATCTTGAGATGAGGAGAACCTCTTGACTTATCTCAGTTTGTCCTAAACCCAATAACAAGTGGCCTCCCAAGTAGCCCATTGAGGAGTAGAGAGGCACACAAGAAAGGCAATTTGAAGATGGAGCAAAGAGGTTGTGGCCACAAGCCAAGGAATCAAGAAGCTGGGGAAGACAAGGGAGCATCCTTCCGTAGAGTCTCCAGAGGGAATGCAGCCCTGCTGATGCCTTGATTTTGACTTCTGGCCTCCAGAGCTGTGACTGAATACATTTCTGTCATTTTAAACCACCAAGTTTATAGTAATTTGTCACAGCAGCCTTAGGGAATGAGTGCAAACCACATGCCTGTTGACCTCAATTATTTCAATCGATTATTTGGCACATATAATTCCTGAATTATTTATTATGATTTTTTAAAAACAGCCTTCTGTGTGGAATTTATTTAGGAGTAAGCAAAAGAGGAAGCCAAGTTGAGATACCGTATGAGTAGAAATCTGAGTGTCTAATTTGCCAAAACTTTTTCATCTCCTCCAAGGCTGCCCACCCAGAGAATGAGGATTTATTTTAAATGCCAAAGATTTCACAGATGAACACATACTAGTTATTTACTTTTTATATCTGTGACTAGGAAAATACATTTTCACCTCAAGACACTTTGCAAGCATTATTAACTTCCGTTTGTTAACTTTGAGCTTCCAAGGGCCTATATTTCATTGAACCACTTGCAATTACCCATAGCTACTCAACTCCATTTCTCCATTTCTGAGAGGACAGGAAAGGAGAGGAGAAGCATGGGAGAAGCGAGGCAAGGTGAGAAAAGGGAGAAAAGGAGAAGAGAGGAGAGGAGATTGAGCTGCTCTTTAAAAAACAGCTATAGCATTATGCCCTTAAAGATAATTTATTCTATTAATCTCTATCTTTTCTTTCACATAAGTTTTATATCACATATAACAACAAAAAATGAAATTCAGTAAATAATTGGGTGATTCTTATATGTGGCTTCCTGTACCTGTACCTATGTACCTAACCAAGTATGAATAATTCTGACATTATCACAACAAAGCTTGATATTTGGGGGAAAAAAGTCCCTGCACTTTTAAATCAGATCAGGTACATACTGGCAAGATGGCAGACTGAGTACTGTGACTACTAAGACATAACCATCTGTTTTTAGAGATTCACACACACACACACACACACACACACACACACAAAACCTAGGTAAAAGAACTGACATTTCTAGAATGTTGAATTGTATACCAAATCCTTTGTATTTTTAGTTTTGACTTTATATCGTTGACTTTTGTCCTTTGTCAGTTTAAATTTATTCTAATGTGGGAAATAAGAGTCTTCTGTGATTGAAATCTGGCTTGCCTTTGGCTGTTTCTTGGTATTCATGCCCATGTTCTACAGGCTATGAGCAAACTGGGTCTATAATCAAGTGCCAACTTTAACCTAAAAAGAATAATAATAAAGATCTCCTAAGAGTGTAGGGATAGTTTGTAATGATTAGCTCGAGGGTCCAAAACACTTAGAATGTAGCAACCTCAGGAAATTCCTGCCATTACATGGACGTTCACTTTTCTCTAAAGAAAACAAAGAAAACAAAAAATAATTAATCCCTCTCAGGCATTAAACCAAAGATAATTCACATATTAAAAGCTTTATTTCATTACTTTCATTTGGTTTTGTTAAGGAGTAGTATATTCTGGCCCGTAGTATTACTTTGGTATTTATTCTAGTTTCTAAAGGAGGAGATGGTTCTGAGGATGCAGATGTCTAAGCAGTTAACATCACAACCTTCTTCAGTTGCCAAGGAAATAGGAAAACTTAAACTCTTCTGCAAAACTAATTTGCCAGCTGTGTGTTTCTATTTTGATTGTAACCACTTACTTTCAGTTATTGCTTTTGTCTTCACTGTGCCCACATTTCTATTTTGTTTGTTTTCAGATGTTTTATTGTTTGTCATTGATACATCTGGCTATTATAGTTCTACTGCTGTACTGTTTGTTCTTCCTGTAATTTTTAAATATATTTTTAATTGCTATGGGTACATAATAGTTGTACATATTTATGGAGTACAAGTGATGTTTTGATACAGACATACAATGTGTAGTGATCAGAACAGGGTAACTTGAGTATCCATCACCTTAAGTATTTATCATTTCTTGGAGCTAAAAAATAAATTGGACTCATGGAGATAGAGAACAGAATAAAGGTTACCACAGCCTGGGAATGGTAGCTGGGAAAGGGTGATAAAGTGAAGATGGTTAATGGGTACAAAACTACAGGTTTGTATTAATAGAATGAATAACATCTAGTATTTGGTAGCAGAATAGGGTGAGTATGATTAACAATAATTTATTGTACACCTACATCTTTTTCTGATTCAGTTTATACCCCTTGGTCTTGAATGGGATTGTAATAAGAAAGGTTTGGAAAGTACCATCTCTAATAATTTTACTTGAGTTAATTGTTTACTTGCAATAATCAAGCTTGGGAGAAAATGTGTAAGAAAATTTTGTTATGACTTTGATTTTAGTTTACAGAAGACAGGCAATTTTTCCCCAATACATTTGTGTCTATACGGTTGAGTGCTGTGTGAAATCTTATGGTGAAGTAGATGACATTTTTAAAGCTCCTTTTCAATATTCAATTTGCCTCCTCAATTCCCTAGTGGAAGTAAGATCTTTATATGGCTTAATGGGTGACCTTATTTATTAAATTAGCAAACACCGATGGCCCATCTCTGATGTATACTTATGCTATGGAAACTGCTGTGGAAAATGCAAAGAAACATGAAGGTAGTACCCTGTTGGGTGATAAGAAATGTATACTCACATAAAATGTAACTCAAGATATGATAACTCAAGATAAGATAATATCTAGTGTATGCAACTAGTTAAATGAGAAACCCTATTTCTAACTAGAGTAAACATGGATTTTTAAAATTGTGCCTTTAAAAATAGTTAGGATTTTATTTAGTAACATGGAGGTAAGGAATCTGGAAGAGGGCATCTAAGAGTGTGGAAGGGGAGCTTCAAATTTATGTGGATGGAAAAGGTATTATTTAGGAATACAGACAAAAATAGTAAGATTGGTTTAGACAGTCTGGCTTGAAAAGTAGGTCTAGGACATGTCATAGGAGACTCTAAGTACTTATCAATTATTAATCAAGCAAGCAGCATGAGTTAGTTTTCCTTTTAGAGGATTAATGTGACACCACACATAGACTATAGTAGAGCAAACCTTTTACATTGTTATCCTTTTACATTGTAACCTTTTACATTGTTGCATGTAAATTGTTTACGTTGTTAACCTTTTACATTGTAGATTCACAGCCTACTTGCATCAGAATCACTTGAGGATGCTTATTAAATGTGCAGATTGTGTACACTATTGGTTTGTCTGGGGAGGGCAATACTCTGGAAGTGATTCTTATCCACAAAAAAGCTTAGGAATGGAGATAAGGTGCTAGAAAATCAGAAAACCTATTAAGAAGTAACTATAATGGTCAGAGGGGATCATAAAACATCCCAACTCATGTAGCTGAAAGACAGAACAGGCATTGGGGTTGTGATAAGCCTAGATTCAACTCCATCTCTACCATTTTGAACTTTTCATGGGCAAAGTTTCTCTAAACTTCTGTTTCTTCATCTATAAAATAACATTAACTTTACAAACTCACAGTATTTAAAACATTCATCACACATGGTAATATCCTGTACAGAACATATAAAACAGGTCCTTAAAATATGGTTTCTTTATTTCACAAATTAGGGTGATAAGTTCATGGATATAGGAGATCCTTTAACCACAAAAAATTAAGAGGACCTTGGAGATCTTGCCTTCACCCTTGGCTTAAATTATTATCATGTCCAGTTGTCTTAAAGTTTATTTCTTTAGATCTAATTTATCTTCTAGGAGCCATACTGCCTATTTGTGTCTTTTAGATAACTCACAACTCCTGCAACTTAACATATGTTACAAAATGAACTAATGATCTTTCTTATAAACGTAATTTTCCACTATTTTCTGATTTGGTAAAGATTTTCACTATTCATTAAGGTACACAAGCCAGAAACTTAGACGTCATCCTTGACATCTTAATTTCTTCACTCCTCATATAAAATGATATTTTCTTTTTCCTGTATCATCAATATTTCCTCTCTTCTGGGCATTTTCTTCTATATACAAACATTCTGGAATCTTCCATGTTTTTAAAAAAAGTCCTTCCTTGGTTCTACTTTTCTGTCCAGTTATTGGGCACATTTCTCAGCTTTTAATTTTTTTTGAAAAAAAGTCTTGACAGTGGTTATATTTTCTCACCAACTCTGTTTCTTTTTCTCCCTTTCTCTCAAGCCTACATTAGTTTGGTTGGTTTTTTTTTCTCCAAACTTCTACCCAAATTGTCCTGAGTAAGGCCTGATGACCTCCATGTTGTCAAATCCAATAGTCAGTTTTCAATCTTGATCTTACTCCACAGTTGATCAAACACTCACTTCTTTTGAAACATTTCCTTCACTTAGCTTTTAAAGCCCATCCCCTTGGTTATTCTCCTATCTCAAGGGTTCTTCTTTCAGTTTCATTTGTGAATTCCATTCCTCTTCCTGATTGCTCAATGTTGGAGTGGTTCAAGCCTCAGTGATCTACTTTTTTTCTCCATATCTACCATCACTCCCTAATAATCTCACCTAGTCCCATTGCTTTATAGACAATCAATATCTGGTAACTCCCCCAACTACATCTCCAGCGTACATCTCAATGGTGAAATCCAAGATTGATTTACTCAACATACTAGTCAGTTTCTCCACTTGGATATTGAATGGACAAAAGTATCCAGTAACAAATAATAATTAGTTGTTTTCCTCTCCAAATTTGCTTCTCTTTAGTCTTCCACATCTCAAAAAATGGCACAATTTCTCAAGTGATTAAACTCTTTGTTTTATTTTATGAAAAAATTATTGAAACATGCTTTTAATGTATATCTACTTTTACCTAACTCACAATTATAAGAGTCTTAGTTTTATTTTTTGGATCAATAGCAGATAAGAAACAGAAAAGTAAAAATAGAAAAGGGTTTCCAAAGAAATAATTTCCATAAGGAAAAACCAGAAGAAAGAGCTGAATACAAAAGAGGAGAAGGGCTGATTTAATATAAAGAAAAACCATAAGTTGATATTCATAACAACATTGTCAAATCATCAATAAAAGGATAACTCATGTTAACTAAACACTGTCCACAGAAACTTTGAATTAAGTTGGTAAAACTTCCATCAGAAAAGCTAGGAAGTAATAACACTTGGCCTTGGAATGGTAAGTGTCAGGTTAGAAAATCATTCAATTTCAGGGAATAGCATCTTATTCTTTGACAATGCCCTCAAAATAAAAATGTTAATTTTTTTCTTCATTTTACATCTCATTGTTTGTGACTATCTACAAGATAGACAATGATGTAAGTTACTTA
The DNA here is from genome assembly GCF_000001405.40 of Homo sapiens. Taxonomy (NCBI): domain Eukaryota; kingdom Metazoa; phylum Chordata; class Mammalia; order Primates; family Hominidae; genus Homo; species Homo sapiens. The sequence continues at coordinate 28,383,752 of NC_000021.9, read as the reverse complement.
ATAGAAAATAATCCAATATCATTTTCCACCTTCCATGGTTTTTGCTGGTCCTTTCTATGCCTCTTTGTGTGGCGTGGGATCACAGCTTCAGTGCAAGTGGGCTTGATCCTCTTGAAAAAGTAATAGTTATATTTCACATTTTAAGTAAGAATTCCTGCCTGTGGAATATCAACTTTCTTTTTTGTTAGTGTTGAATTTCTCTTTTGCTCTGGGTTTGTAAACCTGTGTTGATTTTCCAGAATGATCTAAACTCTCAATCAATGTACAGTTATTTTTTTTTTTGTTTGTGTTAGAATTTCTCCCAGCTTTATTGTGGGATAATTAACAAATAAAAATTGTATATATTTAAGGTGAAATATTTTGTTTATATACATTGTGAAATGATCGCCACAATCAAGCTTACTAACATATATATCACCTTATATAGTTACATTTTTTTTTTGGTGAGAACATTTAAGATCTAATCTCTTAGCAAATTTCAAATAGGTAATACAGTATTAATAGCTATAGTAACCATGCTGTACATTAGATCTCCAGAATTTATTCATACTGCAAAACTGAAAATTTCATGCAGTTATTTTTATACGTATTTTGAACATGATAATAACCTTCTTCTACTTATTTTGAATGGTACTCAGCATTACAAAAGGACAAATTTGAGTTTTATGGTGGAAGTCAATCTTAATTGTTTAGTGCTAATTGGATCATGGGGATAGTTTGCTTTTTAAAATATGCCATCTGACATGTTCACAATGCACTTAAAATAAACCACCCTATATAATCTTGTTTACTATATGTTTATTGAGCAACTAATAGCTCTGCCAGAAGCAATGGGAGATGCAAAGTAAATGTGTCTGTAGTGTTAAAAAAAATTATTCATCACAGTATCTCAATATACCAAACTGTAAATAACTGAGGCATTGAATGCATTTGGATCTTCCAGTGTCTTATTTTTAAATATGATCATTGATGATATTGTCATTTTTATAATTTGGACAGATTTAACTTCTGAAACAACTAAAAATATTTCACTAGAAATAGTGAATAAGGTGAGTTGGGAGAAAAATGTAGTCAGATTAATAAAGCACTGTACTGATTTTAGGGTGATTACATTCAAAGATCATCTCACCTTTTTAATTATGAAATCTACTGTTTATTGAGTGCTGGTTATAAACCAGGCTCTGTGTGTTAGCCCGTCTAGTTCTTATAACAATTTTGTGAGGTTGTTCTCATTATCTCCATTTTACAGGAGAAAAAAATGAAAAAGAATAAGTAACTAGTGGGAGAGATAAGTAGGATTCCACCCCAAGTCTGTTCTTGTTTTAAACATCATCCTCTTAATTGTTATGATATAGTGTCTCCAAATTGCAGTTAGAACACTTAAAAGAAATATTTGCTAAATAATTTGCAAATTAGTACAAAATATAGTCAGTCTTATTATTTTTCCTCAAATGGACCAAACACACAGGTGGTAGGATTTTTTATCTTCCCAAATGATTGTATTAGCATTATGTAGAATCAGATTCTTAGCTATGTACCCACACACAGCACACACACTCACACACCCACACACAAACACACATAGATACATACACACACATATACACAAATATATGGATGAACGAATCACCAAAGAGTATGAAAAGAGCACTTGGAAAAGTTGTTTCCAGGGTTGCAATTAAGTCAGCTGGAGTTGACGTCATAAAAAGAAACAGTAATTTGGAAGATGGTTAGAAAAAGATAGTAAAAAGCACACTGGACTGAGTTGCAAAGCCTGAATATTGGTCCTAATGTTCCCACTTAGCACTCTGTGACTTGGACAATTCATTTGATCATATTTAACTGCTTTTCAGCTCTTGTACAAATGGCTTAATAATACTTATGATTCCTGGATTACAGGGTTTAGAATTAAGCTAGCTTCTAAAAAGAGATACTCTATCTTATCTATCATGGCATCTCAAAAACTAGTTCATTGCCTAGTAATGACAGGTACTCAAGAAATGGGAATGAAGGCAACTTATAAACTGTAAAATGTTAACATTTTTCCCTTATTCATCCAAAAAAAACATTTTTTCAGGTATCTGCTATGCTGCCTGTTTTTATATAACTATGGTGTTTTGGATAATAACACATTATTTCAGCCCTTCTGAATACAACTCAACTAGTCATCTTGATGTGGTGCATTTAGATCATACATGAGTCACCTGCTTCTCATGCTCACACTGGCTAAAATGTCAGTACCCTCAGTGAATGCGTGAGATTAAATTAGTAAAATGCAAATAGTGTTGTAGAAATACACATGGTTTTCACTAAGTTATTAGTCTTTTTAAATGAGGCCTGTCATTATGTCATCGGATCTAAAACTCATCTAATGTCTGAATAGTGGGCTTCTATGAAGCATGGTTATGTTTATTCCCTAATGATTTTACATCTGGTCTGGCCAAATGCAATATTCTAAAGTTTATCTTGTACTAATTGCTCTAATGATCTCTAGCTTGCATTTTCTGGAAAACAGAAACTATCTAAAATTAGATTGTGATTATTAAATAAATCTGGTTCAAATAAGGAATTGTGTTACATATGCAAATGTGTTCTGTTTCTTTTAAGCACTTTAGTATTTTCCATATGAAAGAAAACCTTCCAGATCTCCTGATTTTCAGGGGAAAGATTGAAAAATTATCAGAAAGTCAAAAGTGCCTGACTCAACAGAGTTTATCCTGTGTTTTTAATGTCTGCTAGTTAACTCCATGCAAAACTCTGCAACACAAACTTTTCTACAGAGTTCTTCTAGAGAGCTGTCCCAAAAGGAGATTTAGCAGCAGAAAGCTGACTTCCGATGCCCAAGATTCAGGAAGGCAGACAACCGTGCTTTAATCATGGACAATTATATTTTGGTTAGGATACAAGGTGCAGGGCTAGAAAACAGATGCTTTTTTAGCAAAACCTCATGGGATAATTAGTAGAAATCACAATTTTCATTCTCCTGGGTGTCAAGATTTTAAATTGACACCAAGAATTCTCATTTCTAACCGAAGTTCACATTATTTCACTCTGTCAGTGTTTTGAAAGGAAATACCTGTTACAGATTGGAAAGGTGCTGAAAAATAGGAAAGACTCTTAATTGGGACACTAATTTATTCAATAACAGTTTGTTGCCATCCAATGAACTATGACAACAATGCCTCGGTTACATCTTTGGACATTTATTGATAAAGGTAACTATGGCAACAAAAGAAGAGGTCAGGAGAATCCTAGCCAGCGTGTTCCTGACTGCTTTGTTTAGATCAGCGTTCGCACTTCAGTCAGGCCTCTGTTAGGGTTATGAGGCATCTTCCCCAAGTGACGGCATAGTTGCTTCAGATAATGCTCAGATGAGTTCTGACGGCGTGGAACAGTGGTCTTAACACTCTCATCTTCTGTAAGAATACAAATTTCTACTTTTCTAGAAAGATATTTAGCACCATTGTCAAGATTTCTTAAAATGTTTTTTATACCCAAGCCTTTCATCTTTATATCTAAGCATCTATCCTAAGAAAAGAATTAGAGATATGTGAAAGATTTATGTGTGAATATTCACAGGCATTTTTTAAAATAAAAATAAAAATGTGCTAAAGACATAAACATTCAAATAAAGGGAATTATAATGCTAATAAAGTTTTGATGTAGTTTGGCACCATTAATCATCATGTGTTTGATTGAAAACAAAGTAAATGCTAGTCTATAGAGGGAAGTTTAATTATAGCAAACTCACATCTAGAATATAACCCAACCGTTAAAAAAGAATGGATTTAAGCTATACCAGTTGACTCAGGGTTTCTGTGAGATATAGGTGAGTGGAAAGCAAGATTCAGAAAGTATTTATGGTATGATTCAATTTAGGTAAAACAATATATGGACAAAAATCCAGGCCCTATATATCTGTATACAAGTATGCATCTATGTACATAAATAAGACTAGGCACAGGGAAAATATTGAAGATCACTACTGCATTGCAATGTGGACTACCTTGTGGCAGAGGAGAGCTGATATTGAATGAAAGGTAGAAAAAATAAGGAAAAGAAAAAGATTTAAAGTAGAATATAAACATTTTTGATTAAACAAAATTATGCATGAAAAACATTTAAACATAATTGTATAAAGAAAATAAATACAGTATTTTAAGTCATTCCTTTGCTGACATTTAATATGGGGGGGGCATGCCTAGGCTATGTTGCTATGTAGGAAAATGATACAAAATCTTATTTGGCCTCCAGTTCTCATCCTTTCACAAAAATTCTTCTTATCAAGGTCATCCATAACTTCTATGCTTTCAAATTCAATGGACTCACCTTTTGAATTATTATAGATACTTTATTATCTCAGCACTGAATAGAATGGCCCCTTTGTTGAAACATCTTCCTCTCCTGGCTTGCCTGATTCTACACTTTTCTGAATTTCCTTCTGCTTTACTTATCTATTCTTCTCCTCTTTCACAGTTTCCTATTCCTTTTTTGTGTGATCTTGAAAGGGTGACATGCCCTGGGGGAATGCTGGGATTTCTTCTCTCCCAGTTTTGTATACTCTCCCTCAGAGTTCTCATTCCATCCTATGGTTTGAAATTTGTTCTAAATTGCTGTTTCTGAATCTCCTCAAAACTTTTCAAGGTATATTCATCCAACTGCGTATCTAGCATCTTCTCTCCACCCATTTGTCCTCTCCTCTCTGCCCCCCAACTTTCTGCTTTCTGATCTGGTCAATTGGCACCCCTGCAGTCACTTGTACCCAACAATAATCCAAGTGTTACCCTTGATACTTATCTTTCCCACACATCTAATATGGTGGCAGGTTCTGTTAAGCATACCCCAAAGATGTGTCTTCCCCTGCTCCTCTGCAGCCCTACTTCTTTTGCTTAAGTAGTCCTTGTTTCTCCTCTAAACATGAACACAATGACCTCCTGATGTGTGTCCTCCTTTGGCTTTTAGCCCTTAGCAGTCTTTTCTTCACCCAGTAGTCAGAGGGATCTTTGAAAAATACAAAATCAGATTATTTTAGTGGCCTGCTTACAGCACTCCAATGCTGCCCAATTTCATGTGGACTAACACCCATGCTACTTTGTCTGGCTTACCAAGCCCTATGTGATCTGGCCACTCTGACTTCCCTGGTACCACTCTTCCCCTCACCCACTGAAAACCCTTGGCTGGACTAAACATGCCTTGGGTTCCTTGGATGTGCCAGTTGTGTCATACTCTTCCTAAGTCCTTTACTCTGGCTGTTGACCTTTCCTGGAATAGCCCTCATCTTAATCTTCACATGGCTGCCTGATTCCTTCTTCCTACCTCTTTGGTGAAGCATTTTGACAACCTAACCTAAGCTAGCCACCCAGATACCTTTATAAAACCATGCTGTTTTTTTTCTGAATTGCACTCATCTTTATATGATATCTGTATTTACTTTTTTGTTTATTATTTGCCTTTCCTTGCCAGAAGATTGTGTAGGATCATTTGCCTTGCAATTCAACCATACGTTGCCACATAGCAGAGGCTCAGTAAGTATCAGTTGAATGAACAAGCACTGTATGTTATAAATAGTTTCTTTATCTGTAATTTATGGTTAATAATAGCACCTATATCCTTGAAGGGAGGTAACATTTATTGAATGACAACTATGTGTCCTGCGTCATGCTTTGAATTTTATGTGTTTGTATTCATTGAACTTTTCAAAATAATTGTGTGACCTAAGTATAGTCCTCTCTAATTTACACAGAAAGAACGATGAAGCTCAAAGAGTTTCAAGATTCAAAGTCTTCCAGGTCAATATTCAAACACAGGTATATTTGCTTCCAAAATCTATGTATTTTCTACAACATAAAGCAGCCTCCTTAATATTTTACTGCTCTTCACTCAAGATCCAGTCTTGGATAATGTCACAATTTAAAAAATATATTTCTCTGCTCCTTTTTTTTTGTGGTTTCAGATGTTTTCCAGGGGCAATAAAGCTATCTTGATCAGCTCTTCTACTAACTTGTGCTGTATCTCTTACGTATTGTTTTTCCAAAATATTTTTTCTCATTTTTTGTTTACTTTTTTCCTCTTTCAAATTCTATTCCCTAAAATTCTTTCCCCCTGCATCTGTCTCAACAAGCTCTCTGAATTCTGCTGCTACTCCCTCCCTATCTGTGATCTATTAGTTTTCATGAATCTGTAGAAGTTTAGGGCATTGCTTCAGTGATCAGGTTGCTGTGGATGATATCCAACTTGTTCTTACCTGCTTGAATAGTTCCTGTAAATTCTAATTTTCAGCTGCCTTTTCTATGTTTCTTTCTTTTTTGAGACAGAGTCTAGCTCTGTCACCCAGGCTGGAGTGCAGTGGTGCGATCTCAACTCACTGCAACCTCCGCCTCCCTGATTCAAGCGATTCTCCTGCCTCAGCCTCCCAAGTAGCTGGAACTACAGGTGTATGCCATCACACCTGACTAATTTTTTGTATTTTTGGTAGAAACAGGGTTTCGCTATGTTGACCAGGCTGGTCTTAAACTTCTGGCTTCAAGTGATCTGCCTTCCTCGGTCTCCCAAAGTGCTGCTGTTAACCACTGGAGGGTGTCCAGGTTCTTGGTGTCTTGAACAAAGAATTGGACAAAACGCACAAACAAAGCAAGCAAAGAATGAAGCAACAAAAGCAGAGATTTATTGAAAATGAAAGTACACTCCACAGTGTGGGAGCAGGCCTCAGAATACGGGCTCAAGGGCCCTGTTACAGATTTTTTTTGGGGGTTTAAATACCCTCTAGATGTTTCCATTGGTTACTTGGTGTACACCCTATGTAAATGAAGAGGATGAAGTAAAGTTACAAAGTCATGTATTTGGCCTATTCCCTACATAAATGGAGAGGATATTTCCTGTCATAGCTGTAATGTTTCCATGTGATTTAGTTCTAGGAAGTCCTTATGTTCCCTGTCTCCAAACCCTATTCTCATGCCTCACTGGGATTACAGGGGTGAGCCACCGAACCTGGCCACCTTTTGTGTATTTCTATGTGGGCATTCTTAACACAAACCAAACAAAAGTCAGCGTTTCTTCTCTTGAAACGGTCTCTGCCTTGTGGCACTTCTCTCTCTCTTTCTGTCTCTGAAATGCTATTATGAATTTTTGTTATCGGCACTACCATTCTTCAGTCAACCAGAGGATTCAGTATTGACTTTGACAGAACTCTCCTTTCCAATTGGTTTCAAATTCTTATGCATTCTACCTTTGTTTCACTGATTTTGAAAATTAAACATTTTCACTAAATGCAACTAGAAAATGTTAATTTTTAACCTCTTCACTCTGACATTATGTTATTTACATGCGTTGGGGAGCAGAGCAAAATTGTCTTCCTCATTATTTTGGATGGAGGAACATTAGTTAAAACGATCAGAAGATGACCTTTTTAGTTATAAGAACCAGGGATTCATAGTTAGTTCTGGAACTTCCTGTGTTCATTTTCTGTTAATGAATCTTTTAAGCTTTATCGCTAAAACTATTCAACTTTGACCTTTTGCTTCTTTAGGCTAATAATTACCTAATTAACTTTGAAGGCATGTCTCATGCCACAGGTTATTACTTTTCCACAAAGACATTTGGATTAACATAATTTCTACCTTTTCCTACCTTTGTATGCACAATTCACATCTCAATCTGCCAATACAAACATCCTTCACATTTTTAGATTAACTTGCAGACAGAGGCTGAGGAAATGCCTGAAAACATAGAACTTACTTGCACTACACTGAAAGAATTTATTTCTGATGACAAAACTAACAAGTGTTCATTGTAGAACTATTTCAAAACACCAGAAACCCCACATACACAAAAGATATTGCCTCAGACAGGTCACATCACTGGACCCCTTGCAAACATTCCCCAGCACCAGCCTGGAGTGTTGCAGCTTCACTGGGTAGCTAGACCCAGAGGAGCAACAACACTCACAGTACTCTAGAGGAGGGAGGAGTGCACCACATGAAGGGAACACCATGTGGGACAAAATAATCTGAGTGGCAGGCCTTGAGCACTAGGTCTTTCTGCTGGTGGAAAGCTTCTTTCAGCAGTGGCACAGTTAAAGTGCTGGGTTGAGCAGGAAAAGTCTTCAGCTCTACCCCAACAGTTAGAAAGCCCTGGTGCATGTGAAGGGTCTTAAGAAGAGGAAGTCTTTCCCACCTTGTCCACCATCATAGGCATCAAAACCTTTGGGATACAGCAAAAGCACTGCCAAGAGGAAAGTTTATAGTGCTAAATGCCTACATCAAAAAGTCTGAAAGAACACAAATTGGCAACCTAATGTCATCCTCAAGGAACTGGAGAAACAAAAACAAATGAAAACAAAACTAGAAGAAGAAAAGAAATAACAAGGATCACAGCAGAACTAAATGAAATTCAAACAACAATTAAAAAAAAACCCAAAAAAGCCATGAAAGAAAAAACTGTTTTTTTGAAAAAATAAACAAATGTGATAGACAATTAGCTAAATTAACAATGAAAAGAACAGAGAAGATCCAAATAAACTCAATTGGAAGTGAAACTGGAGACATTACAATCAACACCACAGAAATACAAAAGATCATTTGAGACCACTATGGAACACCTTTTTTCATACAAACTAGAAAACCTAGAGTAAATGGACAAATTCCTGGAAATATACAACCCTCTCAGATTAAATCAGGAATAAACAGAAACTTTGAACAGATCAATAAGAGGCAGCAAGCTTGAGCCAGTAATTTAAAAATTGCCGATTAATAAAAGCCCAGGACCAGATAAATTCACAGGTGAATTCTACCAGACATTTAAAGAATTAGTAGCAATCCTACTGAAACTATTCCAAAAGATTGAGAAAGAAGACATCATCCCTAAACCATTTTATGAAGCTAATGTCACTCTGATACTAAAACCAGGAATGACACAAAAAATAAAATAAAGAAAACTACAGACCAATTTCTGTGGTGAACATAGAGGCAAACAACCTCAACAAAATATTAGCTAACTGAATCCAGCAGTACATCAAAAAGATAATTCAAAATCATCTAGTGGGTTATGTCCAAGGGATGCAGAGGTGGTTTAATATATGCAAGTTAAAAAATGTGATACATCACATCATCAGAATTAAAAACAAAAACCATATGATCATCTCAATGGATGCAGAAGTGACTGACAAATTTTAGCTCTCCTTTATGAAAAAAAAAAACTCTCGACAAACTAGACATAGAAAGAACCTATCTTAAAATAATAAAATCCATATATGACAAACCCACAGTCAACATCATACTGAATGGGAAAAGTTGAAAGCATTTTCTCTGAGAAATTCTGGTCTCTGAGACCAGAAAAGACAAAAATACCCACTTTTACCATTTCTATTCAACATAGTTCTGGAAGTACTAAAAAGAGCAATTAAACAAGAAAAAAATATGGGGCATCCAAATTGAAAAAGAGAAAGTCAAACTACTGCCATTTATAGACGATATGAGTGTAGTACATCTAGAAAATTCTAAAGACTCCTCCAAAAGATTCTTAGATTTGAAAAACAAATTTAATAAAGTCTCAGGTTACACAATCAACGTACACAAATTAGTAACACTGCTATATATCAACAACAACCCAGCTGGGAATAAAATCAAGAACTCAATAAATTTTACTACAGCTGTAGAGAGTATAAAATACCTAGAAATAGCCAAACAGGTGAAAGATCTCTAAGAAGAGAGCTAAAAAAAAATACTGAAAGAAATCACAGATGGCACAAACAGATGGAATGGCATTCCATGCTCATGGATTGGAAGAAACAGTGTTGTGAAAATGGCCATACTACCCAAAGCAATTTACAGATTTAATGCAATTCCCATCAAAATACCAACATTAGTAGCCACAGAATTAGAAAATCCTAAAATTTATATGAAATGAAAAAAGAGCCAGAATAACCAAAACAATCAAAAGCAATAAGTACAAATCTGGAGGCATCACATTATCTGACTTCAAGTTGTATTACAAGGCTATAGTTACCAAAACAGAATGGTACTGGTATAAAAATAGAGTCATAGAACAATGGAACAGAATAGATAATGGAGAAATAAAGCCAAATACATACAACCAATTGATCTCTGACAAAGCATATGAAAACACAAATTGGAGAAGGGACGCTCCATTTAATAAATGGTGCTGGGATAACTGGCAAGCCACACATAGAAGAATAAAACTGTATCCTTATTTCTCACCATATAAAAAAATTTAAGATGGATCAAAGACTTAAATGTAAGGTTTGAAACCATAAAATTTCTAGAAGACAATGTTAGAAAAACTATTTTAGATGTCAGCCTAGGTAAAGAATTCATGACTAAACCCCCCAAAGTAAATGCAACAAAAACAAAAAGAAATAAATGAGAGATAATTAAATGAAAAATCTTCTGCACAGCAGAAGAAATACTCACCAGAGTAAACAGATAACCCACAGAATACGAGAAAATATTTGCAATCTATGCATCTGACAAAGAACTAGTATCCAGAATCTGTAAGGAACTCAAACACCAAGAAAAAAATCAAATAATTCCTTTGAAAAGTGAGCATAGGAAATGAATAGACATTTCTTGAAAGAAGATACACAAATTACCAACAAACATATGAAAAAAAAGCTCAACATCACTAATCATTAGGGAAATGCAAATTAAAACTACAGTGAGATACCACCTTATTCCTGCAAGTAAGGCGATTATTAAACAGTCAAAAAGCAATGGATGTTGCCATGGATGTGGGAAAAAGCGAATACTTACAAACTGCTGGTGGGAGTGTAAATTAGTACAACCTTTATGGAAAACAGCATGGAGATTCCTTAAAGAGCTATAAGTAGATCTACCATTCAATCCAGCAATCCCACTACTGAGTATCTACTCAAAGGAAAAGAAGTCATTATATGAAAAAGACATTTGCAAATGCAGCACAATTCACAATTACAAAGATGTGGAACCAAGTTAAGTGCCCATTGACTAATGAGTGGATAAAAAAATGTGTTATATACACACATGAACTACCACTCAGCCATTAAAAGAAATGAAATAATGTCTTTTGCAGCAACTTCAATGGAGCTGGAGGCCATTATTCTAAATGAAGTAACACAGGAGTAGAAACCAAAATATTGTATTTTCTCACTTATAAGTGGGAAGTAAGCTATGAGCATGCAGAGGCATACAGAGTGATATGATGGATTTTAGAGACTAAGAGGGGTAATAGGGATAAATAACTTCACATTAGCTACAGTCTACCCTACTTGGTGATGGGTGAACTACAATCTCAGAATTCACCACTAAAAATTTCATCCATGTAATGAAAACCACTTGTACCCCAAAAGCTATTGAAATTTAAAAAAATCTTAATAAAAAAACTAATCATGGAAATTAAAATTTTAATAAAAATATAGAAATTATATGATAAAACCCATCATAAATATCCATCACAAAAAAGTAGGAGGATGAAGTTAAATTTATAGAATTTTCATTAGTATTTTGCTTGTTTGTTATTTCATTTGTTGATTTATGCCATCAGTGTTAAGCTGTTATCAGTTTAAAATAATAAGTTATACAATTTTATTTGCAAGCTCTATGGTAACTGCAAATCAAATAACACACAACAGATGAACAAAAAATAATGAACAAGAAATTAAAATAGTCTGCTGGAGAAAATCACTTCTACTAAAAGGAAAACAGGAAGAAAAATCAGAAAGAAGAGAACACACAAAAAAACACCCAGAAAATCAACAACAAAACAAAACAAAAGAAGTCTTACAGGAGTAAGACTTTACTTATCAAGAATAACATTAAATATAAATGAACTAAACTCTTCAATTAAAAGACATAGACTCATGGATAAGAAAACAAGCCCAGGTGTTGTGGCTCACGCATGTAGTCCCTGTACTTTGGGAGGCCGAGGCATGTGGATTTCCTGAGGTCAGGAGTTTGAGACCACCCTGGCCAACATGATGAAACCCCGTCTCTACTAAAAATACAAAATTAGCCAGGCGTGGGGGTGCCTTTAGTCCCAGCTACTCTGGAGGCTGAGGCAGGAGAATTGCTTAGAGCTCAGGAGGTGGAGGTTGCAGTGAGCTGAGATCATGCTGTGCACTCCAGCTGAGGTGACAGAGGGAGACTCTGTCTTAAAAAAAAAGAACAGAAAAGAAAAAAGAAAACAAGACCCAATGATCTATAGTCTAGAAGAAATGCACTTCACCTGTAAAGACACAAGTAGACTGAAAATAAAGAGATGGAAAAATATATTCCATGCCAATGGGAACTACGAAAGAGCAAGTCAGATATAATTTTATATCAGATAAAATAGATTTTTTATATCAGATAAAATAGATATAAATTTATCAGATATAAATCTATTTTATATCAGATAAAATAGATTTTAAGACAAAAACTGTAAAAAAATACAAAGAAGACCATTATATAATGACAACAGGATAAAATTACCAAGAGGATACAATAATTGTAAATGTATATGCAGCCAACACAGGAACACCTAGATATATGAAGCAAGTATTGTCAGAGCTAAAGAGAGTGATCAACCTTAACATAATAATAGCTAAAGACTTCAACACTCAACTTTCACATTGCACAGATCATCGAGACTGAAAATCAACAAAGAAATTTGCACTTAATCCACACTGCAGACCAAATGGACCTAATAAATATTTACAGAAAATATCATCCAACAGCTGCAGAATGCACATTCTTCTCCTTGGCACATGGAGCATTTTCAATGATAGACTATATATTAGGCCAAAAAAATTAAGTCTTTAAAAATTAAAAAAAAATCAAATACCTTCTCTGACCAAATGAAATAAAAAGTAATAAATAATAAAAATAGTAAATCAATAACAAGAGGAATTTTAGAAACTATACAAATACGTGGAAATTAAACATTATGCTCCCGAATGACCTGTGGTTCAGTGAAGAAATTAAGGAGGAAATTGAAACATTTTTACAAACAAACAATAATTGAAACACAGCATGCTAAAACCTATGGTATGCAGTTAAAGCAATACTAAGAGGAAAGTTTATAGCTATAAGGGCCTACATAAAAAAGCAGAAAAACTTTAAACATCCTAATTATGCATCTTAAAAAGCTAGAAAAGCCATAGCTGACCAAACCCAACATTAGTAGTAGAAAAGAAACAGTAAAGATCAGAACATAAATAAATGAAATTAAAATGAAGAAATGAAGAAAACAATACAAAAGATTAATAAAATGAATCAAAGTTGGTTTTCTGAAAAGTTAAACAAAATTGACAAACCTTTAGCCAGACTAAGATAAAGAGAGAAGACCCAAATAAAATTAGAGATGAAAAAGGAGACATTACAACCAATAGTACAGAAATTTAAAGGATTATTAGAGGCTGCTTTGAGCACTATATACCCATAAATTGGAATATCTAGAAGGAATGGATAAATTTTTAGACACATACAGTCTACCAACATTGAACCGTGAAGAAATTTACAATCTGAACAGACCAATAATAAGTGATGAGATCAAAATGATAATAAAACATCTCCCAGGAAAGACAAGCCTGAGATATAATGACTTCATTGCTGAATTTTACCTAACATTTAAAGAATACCAATACTACTCAAACTATTTAGAATAACAGAAGAAGAGGGAATATTTTCAAACTCATTTTATGAGCCCAGAATTACTTTGATACCAAAACCAGACAGACCCATTTAAAAAAAAAAACAAAACTACAGGCCAATATCCCTGATGAATCTTGATTCACAAATGCTTCACAAAACACTAGCAAACTGAACTCAATAACACATCAAAAAGATGATTTATCATGGCCAAGTGGGATTTATCTCAGAGGTGCAAGGATGGTCCAATATATGCAAATCAACCAATTTGATATAACAACAGAATAAGACAAAAACAATATGATAATTTCAACTAATGCTGGAGAAGCATTTGATATAATTCAACATCCCTTCATAATAAAAACCCTAAAAAAACAGTATAGAAAGGACATATCTCAACATAATAAAAGCCATATATGACAGATCCACAGCTAGTATCATACTGAATGGGGAAAAACTGAAAACCTTTTCTCTAAGATTGAGAACATGACAAGGATGCCCAGTTTCACTGCTGTTATTCAGCATAGTACTGGAAGTTCTAGCTAGAGCAATCAGACAAGATAAAGAAATAATGAGCGTCCAAATTGGAAAGGAAGGAGTCAAATTATCCTTATATGCATATATAATCTTATATTTGGAAAAAATAAAGACTGCAGCAAATAAAAAATGATGAGAACTAATAAATTCAGTAAATCATGGGATACAACATCAATATACAGATATTAGTAGTATTTTTATATGCCAAAAGTGATTAATCTGAAAAAGAAATAAAAAAGTAACACACAAAAATGGAAAGATATTCTATGTTCATGAATTTCAAGAATCAATATTGTTAGAAAGTCCATATTACCCAAAGCAATCTACAGATTCAATGCAATCCCTTTCAAAATACCAATGACATTCTTCACAGAAATAGAAAAAATAATCCTAAAATTTATATGGAACCACAAAAGACTCAGAATAGCCAAAGCTATTCTGAGCAGGCAGAACAAAACTAGAGGAATCCTATTACCTGACATCAAATAATATTAGAGTTATAGTGACCAAAACAGCATTAATATTGGCATGAAGACAGACACATAGACCCAGTGCAGTGGCTCATGCCTACTGTTATCCCAAGAATTTGGGAGCCCAGGGCTGGTGGATCACTTGAGGCCAACAGTTCGAGACCAGTCTGGCCGACGTGGTGAAACCCCGTCTCTACTAAAATACAAAAATTAGCCAGGTTTGGTGGCACATGCCTGTAAACCCAGCTACTTGTAAGGCTGAGGCACAAGAATTGCTTGAACTTTGGATGCAGAGTTTGCAGCTAGTTGAGATTTTGCCATTGCACTCTAGGCTGGGTAACAGAGCAAGACTCTGTCTCCAAAAACAGACAAACAAACAAACGAATAAACAAAGACAGACACGTAGACAAATAGAACAGAATAGAGAACCCAAAACAAACTCATTTTAAAAAAAGACACCAAGAACATACAATGGAAAAATAAATGTCTCATCAATAAATGGTGCTGGGAAATCTGGATATCCATATGCAGAAGAATGAAACTAGACCTCTATCTCTTGCCATATAAAAAAATCAAATCAAAATGGATTAAACACTTAAATTTCAGACCTCAATCTATGAAACGACTACAAGAAAACATTTGAGAAACTCTCCAGGACATTGCGCTAAGTAAAGATTTTGAGTAATGCCCCACAAACAGTTTGCAAAGCAAAAATAGACAAATGGCATAACATCAAATTAAAAAGCTTCTCCACAGCAATAGATACAGTCAATAAAGTGAAGAGATAACCCCATCGCATGGTAGAAAATATCTGTAAACTATCCATCTGTCCAATTGTTAGTTACCAGAATACATAAATAGCTCAAACAACTCTATAGGAAAAAATTAATAATCTGATTAAAATATGGACAAAAGATCTGAATAGGCATTTACAAAAGAATATGTACAAATAAAAATCAGGTGAATGAAAAGGTGCTCAACATCATTGATCATCAGAGAAATGCAAATCTCAAAACTACAGTGAGATATCATCTCATCCAGTAAAAATGGCTTTTATCCAAAAAAAAAAAAAAATGGGCAGAAACAAATGCTAGTAAGAAGGTGGAGACCTTGTACATAGTTAGTGGGAATGTAAATTAGTACAACCACTACTGGAACGGTTTGAAGTTTCCTCAAAAAAGTAAAAATAGAGCTACTGTATGATCCCACAATCCCACAGCTAGGTATATATCCAAAAGAAATGAAATTAACAGATTGAATAGATATCTGCACTCCCATGTTTATTATAGCACTATTCACAGTAACCATGATTTGGAAGCAAACTAAGTGTCCCTCAGCAGATGAATAAATAAGGAAAATGTGGTACATATATACAAAGGAGTACTATTCAGCTATTAAAACAAATAAGATCCTGTCATTTGCAGCAGCATGAATGGCACATGTCATTAACATAATGACTTGGAAGTCATTACGTCAAGTGAAATAAGCCAGGCACAGAAAGTCAAATTTTGCGTGTTCTCATGTATTTATGGGAGCTAGAAATTAAAAGAATTGTACTCATGGGTATAGAGAGTGGAAGGATGGTTACCAGTGGCTGGGAAGGGTAGTGATTGGTGATGGAATAAAAGTAGGTATGGTTAATGGGTACAAAAAATAGTTAGGAAGTATAAATAAGACCTTGTATTTCATAGTGCAAGAGGGTGACTAAAGGCAATAATAATTTAATTTTCTATTTTAAAATAACTAAAAGTGTGTAGCTGGATTATTTATAACACAAAGGATAAATGTTTGGGGTGATGAATATCACTTGTCTTGATGTGGTTATTAAGCATGTATTCCTATATCAAAATATCTCATGTACCCCATAAATATATATACCTGCTATATACTCACAAAAATTGACACTAAGAAGGAAAAAAAAAACCAGTCATGTAAACTGACACCTACAGTACCATTATGTACTTTGTGATGAAGGATAGTTGATAAGACATGAGCAAAGCAGGCATAGGGTTTTTAGCACACAACTAGTCACTACAGCTGCTCACCTGACTGCACAGATCAGAGTGAGCAGATAAAAATCCCAGCTCCCAGCTCCTCTTTGGGGATTGAAAGAGTTGACTTAGAGCACCCAATAATCCAACCTTTTCAGGGACTTCCTGAAGAACTGGTTTTATTTTTCTTGTCTTGGAGTATTGATGGCATCTGGCATATTCTAGATGCCTGTGGTGGTTGGGGGGTGAGTATAATAAAGAAAGTGGGTTGAGAAAACTTACAGTTCGAGAGGTCTTCAGAATCTCTGGCCAGGCTGATTAGTGAGAACTTCTCCTAGACAAGGCTAGTCTTTGAAGAGTGGAAGAAGTGACTATTTTATGTAATATTTAGACAGCAACACAGAGAGGAAAGAGAAATAGAGAACTAGGCAATGATGTTCCAGTCAAAGAAGGAAGACAAATCTCTAGAAACCTACCTGAATTAAATGGAGTTATATAATTTATCTAGCAAATAATGCAAAATAAGCATCTTAAAATTTCTCACTGAGGTGTGGAGAATAATGCATAAACAATGTGAGAATTTCAACAAAGAGACAGGAAATATTAAAAACGTACCAAACAGAAATCATGGGACTAAAGAATATAATAACTGAACTGAACAATTTACTAATGAAGTTCAACTGTAGACTAGATCAAATAGAAGAGAGCGTTAGTAAAGTCAGAGCCTGGTTATAAAAATTATTCAGTCATAGAAGCAGAAAGAAAACCGAAGAAAACAAGAGTGAAGAAAGATTAAGGAACTTATGGGACACCACCAAGTGGAGATATATATATATATATATATATATATATATATATATATATATATATATATATATATATATATATATATACACACACACACACACACATATATATACACACACACATATATATGGATATATATACACATATATATACACACACATATATATGGATATATATATACATATATACACATATATGGATATATGTGTGTATATGTATATATATATGTGTATATATGTGTATATATGTATATATATGTGTATATATGTATATATGTGTGTATATATGTGTATATATATGTGTATATATGTGTATATATATGTGTATATATGTGTATATATATATGTGTGTGTGTATATATATATATAAAATGGGGATCTTAGAAGGAGGAAAAAAGAATACTGAAAGCATATTTTAAAAGTTAATGCTAAAAATTTGCCAAATCTGGGTTAGGAAATGAATATATAGACCAGAAATCTGCCTCCTCAACCCAAGCCCAAAAGAATAAACCCAAAGAAATCTATACGTAGCCACTTTGTAATCAAATTGTCGAAAGCCAAAGAGAATTTTGAAAGTAGCAAGAGAAAAATGTCTTGTCTCATATAAGCGAACCTCCTCAAGACTATAAGGTAATTTTCTCAGCAGAAACTTTGCAAGTTAGATGGGAGTAGGACAATTTATTGAAAGTGCTAAAAGAAACAAACAAATGAATGACTATGAACCAAATATACCATAGCTGGTAAAAATGTCCTTCAAAAATAAAGAAGAATAAGAATTTTTCCAGACTAACAAAAACTGAGGAAGCTCATCACCATTCAATTTGCCTCTCAAGAAATGCTAATGGGAGTTCTTCAAGTCAAAAGGGAAGGATACTAACCAGTAACAGAATGGCATAAAGAGTATGAAACTTACTTGTAAAGATCAATGTATAGGGCCGGGCCTGGTGGCTCATGCCTGTAATTTCAGCACTTTGGGAGGCTGAGGTGGGTGGATCACCTGAGGTTAGGAGTTCTAGACCAGCCTGGACAACATAGTGAAATCCTGTCTCTACTTAAAATACAAAAATTTGCTGGGTGTTGTGGCAGCGCCTGTAGTCCCAGCTACTCAGGAGGCTGAGGCGGGAGAATTGCTTGAACCTGGGAGGCAGAGGTTGCAGTGAGCCGAGATCATGCCATTGCACCCCAGCCTCAGAGACAGAGTGAGACTCCATCTCAGAACAACAACAAAAAAAGATAAATGTATACACAAATACAGAATACTGTATTATTGTAATGGTGGTGGACAAATCACTTTTAATTCTAATATAAAAGACAAAAGTATTGAAAATAACTATAATTTTAAAATATGATAATAGATCCACACTATAACTTAATTTAAATTAGGAAATCAATAACTGAGTGTGGGGAAAGAAAAAAGTTTTTGCATATGCTTGAAGTTAAATTGTTATTTTTTTAAAAAAATACTGTTAAAACTGTAAGATATTTTATGTAGGTCCCATGGTAACCACAATAAAATGCCTATAGCACAAGATAAAAATAAGAAATAAAGGCATATCAATAAAAAAAAATCAATGAAACACAAATGAAAGGAGCAAGAGACAAAAAGAGTCCGGGTTCGGTGGCTCACACCTGTAATCCCAGCACCCTGGGGGGATGAGGCGGGCGGATCACCTGAGGTCAGGAGTTCAAGACCAGCCTGACCAACGTGGTGAAACCCCGTTCTCTACTAAAAATACAAACAATTAGCCAGGCGTGGTGGCGGGCACCTGTAATCTCACCTACTAGGGAGGCTGAGGCAGGAGAATCACTTGAACCCGGGAGGCAGAGGTTGCAGTGAGCTGAGATTGCGCCATTGCTTTCCTGCCCAAGCAGCAAGAGCGAAACTCCACCCCCCCAAAAATAAAATAAAATAAAATAAAATAAAATAAAATAAAATAAACTGAGGAGGCAAAAAGAGAGAAAGGAACTATAAGACAAACAGCAAACAAAGTGTTAATAGTACATCTTTTCCTATAAATAATTAATTAATTTAAACTTTTAAAGTTTAAATGATTAAATGTCCCAATCAAAAGGCTTAGAGTGGCTGAATGGACTAAAAAGTCATCCAACTATACTGTATCCACATGAAACTGACATTAGATTTAAGGACACATATAGCTACAAGTGAAGGGATGGAAAAAGATATTTGATGTGGCAAATTTGGTTGAAGTGGCAACCAAAATACAACAAAGGTGGATACACTTGCATCAGGCAAAATAGATTTTTAAGTCAAAAACTTTCACTAAACATAAAAAAGATGTTTTGTAATGATAAAACAATCAATTTCCCAGGAAGATACAATGATTATAAGTACATACACCTCCAACATTAGAGCATCTAAATATATACAGCAGATGAGCTTTGTATATTTATGACAAAGCTGAGGGTAGAAATAGCTATGCAATAATAGTAGGAGACTTCAGTGCCACACTTTCAATAATGGACAGACATCCAGACAGAATATCAATAAGTAAACAGAGGACTTGAATAACACTATAGACTAAATGGACTTAACAGATATATGTAGAACATCCAACCCAAGAGAAGCAGAATAGAAAGTCTTCTCATGTGTACATGAATATTTCTTTAGGATTGAGCACGGGCTAGGTCACAAAATGAATGCTAACAAATTTAAGAAGATTGAAATTATACTAAGTATCTTTTATGACCACAATGAAATGAAACTAGAAGTCAAGAGCAGAAGAAACACTGGAAAATTCACAAATATATGGAAATTTAAAAACACTTACTTCTCAACAACCAATGGGTAAAAGAAAAAAATCAAAAGGGAAGTTAGAAAATATTTTGAGACAAACAAAAATAAAAATACAACATACTAAACATTTCTAAGATGCAGCAAAAGCAGTTCTAAGAAGGAGGTTTATGGTAATAAATGCCTACATTAAAAACGAAGAAAGATCTTCAATAAATAACCTAACCTTACACCTCAAAGGAGTAAAATAGGTGAAAAAGTAAAATGAAGAGCAACCTAAGCCTAAAGTTAGCAGAAGAAAGGATATTGTACAGTTTAGAAGAGAAATAAGCACAATAGATAATAGAAAACAATACAAAAAGTCAGCAAACCTAAGTGTTGGTATATTTTAAAGACAGACAAAATTGACAACCTTTAGCTAGACTAAAAAAGAAGATAGAATAGTTAAATAAGTAAAATCAGAAATGAAAGAAGACGTGTCTCAACTGATCCCAAAGAACGTACCTATACATATATATATGTACACATACCAATATATATACACATATATCAGTATAAATAAATATACATAAATATACTATATAATATATAGCATATATTTTGTTATGTATGCTATATATAATGTATTTTATGTAATTTTAATATATTAATTTTATGTAATATATTTTTATATATTGTATATAATACAAATAATATCTAATATATTACTATATTATAGTGATATATCAACAATGATATCTAATATAGTGATATATCAATATCTAATATATTAATGATATATTAATGATGTATCATCTGATATATTAATGACATATCAATGATATATAATATATTAATGTATTAGATGTTATATATGTATATATCATTATATATATTTATATATAAATATATATCATTATATAAATATAACGTTATTATATATCATTATATAAATTATATATATTTATATAATGATATATATATTTCTATGATATATTATATAAATGATATATATCATATATTATATATAGATGATATACTTAAATGATATATAAATGATATATAATATATGATATATAAATATATAATTATATATAATATAATATAAATTATATTATTTATAAATTATGTCTATCTATATCTATATATATTTATATACGATTGGATCATTGTCCAGAAACTTCTTAATAAAGAAAAGCCCAGCACCAGATGGCTTCACTGGTAAATTCTACCAAACACATAAGGAAGAATTAACATCAACCTTTCTCAGACTCTTTAAAAAAACTGGAAAAGTTTTTTTACGAGATCTCAACATTACCCTGATACCAAATCCAGACAAATATACTACAAAAAAAGAAAACTACAGGTCAATATCCCTGAAGATGTAAAAATTTTTAACAAAGTACCAGCAAACTGAATTCAACAGCACATTAAAAGGATTATACACCATGACCAAGTGGGATTGCTCTCTGAGATGCACGATTGTTTTAACATACAAAAATAATTAATGTACTATGCCACTTCTATGGTCTGAATGTTTGTGTCACCCCAAAATTCACGCGTTAATACCTCATCACCAATGTGATGACATTAGGAGGTAGAGCCTTAGGGAGATGATTGGAATTAGTGCTCTTATACAAGAGGCCAGTGCCTCAATTGTGAACATCTCATCCTCTAAAACTGTGAGAAGTAAATTTCTGTTTATTAACCACCCAATCTAAAATATTTGTTATAACAGCCTGAATGAACTAACAGAATAAAATCTATAATATACATATCATTTTAATAGATGTGGAAAAAGTGTTTGACAAAATTCAACAACATTTTAGTGATACAAGCTCTAAACAAACTAGGCATAGAAAGACTTTACC
This sequence comes from Homo sapiens, assembly GCF_000001405.40. Lineage (NCBI taxonomy): Eukaryota > Metazoa > Chordata > Mammalia > Primates > Hominidae > Homo > Homo sapiens. The sequence goes on along the minus strand of NC_000021.9, from coordinate 28,361,727 downwards.
TCAACATAATAAAGGCCATAGATGAAGAGCCCACAGTTGACATCATACTTACTGGTGAAAACTTGGAAGTTTTTCTTCTATGATTTGGAACAAAGCAAGGATGCCCTCTTTTGTCACTTTTGTTGTTTTATTTAATATAGTACTGGAATTCCTAGCCTGAGAAATTAGGCAAGAAAAGAAAAGTGGCACTCAAATCAGAAAGGAAAAATTAGCATTGTCTCTTGTTTGCAGATACAGTTTTTATACATAGAAAACCCTAAAGACTCCATTAAAAAAACTATTAGGACTAATAACGTCAGTAAAATTGTGGGATACAAGTCAACATACAAAAATCAGTTGAGTTTCTATACAACAATCTGTCTGAAAAAAATTAGGAAAACAAGTCCACTTATAAAGCAACAAAAAGCAAAACATATTAAGGAGGCAAAATACTTGTACACAGAAAACTACGAAACGTTGATGAAATAAACAAGATACAAGCAGATGGAAGATATCCTGTGTTCATAGATTGAAAGACTTAATATTGTTAAAATGTCAATACTGCCCAAAGTAATCTACAGATTCAATGTAATCCCTATCAAATTCCCAATGGAATTTTTTATAGAATTAGAAAAAATAATTCTAAAATTTATATGGGAGTACAAAATACCTCAAATAGCTAAAACAATCTTGATCAAGAGGAACAAACTTAGAGGCATCACACTTCCTAATTTCAAAATTTATTCCAAAGCTATAGTAATAGCTAAGAAAAGTGGATATAAAGTGTTCTCATCACAAAAATGATAACCATGTGAAGGGATGCATATGTTAATTAGCTAGTTAGTTATTCAACATTGTATGTATACTTTAAAACAATACATTATACATGGTAAATACACAAAGTTTCATCTATCAATAAAAAATAAAAATAATATGTTACTGGCATAAAGACAAACACATAGAAAAATGGAACAGAATAGAGAACCCGAAAATAAATTCACACATATATGGTCAAATTATCTTTGACAAAGGTCATACAATTGAGAAAGGATAATTTCTTCAACAAATGGCTCTGGCACAACTGGATATCCACAGGCAAAAGAATAGAATTGGACCTTTATATTAAAGCATATGTAAATTCAACTCAAAGTGGATTAAAGACTTACGTATCAGACCTGAAACTGTAAAACTTGAAGACATTGGTATTGGCAATAAATTCATGAATATGACATCAAAAGCAGGCAAGAAAAGCAAAATACAAAATTAAAATAAAAAATTTAAAACGCAAAATTATATAATAACTGATTCCCAAGAGTGCCAACATTGAACTAGAAAGTTTCTGACATCAAAGGAAATAATCAATAGAGTGAAAAGGCAATCTAGGGAATGGAATAAAATCTTTGTAAACCATTTATTACATAAATGATTAATTTCCAAAATATATAAGGAAACTTTTATAACTTAATAGTAAAAAAACTACCACATTAAGAAATGGGCTAAAGTCTTGAATAAACAGTCATTGAGACATACAAATGGCCAACAGGTAAAAGAAAAGATGTTCATTGTCAGTAATCATCAGAGAAATGCAAATCAAAGCCATAATGATATATCACCTCACACTTTTTAATATGGCTGTTTTCAACAATCAAAACACAACAGGTGTTGGTGAGGATGTGGAGAAGTTGGATCTCTTGAGCACTGTTGGAGAAATGCCAAATAGTGCAGCAGCTATGGAAAAGAGTAAGGAGTGTTCTCAAAATATTAAAAATAGAGCTATCACATAGTACACTACTCCCACTTCTAGTATTTATCCAAAAGAATTAGAATCTAGAAGAGATGTTAGCACTCCAATGTTCATTGCATCACTATTTGCAATAACAAGATTAGAAATGAATAAACATCCTTCTAAGATGAACAAATAAAGAAAATATGGTACGTACTTACAATGTAATATTTATTCAAGGTTAAAAAAGAAAGTCCTGCTATATGCAACACCTTGGATGATCCTGGGGACCTGATGCTAAGTGAAATAAGCCAGTCATAGAACGACTAAAATTGCATGATTCCCCTGACATGAGGTATCTAAAATAGTCAAACTCATAGAATTAGAGGGTAACATGGTGGTAACCTGGGGCTGGGGGCAAGGGGCTGTAGGGAGTTGCTAGTCAAAGAGCATAAATTCTCAATTAGGCAAGATGAGTAAGTACCAGAGATCTGCTGTACAATATTGTCCCTGTAGTTGATAACACTGTATTTTACATGTAAAAACTGATTTTGTGGCATCTGGCCCTTTCTCTATCTTTCATGCCAGTAGCATAGCATCCTGCTCCAGTTGTCACATTGCCTTCTGTCTCTGGTCAAATGTCCCTCTGCCTCTCTTTTTTAAAGACAAGTGTGATTACTTTTAGGGCTCATCCAGATGATGTAGAATAATCTCCTCATTTCAAGATCCTTGATTTAACCATACCTGCAAAGTTCCTTTTGCAATATAAGGCAGTAGTCACATGTTGCAGGTATTAGAATCTGCTTTTCTTTGGAAACTATTATCCAGCCTTCCATACCAGACATGCTCATTTATTTGTGACTTTCTTGCTTCAATAGCAGAGTTTAGTATTGCAACAGAGAACATATGGGTGCAAAATCTAAAATGTATATGCGTGGTGCTTTACAGAAAATGTTTGCAGTTCCTTACCTCTAAAGAAGAAGCATGTGCCTTAAAGGAAAGGCAGTTCCTGACATCAGAAATCACTGTTCCCTGGGAGAGCATTAAGTCAAATTAAATTATGTCAACGTTAAATTAAATCAAATATTTCCATGTTTGTCTGCTAATAGGTAGGATAACCATGTTTTCTTCTAACAGCAGGGAGATTTTCTTCCGCTGCTTCACATTATTGTAATCTTGATTCTGACCCACTGGAAAAATTATGCCTGCAGAATTAAAAGCAAAACAATATTTCAGAGTCAGTGCAGTACAACTTCTAAATGGGATTGATGGTATTTACCGACATAGTTTCCAAATGATATTTTGTCAAACAGTGAAGTAGCTAGTTAAGCGGGGCGCATGCTTATACAAAAGACTTTTTAGCTTTTTTCTTCCTTTTTTTAAAAAAAAAAAAAAAACTACCACACTTTGCATCCACATTATGTCAGTCTTGTTATTGTACAAATGGAAATTTAAATTTCAGGTTTACATAATGCTTATTCTCCAGATATCACCAAAACTGCTATAGAAGTGCACAAAACATCTGGAAATACAGTGCTCTTTTGCAAACTATAGTTTTTATGGTATTGCAACAATGCTGTTAGTAAACACAAAATTATGTAATAACTGATTCCCAATTTGACAATACTGGCAAAAAACATGCAGCCTTTTTGATGGAAGAAACTAGTGCATTTGGCTGAGTCCTGGGTGGAATATTAAGAATTGTAGAGGTCATTGCATACTAGACTTACAGTAAAGGGAAAACAAAAGCTGATTCTTGTTTAGAACGCTGTTCAAGCATTAAACACTTTGGGTTTGGATTTTCATACATTTTTGTTTTTCAGCTAATGGCAGTTTAGGGATAGTAATAGCCAGTACATATGTAGAGCTTCCCATGGGCCAGGCACAGTGTAAGTGTTTCACGCACATTGAGTCATTCAATCCTTTCAACTGGAGCTATTATTACCATTTTACAGAGGGAAAGTAGAGGAACAGAACTAAGTAATTCAACCAAGATCATACCACTAAATAGGAGTAAGGATTTAAACCCAAGAATATAAACACCGTGCTCTTAACCATTACGCAAGGCTGCCTCTCACACACATTTTATGCCAAGTAACTCCTGATCTCTGAGATACACAGGAGACATTAAGTGAAGTAGTGAGAGCAGTCTTGAGGAGTCAGAGGAATTTTTTTCTAGAAAGTTCTGAGTCTTCTAATAAAGAGTTACATGTTATTATAATGTATCTATAATTCATTTCAGATTCAGCCTGTTCATTTTAGTCTTTCAATCTTGGCTGCACACTAGAATCTCCTGGGGAGCAATACAAAATACCAAGGCTTGGCTCTACTTCAGGCCAATTAAGCCAGAATCTCTGGGGATGGGCCCTGGATGTAGGTATTTGGTGAGAGCTCTCTGGGTGACATTAGCATGCCGCCAGGGTTGAGAACCCACCATGGGCTTTAACGTGCCTCATAGATGTGGTGGCAAGACTGCACATAATTCACTGCATTAGGCATTAGAGATGAGAACACTTTCAATTACCTGATTATTAATGAAGACTGGGAAACTGGGTGCACTTGGATAAATGCTTTTATATTTTGGATTCACTGGTAAATCTCTGAGTGCCTTTTGATACCTTTAGCATTTTCCAGAGCCAGCAGTCTGAGACTATTAACATGGCTTGAACATCAGTGAGCCAGCTCCATGGAAAGAGATGGGAGAAATTCCTTTCTGGTGTTAATTCCAAATCTTACATTGCCTGCCAACCTAGAAGTAAAGGCAATCTGTGTGTGGCTATTCCATTGGATTTTCTTCTCCTGTTATGCACCAGCCTGTTTCTACTCAACATGCTGCATGATCTGTTTCCTTTTATTTAAGAAAGAAAAGTCTTCCAATTCATAAGAAAAAGCACAAGGACTTGTGCACATTCCCAGCATTCTGATTATAGGTATGACACTGAACAGATTGACAGACTGTATTTCACTTCAAGCTATCTGAACGTCTAGTATGGCCATAAGCTTGAGCATTTTTTTTCAATGATGGAATAAGCCTCAAGTAGTCCAGCCCTGCAGGACTTATGTTAAAACCGTTAGGGCTCATTAGCACAGTACAGCAAACTTGTCAGATATAACACACACACACACACACACACACACACACACACACACACACAGTGAAAGAGTTCAGCTGGAGGAGTCCTCTTGTTTATTAATAGCAATGAAAGGAATCATTGCATATGAAAGCTTAAAAATACAATATTTTTGTGAATTCAGTGTCATTGCATTTATTAATTCTGGGAGAAAGAAACACAGGGAGGTGGTATGTGATGATAAACAGTGTTACTTTCTTTCATCATTTCTAATCATGAATCATAGAACCTTGTTGTAGCTGGTTGGCAGACTGGGAATCTATGTAAATTCCAGAGGCGTGCCTTGCCTTTATCCTTGGAGATGCCCTAAAGTGAGGAGTTTCATTTGACAGCATCCTGGACTGTTGACGAAACTAAGAAAAAGAGTTGACAAGATGATCTAATAGACCTTTTATGTTTCCTACTCCTTTTATTTGGTGGAAATAGCAAGCATGCCTTCAGAAATGGACCCTGTCTTTCAATGGGTGAATAGAAGATGCCCATATTTGTGCACTCTTACTCTACATATCCTTTTGTGTGTGAATTTCCATCATTGTGGACCAGTAGAAAAGTCAAAGAACAGCAGAAATGCTGGGAATCTGGCCAGAAGTTAAATGTGCTCATAATAGGTCTTGGAGATGGAAGCGTTGACCGCTGTAGAATTCTTTCTTTGAATGGGAAGCTATATTTGGGCCAAAAGGTTTATCTTCCAGGCTCTCCTCATCTCTCGATACCTTTTTCCCTGGCCTTCTTTGGAATGGACCTCTTCTTTTATGCGCATCAGCCTTTGGCATTTTCCAGAATACAAAGATCATAACTATAATTGGGACAACATTCACTGTAAAGCGGGGTGGGGATGACACATCAGAGTTGTTTGTTGACATTTAGATAGAAGGACAGTTAGATGTTCCATGACTTTGTTGTTGTTTTTGTTGTCCCTATTACTCTAATTCTAGAATGAAGACAAGACTGGTTCTCACCGTTGTCCTCAATGGTGAGATATGCGTGAGGTTATGTGAAAAGAATAATAAGATGCATGATAAGGTTCTAGCCACACTGTGGCTACATAAAATTAATCAATCCAACAGAGCTGGCTTGTGTGATGGCTCCCAGAATGTGGTCAGTAGGCATGACTCTATTTTTCTTTTGTATTACATATTCTCAATTTCTATTCCTCTTTTAACACGCTTATGGCAAGTTCTTTTTTTTTTTTTTACTTTTATTTTAAGTTCAGGGGTACCAGCGTAGCTTTGTTACATAGGTAAAGCTGGTCATGGGCATTTGTTGTACCGATTATTTCATTGCCCAGGTATTAAGCCTAGCACCCATTAGTTGTTTGTCCTGATCCTCTCCCTCCTCCCACTCTTCACCCTCAGAAAGGCCCCAGTGTGTGTTCTTCCCCTCTATGTGTTCTTGTGTAAAATCATGTCCTTTGCAGGGACATGGATGGAGCTAGAGGCCATTGTCCTTAGCAAACTAACACAGGAACAGCAAACGAAATACCACATGTTCTGCCTTATAAGTGGGAGCTTATAGCAACTTCTGACTGCTTTTTGGCTTCTGCTGAGGAGTTCTAATCTCCTCTCTTCCTTTGCTGAGATCATTCCTTCTATCTAAACACCTGAAGTCTTCTTCTGCCAGTCTGTGCTACTCTGACAATGACAGTGAACTCCACATCAACCCTTTCAAGTGCCGTTCACATCGGATCACTTATTTACATTTGTTGGGATGTACAATTTAAGATCTTGATATAACATTTTGGAAGTAATAGATCATTTTGTGCATGTTTCTTCACAACTAGGTTTCAGTGTCCTAAAAGGAAGTCCCATGACTTCCAACCCCTCTCTCTCTCCTAGTACAGAGTGAATGCTATGAAATTCATGATGACAAAATCATTTTTTTGGTGAATGAGCCTGATGTGCTGAATAGAATTTTTAGTATTTCATAGAGAATGATATCAATGAATTTATACTACTGTATGTATAATACATATAGTGATAGTGAATTTATACTACATATAAATAAAATGTTCATTATATTTGTGTTTATGTATGTTATAGTGAATATTTTATATATATAGTATAAATACATTTTTATATAGTATAAATGCAAATACATATAATGTCCATTGCTTACAGTCTAAAAGAATAAGAAACTACTCTGAAGAAAATCATACTTTGGGCCCAAGTAAGCCTTACTAAATTTTCACAATTGCTTGTTTTGGAAGACTTCTGAATATACTTATTCAAACAATATACATCATTGAATGTGAACTTGAGAGAAGTCCTTTAGCCCAGAAAATGTTATTAGGAAAAAAATAAAGAAAAATTTAAAAAAATTTTAGGCATGAATTTATTAAACTATTTCCAAGGCCTTAATAAAATAATTGTTTTTGAACCTCTTAAAACATGATCAAGTTACTATAAAAGCACTTTTAAACCTTAATTTAACTTACAAGGTAACTTTGGAAAGATACTACTAATGAGGAAAAGTTGTAAGAGAGGAAAGTTATTTTTCTAAAATTCACATTTTAGGCATATTTTAAAAATATTCCCACTTGAAGATTTACTTTCCTTTCTGAGTATTCAATAATGGTTACTGCCTGTAATGCCACATTTGAGAAAATAGGAAGAGTTTTCCAGCAAAGTAGCGGATCTTAAGGGTTGATAGAGTCACAGGCCTGGCGGGGGTCCACCTAAAATTGATTCCCATGGCCTTGCGAGAATTTCTCCACCTTTCAAAAAAATTATTACTTCTCTCTAGGAATAGCATGGTGAGTTTGGCACCTAAAATTGTAGCTGTTTAATAGGTTTCTATATAACTTTCTTAGAGGAATTGAAAATCTTTCTTAAAAACTGTGTTATGCTTGTGTTGTAATTAAAGTAAATATTTTGTGGGATATTTGCCTTTTAAAAGTATTTCTTCAAGTTAAAAAATTGTTTTTTACTTCTATAAGTTGCAAGGGTAGAGGGATGAGTATTTTATTTTATTTTTTTTTATTTTTTCATTTATTATTATTATACTTTAAGTTTTAGGGTACATGTGCACAACGTGCAGGTTAGTTACATATGTATACATGTGCCATGCTGGTGCGCTGCACCCACTAACTCGTCGTCTAGCATTAGGTATATCTCCCGATGCTATCCCTACCCCCTCCCCCCAACCCACAACAGTCCCCAGAGTGTGATGTTCCCCTTCCTGTGTCCATGTGTTCTCATTGTTCAGTTCCCACCTATGAGTGAGAGTATGCGGTCTTGCGATAGTTTACTGAGAATGATGATTTCCGATTTCATCCATGTCCCTACAAAGGACATGAACTCATCATTTTTTATGGCTGCATAGTATTCCATGGTGTATATGTGCCACCAAAATCTCCTTAAGCTGATAAGCAACTTTAGCAAAGTCTCAGGATACAAAATCAATGTACAAAAATCACAAGCATTCTTACACACCAACAACAGACAAACAGAGAGCCAAATCATGAGTCAATTCCCATTCACAATTGCTTCAAAGAGAATAAAATACCTAGGAATCCAACTTACAAGGGATGTGGAGTATTTTAAAATAAGATGCTTTGAGGGAGAAGAATTGCTTACTGTGGAACTAATGAGCTCATTCATCCTTGATATTTTACTGAGAAAAAAACTCGACAACTACAACACATTATATTAGCATATGTGTTTGTGTAATTTAATTGTATTGGGTACTTGAAACCCATATTTGTACATGCAAATAGAGCTTTGGTCATGCAAATGCATCTGACTTCACCATGAAAATATTTACTTGTGCACACAAACAAATGAAATTTCCTACTCATAAGCTACACTGCCCCATACTTTCTTTTTTAGGTAATAGTTTTTAAAACACTTTTTTATACCAGACTTCTAATTATGCTAAACCAAAAAAAATTACAGCTTGACCAATATGCCTAAGAAGAATAGACACAATTCTACAATTTTCAAAATAATAAAGTAACATAGCATGTTACAAAATGGGTTGAACAAAGAAAATGAAGTATCTATAATATTAAGAAATGCTATGATCACTTAGTGGAAGAAAGCATACTTGGCTAAACAAAAGATATCAAAACTGTAATTCTCATTATTCCATTTTCTACCAGTTTGGGAATGATGTCAAGTTCAACACATTCCAGAAAGTAGCCTCCTTAAATTGACAGGCATGGGTGGTCTAATTACTCTGAAAGGTAATCTAGTATAACATTGTTGAGCTCATTTAGATGATTTGAGTGGCTAATTTTGTTAGAGGAGATTTTCACTTCTGCTTAGTCTCCAACAGTGAAATGATCCAAGATGGACCTTGTCTTTTTTTCTGTTGACTCAGTAACGTCCTTTAATGATTTCACATGGTTTGAGAAGAGTAAGTGTTTAATGATGAAGACATTATATTTAAAAATTAACTGACGTTTGCCAATTAGTGTTCTGGGCTTTCACACCTTTAATCTGGTCTCTCCCTTCCCATCTGAACTCATTCCTCCGTTGACTTTCCATTAGAGAACAAGCAGACCTGACTGCATGTGGGACATGGTGTGGCAGGGAAAACTGAACTGGATGCCAGGCATCCTGAATGCTGATTTCTATTCTGCTACTTGTAAGCAGGCCATTTGAATACCTTGGACCTCCATTTCCTAAGGGAAGACATTCTGTTCTTTTACGTCAGCTAAATTTGTTCTTTCATGATAAGGCTTTCAAGATTCTCTAAGGGGGAAGGCTCACACATTTGCTAGGTGAGCATGTACTCAGATGGGCAAAATATTGTTGTTCTTAATTTACTACAACCAATCTGATTATCCTCATTAACAGTACTTTATAAGTGGTCAGGAAAACCTAAATTGCAACCTGAAGTTGATAGAATCACAGTCCCTTCCAGTTTATATAATACTTTTGGATGTATCAGTCTTCTTTGTACAAGTGCTTAGGAGTTTAGATTTTCTTCTCCTCCACCCTTCCTCTCCACATGTGTGCAGGAAGGGAGAACCTCCATAGCAGTGTTCCCTGATCTACGAGGTGTCTTCTGAATCTTGCTGGTCTCTGCTAAGCAGGGACTTTCTGGTTTGGTCCCTGAACCCACAACTAGTGAAGCAGGACTGGCCCTATCTGCTGTGTGGTTAGCATTCCAATACCCATTACTGAAGTCCTTGGACTCAACTATTTGCCACTGGTGGTGACATTTTTAAATACTGTGCCTTTTTAACTCTGACTCCCCTGGAGGCCTCTTCTTGCTCATGTTTTCTGTGCTTTATTCTGGGCACATAGAATCTTATATCACCAATTACTGTGCCACTCATTCTGTGAAGATCATGAAAAGCCCTCCAGATAACCTATCTAGTCATCTCTCCTAACCAAACCTAAACATGACTACTTGAAATTTCTCTAAACTATACCACAAAAAGCAACAACTGTTCCCCAAATAGCGTTGAGTTCCCTCCTCACTGGGCTGGTGTTTGTTTTGCATCGTTCCCTCTGTCCACCTACCATATGTCCACACCAAAAGGAAGAGAGTGAGAATAGGTCTGACTCTCCTCTCTTTCCATTAGAGTGTTCCACATTTTCTTCCTATCGAGAATTCTTCCCTAGATAGACCTTTTCTGCACTTTGACAATCACTGGCCATTACATTATGTCTTTGGATTTAATCTAAAGTCTGAAGAAACAGTGTGGGCACGGAGTGTGATGAGGTATAACTATTATTTGGAGGATAATGCAAAATTATTTTATAAAAGAGAAAAAAGGAAGAAGCAGCAGAAGGGGATGCGGGAGGAGAGGGAGGAAGGGGAGGAAAAAGAATATTTGATGTGTGAAGTCATGCCAATTTCCTGTTACCCCAAGGAAGACTGTATATTAAAATGGAAGCTGCTATTTATATTTAGCCATGAATCAATTTCCCCATGCAGTTTCAAGCGGTGAATAGGAGCCTTTTGAAGGAACGCATACTTAGCCTGAATACACATGTAAATATGGACACGCTTATTAATTGTTTTATCTTTCTTTCCTTCACATTCATCAGTTCTGTTCTTCATGATAAAACTTTACCTCTTTAGAAAATAAGGACAGCAACAACAAAATTCCTCCATGGAACTATACTGACAGCATGTCGAGTAAACCAATTATGAGAGATTCTATTGCCTACATGCTTTTTCAGAATTCTGCCTCTTCTGATAAAGACATAAAGTCTATTTTTCATGCCCTTGCATTTTGGTGGCATTTGCGGCTGGCTTGATGGACAGAATGCAGTGGATGTGACGTTGCATGACTTCTAAGGCTTCTGTCTACTCTCTCTCTCTCTCTCTCTCTCCTTCTCCCTTTATTTCCATCACTATTTCTTTCTCAGAACATTTGTCTCTGAAACTCAGCTACCATTTTGTGAGAAAGCACAGAGGCCATGTGTAGGTTTTCTCCTTGGTAGCCCCAGATAAACTCTCAGTAGAGAGTGATCATCAACTGTCAAAAATGTGAGTGAACAAACCTTCAGTTTCTGAGAGGAGCAGAGAAAAGCTATATTCTCTAAACATTGTACAAATTTAGTTTCCCAAGTGAAATAAACATAGTTTAAGAAGTGACCCTTCTTAGGCTCAGCCATATTAAATTGAAGGAATGAGATGAGAATTGTGATCCAGTAAGCCACTCCAACCACAGCAACTTATATGTATTAAATAAACATGCAGAAATTGATTTGAAGGACCTGAATAGCATGTATTCAGTTAGATAGAGGCTCAGTCAAGACAACACCTCCATATTACTCTATGCTTATCTTTGCTCTGTGCCATGACCCCTGAAAGGTTCATGGCTGTGTTTCTTAACCTACTTCACCAATTCTTAAACTCGGAAATAGTATATTTACATACGCTATCTTTTCTATTACTACTGTTTTTATACCACTACTATTTCTACTAATGAAAAATCAGGCTGTCTTCCCATACAAAGTGAAATAGTTCCAAAGACCTAAGAAAGAAACTCTTCAAAACAACGACAGCAAACACTTTTACAATTGATTGGACTTACTTCTTTAACACTTTTATTTTTTATAGGATTTTTATGCATGCATATTTATAGATATCTTTTTGGTTATTTAGGCAAATAGAGTCTATTGGCATTTTGCTGCACATTAAATAGAGAATGTGACTCCCCTGCACTTCTGGAATTGCTCTGAGATTATTAATCTGGAAGCAGTCAGCATGAGGAGAAAGCCACACTAGAGTAGAAAGTCAGAAAATAGGGTTATAAAGTTATATATTTGTACTTGTTCATTTTAAGTAGAATGTGAGCTAGTAAAATATAAATCTATTCAGAATTTGCCTAATTTAAGAAGAACAGAAAATGAAAAATTCATTTTTTTTTCTTTTTTCTCCTGGGAAAGTAAACTTCAATAAATAGTAAAATCAACTGTATATGTAAATTTGGCTTCAGCAAGGGATACCAAGCTCTCAAATCACCTCTAACATTTTGAGTGGTTGCTTTATCTTACTAGACCAGTGCCCTCTATCTAATCCCAAAAGGATTTTTACTTTCATATGACAATTTCCCTTTGGTTTCTATAGTTGTTTATTCCTCTTTGATAATGAAACTGATCACCAGTTACCTTGCCTGATAATTTATCATTTTTTCAATGATTGGCAACTAAGAACAAACAAAAATGTCTATGCATTTCTGTTTATTCCCTAAGTAATTTCATCTGGTCTCATTGCTTTAATTAAATGCTACCTAAAAGTTGATGACTCTTCAAAGGTATATGTAAGTTTTAACTAATTCTTTGGGAAAAAATCAAAATATTCAATTGCCTACATGTTGGTTATTTGTTAGAATGTCAAAATCAATCTGTTCAAAACAGAACATTACAGTAAAGGGACAAATGCTACTTCTAATAATATGTAGAAATGTCAGTGCCAAGTATCAGGAACAAAATGATGTTCCTGTTTTTCTTTTATAAAACAATGTGAATGTTGGTCTGATATTTTACTTTCGTAATGATACAAAAAATGTGGCAATAATTATTATCCAAACAGTTACACTCCAGTCACAGATTGGAGATTCTTTTCTTCTGTTTCGTGTTTTCCTCTCATTATTTTTACCAGGATTTATTATTAATTACAAGGAGGAACATCCAAAAACTAAATTCATCTTCCATATGAACTGATTGCATTTCCCTGCCACAAAAAACACTAGAAACATTTGTCCCCAGCTGCCACAAAATTGTGGCATTCCCATGTTAAAAAGTTTTTATTTATTAATCTAATACCAGCTTAATCTGCAAACATGTTCTCTTCTCTGTTTTGTAATCCTGCTTCATTTTAAAACCAGATTTAGAAATTTAATATTAAAACCATTAGAATGAGAGAAGTCATCTTAAGAAAACTTGAAAAAAAATTATAAGAAGTAAAAGGCAGACAAAGCATAACCAAGAACATAATTGGAACAGAAAAAAAATGCAAAAAAGAAGTGGTATCTGCTTTACTGAAATCATTTAGACTGTATTTGGAGGACAAACACAATCACTTCAAGCCTTCAGCAGATAAAGTTTACCCCAGGCCCACCTAGGAGCTCAATTATTATTAGTAGTAGTGATAATAATACAGATATTGGCCAGGCACGGTGACTTATGCCTGTAATGCCAGCACTCTGGGAGGCCGAGGCGGGCGGATCACAAGGTCAGGAAATGGAGACCATCCTGGCTAACACAGTGAAACCCTGTCTCTACTAAAAATACAAAAAGTTAGCCAGGTGTGGTAGCATGCGCCTGTAGTCCCAGCTACTTGGGAGGCTGAGGCAGCAGAATCTCTTGAACCCAGGAAGCGGATGTTGCAGTGAGCCGAGATCACGCCACTGCATTCCAGCCTGGGTGACAGAGCAAGATTCTGTCTCAATAATAATAATACACATATTATGAAAATATTAAAAATAATATCATACCTGAAAATAGTAATACATCAACAACCATTTAGCTGAGGGCATGAAATTTACCAGACATATATGGCAAATTATTAAAATTAGTCCAGCAACCCTAAGAAAAAGATAGTATGACTATTTTACAGTTGAGCAACTATATTTCCAAGAATCTAAGAGTGACTTCTACAACCTTCAGTTTCATTCAGCCCAACAAATATTTATCAAATTCTTATGACAGAACACAACCGTAGATGATACAGTTTCTTTTCTCTAAAGTCAGGGGGACAGACAAAGAAAGAAAAAAAGGAAGAGTGAGAGAAAGAGAGAGAAAGGACAGAGGAAGGAAGGAAGGAGAAGAAGAGGAAGAGGAGGAGGAGGAAGAAGAAGAGGAGGAAGAGAAGGAGAAGGAGAAGAAAAAGGGAGGGAGGAAGGAAGGAAGAAGGAGGAGGGAGGGAGGGAGGGAGAAAGAAAGGAAGGAGGAAGGGTGGAGGGAGGAAGGAAGGGAGGGAGGGAGGAAGGAAGGGAGGAAAAGGAAAGGGAAGCAAAGGAAGAGAAGACTCAAGTAATAAATTAAACCTATAAATAACTCTTTTTTTTTTTTTTTTTGAGACAGAGTGTTGCTCTGCCATCTAGGCTGGAGTGGAGTGGTGCAATCTTGGCTCACTGCAACCTCCACCTCCCTGGTTCAAGCAATTCCCCTGCCTCAGCCTCCTGAGAAGCTGGGATTACAGGCACATGCCACCACACCCTGTTAATTTTTGTATTTTATTTAGTTTCACCGTGTTGAACAGGCTGGTCTTGAACTCCTGACCTCAGGCAGTTCTCCCGCCTTGGCCTCCCAAAGTGCTGGGATTACAGGCATGAGCCACCACACCCGGCCAATAACTCTTTACAAGGTAGAGCTGTCGAGCATGGAAAGAGTGATCAACTGTTGGGCAAGATTGGTTTGGAAATTTACTTTAGCTGACATTTGAACAATGATGATTGAGAATTTACCAACTGAATTGTGATTAACTTTTATCAAGTAACTAAAAATGATAACTTTTTTTTCCTCCATTCCCAACATTTCTTAGCACCCCAACTGTGAGGTCTTGTGAGGTTCATGGGAGCCACTGAGTAAATTAAACATCTAGTCAGATGTTCATAGGCCATGATAATAATTCTTAGATGTCTTGAGAATTGGGTCACACTGGAAAGGTAGGGCCACTGGAGACAGGAGAGGCCTCAGTGATGGCCTTCTCACAGACCTCTACATGAATGGCCTTTGCCCCAGTGACATCCCTCAGGCACAAATGCATTGGGGGCTCTGTTCTGGTTCCAAAGCTTTGCCTTTTCCTGTTCTACTATGAATTCTCCCCCAAAATCATGATGAGCTTACCAGCCTTGGAGTCATTTCCTTACTGCACTGTAATTGCCATTTAATGTAATTCCTTCATCTCCTTTTAAAGGATCTTAATATTGAAGGATTATTTTCTTTTCATTTTCCAGCCAAGATTTCTTTCTATTGCTTTCAGCTTTATTGTCTCTAGAAAACCCTTAACATTCTATGACAAAACAGTAGAGGAAATGAGGCAAGAATCTGAGAATATACCACCGGAAATCAGCCCAAAGTTAATACCTGCACCATTTCTCTTCATTGGATATCTGATTTTATAACTTCATCCAGGACACATGTGATGAAGTGAGTTGTGACTGATTGAAGTGGAGTTAGGAACCTAGCTTTTCCTCCAAAAAAGAATGGGGAAAGGAGCTATTGGTAGGAGTTGGAGTGCAGTGGAGGCAATTGCATTTCTCAGACACTCAGGGGCTCTCATAACGGTTCCTGAAGAGCATCCCTGTTCCTCCTCTGACTGTTCATGCATGTGCATGGCTGGTCATGGATGGCAAAGGGGAACTGGAGGAGAGGAAGTAGCTGAGCAAGGGCAGAGAAGAAGTTATAGCCGTGCAGTATGCTTTGCTACCAAATATAATGAAAAGATTGTAGATTTTACTATGCTCTTATAGGACACAGTTAACCCATGATTGTTGGGGTAACCTGTGAATTTTATTGAAAATCATTACATTATTTAACTAATGTCCAGTGCTTAATCTTTTGCTTCTTGACTCTGAAATAAATGTGGGGAACTCAAGGTCCTTATATACACAAACAAGTGGAAGAAGAGTCTTTTTCCCTTAATGCAATGGAGGTCAATTTTAATGTCATAGGCTTGGGTCCCATGAAGCATGCCAGCTACCATTGGGCCGGGGGTGGGGGTGCGGGGGGAAGCCACTTTCAGGTATATTTTTATTTCACTAAGGGAGACTGATTTCTTACTAGAGATCACTTACAATTTTTTAGAAATTGATTTCTTTCATAACAACTACTGTAATTAGAAAATCCAGAATATCTGTTATATCTCTCTTGCTGTGGGTATAGTTTGTACTTCTTTATCCTCATTTTGTTTTCAGAAGAGACAGAGATCAGTAGGCCACCATCTTTAATAAAACAACTTCACATAGTTACCATAGGTTATTAAGTCATTCATCAGCATGAGTCTTTATCCTAGTATGGAACAATCATTGTAACACTCATATGAAATCATTACTTTGAACACCAGACAAGGGCGTTAATTTTATTTCTTTGACTCTCCACCCTAGCTGTCAGCATTTTCATCTTAAAGTGACAAAATCATAGTTTAGGAGACCATGCAATCCCACAAAAAGCACACTTCCTCATCCCCCAGCCACACAAATGCTTTCCTGCAGAGATGAAACAAAAATGTAAAACCGATAAATGGAAAAAGGGCAATCATCCCAAGACTGAAGCAACTTTACTCTAACCTAGGTCATGCTTGAGAAATTTAGCCATGAAAGGTTGGCAAGAAGAATCTTTCCTGAATTGCTCCCTGGGTGGGAACATTGAAGTCAGTTCAGAACAAGTTTGAGGAAAAAAAGTCATGTTTTTCTAACATTTTCAAAGAATTAAGTTGGTGAAAGGTGCTAGATTTGAAGTTCTTAAAAGTAATTATCTCTCCCTAGGGCACACATATTGTTCCAAGGATGGTAAAAACGGTGAACTCTTGTAGTCTTAAATTGCTATCCATTAAAGAAAGGCCTTCTTTCCTTGAGTTGTAGTGGTCTGGATACTACTCACTCTGTGCCTTCTGTTGAGACTACGAATTATAGCTTAAAGATAGCCTAGCAAAAGATTTTTAAAAGTCACAAGGAGAAACAAATGGTTGGAAAGTGCCAAATTTGCATTGACTTTATTCTTCTTTATTCCCTTCTCACTGTGATGTGCTGTTCTCTGCCTCTGCTCCATGTCCACTCCGTTTGGATTGTCCCTGATTTTCTCATCCAGGAACTCTCATAGCAACTAAATGTGATATAAAGGAACTCCCAGGCACTGCATTACAACCCTAAGTTGTTCCTATATATTGCATGAAGAGCAGGTAAAAAGAAAATAGAAAGAAGTTTGGGTGCAAAGTCATCTTTAGTTCCTATATCTTTTGGACTTTAAATTGTTTGACCTCTTCTCATGTCACTGCCTACTGTCTTTATGGCAATTTACTATAAAGTCATCACATATGTCCTCTAGATAGAAATTTGATCATTCTAATTCAATTGCACTAAATAATATCATTTAAATTTGAAATGGGTCATTATGTGTGATGAGTAATCCATTGTTGGTGCTATTGCAATGTGGTCAAGTTTATAATTTCATCAGGATGCTAATTTTTAAATATAATAGTTGCATTAACATTTTAACCTTGCTATGATGGATTAATAGTTGGAAGACAATTGTTTCAATGCTCCAAACAAAACAAAACAAACCAACCAGTGTCAAGTTTCTTTTCTTTTCTTTTTTTTTTTTTTGAGATGGAGTTTCACTCCGTCACCCAGGCTGGAGTACAGTAGCGTGATCTCGGCTCACTGCAACCTATGGCCCCAGGTTCAAGCGATTCTCCTGCCTTAGCCTCCAGAGTAGCTGGGATTACAGGTGTCTGCCACCACACCTATAACACACCACACTGCCAACACACTTGTGTTTTTAGTGGAGACGGGGTTTCACCATGTTGGTTGGGCTGGTCTCCAACTCCTGACCTCAAGTGATCCGCCCACCTTGGGCTCCCAAAGTGCTGGGATTACAGACATAACCCACCACACCTGGCCCCAGTGACAATTTTCTAATGGACATTCTTTTAGACATAAAGTCTTTCTCTAAATTTTAGGAATATACTAAGATTCTTTTCTCAAAATAATTAACTCATGAATAAAAAAAAGGTGATCTATGGGTGATATCGTTTGGCTATGTCCCCACCGAAATCTCAACTTGAATTGTAATCCTCATAACACCCCCATGTGAGAAGAACCCAGTGGAGGTAATTGAATCATAGGGGAGGTTTCTCCCAGTTGTTCTTGTGATAGTGAGTTCTCACGAGATCTGATGGCTTTATAAGTGTATTAGTCTGTTCTCACACTGCTAATAAAGACATACCTGAGACTGGGTAATTTATGAAGGAAAGAGGCTTAACAGACTCACAGTTCAGCATGGCTGGGGAGGCCTCACAATCATAGCGGAAGGCAAAGGAGAAGCAATGGTACGTCTTACATGGTGGCAGGCAAGAAAGCACGTGCAGGGAATCTCCTCTTTATAAAACCATCAGATCTTGTGAGACTTATTCACTATTTCGAGAACAGGACAGGAAAGGCCAGGCCCCACAATTCAATTACCTCCCACTGGGTACCTCCCATGACACATGGAGGTTATGGGAGCTAAAATTCAACATGAGATTTTGGTGGGGACACAGTCAAACCACATCATAGGAGCATCCAGCATTTCCCCTCCTGGCACTCATTCTATCTCCTGCAACCCTGTAAAGAGGTGCCTTCCGCCATGATTGTAAGTTTCCTGAGGACCCCCACCCCGCTGCCAGCCATGCAGAAATGTGAGTCAATTAAACCTCTTTTCTTTATAAATTACCAGCCTTGGGTATTTCTTCATAGCAGGGTGAGAACAGAATAATACAATCTTTTGTAAAATATGATCTCTAGTGATACCTCAAAATAGAGTTTTCAAAGCTTATTAGATTTTAATTGAGGAGAGGTTGGACTTCATGTATTTTATTATGCATTTTAAACATCCAAGGTTCAGAATAGCATGAAAATTCCCAGAGTTAGAACAAAAAATGCAAAAGATTATTGATTAATTCTGAGGATCATAAGCCAAAGAAGGAAAGCTTATTTAGTGAATTTTCATACATCACTAATTATATCCCATTTATGCAAAAGATTACTGACTAAACTTCGATGCATAAATAAGGATCTATCAAAATTTAAGTCAATAGAATGGCTGTCATGGGTTTTAACCTACAGGGCTGTTTAGTGGTAGGAAGAACTCTTGTGGCTTTATTCTGAGATAGGGCCCTCTTCGAAAGAAGCTCAGCACCATGGGAACTCATTTGAAACAGCTGCAGGCCCTCTGCTTTTTCATCTGTTGCCTTAAACTTCTTGTATTTTGACTAGCATGTCAAATTCATGGCTTCTGCTGTCTTCCTAGACAAATCTTTCATGACAAAGGAAAAACATTGCTGTGGTATCTCAGATCTCTCTCACTGAGCTTCAAAGAGCAAACAGTTAGAAGCCATATGGCAAAGTATGCTTTCTGTTAAATCTCTTGTTGGTCATTTCCCCTTCTAGGTTTCAATGAGTGTAATCCAAGATTGTGCTCAACAATCTTGTGTGAACCACAACAATTTCAGTGTGAGCCACACTGAATTCCTGGAGATGTGATCAAATCAAAACCCTACCTATTGTGTCTGGAAAAAAAGCCACATAGTGCTACCAAGTTTCGATTATAATTCTGTGTTCACAATCAAATTGTCATTGAAAGTCTCTTTTCTCTAAATATAATTTTAAAACATGTGTCTCAAGTTAGTAAGTGGGGTATATTATATGATTCCAAAGTTATGGCATATTTTTTATTTTTTAAGGAAGTTCTTTATATGTGATATGAAACTTCCCACTAAAACCAACAACTAGAAAATGTTTGAGAAACAAGGCATAATTTTCTTATGTTTTCCTCAAACATTTTCTAGTTGCATGCCTTAGAAATTTCAACTTTGAAAATCTGTTTTGCAAGATATATTCTTACAAATAACAATTATTTAAAGAAACTTATTGATTATATATGCTTAAGGGTATGGCAAATTTAAAATAGTATTTGTTATTCTGAGTAAAACTTAGAATAAATTTGTAGCGTTATCGGAAAGACTGGTTTATTTACTTATCTTAATCAATTTCTTTTTTTTATTTTAAATGTCTATCTAATGCAAAGAAGCCAATTATTCAAACTGGCATTTTAAATATATATAGTATATAACACGTATAATATATAAGAAAGAAAAATATTCATTTGGTCAGATTTTCAGAAATTTGAATTAATTTCAAAAACGCTGGCCGTGCGCGGTGACTCATGACTGTAATCCCAGCACTTTGGGAGGCCAAGGCGGGTGGATCACGAGGTCAGGAGGTCAAAACCATCCTGGCTAACATGGTAAAACCCCATCTCTACAAAAAAATACAAAAAATTAGCTGAGAGTGGTGGCAGGCGCCTGCAGTCCCAGCTACTCAGGAGGCTGAGGCAGGAGAATGGCATGAACCTGGGAGGCGGAGTTTGCAGTGAGTTGAGATTGCGCCACTACACTCCAGTCTGGGTGATAGAGTGAGACTCCGTCTCAAAAAAAAAAAAAAAAAAAGTTGCTTCGTAACCATCAAGTTTTCTACTATTATAGATATTATAGATTTTAGTAATTTATGTGATTTTTCTTTCTTATTACTGTATTGTATTATTGTAAAAAATGATTTGTCTACATGAGAAACTTTCTATTTGGCAGTTCTAAAGGAGTTCCTGAAATTTCTCAAACTCTATCCTTGAAATTTACTCAGGAAAACGCTTAATTCAAATGTGAACAAGACAAAGGATGGTTGTAGAACTATGAAAATATCTCCATGGATATTAAACCAATTGAATATGTTTGTGGGGTTGGATTATATGACAGTGAAAAATATGGATTGAAATATAGATAGGTACCTCCCCCCTTCTAATGCTCTTCAAAACACACTTAGGTTCCTTACTTTATCTATAGACAAGTGGCTGATGATGGGCATTTAGCTGATTATGTCAAGGAAATCAACTATCCTGCTTCCTGGGGCTTCCTTTCAAAAATTCCTAAAGCATGCAAATACTCCACCGCACTGCCAAAGTACATACATACTCTCACACAGAATTAAACGTATGGATGGTAAATACTAATAAATCTGTTTTGCAAGATATATTCTGACAAATGACAATAAGAAAATTTCAACTTTGTCGAAGCTTTTGAATTGTAGTCATATACAAGGGTAGAAATGCTTGCCTTGCTTTTTATTTAAATTCTTCTTTAAAAATACACTAGTTTAAGAGAGAAATGATTTTTAAAAATTATTTTATTGGAATAGAGAGTGTTTTCTTCAGTATTTTTTGAAAGAAATCGATATTGGCTTTTGACGTTACCACAGTCAGAAATATATTGAGATCAATCTGAAAGAGCCAAATCCATGACAGCTTTAAAGAATGAAGATGATTTGAAGTCATAAAATGTGATTTTGGGGTAAATAAGTAACAACAAAAGAAATTTTTTAAAAAAATACAGAGTGCTTAGAAAATATTTATGTGCATTTCACTAATTTGGAATGAATATGAAACATAGTTAAACAGAAACTACTCCTTATTTCAACTTTAAAAATTTAGGAAAAATTCCAATTTTACCAGTCATGCTTGTAGTTCCGCATTTTAAGTGACACAAATATCCCACGGGACAGGCTTGTTTTACATATTAACTTTATTGATTTCAGCTTAGGAATAAAAGCCACTACGATCTTCATGAAAAATTAATGACTCCCCTAGGAGAAATGTTGCAGAAAACACTGGAACTAGCATTTTTATCTAGAAGGCAGGCTTAAGACACCTCCACCCAGGGTGGGGTCAAAGGTTATTTCAATTTCTCCAAGGTGCTTTGGATGAGAAGGGAGCTTATCTTGAGTGGGAAAGTAACTGAGCTGCCTAGACTTGATCCTGGCCACAGGATAACACTGGGAGTGGAGGAATGGGTACTCTCGTTGTAACACTTTGTGGTGTTGGTCAATGTACCCCGGTCAAGCCCTTGGAAAAACATTCCAAAAGTTTTCAAGAGAGGAAGCTAGAAATGTCGTTGAGAAGTTCATCATTTTTTGTAATGGGTTGGTGTTCAGGGTGCTGATACTAGGGAGGTACTGGTATTAAGAAGGGATCCTCGCCCCTTAGGGCTAAAGAAGTGCCAGCAGGGACTGGAAGCTCATTGGGAAGCATTTTAGTGGAAGATAGTAACAGGTCAACATCAGAGGTCACTACAAGCACAGAACAAGTTTCAAGTCAAAGTCCAGCCAATGTCAGTGAGAGAAGGGGGAATGCTGCAGCTATAGAATCGGGTAAACACAAAGAGAAGTGGGGAGACCAGCTGCCACTGGAGTGAAAGAGCAGGAAAGATTGCCAAAGAGAACATCTATGCTCTCAGTCAGGTGTGGCCAGAGACACAAGGGGCACATAAAACTGGCCGGAAGCCCCTCACATGTCCTTATGAGGTCTTTTCTGGTTCTGTGTTTTTGTTGTTGTTTTTTTTTTCCTGTGGTCATTTCTAAGCAAATTTTGAGGAAGATATAGCAAAATTGAGTTTCCACTGTCCAAAATGAAAGATTTTTATGCCTGTGTTCTTTTGTAATGTGATTACTGATTTTTCCGCTTCTGCGCTTTGTTTTAATTGGTCAAGAAGCATGGAGTGGAAGGAAACATGGCTCTCCAAACTTCTATCAGTTCCTGCAGCTCTTCCTCTGGGATAGGCATATCAGATGGGCAAACCCAGAACAATGCAGTATGCTAACAATAGTTCTGCCAATTCAGAGAGGTAGGCTGCCCTCGGGTAAGAGAGTCTAAAAATGGGTATAGGGCACTGACTTCAGATATGCTTGTTAATAGAAGAATCTGAGTGGCTCAGAAACAGATCCTGGAAACGTGCATGATTTGTTTTAACTGAGGGTCCTGTTAGAAGTATATCTTAGGAGTCTTAGGAAATCCTGTCATGTTTAGGAAGCCAGCTGTATGATCAAAGACTCAAACAACGTGAGTTGATCCAGATAATATGAGTAATGCTTGTCAGTTGGAGAATTTGAATTAAACTCATCTGTCTCCAACCCCCAACCCCCCCAACCAGATAAAAATATAATATGAAGAAAATTTCTCCTGAAAAGGTAACTTTATTGGTGCTTATTTTTATACTACTTATTTCTGCTTTTTTTTTTTTTACTGAAGTGCTATATCATGAGATCAAATTCTTCCTCTCTCAAAGAGCAGTTTTCAATCTATCAAAAGCAGTATTAAGTGATGCTCTCCCCACAAAGTCACCAGATCAGTGTCCCTGCTATTCAAAATCAGCTTCAAGACCAGCTTCCAAATCCTCTTTTAACCAAAGGGTTACTTTGAATTCCCTCTAAACTAGAAATTATTTGTTAGCTAGAAATACCCTCATAATATCTGCGAATGCCTCTACAACTAAGAATTTTGTAGTCACACTAGTGAGAAAGAAAATTAATAGTTCTTCTTTCCATTGAGCTCCAAAATATACTTATTACTCAAAAGCAGTTGCCAGCTCTCTCCAATCATCTTCCCATGCAGTTGGGAAGTTGATAATATTCAAAAGTTCATGCTGGACTGGCTGGTTAGCATTGGAACTTTTGTGTTTTCTTTCTGATGTCTGTAACTAA
Organism: Homo sapiens; assembly: GCF_000001405.40. Taxonomy (NCBI): domain Eukaryota; kingdom Metazoa; phylum Chordata; class Mammalia; order Primates; family Hominidae; genus Homo; species Homo sapiens. The sequence goes on along the minus strand of NC_000021.9, from coordinate 28,338,200 downwards.
TCCTCCATTTCTTAAATTTCTGGATTATTTTAGAATTACAATCACTTTTTATACATAAGTGTTCAAAAAGCAATTTTAGTTCTTAAATTGTATGTGAAATCAACACAGACAGTTTGGCCAGATAACTAAAAATCACAATGCTGAAAAATTATTCTGATTTTGTGTAATACATCACAGCATTTTCCTTTTATGTTTGTGCTTTAAAATTTTTTTTTCAAGTTGAAATGCCTAAACTTTAGAAAGTTTTGAAGTTTGGCACATGTTGGGTGGAATACTCAGAAACTTGGAGAAATTCACCTTAAGAATCCAAGATTTAAAAACTAATTGCAACATCTCAATGAATTAGTGATATTTCCTTGCCTTCGGTTGCAGAAAAATTATTATCTAGGTGTCCTTTCTTATGAGATTCCTGCCAATTCTAATTCCTGCTCTAAGTATGAGTTGTTTAAGACTAAAACTATTAAGGAGAAATCTTTAATCATGAGCAGCCCTATAATTTATTAAAACTCTTTTAGACAATAATTCTAATAATGCTTTAAGGGACCTATAGCTTGAAGTTCATTGTTTTTCCATGTTTTGTTCATGTAAGTCCCTGCAGAATCCTACAGGTTGAATTTAGAATGTTTCTTTATTGATCACTCCAACTAGCACACTTAATGGAAACTGAAAGAGATACTCACTAGACACAAGATGGCAGTAACATGCCACCTAAATTTTATGATTTACTCATAGGGAATAGAGTTGTGTAATTCAAATCAGAGACTTTTTATGGTAATTTTTATCCTTTTGGGAAGGTGGGGACATAGATGCCTTTGAGAATCTGATTAAAATGATGGTCTCTCTCTTCACTCCAACCACTAAGTATATAAATTTCTGATGAAGCCTTTTCGTAGACTTAAAAAGTTTAGTCCTGTGAAGACTAACGTATATTTTTCTCTTGAAAATAAATCCACAAAGGGAACAGATGATACAAAGAGTTCAGTAATCCAAGTTACAAGAGAAGGACAGACTCAGAAGTTGAGGCTTTTGATGGCATTTCATCTTCTGCCTTTCTAGGGAAGAATGATAAATTGCAAAACTTTAAACAATGTATTGTGTATTCCTAGCACTTTCCGTTATAAGAAAGAGACACATCAATAGGTTAATGATTATTTCCTTATTAGCGGTAGGTCCTTTTCTGTTTAATTTCTAATCTTCTGATTAAAAGTTGTATTTTACCAAAAGTTTGAAAGTTTTCTTCTATTAATTATCTGACTTCAAAAAACCACAAGCAACTTTTCTTACCTCTTAAAAGTTGTATGTTTTTAAACATTGTAAGCTTATTTTGTGTTGTTCTTATTATTGTTTTGAAACAGTATAATATAACCTGTATAGCTGAGTATCAACTAGCATTTCAGTAATTCTGATGTACACATATATCCTAAATTTGAAATATATATATATATATATATATATATATATAAATAAAATTTAAACAGAGTGACATATGGTTGCAATTAAAGTTTTGTTGTTTGGCTTTACAAACCTTAGTAGAAATCCTGAGGAATGAGTCCTAACTCTGGCACAGGTACAGCTTAAGTAACCAGCTTCCATGATCAGTACATGCAAACTTGGAAGAAAATAAACAGGGGGACGGGCACAGCTGATTATCATTCTAGAATTCTGATTCAGAGTTACAGCTTTCAAGTTTGATAAGAAAGTACTGGCGATTTCCCGGAAGCAAGCAGCTATCCTGGTTTTACAGAACACAAGGTGGCAGAATTGCTCCTTTTAAATCACTGATCTTTAACTAACTTAAAATTTAGAAACATTTCTAAACAGCAACACATAGTAAGAGGAATGGTTGAAACACTAAATTCCCACAAACATTAAGGTGATATTATGCATAATGAAACAAAATATATATTGTGAAAAGCTCATTATGCTAGCTTTTTGGAACTCTCATAAAGATAAGTGAAAATATTGATTGACTTCATTAAAAATGTCTTTAGTAAGTTACTAGAGCATCATTTAGTGAATTCTTTCTATAATCTGAGTTACTTTTACATTTTAACAAGTTGCAATAGTGGTTTTAATATTTGAATTTAGAAAGGATACACTCAACAGATATCATTTTAATATATTGTTTCAGGTGAAATTTCAGCCATTGTTTCAGTGAAATATATGTTGACACCAGATTTTCTCATCTAAAAAATTAAATTTTATTTATCACACAAATATGTTAAAACATCATACCGTTATGGAAGAGACAGCAACAAAATATGATGTGAAGATCACATGCCTTCGAAAGGCTAGTATTTAAGAATTATTATAACTATAATAAAATTATTCTAGTAGACATAATGCAAGAATTATTTTATTGAATTTATCTGAAAGTACTAAATCAATTATTAGATATTTATTAGACACTGCCACCTTCAAAATATTTAAACATTTTTATATTGTAGCAGAGATTGTTGGAAGCTTTAGGATTAACAGAACTCCAAAAAATTGGCCAATGATTGAACAACTATAGACAGCCCCCATTTTAATTAATAGTGAGTGTTTATAAAAAGGCAATTAGAGGTATAATGTCTGGAAGTAGAACAATAGACTTAGAGACTATCAGGAGAGTTAAATTTCTGATATCTGAAAAATGCTAATCCTTCCTTAATTTGGGAGTGAAAGGAGGTAGTGTCCTTCAGGACTGGACCATCCATTGGGTGAATGAGAGCCCCTGGACGTACCAGGAATCAGCTTCAGTGGAGGGGATCAATACTCACATACCAATTACTGATTACTGGGGAATCCAGTGGGGCATTTGTTCTTTCTCAGTCAGCAGCTGCTCCCTTGAGCTCCAACCTCTCCAATGGGCAGAGGTAGTGATGCAGGCAGCTCCCAATCTCTTAACTTCATCATCAGGTTACCTAATTTACACAGAGCAGGGATAACAGAGCATGTGTTTCTACCTCCCCCTTGCAGCCTGGTCAATGAGTTTTGGGCCTGTTTTGGCCACCTTACATGAAGAGGGGATTATTTTGGACAATTCCTTTGCTGCTTAACATTATGGCAATTCTACCCCTATCCCAGAGGAAACAGGTGGAGGGGGCTTTGAAGTAGGAAAGAGGACAGCAGCTCCTAGTGTCCCACAGGAGCAAGGGAATTTCAGGTGCCTTGGTGGGTCCTTTATAGACCAGGTGGAGAAAAAGGTCCTTTTACTTGACATTGATCTTTGTTCACAAATACTATCAAATGATCTGGTGTAGGGGCAGTTCCACTCCCCTCTCCCAGCCCCTCATCCTCAGCCACATGACAAATTTGTTCAAATTTGTTAATAATCAGATAGTGTCTTAAAAAAATAAAACTATATGTACTTTGAAAGGTAGATTTAGATTTGCCAATGCACAATTTATATTTAAAAACAAAGTCAGATTATCTGAAGGCTAGATTTAGAGTGGTCAATATATGATAACTGTATATGGACTGTCATATATAGAAAAGTGACAGATGATTTTTTTTCTCTCTTTTGAGACAAGGTCTTGCTCTGTTGCTCAGGCTGGAGTGCAGTGGTGCTATGACAGCTCACTGGAGCCTCAACGTGGGCATAAGTGATCCTCCCACCTCAGCCTTCTGAGTCACTGGAACCACAGGTGCACGGCACCATGCCTGACTGATTTTTAAATTGTTTAAGAGAGAAGATGGGGACTCCCTATGTTGCCCAGTCTAGTCTCAAACTCCTGGGCTCAAGGGACCCTCCAGTCTTGGCCTCCCAAAGTTCTGGGATTATAGGTGTGAGCCACCATACAAGGCTCTTTTATATATATGTATATATATAAAAATGTGTATATATATATATATAAATGTACATATATATATGTATATGTATTTATATAGAACAGTGTCCCATTTGGCCACTTTGGTGTGGGAGATATAAAGGACATGTGTGAGGGGAAAGGCAGTTCAATTTATTGAGGACATACCATGTTCTATGTGATGTGTTAATTTTTGTATTCCTTTACGTTGGAGTAGCTTCACATAATAACTCTATAAGGCAGAAACGCCATCATGAAGCCCAAAAGGTTTAGTCTCTATAAGTAGGACTTCGTCATCTGCTTACTGACTTTTGTCTCTTTTTTCTATATTCAGAAACATTTAAACAACATTTATTGCAAGACTATTCTGTGGTGACTAATACTGATTGCATAAAAATCATGATCTCGTTCATGTGTGGGTTTTACACAAAGGAATATGTCTTCATTAGCAGAATTTCTCATCAGTGGTTGATGGGAAAATGATTTAGGATGAAAAAAGACAGAGTTGGCCAGGATAACACTAACATTACTGCTAACTCTCCAGGCGTGAGTAAGAGTATCATGTCCTCACATTAAGTTTTCTAGCACAATCTCTAACATCCTACAGATCAATAATTAATATGACACAATTTTACTTATGCTAATAGCCTGTCAATCTAATTTGAAAGATAAGTGAGCCTTATTTATTTTTTCTCTTTGAGATAGTATGCATTCCTCAGTCTTTGGACTATGACGAAGTATTTGAAGAATCTTCTTGCATCCTAATTGTGCAACTCAAAAATTCTCAGCTTCTCATTGTATCCATGAGTAAATGTGTGTACAGTTGGTGTACAAACACCCCTAACAGTTTATTAGAGCACAGAAACTTAAGAGATGAAAGAAACAGAATTTTATGTTTTATGGATGTTTTATTTTGATTTATATTACCAAAAAGTCTCAAGATATAGAAAGGTACTTTTGAAATTTAATCCGGTTCAAAACTATAACATCTCTGTTCAAGACTAAACATCTCCATAAATTATGTTTGTTAGATTTTATAGTTCTAAGGGAGAAAAACAGTTACCAAAGATGCTTAGCAAACACTATTTAAATCATTTAGATATAACTTCTTCCTTGGTATATTGCCAGAGTTTTCCTCCAAAACAAGTGTGTATTTCAAAATAAAAGAGAATTACATTATAAATTATGAATAAAAATGAAAACATTTGAAGAAAATGTCCTGAGGCCTAGACTCAAATATACTAATTAGTGTTTTACCAGCTCAATATGTTTTGCCAAAAGCAATCTTCTGCTTGATTTTAGTGTTGTTTTTCAGTGAAGATCAGTTTTTGGATATCTTTCATGCAGGACTACAAGGCAAAACAAGAAAAACAAAATAGAATAAAGAGTTATTTGTGTTTGACATGACAATGCACAAGACTATTGTTTCATCTCAAAGCAGACAGTATACATGGCTTTTTGTACAATTCTAAATGGAGAAGATCATGCATGTTTATTTCTGCTTGAATTTTTATCAAAACCGTTTTCATAATCCCACCATGGCAACTGAATTCAACAGTTTCTTCTAGAAACAACAGTCTTTCCCCTTTCTACCTAGCTTATCTCATTCAGAATACTAGTATGTATTTATGAATATGAAAAAAGTAACCAAATGCAATCAAGATAAGTTATGGGCAAGAAGTACAGAAAGAAAAAAGAAAGTTCAAAAAATGTTGTGAAGGTGATTAAAGAGAGAATGCCTTTGTTTTGCTGTAATACATGTTTAAGTATTTAGGAGATATGGAAGTACGATATCTGCATTTAATCCCAAAGATTTAGATTTCTGTGTCTATATTATTTTATATGTGTAAAGAGAGAGGGAAGGGAGAAGAGGAATAGAAATAGAGTATGTGTGAGAAATTTTGGCAAAATGTTGATAGTTGTTGAATATAGCTATGAGTGTGAGTTTTATGTAACTATTTAAAAACCTTCCTGTGAGTTTAAAATTTATTTTAAAATAAAATGTCAAACAATGCATAAAAATGGTGGCATGAAGGAAAATCAGTAATATTTGAGTAGGAAACATAAATTATTTAGTATTTAGATGCTTTTGACATTCTGTTTCTTCAGGGGTGCTAGTTGATGATTTAGAACTCTTTTTTCTTTTGTCGGGGAAAATCTGATATCAAATACAATAAACAACAATTATAAAACAAATAAACATGAAGCTAATATGATTGAACTAGAAACACGAGGCATTTAGCTTCTCTTCACCTCTTCTTTAACCCCACCATTGGTCTCTGCCTTAGTCAGCTTGGCTGGCATAACAAAATACTGTAGACTAGATGGCTTAAACAACAAAAAAGTATTTTTTCATTGTTCTGGAGGCTAGAAGGCCCACATCAAGGTTCTGGCTGATTTAGTTTCTGGTGAGGCTCTCTTTCTGGTTTGTAGATGGCCCCTTCTTGCTGTGCCCTCACATGGCTTTTCCTTGGTACATGGAGAGCTCCCTAGCATATCTTCTCATAAGGAAGTCAGCCATATTGGATTAGGGACCCACCCTTATGACCACATTTGACCCTAAATATTTCTTTAGAGACTCCATCTCTAAATACAGCCATACTAGGGATTAGAGCTTCAACACACGAATTTGGGGGGCACACAGTCATTCACTTCATAAGATTCTCTGACTCAAGTTCAGAGAAATAACAGGTTTTCAAGAAACACAGAAAAGCAATGTTTTATGTTCTATGCTAAATTGTTTTTATAGTGTACAGCATAATTAAACAGGATGATTTTACTAACTCTAGCTCACACTTAACTCAGCAAAGCATCATACTATATTTTATTGAGATGCTTTTTTTCTCAAGTTTGTAACAAGTGAAGCACATCAAATGATGTCCTTGTTCTTTTTTCTGCGACTCAGTTAATTTTCTCAGTGTTGATTCCATTAATATTCTGTTTTATGTTAATTATTTGGTCTTCTAGGCATTATGCAGTCTGAGTCTGAAAGTTGAAAACAATAAATTACAATTAAGTTGGTATGGCCATGTAAATATCCTTGACAACAATGCCCAGTGGATGACGGAATTACGTCTCCTGTTCTATAGCACCACTGAGACAACCCCATTGACATTCATTGGATGAAGATCAAATCCATTCTCCTTTATTACTCTCCTCCAAGTTCTCAAAATCATGACCCATTTTAACTTCCTTCATGTTTTTACCATTTTTCTTTTCTTGGTTCTTTGTAGAGTTTCTAAGTGCTTTTATTTTGATTTGTTTTTCTTGTTAGAAAAGGAAACATATGTTTTCTTTGTTATGTATCCAGTATCGTCTATCTTTTTACTCATTCTATTGCCTAAAATCCAGTCTATTTTTCCTCTAGAAGTTTACTGGCTTCCTATTCTAATTTGAAGGAATAACTTGATATGCGGACCATAATTGCTTATGCAGATGCTTGTTTTACCTGAAGTTCATGATTGATTTCTTTTATTTTCTTTCAGGTTTTGATAATATCCTTGATTTTGTCTCTTCTTTCTGTCATGTAACCCATTCTTTATGTGGACTTAATCTCAAATCTCCAGTCCTTTTGCCTGGAGACCTTCGTTCTAAAGTCCACGTCCTTCTAATTTAGCTGAACTGGTGGCTTTCTGATTTCAGAAGCAATCATCCTAGGTCAATAATTCCAGATTTTCTTATGTTATTTAATTCGTTGTTTTTGTGCTCTGATGTTGCCTTTTTTTTTTTTTTTTTTGAGATGGAGTCTCACTCTGACACCAGGCTCAAGTGCAGTGGCGCAATCTCGGCTCACTGCATGATGTTGCCTTTCTTTTTGATATTTCCCCCTAATTTTGCTGCAGCATATTGTATCAGTTAGAGTTCAATCAGAAAGCATAATCACCACAGAAGAAAGAACATTATTGGAATCAGAACATATATAATTGTGGGAGCTGGCAAAGAAGTCTACAGAAGGCTGTTGTCACTGTATCTGGCCGTGGGTCTGAAGTTGCTATAGATAGTCAGGGCTGGTAGTTCAGAAAAAAAGTTAGACATGGAATAGGAGACACAGCAAGGACAAACTGGAATCCATAAGGAAAAATTGGAAACACTGTCTGAATCTTACCTCCTCCAATCTTGATGATATGAGTGTTCTGTGTTAGGAAGAGCTAGCTACTCTGTACCTGGGAGCAACAATTAAACCTGAAGCTCTAGCAGGATCTGAAAAAGCTGTAGATCTGGCTGCTTCCACATGCCTAGCGGCTCAGTAACAATGTGTGTGAGCTACAGGGGAACCTGGTACCCTACAATGACCTTTAGAGATTATAGCCATTGTTTCACATCTACCATTCCAATCTTGTGCGGTTTCTCTTTTGGCTCACCCTAACGCAGAAAAACATAGAAAACAGAATTACAGAAGACCTAGTTTTGGCTTAACTAAGTTGATGTTGTACGAAGCTGTCACAGTCTGCCCCTTGTCAACCTGATATTCATATACAAGCCTTTCGACTTCCAAATAAAGACAGCAAAATCATGTTTCTGCCTAATAACTGAACAGACACTAACTAACCATCTCACCACAAGAGAACACCAAGTCCTTTTGGCCATCTTTGGGTAATGCTGTTTCCTTTTCTAGCTGAGACACATTTCCTCCTGGATATCCTTGTTGCGGGAAGTCAGGGATCCAAAACAGAGGGACCAGCTGAAGCCATGGCAGAAGAACATAGATTGTGAAGATTTCATGGACATTTATTAGTTCCCCAAATTAATACTTTTATAATTTCTTATGCCTGTCTTTACTGCAGTCTCTAAACACAAATTGTGAAGATTTCATGGACACTTAACACTTCCCCAGTCAATACCCTTGTGATTTCCTATGCCTGTCTTTACTTTAATCTCTTAATCCTGTCAGCTGAAGAGGATGTATGTTGCCTCAGGACCCTGTGATAATTGCGTTAACTGCACAAATTGTAGAGCATGTGTGTTCGAACAATATGAAATCTGGGCACCTTGAAAAAAGAACAGCATAACAGCAATGTTCAGGGAATAAGAGAGATAACTTTAAACTCTGACTGCCGGTGAGCCAGGCAGAACAGAGCCATATTTCTCTTCTTTCAAAAGCAAATGGGAGAAATGTTGCTGAATTCTTTTTCTCAGCAAGGAACATCCCTGAGAAAGAGAATGTACCCCTGAGGGTAGGTCTCTGAAATAGCCCCCTTGGGTGTGGCCGTCTTCTATGGTCGAAACTGTAGGGATGAAATAAACCCCAGTCTCCCACAGGTCTCCCAGGCTTATTAGAAACAGGAAATTCCCACCTAATAAATTTTGGTCAGACTGGTTGCTCTCAAACCCTGTCTCCTGATAAGAGGTTATCAGTGACAATGGTGCCTGAAACTTCATTAGCAATTTTAATTTTGCCCCGGTCCTGTGGTCCTGTGATCTTGCCCTGCCTCCATTTGCCTCGTGATATTCTATTACCTTGTGAAGCACGTGATCTCTGTGACCCACACCCTATTCGTACACTCCCTCCCCTTTTGAAAGTCCCTAATAAAAACTTGCTGGTTTTGCGGCTTGTGGGGCATCATGGAAACTACCGACATGTGATGTCTCCCCCCGGATGCCCAGCTTTAGAATTTCTCTCTTTTGTACTCAGTCCCTTTATTTCTCAAACCAGCCAACGCTTAGGGAAAATAGAAAAGAACCTATGTGAAATATCGGGTGAATTTTGCCCGATATCTGGCTGAATTTCCCCTGATATATCCTGGAGCTTAAATATTGAAATATCAAGTTAATTACTATTAAACATTTTATAATAGTATGGAAATGGGGTATGGAAATTTAAAATATCAGTTAATGTAGACACAAATATGTTCATGTCTCAATAATAAATATTCATACCACCATAGTTCTCATTTCTACAACATATCATGTTGTCATTGCACACTTGGAAACGATATTGTAATCTTCCTTACCAGAACATATGCTCTGTGAAAGGAGGGACTGTTTCTCAATTACTTACTCCTCTATCACTAGTTCTGAGCACAGTGACAAACACAGAGCCGACATTCAGTTGGTATTTAATTAGCATTCAATAAATGCAGACCAGTGTGTGTGTGTATCTGTGTTTGCATGAGTGTGTATGTGCATGTGCATGCATGCACATGCACATACCAAGATGACCCTGGGTGTTTTAATAAGAACATCTTCCAAGTTGAATGCTTCCTGAGGAAATTTACCTGTAATACAGGTATCTTTTCACATATTATTCCCCTTCATTTGCACTAACAAATGTCTCCTCTTGCTCTTTTGTGCTAGTTCAGTCTCCAGGTACATCCACTTGGAGTTTTGCTGTTTAAGGGTTTAATTACCACTTTGGTATGAATTCTACTTTATAAAGATTTTCTTTCTTTTGTTCCTTAGAGCTACCCTGTGAGGCACTCAGAGCAGCTACCATTACTATTTTAATTTACAAATAAGGAAAGTGAGATTCAGAAAAAATGTAATGCATTGTGATGTCAGTGGTAGTTAAGAACTCAGATTTGCAGCTTGTTACTCTTAGTCCAGTACTCCTACAATGAAGACATGCTGGTATTTAAAAATTGAAAGTGGTTAGTAATGGACTGAACTTGAATAATACACTAAGGGAAACAGCAAATGAATTTCTTCTTCTTATAGCTATGGTTTTGAAACCACATAATATTGCTCAAAGGACAAATTAAATGTAGGGTTGTCTACTTTAATTCAGTCTTATGAATTATGATTAGAGGCATAAAAAATTACTAGTATTACTGAAAGCATTTCTTGGCATTAGACATAACCTGTTTTAGTATTGTAAACTATTTTTGATATTTGGTCTTTATTGTATAGAATTTGGCTCTGTATTTCTGGTCCCTATATCACTTAATGGTCTCTGCGTATGTGCCTCAGAGCCCCTCCCTCAAATCTCTGTCATTTAGAAAACCAAAAGTGGCATTTCATTTTCTCTACTTAAAGACCTTCTTCATCATTTTGAAATTCTGATGACATTTATTGGGTACAACCATGAAAAAGAGAATGGCCATATGCTTTTAGTTTGCCAAGTTCTTACCCAAAGCAAGTGTTCAATATGCAAAGAGATACTTTTAAATTGCCAACACAGTCATTTTTAATTAGTGGACATTCTTTGTCAGGAAAATGAAGTTTCACATTCCTTTGGGTGTGAAATTGTTTATTAATATGTTCTAGTTTCTTCTGAAAAACAAAAAAAATCCGTTTTAGGAATAAAACTTAGGAATAACTTAAGCTTCAATTTCTGATACTCAGATTATTGTTTGGGAACAAGTCATCATTGTATTAAATCTGTTTCTCATCACAAAGGGAGTATCTATTACCTGAATAAATACTTTTAAGATATTTTTGCATGTAATTTAAGTCATGTCCTTGCCATGAGCCAGGGTACCACACATTAAGAGATTATTCAGAGGAGCTCAGAAACAGCAATGATTAAGAAATTTTAAGTAGATTTGTAGCACAGTAATGGGTTTTCAATCCTTTAATTTTACTTACCATCTCTACAAAGAAGGTTTGAGATTGACTTTGACTTCACATATTTCCATATTTTCAAAATTACAGAAATGGATCTTTTTTACTAGTCGAACATCCAGAATTAAAGTGAGCAGCTCATGAAACAGGCAAAGAAAACACAGTTGAATCAATCAACTTAGTATTAAATCTTGTGGGTAAAAAGCCAGTACTAAGGAAGTGGCCACCAGGAATTTGACTGTTCCCACTGATAATGGAATTTGGGAAGGGCTACTAATCACATGGTTTTGCCCTCCCTGGGCTCCAGAATCTTGATTATAACAGTCAGGTAACTTTATCCTCTGTAACCACCTTAGCTCATGCTGATTTAGTCTTCATCTTCTCTGTGGTTTGATCCTTCTTGTCTCAGTAAAATTATTCCATTTTGTGTTCTCTCACATGAGTCATTTCCATTTCTAAAATCAGTATCTCTTAATGGTATTTTGCTTCCAGAAAGATGGAGTAGATATATTCCTGCTAAATCCAACTGAAAACCTTGAAAATTATATGTAAAACAAACCTAGGAAGACCTGAAAAGTGTAAAGAAGTAGGAAAACTAGCTAAGGAACTTGAGGACCAAAGAATGACATGGTGGTAGGTTTTCTATGTTTTCTCTTTGCCTCACGTATTTCCGACGTGGAGCTACAGAAGCTGGAAAATCCCAGAAATGCCAAAGGATGCAAAAACAAAAATCCTTAACAAAAGCCTACTGGCTCTAGTCAAAGTTTCAGGAAAGACACATACTAGCAAGAAAGAAAACTTCTATATAATAACTCTTCCACCCTGACCAAATATCACAGAAAAAAATCTGTAGTCCACTTCCACCTTAGCTGGCAAAAGCTAAATGAGGAGCATAGATTTTCATTCTTTTTAAGCTATAAAGAGGTGTCTCAAACTCTCTCTAGGGTGATGTCAGAGAAGACTGAGTAGGAAGGTGTAACTTTGTTCTCTGCTAAGGATAATGAGTCACACTTGTGGCTCCTATTGTGTCAGTGAATACCACCTGAGGAGCTTTGCTTTTCACTCCCACCTGGTAATAAAGAAGAATGCTCTTTCTGGTGGTGGTAGAAAAGGCCTAGAGGAGAGTCTGTACTTTCATCATTGCCCATTTTCCCCTCCCTATGGTGTCAGTGGAGGCCACATGGGGAGCAATAACAAAAGCACGCCCATATGATATCAGCAAATGTCTAGTGGGGGCATGAAAATCCCTCACTTGCCCAACAGTAACAAGGAGCTTTTCTCCTCTTTGACTATTAATAGAGGATAAGTAGGGAACTTGAAATTCTATCCTCACTTGCCTTCTGTCCCTGTAGAGGAAACCAACTGAGTAGGTTTACATAGGATCCAGTCTCATAGTTCCAAAGGGTTCAGGTTTTAACAGAATATCACATGTCACAAAATGGCCAGGAATACTTCTAACTGAATGAAGAAAGAAATCAAGAGATGTCAACACCAATACAATGTAGATACTGGAATTATGTGACAAATCATTATAAAAATGCTTCTGAAAGTAATTACAAATAAACTGGAAATAAATTAAAAGAGAAAAGTCTTAGTAAAGAAATAGAAGATAAAATAAGAGCGAGATGAAAATTTTAAAGCTAAAAAATACACTAACCAAAATAGAAAACTCAGTGGATTAGTTCAACAGCAGAATAATGAGGATAGAAGGATGGATAAGTAAACAGGATTAGAGTTCCAGAAGGAAAGAACAAAGAAGGGAGGGGTAAAAAAAATACACAAAAAAATGACCAAAAACTTCCCAAATCTGGCAAAATACATAAACCTACAGATTCAAGAAGCTGAGAAAAAACCCATACAATATAAACCCAGAAAAGTCTGCATGAAGATATATCATACTCAAACTTGTAAAAACTAAAGGCAAATACAAATGATAGAAGCAACTGGGGAGAAATGACATTTTGGCTATAGGAGTAAAACAATTTGAATGATATTAACTTTTCAATCAGAAATCAGTGCGTCAGCATTTTTTTAAGTGCTGAAAGAAAACTGTCAGCTCAAAATTCTAAATACCATTTACATTTCTATTAAGAATCAAAGCTAAATGATGACATTCTCTGAAGAAGGAAAGCTAAGAGAATTTATCACCGGCAGATATATTCTAAAAGAATGACTAAAGGAAATTATCCATGTTAGTTAGCATAGGCTATTAATATACCATAGTCTGGATGGCTTAAACAACAGACATATTTTCTCACAGTTTTGGAGGCTAGGGGTCTCGGACAAAGACACCAGCATGGTTGGTTTCTGGTGAGGTTTCTCTTTCCTTCTTGTAGGCAGCTGCCATATTGTTGTGTGTTCACATGATCTCTTTGTGTGTGTGTGTGTGTGTGTGTGTGTGTGCAGAAAGAGAGAGAGACAGAGACAGAGAGGGCGGGAGAGACAGAGAGACAGCTTTCTAGTCTATCTTCTTAAAAGCACGCTAATCCTATTGTAAAAGTGCCCTAACTTTGTAACTTTATTTAACCTTAATTACCTCCTAATAGGTCCTGTCTTCAAATACGGTCACATTGGTGATTAGGACCTCAATCACCAATTTTATATATAAATTTTGAGGGGACATAATTCAGTGAGAATTCACTTCAAAATTGGGTCAGAATTTATCATTCACTAAACAGAAATGAAATGATAAAAAAAGAAATTTTGGAATATCAGAAAGAAACAACAAGAAACAGCAAAAATATGGATAAGTAAAAGACTTACTCATATTTTCTTCTTTTCTTGGGTTTTCTAAGTCATGATTGACAGTTGAGGCAAAAATTATTACACTGATGTGATTCTAATTGCTTAGAACAATATTAAAGACAATTATTTTATAAATGAAAGAGGAAAAAAGATGTGATGAGAGGAAAGCTTTAACGCTTCACTTTAATTGGTAAAATGTCAACATCAGTAGACTATAATAAGTTTTGTACTATAATACCTTGAGCAACCACTAAAAATGCTATAACAAGAGATATGTAAAAATTATAGTATATGCATCAAAATAAAATTCTAAAATAATTGTCACATTGCTCATAAAAAGGCAGGAAAAAAGAAAACAGGAAACAGAACAAAGAGAAAAGAGAGGGAGCAAAATAAAACTTAAATGGTAGATTTAAATGCCAGCATGTTAACAGTGACATTAAAAGTAAATAAATACACACATGAAAAGACAAAGATTTATAGGGTGGATTAAAAATATATGACTGAGCTATATGCTATAAAAACTCACTTCGAATACAATATAAATAAATTAAAAGTAAAAGGATGGAAAAGATATGCCATGCAAATATTAATTTAAAAAAGCAGGAGTGGCTAGATTATTGTAAAATTAAGGAGACTTCAGAACAAAGAAAATTACCAGAGACAGAGAAATACATTACATAATGATAAAAAGTTTATACACCAAAAAGACACCAATCCTAAATGTGTACATGTCAAACAATAGAGGTACAAGATATGTGAAACAAAAGCTGATGTAATTAAAAAGACAGGAGAAAAAGACAAAGATCATAGCTTTGTTGGAGATTTCAGCATCTTTCTATCAATAATCAATAGGCTATTTAGACAGAAAATCAGTAAAGATATACAAGAACTCAACACCACCAGCTATAAGTATCTAATCAACATTTAAGGAACATTTTACTCCCCAAAGAGCAAAATAAACATTTCTTCTAAGTACCCATGGAAAGTATACCAAGATAGACCATATTTGGGCTATAAAGCAGACCTAGACACAGTTTTTGCAAATTGAAATCATATAAGGAGTGTTCTGTAATCACAATGGGATCAAACTGGAAACCAGTATCAGAAAGTTAATAGGAGGATCTCCAAACACTTTGAAATGAAATAATGCATTTCTAAATAATCCCTGGGTTAAAGAGGAAGTTTCAAGTAAAATAAAAAAGACATTCAATGAATTATAAATGAATATATAAACATATAAAGTTTTTCAGGACACAGCAAAATTAGTTCCAAGAGGGTTTTTTTTTTTTCCTTTTTTTTAGACCATGTCACTCTTTCACCCAGGCTGGAGTGCAGTGGCATGATCATGGCTCACTGCAGCCTCACCATTCAGGTCTCAAGGGCTCCTCCTGCCTCAGCCCCTCAAAAAGCTTGGACTAGAGCTGCATGCAACCATGTGCAGCTAATGAAAAAATATTTTGTAGAGACAGGGTGTCACTATAGTGTCCAGGCTGGTTTCAAATTTCTGGCCTCAAGTGATCCTCCCGTCTTGGTCTCCTAACATGCTAGGTTTACATGCATAAGCCACTACACCCGACCCCAAAAGGAAATTTCTAGCACTAAATGTATACGTTAGAAAATAAGGAAAGTTCCAAATTAATCATCTAATCTCTGACCTCAGTAATTTAAGAACAAAATAAATCCAAAGCAAGCAGAAGGAAGAAAATATTAAAGATAATAGTTTAAATCAATGAATTTGAAAATAGAAAAGCAATAAAAAATTCAAAATAAGCAAAGAATTAGTTCCTTGAAAAATAAGTAAAATTTAAAAGCATAAAAACTGACTAAAAAAGAGGTCACAAGTTGCCAATATTGGGAGTGATACCACTACAGCCATTACCGAGCTCAAAAGGATAATAAGAAAATACTATCAAGAACTCCCCAAACATGTTTGTTAACTTTGATAAAAATCGACCAGTTTTTCAAAAAGCACAAAATGTGACAACTCACCCAATATGTAGTAGATAAATTTGAATAGCCCTATAATTGTTAATAAAATTAAATTGTAACTAAGTCAAATTTGAAAAACTACTAAAAAGAAATCTCCAGGCACAAATGGTTACCCATATAATTGTACTAAATCTTTGAATAGCTAACACCAATTTTATGTAATCTCTTCCAGAAAAAATAAGTTTACAGTTCCCAATTCTTTTTTGATGTTTATATTACCCTGATACCAAAAACTAAGAAAGAAACAAAAAAGAAAATTACAGACCAATGTCTGTCACGAATATAGACATGTGATAAACTTTATTAAAATATTATTAAATAGAATTCAGTAATGTAGAAAAAATATACATCATGATCACATGGGATTTATTCCAGTGATTTGAGGCTACTTCAGTATTTGACAGCCAATGTAATCCACTGTGTTAACACTCAAAAGGAGAAAAATCACAAGATCATATTCATTAATACAGCAAAAGCATTTTGATAAAATGCAACACCCGCTCATAATAACTTTCAGAAATATAACAATAGAGGGAAACTCTACACTTGCTAAAGGATATCTACAAATAGCTTATATACAACATCATACTTAATGGTAAAATACTACATTTTTTTACATCTAAGATTAGAAACTGACAAGGATGTTCACTGTCACCACCAGTATCCCACATAGTGCTGGAAAATCTAGCTAACACAGTAAAACAAGCAAAGCAAATAATAGGCATGCAGATAGGAAAAGAATAAATAAAATGGTCCTTATTTGCAAATTACATGATGGTCTATATAGAAAATCCCAAGTGATCTTCCCCCACCCCATAAAAAAGAATTTGTATGACATAGAATTAATTTAAAAACAATAATAAAGATGCCCACTGAGATTGAGAGAACAATGCATTAATAAAGTGAAAATTTCAATAAAGAGATGTAAAATATAAAAGAGTTCCGACAGAAATCATGGAGTTGAAGAATATAATAACTGAATGGTAAAAGTCACTAGAGCAGTTCAACCACAGACTATTTCAAACAGAATAAAGGCTTAGCAAATCTGAAGACAGATAATTGGATATTATTTAGTGAGAGGAACAAAAGTAAAACAATGAAATATGGTGAAACAAGTTTGAAAGATTTAAAGAACATCATCTAAATGTATGCATTATGAAAGTCCTCAGAAAAAGAGAGGAGAAAGATCAGAAAGCGTATTCAAAATAGTGGCTGAAAACTTCTCAAATCTGAGGAAGAAAATGATAATCTATATCCAGGGCTATAAGAAGACCCTAAATAGGTGAACCAAAAAAGTCCACAGAGACACATAACAATCAGATTGTAAGAAGTCAAAAACAAAGAATTTTGAAAGCAGTAAGAAAAAAGGAAATTTTTATGGATAAGAGAATCTCCACATATGCAAAATCAATCCAAAATGGCTACATACTAGTGTAGTACACACATAATATTTTTGAAATAGTAAAATTTATAACAACGGAGAACAGATTAGTGATTTTCATGAGTTACCAAATGGCAGAGGGAAGTAGGTGTGGTTATCAAGAGGCACCATGAAAAATCATTGTGGTAAAGACAATATTTGGTATCTTAATTGTGTCAATGTCATATTATGGTTATGATATTGAACTACAGTTTTGCAAGATGTTACTCAGGAATATGGACAAAGGGTGCATGGGGTGTTTCTATTATTATTGTCAACTGCATATCAATCTGTAATTTTTTTTTAATAAGAAGTTTAGTTTTAAAAAGTCAGTGTAACTTACGGTAATATGTGGTTGTCTAAGTCCATTTAGTACTGTTACAACAAAATACCTGTGACTTGATAATTTACAAAAACCAGAAAATTTTTTCTCGCATTTCTGGAGGCTGGAAAGTCCAAGATCAAGAGACAGGCATTTGATGAGAGACTTCTTGCTGTGACTTTTCATGGCAGAAGAAGAAAGGCAAAAAAGGGAGACAAATGCTATTCTTCACATGGCAAAATAGCAAAAGAGGCAGAATGGACTTTCACAAGACCTTTCCATAGCAGCATTAATTAATTCATGAGGGCAGACCTATTCTGACCTAAACACCTTCTATTAAGCTCCATCTCTCAATTTTGTTGCATTGGAGGCTAAGTTTCAACGTACGTCTTTAGAGGGAACAAAAACATTCAGACCAAGGCAGTGGTTAAAACGCAATAGTTAAAAATAAATCAGAATGCTATGAGCACAGAGTCATGTCTGTTTGTTCAGGACTCAATACTTAGTCTTTAGTAGGATGCTTATATAAATTGTCAAATTAGTATTTGAGTATAATGAACAAATAAATGAATCTACAAGACATCCTGAAACTACTGATGACCTATTTCATGTGTCTATTTGCTTGGTCCTGCATTTCTCCTATTTCATCATACTGCATATGTGCCCAGTGTCCTCACATTTTTAGATGATTATATTATATTTTATATATATATATATAATATATTATATTATTATAACATTATTTTACATTGCTTCTTTTGGTAAAAATATATTATGATATATCTCAGGTAACAACCATCTAGATTCTAAAATGTATGCAGCTAGATGGCAGAAATTTTGTGTTTTATTTACTGCTGTATCATCTAGTACCTAGAAAATGGTGCATTCTGGGAGTATAATGCATTCATTACATTCATCATATTTATTGAGTATATCATATTTACATTCATCATATTTATTGAGTATAAAGAATTTATCTATGTGTGGATTAATTATTGAACACTCCTCTTTTTGCACATCTCTGCGATTTTTATTTCATTCCTCCATTTTCTACTTTTGTGTTCTTTGTTCAAGAGTAAGATCAGTGACATATGTGGGTTGCACCTTCATGAAGTTTCCAATTTTTATGGGGTATAATGATGAATAAACATAAAACCAAAGATACCATAGTAAGTGCTTTGATGTACAGAATGCCTATATCACAAGACATGTAACTTGGATTTAGAAGTCAGATGGGTTATTTAAAGGAAATGACCTTTGTAGCCAAAGAAAATGGAAGAATGGTTTTTGTGGAGGGGCCCAGCATAAACTGTGCACCTGTTTAGCCAATAAAATGCATATGTTAAATTAAAACCATGTAATTATGATGATTATGTCTATTAAATTTAGAAGGCATATTCAGACCTTGTATTAGTCTCTTCTCATACTGCTATAAAGACATATCCGAGACTGGGTAATTTATAAAGAACAGAGGTTTAATTTACTCACAGTTCTGCATGGCTGGGGAGGGAGGCCTCAGGAAACTTACAATCATAGCAGAAAGCAAGAGAGAAGCAAAGGCACATCTGACATGGAGGCAGGGGAGAGAAAGTGTGAACAAGCGAAGAGGGATGAGCCCCTTATAACATCATCAGATCTCATGAGAACCCACTCACTATCATGAGAACAGCACGGGGGAAATCATTCCCCTGATCTAGTCACCTCCTACCAGGTCCTGCCCTTGACACATGGGGATTGTGGGGATTATAACTTGAGATGAGAATTTGGTGGGGACACAGAGCCAAACCATATCATTCCACCCCGGCCCCTCCCAAATCTCCTGTCCTCACATTTCAAAACCAATCATGCCTCCCCACCAGTCCCCCAAAGTCTTAACCCATTTCAGCATTAACTCAAAAGTCCACAGTCCAAAGTCTCATCTGAGTCAAGGCAAGTCCCTTCCACCTATGAGCCTGTAAAATAAAAAACAAGTTAGTTACTTCCAAGACACAATGGGGTACAGGCATTGGCTAAATGTTCCTATTCCAAATGGGAGAAATTGGCCAAAACAAAGGGATTATAGGCCTCATGTAAGTCTGAAACCAGGCAAGGCAGTAATTAAATCTTAAAGCTTAAATTGATCTGCTTTGACTTCATGTCTCACATCCAGGTCATGCTGATGCAAGAGGTGGGTTCCCATGGTCTGAGATAGCTCTGCCCCTGTGGCTTTGCAGGGCACAGTCATCCTCCCACCCGGCTGCTTTCATGGGCTGTCATGGAGTGTCTGTGGCTTTTCCAAGCTCACAGTGCAAGCTGTCGGTAGATCTACCATTCTGGGGTCTGGAAGGAGGTGGCTCTCTTCTCACAGCTCCACTAGGCAGTGCTGCAGTGAGAACTCTGTGTGGGGTCTCCAACCCCACATTTCCCTTATGCACTGTCCTAGCAGAGATTCTCCATGAGGGCTCCACTCCTGCAGAAAACTGCCTGGACATCCAGGCGTTTCCATATATCCTCAAATTTAGGCAGAGGTTCCCAAACCTCAATTCTTGTGTTTTTTTTACCTGCAGGCCCAACACCACATAGAAGCTTCTGAGGCTTGGGGCTTGCACCCTCTGAAGCAATGGCCTGAGTTCTATGATCCCCCTATTTAGTCATGGCTGGAGCTGGTGTGGCAATGGCTGGGACACAGACAGCCAAGTTCCAAGGCTGCTCAGAGTGGCAGTGGGGCCCTGGGCCTACCCCCAAGAAACAATTTTTTCCTCTTAGGCCTCCAGGCCTGTGATGGAAGGCGCTGCTGTGATGTTCTCTGGCATGCCCTGGAGACATATTTTTCATTGTCTTGGCTATCAACTTTTGGCTCCTGGTTACTTACGCAAATTTTTGCAACCAGTTTGAATTTCTCCCCAGAAAATAGGTTTTGCTTTTCTATTGCATGGTCAGGTTGCACATTTGCCAAACTTTTATGCTTTACTTTCTCTTTAAATATAAGTTCCAATTTCAGATAATCTGTCTCAAGTTCAAAGTTCCACAGATCTCTAGGGCAGCAGCAAACTGCTGACAGTCTGTTTGCTAAAGCATAGCAAGGGTCACCTTTGCTCCAGTTTCCAAGGAGTTCCTCATTTCCATCTGAGGCAACCTCAGCCTAGACTTCATTGTCCATGTATCACTATCAGCATTTTGGTTAAAACCATTCAGCAAGTATCTAGGAAGTTCCAAACTTTCCCACAAATTCTTGTCTTCTTCCGAGCTCTTCAGACTGTTCCAACCTCTGCCTGTTAACCCAGTTTCAAAGTTGCTTCCACATTTTCAGGTATCTTTACAGCAGCACCCCACTCTACCAGTACCAATTTATAGTATTAGTCTCTTCTCACACTGCTATAAAGACCTACCTGAGACTGGTAGTTAATAAAGGAAATAGGTTTAATTTACCCACAGTTCCACATGGCTGGGGAGGCCTCAGGAAACATATAATCATGGCAGAAAGCAAGAAAAAAGCAAAGACAAGTCTTACATGGCGGCAGGTGACAGTGAGCAAACAAGCAAAGGGGAAGAGCCCCTTATAAAACCATCACATCTCACGAGAACTCACTTGCTATCATGAGAACAGCATAAGAAAACTGCCCTTATAATCCAGTCACCTCTCACCAGGTCCAGCCCTGGAGATTACAATTTGAGATGAAATTTGGGTGGGCACACATAGCCAAACCATATCAGACCTCTTAAATTACTTTTAAAATATCAGAAGTTCCCAGAAATGTAGACTGTAAAGACCTAGAAATATGGCTTTAATTATTACTTATTAGTTAATCCAATGGTGTCATAACTATTTTTATTCAAATGAAAGTTTATTTCTTAATTTAAAAAATGTGTAGCTTGACTGATTTTTTCAACATTTATTTTTGAGATAAAATTTACTATTAAATGTGATAAAGATTTGACATGAAATTGGAGGTGCACATTATATACTCTTTCCTGGGAAAAATTTATGAATGTTGTATTTATGTACACTTGAATATATAAAATGTTATATTTATGCACACTTGAATATATAAAAGTCTGTGATTACCTTGAGCTTATTTCTGGGTAAATTTGCTCAGTTAATCCAAAGTACCAGAGATTTTCTTTTAGAAGCAATTGCTTTATTGTTTTGATCACTCTCCCCTATTTTTGCCTTCTTTTATACTTAATCAAGTTCTTGGTTCCAGTTAATTCCTTGGCAGATTTTATAAACTGAAATTTTTCTTCTCTTTGAAGCCAAAAGTAGTGAAAAAATCATATAAAACATTTGATTAGCTGAGGCCTGCAATGATTTACACTAACAACAAGCATACATTAGCACCTAGACTATTAAGAACAATTTAAGGTAGCAAAAGTCTAATTTATGAATAAAAATGAGCAGAATCCAATAAATGCTACATCTTCTAGATAGTATTATTTTCCACAGAAATTCTATTTCAAAAAATCTATGATACCACTAATACATATTAGAAAGATGTAACCATTTTACAATTAGTATTTTTATAATATAGAAAATTGTTCTCCTCACTTTTTATAGTCACAGTCACATAATGGTGTGTAACTGATGACAATAAATAACATTTTTGCTGCTTTCCAAGGATGTTTTCTGTACAAATTGTAAGAAAAATAGTCCAGAGAAAAAAGAATTTGATCCGTGTACTGTCACAATGTGCAGAAACGTAATAGAATTCTATAAATATTTTATCTCAAAGTATTTTGTAATTTTCCTTATCATGTCTTCTTTGACCCATTGGCTAGGAGCATGTTGTTTAATTTCTACATATTTGTAAATTCCCAAAATTCCTTTTGTTATCCCTTTATAATTTAATTTCTTTAATGTTGAAGAACATACTTTGTATATTTTCAACTTTTTAATTTTTTGTGGTTTTAATGAAGTAATATATAGTTTATCTTAGAGAATATTACCTGTGTACTTTAGAAGAATGTGGATTCTTCTGCTGTGTGTAGAGTGTTCCATAAAAATCTGTTAGCTCTAGTTGGCTTATAGATTTGTTAAATCTCCTTTAATTCCTTGTTGAAATTCTTCTTAGCTTATTTTTATTCATTATTGCAATCGAGGCTATAGAAGTGTCCCATTATTCTTTTTGACATGGCTATGTCTCCCTGTAGTATTGTCAGTTTTGGCTCCACGTATTTTGGGACTCTCTTGTTAGATGCATATATGTTTATAATTGTTATGTCTTCCTGAATGGTTGACCCTTTTATCATTATAAAACATAGTTCTATTTTTTCTAATAATAATATTTTTCTTAAAGTCTATTTTGCTTGATATTAGTATCACCATTTCAGTTGTCTTTTGATTGCTATTTTTATGATATAATTTTTCCATCTTTTTAACTTTCCACCTACCTATTTTTGAATCTTGAGTGTATTTCTTACAGACAACATATAGTTGGATCAGATTTCTAATTCATTCTGCCAATCTCTGCCACTTGTTTGAGAGTTTAGTATACTTTTGTTTAATGCAATATAGATAAAGTTGGATTTATATCTGCATATATATATATATACACACATATATATATATATCTATATATAGGTAGGTGCCTATTTTGGATTTATTTGGTGCCTAGTTGGATTTATATCATGCATATACATGTATGTGTATATATATATATATATATGCAGGTGCCTATTTTTAGGCCTAAAAAATCACATATATGATTTTGGCCTGGAGCTGGACTCCTTATGTTCATGTGGATTTGAGTTGTTGACTAGTTTCCTTTCATTTGATTCTGAAGGACTTGCTTCAGTATTTCATGTAGTATAGGTCTATTAGTGATGTATTTCTTCTTTAATTTATTTATTTTTGGTCTTGGGATATATATATGTATATAAATATATATTTAAACATATAACATATATATAATGTTTTTTGTTCCTCCATTACTCAATTACTGCTTTGTTTGTGTTAACTATATATTTGTATTACACTATTTTAATTCCTTTTGTTACTTTTGTTATATTTTTTTGCATTATTTTCTTAATGGTTGCCCTGGGCTTAAAATTTACATCTTAACTAAGACAATGTATTTTAAATTACTGTCAATTTTAAATTAATGTCAACAATCTATTTTAAATTAATGCATACCAACTTTCAGTGGTATACAAAAATTTTACTGTAATATAGCTTTGTTCCCTTACAATTCTTCTTGCTATTGTTTTCATATGAATTACACCTTTATGCATTAAGGCCAATGAACACATATTCATGATTATTGCTTTATGTATTTGCCCTTTAAATCAGATAGGGAAAGAAAAGTGTTAGAAACAAAAAATACATTTATTACATCTGTTATATTTACCTGTGTAGTTACTTTTACTAGTGCTCCGTTTTTTTTTGTTTTTTTGTTTTTTTTTTTTCTTTTGAGATAGGGTCTGATTCTGTCACCCAGGCTGGAGTGCAATGGCACAATCTCAGCTCACTACAACTTCCACCTCCCAGGTTCAAGCGATTCTCCTGCCTCAGCCTCCCGAGCAGCTGAGACTACAGGTGCACATCACCACGCCTGACTAATTTTTGTATTTTTATTAGAGACGGGGTTTCACCATATTGGCCAGGCTGGTCTTGAGCTCCTGACCTCGTGATCCACCCACCTCATGATCCACCCACCTCGGCCTCTCAAAGTGCTGGGATTACAGGCATGAGCCACTGCACCAGCTAGTGCTCTTTATTCTTTTGAAGAAAGCTGAGCTGCTGGGTGTTGACATTCATTAAGACAATAAACTAAGCTATAAATAATAATTGAGCTGTTTTTCACTTACTGTGATAGTATAAGAGGCTAAATAGCAAAGAGTGCTGGCATGCTGGCTCCCTCAATGTTCTCATTTCCCCCATGGAATGGCAGTGTGTGAGGGTCAAATGTAGCAATACAGATGGAGAAAATATGTAACTGCCAAGAGAGCCTTGAATAAAGGACTTCTGTCATTTTATGACCTGGGGCTAGGGAAAGTGGAAGGGTAAGGGCTAAAATTCAAAGAGTCCTAAGTACTGGGTCAGAGTGGAAAAATTATCTTTGCGATCCCATTATAAAAATATAGAGGTGCTTGAGGAATCTCTCAGCTGAGGCTTCCCAATA
The DNA here is from genome assembly GCF_000001405.40 of Homo sapiens. NCBI lineage: Eukaryota > Metazoa > Chordata > Mammalia > Primates > Hominidae > Homo > Homo sapiens. The sequence goes on along the minus strand of NC_000021.9, from coordinate 28,313,333 downwards.
AGGAGACTTCCTAATAGAGGTCCTTTGGCTATGAATAAAATGCACATAAGAGCATGACCAGCCAGAGAGGCCTGAGTTCTTGGCTGCAACTTTTGCCAGAGACTTCAATGCACGGTCTGTATGTCAAGTTTGGTGTGGGGAGAGTAGATTTCCCCATGAGGCCTGCCAGGTAAAGCCTTTTCAGGTGCCTATTTCCAGGCCTGAAAAATGTTCATGTGGATTTGAATTACTGTCTAACTTCTTTTCATTTGATTCTGAAGGAGTTGCTTCAGTATTTATGGTAGTATAGGTCTGTTAGTTACAAATTTCCTTTTTTTTCTTTTTTTCTTTTTTTTTTTTTTTGGCCTGGGGATATCTTAATCTCTCTTTAATTTTTGAAGGTTAGTTTTGCTGGATATTCAATTCTTGGTTGACATTCTTTTGCTTTAAGCACTTTGAATATGTTGTTTTACTGCCTTATAACCTCCATGATTTCTGTTGAAAGTCACCTGTTAATTTTATTGAGATTCCTTTGTACCTTATAATACTCTTTTTTCTTGCTGCTTTCAACACCCTCTTTGTTTTCAGCTTTTGCCACTCTGATTATAATGTGTCTACACTTGGATCTTTTTGAGTTAATCCTACTTGGAAGTTGTTGATCTTCTTGGATGTGTAAGTTAGTGTTTTTTAAATCAAAGTTTGAAAGTTTTTGCCTGTATTTTTTCAAAATTTTTTTCTATCTCTTTCTCTTTATGCTTTCCTCCTGAAACTCCAATCCCAGAGATCTTGTTATTTTTTTCTGTTCCTCAGACAGGATAATCTCAATGGACTTGTTTACAAGGTTATTTGTTCTTCTTTTGATAACTTAAATGTGCTATAAAGCCCCTGTAGTAAAAATAAAAATTGTTTGTCAACTTCAGAATTTCTATTGATTCTTTTTTAAAAATAATTTCTCTCTCTTTATTGATATTGAGTGAGGAATTTTTCTAACTTTATTTTCATTCTTTCCACAAGATTTTCTTCAGTTCTTTGAGCACATTTCGAATAGCTACTGTATGTGTCTAATAAATCCAACATCTGGGCTTCCTCAGGAACAGTTTCTATTGAATGCTTTTTTTCTCATGTACGATAATACATTCCTGTTTCTTTGGATGTCTTATAATTACTTGTTAAAAACTGGATACTTAAAATTATATCATGTGTTAGCTTTGGTAATCAGATCTCCTCCTTCCCCTAGTTTTGTTTTTGCTGTTGCTATTTGTTCCTTTCAGGTTTTTCATGAAATAATTCTCTAAAGTCTGTATTCTTGGTCATGTGCAATCACTGAAGTCACTGCTCATTTAACTGAGTGATCAACTAATGATTCATTTCCTTAGATTTTTTGAGCCAACTAGTCCCCTAAACTCTCCTGAGGGGCTTTGTTTGTGTGTTGGGCATGTCTTTAATGCTCTGAGAGTTCACATTTGTGCTTCAGCCATTACTTCCTGCTTGGATAAAGTATCAAAATTAACTAGAAATGAGAGGTTAGAACTTTCTCAGTTCTTTTCTGAGTATTGTACAGCCCTGTACATGTATATGATCTTCAGATTCCCAAGAACGTGACAGAGCTTTTCACAGCTCAGTGGACATATCATCTCCAAGTTTTCTTGTTAAGTTTTTTGGCCAGACTCTTGCTTACCCCAAATGATATTAACACCTCAGGCAGCTGAAGTAATATATAATTCTCTGTGAAATTTTTGATAAATGACCTGGGGAAGGGATTTTCCTAGTGAGTAAGCTCTGACTTACTTCATGTAAAGATGAGCCCCCTATGAATGGTGCCAGACAGGTCAAAAAATAACATTTCTCTCAAGATCTGGTTTTTGGAGCTCCAAACGCATTCTTCCTTCAGTGGCTGTTAGACTGCTGGTTCTTACAGCTACCATGGTTGTAAGGCTGCTGGTTTTCAAGGCTGTTGCCGAGGTACAGAGGAGCAGGGATGGGAACAGGGGAAATTAGAAATACCACAAACCTCACTCTTCTTACTGAGATTCGTTTTTTTGTTTGTTTGTTTGTGTGTTTTTTCAATCCACTAATTATTGCAAGCCTTTGGTTAACTTCCAGAGTTATAAAAATGTTGATTTTGAACAATTCAGCTAGTGTTCTCTTAGCTCTTATGGAGGAATGGATTTTCAGAGTTCTTTACACTGCTGAAGTGCTTTGGCTTTTTGTATTTCAATTGCATCTAAAAACTAGTGCCTAAGTTTCCCAATGTTTACAGAAAAAGACATGAATTTTATATGTGAAAATTGGTTAACTATGTAAAAGGGTTTGTCTGCAAGTGTTAGAGCCCTAATGAGATATGTGGTAAGGCCTATGTCACAATTGCCAGTTAGTATTAGTAAAAATTTGTTAGTAATTTGTCCTAAGCTTATTTCTTCTCTGATTGTTGCAGCAGGAGCTACACCTGCTTATTGATGCCAAAAGGCCTAGAGGCACAGGATAGGAATGTACAGGAATAACAAATAGATCCATCAGAACTAGACATGCTAAGAAGGAAGATTGAGCCATTCATAAAATTATAAATTATAGGAGCTCTCTCTTTAAAAAATATGTATCTTCCAACTCTTGATTTGTTGTTGCCTTCCAAGGCATTCACCAACTCCATCCCCAAGGATATAAAACTTACATGTAGTAAACAACTCAGAATCTGCCAGAAAAATGAATCTTCCTCTAAGTCCAGATTCAGTGCGTCCGTTCTCATATGTAAACTCCTATAATTCTGGATTATTTACTTTAGTAAAGTGCAAAATAGTTGTTAATTCCTGATGTGGACTATGTGGTTCACATATATTTACCATTTTCTCTCTCCTTTCTCCAATGTTTGGCATTAAATTTAAAAAATGTTGGACTACTTTAAACATTCTGGAAGATACAGAGAACAAGCAAAATGTACTTAAACATATTTGCAGAACGTGCTAAAAATCTGTTTTAACCTCACTTCTCAGTCTTTTTCTCTCCCTTTCTTGCCAACTGTGAGCCCCGTGCTTCAGACATTCCACTAGGGAGACAGACTTGCACTGGCTCTGTAGCACTGATATTCGAAGATGTGATTATTTCTTCTTCCTTCATTTGTTTACTCACTTCTTTACACCTTATGACTTTCACATATTTGTTGACATCTCTGATTTATTTATAAACCCCTCTCGTTATTTTCACTTTTCCAGGTTTATACTATTTTAAAATTCCACTTTGAACACATTTCTTGTTTTAGTGGGGTTTCTAAAGGAAAAGAGAGAAAGACGTACTTTCTTATTCCTTTATTTAAATGAATACAATCAGGCCATTCTGGTTTATTTTAATATTATTTACCCTTGTCATTCTGCCATTTTATTTTATAGTTTTTCCTTTCTTCATTTTCTGATTTTTGTATAAATTTTCTTTTTTTTTTTTCTTTTTAGTGCTTTGGAAACTATAAACTTGGCCATAGTCCTCAACTGTTTCTCAGTTGAAATACTACCTATTAATGTTTATCTATGATCAGTTGAGCTCAAAGAGTTTATTAATCACTCATTATTAGTGAGTCACTCAATGTTCAGTACAGGAAAAAAGAGCCGCTTTAGATGCTTCAAATAGAATGAAACTTAATTCAGGGAATTAGGTACTTCAAAAATTGTAGGGATGTCTGGAAGAGCAGAAGTTCATACTACTCTTCAGGAACATGTTTTTGCTACTGTACGCAGTTGGTGACTACAAAGTAGAACTTGAGGTTAGAACACTGAAAACATTAGTACAGTAATCATAGGAAGGTGACTTCCTTCTCATTATAATTTCTAAATTGTGCTTGGCAGAATCTTATGTCCAAAACCATAGCTGTGAGGGAGTCTGAGAAATGTACATTTTAGCTTTCTCTCTCTCTAAATGGAAATAGGGAAAAATTGATGTCTGAGAACCAATCCATTGTTAGCAAGTAGACGCTAAACCAGAGTTTAGAACTTTTGATTCCTGACTCATTTGTTGTCCTAAAACTGCACTGTGGCTTCTTTTACTTGATTTTCAAGGCACGAGTTATATAAGTCATAGCTTTGTTTGTATATTTTCCCCATCACATATCTGATGGCTGCTCAATTTTTGTCAAAGAGCAAATAAAACTCAATCAAAAATGCAAAGCTGAAATTCACATATTACATTATAAATAAGATTATCTACTTTTATGTTTTTCTTCATTTATATTAGTAGAAGATTCATTTTTAAACAAATTATACACACACATATATATATTTATATGCATATATATATATATACACATATATATGTGCATAGTCTGTTAATATTACATAACAAAAACTAGCCAAGTTACATGAAAGGAGTTTTCACCTCAGATTTCAAATGCAAAAATGCCTTAGATATGCATCATATATTGCAGTGTATTCCATATCCATATTTTTCTTCTTACAAGAACACTTAAAATGACTTTGTTAACATTGTGCTTTTCCCTGAATAAATATTATCTCTTACTAATATAACTATAATGTGGAAGATTATACTAAACTGTGGTAACAAATAGAAACAAAATGATCTACATGCTTCAAATGCAATGAAAGTTTATTTCTAGCCCACACAATTCAAGGTGACTCTTTTCCATGGGTGACTCAGAGTCCCAGTCTTCTGGATTGTGGCTCCACCTTTCATCATATTGGCATCCATGAGTACAAGGGGAAGTGGAATGGACAAAAGCAAACCAATTAATTACATCCTTTGCCTGGAAGTGGCTCACATCTTTTCTGTTCACCTAACTTTGTTGACAACTAATCACAAGATCACATCTGAACGCAAGCAGAGTAAATAAATGCACTTCTTAACTGGGTAGCTGCTTCCCAGCTACAAGTGACTAGCAAGGTTAGTGGAGACATTGATACTTCTACCGTCCATTTCTCTGACTGCCAAATTCACTCTTAGTTCTTTGGGTGGGAAAATTGCACCTTTCTTCCCACTTGGAAACCACACCTATCCCATCACTAAGAGGAAAATTCCAGATTTTGATTAAGAAACTGCATCAGCTCAAAATCCATGATCTGTGGGAGTTGTACATTTGCTTCCATAGACCAGATATGACTTCTACCTGTCCAGTGACCTGCTAATCAAAATGACAAGCTATTTGCCCCTGCCTTCCTCCACACCAAATATGATGGTAGAAGGGTAGAATATATGTTAAAAATCTCACAGTAGTCACTACTCCTTTGTCATATTCTGCTGAACAGGCATTAAAATATCCCTATAATATATTATGGATTAGGCAGTCTTTTTATAGAAAAATTATCTTGCCCTTTGTTCTTCATGACCCTGAGTATTACCTCTAGATTGTTTCTCCTTGTTCAATCCTTCATGACATCATTATTTGCAGTGGATGTCAGAAACTCTGACCCTTTGAGAACTGATCAGCTTTCATAGCTGACTACTTATTCATTCAATTTTGGGGGTCCAAGTGTTAAGGCTTGCCCATTGGTCTCTGGATTTTACAGCCTAGAATCATGCATTCTTTCTTGGCACAGCCCTTTCAAAATTTTCAGGAATATTTGCTTCTAGTTAGTTTATTATGACTGGAGTCATACCCTGAATTTTTTCCTAGACATAGTTCTTACATCTGCCTTGTAATTTTGCTGTCTTTCCCTCATGGCTATTTCTTCAAATTTAGTGGCCACTAAATAAAAACCACTTAAAACAATACACTTGTGTGAGAAAACAATGCCTTTAACCTGACCTTTATCACATGGCTAAATTCTTTTTATTCTGGAAAGTCTTAACAATCTCTGGAGAGCAAATGCTATGTGGGCTTCAAGAGTTCTCTTTTTCCAGCCCTGCTACCAGTTGGTCAGTCATATATAAGCTAATCTTTTTCCTGAAATATTTTGCTAAATGCAGTCTGTGTAGCCAACACACACTAATATTTTGGCTCCTTCCAACAATTTCCCTAGAACCACAATTATCTGTCTTTGGCCTTCTAACTTATCTCCGGCAATAGTTTAGCCAAATATTTTGATACTGCACAGCATAGGTCCCCAATTTCCCAGCCTACATCAGCTATTCCTCACTGCCTGTACTAGTCAGGGTTCTCTAGAGGAACAGAGCTAACAGGATAGATGTACATACAAAGAGGAGTTTATTAAGGAGTATTAACACACAATCACAAGGTTCCATAATAGGCTGTCTGCAAGCTGAGGAGGAAGGAAGCCAGTCCGAGTCCCAAAGCTGAAGAACTTGGAGTCCAATGTTCGAGGGCAGAAAGTATCCAGCCCGGGAGAAAGACGTAGGCTGGCAGCCTAGGCCAGTCTCTCTTTTTCACCTGTTTCTGCCTGCTGATTAGATGGTGCCCACCCAGTTAAGGGTGGGTCTGCCTTTCCCAGCCCACTGACTCAACTGTTAATCTCCTTTGGCAACACCCTCACAGACACACCCAGGACCAGCATTTTGCATCTTTCAATCAAGTCAAGTTGACACTCAGTATTAACCATCACACATCCACCCCTTGTCAACTTGAACCCATACAAATCTCCTGAGATCATACATAATCTTCAAATAAACTATCATAATTATACCTAACATAATACAGCTATCTTTCTTAAAACTAGAAATGAACCAATCCCCAATCCAAATGCTATTACATAAAGTTAACAACACTTAAATTCTGATATGAAGTCAATAAATCTTATGGTACATGAAAAAGGAAATAAAACGAAGATATTTTCTTAGTATGAGTGTAAACATGCTCAAACATAATACTATATATTGGACACTGATTCAGAGAACACACAGCCTTGTGAAGAACTTTGCCCCAGCCCTGCAAAGTATTGCACCTAGTTGGCATTGTAATTGCAACTTTGAAAGGCCATTTCACCATTCTATCAATCCAGCTGCGTCAGAATGATGGGGAACACGGTAAGACCAGTGAATTCCATGAGCATGAGCCCACTGCCTACACTTCTTTAGCCATAAGATTATTGCCTTGCTTGGTGGCGATGCTGTGTGGAATACCATGATGGTGGATAAGGCATTCTGTGAGTTCACGGATGGTAGTCTTGGCAGAAGCATTGAGTGCAGGATAGGCAAACCTATATCAGGAGTAAGTGTCTATTCCAGTGAGGACAAACCTCTGCCCTTTGCATGATGGAAGAGGTCCAATATGAATCTGCCACCAGGTAGCTGGCTGATCACCCCGAGGAATGGTGCCATATTGAGGGCTCAGTTTTGGTCTCTGCTGCTGGCAAATTGGGAACTCAGCAGTGGCTGTAGCCAGGTCACCCTTGGTGAGTGGAAGTCCGTGTTGCTGAGCCCATATGTAACCTCCACCCCTGCCACCATGGCCACTTTGTTCATGGTCCCTTTGGGTGATATCAGAGGTGACTGGGGAGAGAGGCTGAGTGGTGTTCACAGAATGGGTCATCCTATCCAACATTGATTATTAAAATCCTTCTCTGTTGAGGTCACCTATTGGTGAGCACTCACATAGGATACAAATATCTTTACAGTTTTTGACCACTCAGAGAGGTACATCCACATACATCTTCCCCGAATTTCTTTGTCACCAATTTTCCAATCATGCTTCTTCCAAGTCCCTCATCATCCAGTCAAACGATTGGCCGCAGCTCATATATCAGTATGCAGTCGCACATCTGGTCATTTCTCCTTCCATGCAAAGCGCACAGCCAGGTGCACTGGTTGAAGTTCTGCCCACTGGGAAGATTTCCCTTCACCACTGTCCTTCAGGGATGTCCTAGAGAGGGGCTACATTGCCACAGCTGTCCACTTTCGGGTGGTGCCTACATGTTGTTCAGAACCATCTGTGAACCAGGCCCTAGTCTTCCCTTCCTCTGTCAACTGATCATAGGGAACTCCCCATGAGGCCATCAGTGCAGGATCGGGGAGAGAAGGCAGAGTGTCAGGAGTGGAGACCATGGGCATTTGAACAACTTCCTCGTGTAACTTACTTGTGCCTTCAGGACCTGCTCAAGCCCAATCATGTATATACCATTTCTATTTTATGATGGAATGCTGCTGTGGATGACACATTTTAGGGCTGGATAGGTCAGAAAACACCCAGTTCATGATAGGCAGTTCAGGTGGTATGGTGACTTGATGACCCATAGTCAAACGTTCAGTTTCCACCAAAGTCCAGTAGCAGGCCAAGAGCTGTCTCTCAAAAGGAGAGTAGTTATCAGCAGAAGATGGCAGGGCCTTGCTCCAAAATCCTGGAGGCCTCCACTGTGATTCACTTATGGGGGCCTGCCAAAGGATCCAAACAGCATCCCTGTCTGCCACTGACATCTCAAGCAACACTGGATCTGCTGGGTCATATGGCCCAAGTGGCAGAGCAGCTTGCACAACAGCCTGGACCTGTTGCAGAGCCTTTTCCTGTTCTGGACTCCACTCAAAACTGGCAGCCTTTTGAGTCACTCAATAAATGGGCTGGAGTAACACACTCAAATGAGGAATGTATTGCCTCCAAAATCCAAATTGGCGCACTAGGTATTGTGCCTCTTTCTTGGTTGTAGGAGGGGTCAAATGCAGCAACTTATCCTTCACCTTAGAAAGAATATCTTGATAGGCCCCACACCACTGGACCCACAGAAATTTTACTGACACAGAAGATCCCAGAATTTTAGTCAGATTTATTTCCCGTCCTCTGGCATGCAAATGTCTCACCAATAAGTCAAGTGTGTTTGCTACTTCTCACTTACTGGATCCAATCAGCATAATATCCTCAACAAAATCAACCAGTGTCATATCTTTTGGGAAGGGGAAATCTGTGGGAATCTGCTGAGGTCACCTGTTGGTGAGCACTTACATGGGATACAAATATCTTCACAGTTTTTGACCACTCAGAGAGGTACATCCACATATCTCTGGACCAAAGAGCATCCCTATGTGCCACTGACACCTCAAGAAACATTAGATCTGCTGGGTCATATGGCCCAAGTGGCAGAGCAGCTTGTGCAGCAGCCTGGACCTGTTGCAGAACCTTTTCCTGTTCTGGGCCCCAGGGAGAATTGATCAACGTCTCTCCAAACAAAATTGTGACACAAAGCCAGAGAGTTGATATACCCCTGAGGTAGGATAATAAAAGTATATTGCTGGCTTCACCAGCTAAAGGCAAATTGCTTCTGGTGGGCCTTATGTACGGGAATGGAGAAAAAGGCATTTGCTAAATCAATGGCTACATACCAGGTACCAGGAGATGGTTAATTTGCTCAAGTGATGAAACCACATATGGTACAGTAGCTGCAATTGGAGTCACTACTTGGTTAAGCTTACAATAATCCACTGTCATTCTCCAAGATCCATCTATCTTCTGCACAGGCCAAATAGGAGAGTTGAATGGGGATGTGGTGGGAATTACCATCCCTGCATTGTTCAGTTCCTTGATGGTGGTACTAATCTCTGCAATCCCTCCAGGGATGCGATATTGTTTTTGATTCACTGTTTTTCTAGGTAGAGGCAGCTCTATTGTCTTCCATTCGGCCTTTCCACCATAATAGCCTTCACCCTACCAGTCAGAGAAGCAATGTGGGGGTTCTGCCAGCTGCTAAGTATGTCTATGCCAATTATGCATTCTGGCACTGGGGAAATGACCACACAATGAGTCTGGGAACACACTGGACCCACTGTAAGTTGAATCTGGGCTAAAACTCCATTAATTACCTGACCTCTATAAGTCCCTACTTCAACTGGAGGACCACAATGATGTTTTGGGTTCCCTGGAATCAGTGTCAGCTCAGAGCCAGTATCTAGTAGTCCCTGAAATGTCTGATCATTTTCCTTTCCTCAATGCACTTTACCCTGGTAAAAGGCCAGAGGTCTCTGTGGGGAAGGATGGGAGAAAGGATAACTGCATAAATTGTCAGTAGTGTAGTGGGGTCCTTCCTCAAGGGGACCCAGCCTGCTCTCCATTCAAGGGGTTCTGGGTCTTTAAACGAGTTCAAGTCTGGAAACTGATTAAGGAGCTATGATTCTTTGTTTTTATAATTCAAATTAGTTTTTTGTCCACTAGATCTGGATGTTTTCTTATTATATAAATTAAGTAGGAATGCAGTAGGCTTCCTATCAATTTCACTTCTAGAAACACCGTGATTAATTAGACAATGCCAGCGTTCTACACAAGTCACACTATTCTGATTGCTGCTTTGCCTCTGATGTCCATTACGGTAGCTATGCCCACCTTGCTTTTGATGGCTGAGTGTTGCCACTTGGCCCCTGCCACCTCAGGATCCAATTATTCGCATTGCATTTACATTTCATAGTTGAGTGACTGCAGTTCTCACTGTTAGATCTGGCATACAGAGAAGAGCAGTCCCTACAGAGCTCCTCAGAGATGCAGGTGCTTCCCTCACAAATCTATTTCACAAAATATTGGTCAAGGGTATATCTTCCGGACTCTCTCCCAGATGAGATGAGTAGGTCTGAAGTGACTAATCCACCCCATCTTCCCAATGTCCCTAAGCCTTTGGATCCCTTCTTCTACATTAAATCAAGGGAGGAAATCAGGCATTTCCAGCTTGCTCACAGTGGGCCATCTTTTAATCCATATTTCAGTTAACCAAACAAACTATTAGAACTTTTTTTATCTCCCCGAGCAGCAATATTAAATGCAGAATCCTCACTTAGGGGGCCCAAATCAATGAATTCGGCCTGATCCAACTCTATGTTCCTTCCACTATTATCCCACACCCTTAATATCCATTCCCATACCTGTTCTACAGATTTCTGCTTATATAAACCAGAAAACTCAAGTAGTTCTTTTTGAGTGTAGTACACCTCTTCATGGGTCACACTCTGAACCTCATCTCTAGGGGCCTGCTGGGACTTTAGTCTACTTATAGGTCTAGAAGCAATCAGGGGTGTTGAGGGTGAGTACTGAGGAGAATCAACATTACCTTGCCTGGAAACTGCCTCAGCGGAGGCCATTGCTGTTGCCTCAGGCAGCACAGGGTTTATCTCCTCAGACAAAGATAGAAAGGCTGATGGCAGTTGGGGTTGGGGAGGGAATGTTGCCACTACTGGGGATGGGGAAGCTGTTTCTTCTGGCAAAAAAGGTTCATCAGAGTTTACAATCTCAGTGTCCCCAGCTTCATCAGGGTCCTCCCACACATCCCCATTCCAACTTGCAGGGTCTCATTTTTTTCCAATCAATGCCCTCACTTTAACAGTAGACACCTGGCAAGGCTGTGCATACATCTTTTGTTGCAGGTCAGTTGCTCGCATTATAAGAGCCTGTGTCTGATTTTCCACAACTTTAGCTTTTTCTCTACAGGAGGTAAGTCTCACTCAGGGCAATCTTAGGAGATTTGAGGCTCAGTATCTGCATCTGTAACTGGGAGTTAGAATTCCTGAGTTCATAATTTTCTTACATCACTTTGTCCAGTGAACTTAGAAGCAACCAACCAACTTCATAATGTTCTTTGGTTCTCCACATATGGTCAAAGGTATTATGTATGAGTCACTAAACTCCTCGCCCCTCATGTGCAGTGAATCAGGAGTGTCAAATGCATCTACACAGTTCATGCCAAGGACTATCAGTGTTCTCCATACTATTAGAAGTAGAGTCCTTTGTGAGGCCGAGGCGGGCGGATCACGAGGTCAGGAGATTGAGACCATCCTGGCTAACATGGTGAAACCCCGTCTGTACTAAAAATATAAAAAATTAGCTGGGCGTGGTGGTGGGCACCTGTGGTCCCAGCTACTTGGGAGGCTGACGCAGGAGAACGGCATGAACCTGGGAGGCGGAGCTTGCAGTGAGCCGAGATCGCACCACTGCACTCCAGCCTGGGCGACAGAGTGAGACTCTGTCTCAAAAAAAAAAAAAAAAAAAAAAAAGAAGTAGAGTCCTTAGCATTTTTGGGTCTAATCACATTAAGCAGCCAACTCCAGAAACCCCCAAACCAATGAAAGAACTCCATCCTTAATATTCTATTCCTCTAAAACCACTCCTGGTACCAAAATCTGTATTAGTCAGGGTTCTCTAGAGGGACAGAACTAATAGTATAAGTGTATAAATAAAAGTGAGTTTATTAAGGAATATTAACTCACATGATCACAAGCTCCCACAATAGGCTATCTGCAAGCTGAGGAGCAAGGAAGCCAGTCTGAGTCCCAAAGCTGAAGTTCTTGCAGTCTGATGTTCAAGGGCAGGAAACATCCAGTACAGAAGAAAGATGTAGGCTGGGAGGTTAAGCCAGTCTAGTCTTTTCACATTCTTCTGCCTGCTTTTTGTTCTAGCTGCACTGGCAGCTGATTAGATTGTGCTCATCCAGATTAAGGGTGGGTCTGCCTTTCCCAGCACACTGACTCAAATGTTAATCTCCTTTGGCAACACCTTCACAGACACACCCAGGATCAATACTTTGCATCTTCAATCCAATCAAGTTGACACTCAGTATTCACCACCACACTGCCCACTGCCCAGCTGTTATTCCCATGTCCTGTATTTTAGTGGTTTACTAAATAGAAACACTTCACTTTAAGGTATCAGTTTCTCTACTAGGAAGCATACACTAAGGTTTGATAAAATATACATGCAAAGTATATAATGGGTCAACACAAGAGACCATTTTCACCATCATAGTAACAGTCCAAGGTGGTTATTCCTGATCCATGAGCAGATTTTTTTCCATATCCATAATGCAGAAACCTAAGTTTCTCCCATCTTCTGTCATCCCATGGGGCTATAACCATTTTTATTTATTTTGTGGAAAGAGACAGTGAGTATGGAGGATGAATGATGTTATTACCTTGATCATAAAGTGGCATACACAATTACTTATTCTGTTGATATTAACCAGTCACAAGGCCACAGCTAGCTGCAAGGTGGTCTTGGAAATGGAACCTAGCTCCTTTAAGGAACCACAACCATATACAGTAAAAATGGGAAGGAGATTTTGATGGACAGCCAGCTATTCTTCCCATATTACCTATTGACATTTTTAATATATTTTCATAGATTACAAAGCAATTATATCTTTGCATAATGTAAATATCTTAGCAATTCTCAAACACAAAAAGTTATCTGCAGCAAAATTAGTGATTTGCCCAAGATACATTACTTGTAAAAGTCAAAGCCTGAATGTGAACTAAGAACTTCTCTTTCCAAATCTCATGCTCTTTCTTAAAAACTGGTTAGAAAATAAATAAATAAATAAATACATAAATAAATAAATAAATAAATGACTGTGTTCAACAGGATATAAACTTTGAAATGAATACCTTCAAGTGATCTCATAAATTTTTGATGAGTAACACCTGGCCACAAATCTTAGACAGTTTAATATTATATTTTCCTCTCAATAATACAGTTATAGAATCTAATCCCATTAAAAATGACCAAAGAGTGTTCAAGTGCAATTCTTTTTATCTTAAGTGGACAGGATAAAATTATTTTTTGTGAATGAGGACTCATAGTTCTTATTTTAATAATCAATATATTTAGACATTTATTTAATACTTGAAAATCAATTTTTCTCATGGCATTGCACATCAGGAAGTTGTTTCTTATCAGGTAGTCATTTATTCCTCCCTTTTATTTTTTAAAAGTCATTGAAAAATACTGCTTGGAAGGAAACTCTGTACTAACTGTTCCAGTGCTGAAAAGACACACAAAGAAAGTTCAATGAAGATAAATTTTCCCTTTTTCGAGCTTCTGAAAAAAATCAAATAAATATATCCAGCATTATGGAGAGAATTTTATTTGTTTTATTTCTGCCCGATCTATATTCAGATTTAAATATACTAGACAGTCACAAAGTCATAAAATTTAAAAGTTGGAAAAGAGTTTTGAGATAATCTCACTCAATATGTCTGTCATTAAACTTCAGTAGAGCTTATTTGTATAATTTGAGGAAATTAACTAATGGCACACAGACTTCTTTTTTGTTTCACAGATTATGCAATTTGAGCTTTTTCCCCTGACCAAATTATTGTTGGTCATAACTTTCTAACTCTCTTGGCGGTGCAAGGAGAGTTCCAGCGGTCTGCCCCTCCATTAGACAATGTTATTGCCAATTGGCTCTTTGCTTTTGTGGGCAAGGTCTTATTAATTCCATGGCACTTCTTAGCTTTTATTATTGCCATGATTTGAATATATCCTTTATGTGGAAATTATCTTTTTAAATTTATTAGAAGCAAAATGTACTTCAAGAACTGCATAGGGTAATCTTTTTTGGTGGTGTTATCATGTCTCAATGATTAACTGCTTTCTAAGGATGAAAAATTTAGGGCTTTTTACACAATCTTATTGATATATGACATTTGCAGCTAACATTATAAATTATTTTTAGAATAAAACTTGCTGTCTGGAATTCTTCAAATTAGAATTCTTCAATAAATAAGTATGATTTATCTAGACTAACATAACTTTACTTAGGTATTGTAAGTTTGTCTAATTGAACATTCTAGACTTGGTGCATACTTAAATGCTGTGTAATAGTGTCAAATTAGCTTGACAACTTCCTATGTATACATAGTAAGATTGATTTTAGACTTTTAATATCAAATGCTTTGAATATGGCCATCTATCACAGTATATGACTATAAATAACTTCTATTTGACGAGATCTGACTTTACTAGGGATTCGTTATTCCAGTATTTTTTTGTCAATGACTTTGAGGTAGGAAATTTATTTAAGTTATGCAACCACAGAATAACCTCTACATTGGGATTTGTGGCTGATTGTCTGAAGCACAGTCTAGACAATAGCAAATTTTTCAATTCTGAACAGGCTGCATATAATAAATTGCCAGCTTGAACACTGATTTAACTAAAACATTACATTTCATATTTCAATGTTGCATTCCATCTGATTGCACTAAATGTTGGACACAGAAGTAGAATTCTGGTGTCTTGATTCTGTGATCTAGCTCTGAGGCTGTGTTGCTTGGATATAACCCAGAGGACTTAAAGCCTGTCCAGAACACTGAACACCAATTTCTCCACTGCAAGCACACTTGACTGTGTGCTTCTTTCCTGTTTTCTCCTGTTAAACAGCCAAGTGAAAAGCCCAGTATACAATGAGTCAAATTCTCACAGTGTATTGGTCACATCCTTGAAGCTGGCTTGGTCATCTTGGTAATTGAGTCAATTCTTACAATTCACTCAGAGTAATGAAGATGTTATTTATTGAAAAATATGGCTTAAAGTTACATATGTTGTTTTCAAGAAGTTTTGGCAAGGTCAAATAAAGTAATTATTTTCCTGGAAGATTAAATATAAAAATGTGATTCCATAAGTGATATGTTTATTCATTCATTCAGTGAAGATGTTTATTTCATTTATTGCACTATTCTCAACATTGTTAAGAATATAAAAGAGGTAGTCATATGCTATATGCCTTTCCTTTAAAAATTACAATTTAATTGAGATAACAAGTTATGCACGTGTTTAAAAGTTGATGACAATGCAAGACAATAGCTTCCCAAAAGGTTGAAAGACAGAGTATTGTCAAGTGTCAAAGCTGGGAAAAATAGGAATTTAGGGAAAAGTCACTCTACTTTGAGTGTAGGTTTTATGGGAAAGATGCGGTTGACTAATCCATGATGAATGAAAACTAGTCAATTGTGGAAGAAAAAATGAGAACAAAGAGGGCAAGACAAAGAGTTGAGAAAATAAATGATTTGAGAGATAATGGACAGCTATTCTAACAGCAGCACAGTATCTATGAGTATGAGTTCCTGTTGGAATTGGTGATAAAATAATTGGCTAGATACAGCATCTGCCTTCCAGCTTTCCAGTGTGCAAGATTGACTAATAAAGGCTGATTTCAAGGTAATGTGGAGGGAAATTGATACCATAGTTATTAATGATTTAATCAATTCTTCATTCATACTGTATTTTGTCATTCATTTAGTCAACTTAAGATGTACCTTCATTGTGTCAGAAACTGAATTCCAAAAAAGAGTGAATAAGACATATATGGCCCCTACTCTCTTAATGTTTATAGGCTATTTCTCTAATATGCTATAAATAATAAACAAATAAATTGGAAAGGGCACTAGTAAACAAGAAAATAATGTGCTGTTAAAAAGTAGAGAGTCTACTTAGAGAGGTTATCCATAGTAAGTCAGAAAGTAAAGGAAGAACAAGACTCAATCTTTCAAGGTCAAGGAATCCTTTGGAAAATGCTTTAGTTAACTTTAGACCTCAAGGATAAGTAAGACATGGGAAATGCAGCAGGAGTGAATTCCAGACAGTGAAAATAGCGTATGTAAAGCATGTTTGAAAGAAAGGAAAGCATGATTCTTTTTGACCAGAGAAGTGGAGCTGGGAGAAATGTAGTTAGAGAAAGACAAGCAAGGTCAGATGATGAAGTGTCCTGTGATATTGTCTGCTTATTTAATGTCAATAATAATCTAGAATTTATGATATAAATTGAGCACAAGTATTCAGAATTTCTAAATTGTCAACTACTAGGGTTTCAGAGTTTTACATGGAAGATCAGTGGTAAGTACATATTTTCATATAGGATTTATTCCGCAGTATTAAATCAGTAAAAAAAGAGTGGAAGTTGAAAATTAGGATGTTATAGCTGCACAAGGTAGAATAGACTCTGGGAGGTGATTGGGTTGGAGGCTCAGATGAGTGTGAGGACTATGAAGTGTATAAAGTGGGATGTTATGAGCGATTGGGGCAGAAAAGAGTTGAAGGGGTTCCCAGAAAGAAACCTAGTCCTCTGTAAGAATTATTTTATACATGAGGATACTGCTTGAGAGAGAGAGGAAGAGAGAGAGAGAGATAAAGAGAGAGAGAGATCTTTTCCTTCTTATAAATCTCCGCAGTCCTATTAGATTAGGACCCCACACTTATGACCTAAATAAACTTCCATTGCCTTCTAAAGACAGTGTCTCTTTGTACAGTCATACTGGGTTTGGGCTTCAACACATTAATTAGAGTGGGGCACAATTCAGTCGATAGCAGAAGGCTACATATGTGACCAGTGAAGGTAACTCTTGGGATTCTATATGTGCTCATTATATGTTTATCCCTGTCACAGCCTGATGACATGCTTTATTTTTAGAGTTTTGAAAGGCATACATATTTTGAGTCAGTCCCTGCCTTTCATCACGTGTAAGAGGAACACCACACTTTTAGCCATAGAATATGAAGTTTTGGTTTATTTGCTAAAAACAATAATTGAAATTTCACACATCTATCCCTTAGCATTCAGTCTAAAAAAAAGCACAAGAAATATTATAAGTAGAAGAAATTTTTTATGGAAATTAAAGATTACAATCATGTGGAAAGAACTGGGCATGTGAAGATCGGGAACAGGAAAGTGATATTCAGCAAAAGTCACTAACCGTGACAGCCTGTTCTGGATGGCCAGGTCAGAGATTGCAGAAAAGTTCCAGAAGATGTGCATCCTTGGCCGCTGAATTGGGACTTAAATAAGGCAGTGCTTGAAGAGAGGTCTGTTGAAGCTGTCACCTTGCTAGAGCTTGGTGGTTGGCTTGGGGCTGCTGTTGGTTGATGAAAACAGTAGAAAGATGAGCTGAAACTAGAGCCCAGTGAACACCCTGGGACTTCCTCTCACCCTGGCCTCCCACCACAGTCTTCCAAAATAAATGCCCTCTTCACTCAAGAAAGCTTCTCTTTTATCTAACTCAAATCCAGACCACGTACGGAAGGGGATTCTGGGATAAATTCAGTTGATCCTTGAGTAAGGTGAGGTTAGCAGCACCTCCTCACAGTCAAAAACCCACACATAACTTTCGACTCCCCTAAAACTTAACTAATAGCCTCCTGTTGACTGGAAGCCTTACCAATAACATAGGCAATTACCACATATTTTGTATGTTACATATATTTACTATTCATTAATTGGAAGTGATTATCCCAAAGATCTTTGTCCTCTTTGCCTTCATATTGAGTAGGCTGAGAAGAAGGAGAAGAGTAAGGGTTGGTCTTACAGAAATGGAGAACATACTAATAACTTGGCAAGGTCAAGCAGGATGAGACTGAACATAGATTGCTAGATTTGGCAATTTGGAAGCCATTGGAGACCTTTGAAAGAGTTATTTTATTAGAGTGGTGGTGAGCAGAAAATCTGATAAGAAATGAATTAGAAGTGAGAAAATAAAAGTGCATAAAATACATATGCATATAAACAAATATATGTACAAAATATTTAGAGTTATCAGTTCATGAGCTTACCACTTTACTGGCAGTAACTAGTGTCAGGAGCTATGAAGGATTTGAAATTTTAACCAATCATAAGTTAGCTTGCCACAGTTGCCTGGATGCTGGAAGAAGGCAGAGTTTACTAGTCTTTACTAGACTTTAGTTACTAGTCACTAGCCAGTAGGCAGAATTAAGTCCAGGTTTATATTGTTTTTTTCTTGCTGCCCATTCCCCAATCCCATGGGGTTGCTGTGGAGTTGGTCTATGTGCTTCTTCCTTTGGCTGGTCTTAATTTGTATCCTAGACCTCTGATTAATGCAATTGTGAGTACAATTATTTTCAGTGAGTTCTGTAAGTCTTTCTAGTGAAATTTTGAACCCAAGGTGGCTGTGGTAACCTCTGAATTTGTTACCAACTGGTCTGAAATAAGGGCGGTCCTGGGGACATTCAAAGACAGCTGGTACCTGAAGTGAGGATAGTCTTGTGACTGTGTTTTCAGATTGTGCAGTTTCCCTAAATCTGGGAAACTCAACTTTTTTAGGTATGGTTAAAAGCGTTTGTGTTTGTTTGATATGATAATGACAAAAAGTATGACTCCCACTTTTTTCTTTACTGACTTTTGTTCCAAATTTATTTACAGTCATTCAGAAAGCCTATTATATTCCAAGAGTCATACAACTCATCATATGGGACAAACCAAGATATCAATTATCATTCAATATTTAAGATAAATGACAATTTGACTTTTAATTTTTTCCCTATATAACTGTGATCCATTTTTAAGGTGACCATGGCTCGAGGAGGCTTCACAAAGCACAGAAAAAACTGAGAGAAGATAAATACATGTAATAAGGTGATTTTATTTGATGTTGAGAAACAAGTTAGTCTTCTTATCTTAAAAGTTTGGTTTATAGTCATGAGTACTCATGCCATAAAAATTTCAAAACCAAGAATTTGTTTCCATAATGTTTTTGTTGTCCTGATAACAGGAAGTTGACACTTCAGTTTGGCTCATGGTTAAATAATTTCCTGTAGATTGCCTGCCAGTGAAAAGAACATAAAATGCCATGTATAATTTTTACTTTTGAAATGTCTTTTTTGGGGGAAATTTTATTTTCCTCAAATATGAACAGCATTTTAGTCTTTCACTGATAAACATTAAACAAAAATAAATTTTGGCTAAAATGATAGTGCATAGTATAGCCAGAAGAAGGAAAACTTTAATATAATTTACATTTCATCACACATTAATTTAAGACAAATCATAATTTCTATGGGCCTCTGTCTTCTCTGTTTGTAAAATAGGAAAGAACATCTTACCTGCTAGAAGAAAGGGGTGATATTAAGGTCTATTTCTCTCCCAAGACTTTTTTAAAAATAAATGCTATGAAAAGCAATGTGTTAGATTTTATGGTTATCCTGGGTGTGAGTAACAGAGAATACAGCAGAAGTAGAAGGTGTTACAAAGAGCATAGAATATAGATCTTGTTCCAATTCTATCAGTTGTTGATTTTGTGACCATTGCAATAATTCAACTTTTCTCATTTTTTTCCCTGGTCAAGTAAAGACAGTGTTCTTTGAGACCTAAATACAATTATATACAGTCATTTTTTGAAGTAGAAAACATTCTACAAATGTCTGAATTCCATTAGTACTTCTGATAACTTACCTGTGAAGCCATTAGTCCAATTGTAAGAACAATATTAATACAGATGAAACAGGCAGTGGAAGGCAATTAAACTCAGTCATCAAGTCATATAGAAAGAATCAAGTCATATAGAAAGAAATTACTAAAACAGATTTTATAACTACATATAATTTAAGCCAAACTTATACCCAAATCTGGTCATCAATATTTATGTAGTTCCAATAGATATAATTTGCTCATGACCAAATTAACAGAGGTGAATGTTTTTATTGCAGTATATTTGTTTGGATTTAGGAAGTGAAGTGTAAGATACATTGTTTCTTAGAATTTGTGTCAATTTCAGAGTAAAG
Source organism: Homo sapiens (assembly GCF_000001405.40). Taxonomy (NCBI): domain Eukaryota; kingdom Metazoa; phylum Chordata; class Mammalia; order Primates; family Hominidae; genus Homo; species Homo sapiens. Next base: position 28,293,217 of record NC_000021.9, on the reverse strand, counting down.
AAATGAATCTGAAGAATAACATAAGTGAGCATTCCCAAATATTAAAAAATAGAAAACAAAAATGTGATTTGGACTTTATTTAATTTCCTCTTAAGTCACTGTATTAGAAATTCTTCAAATTCTTCTGGAGAAAGGAAAAATGAGTAAACATTTTTCTTATATTTAACAGTTCTTGGACCAAACTGACAAATAATTTTGAATATCAATTCAAAATTATATGACTGCCAGCTATTGGCAATTGCATGTTGCAAAATGAGTTCAGTGGTGAAAAGGAGGACTCCAAGCCTCAAAGTTGTACTAAAAGTCAGGATATGTCTGTAAAGCAAAACAAACACTACCTTGGAATAATAAACTGTCTGGTATTCTTCACCATTTTGAAAACACATTGGGATGTCAGAAAAATTTAATCTGGTGTCAATCCTGTAGTTTAAAGTGGCTTCCAGTACATAAACACCTGGAACAATGGGCGCCTATGCCAATCAAACCTGTTGTATTTGCTGTTTAATGCACCAATGATTGAAATCTTAGCACTGTGACTGGCACATAGTAAGTCTTCAAGGAATGGTAGTTATTGCACTACTATGACTAAGGACCCAGTCTCAGAGAGCCTGTAGAGAAAGAGAAATGAGCAATTATCACACAATTCTGCAGCCTTTAGAGAATCCACAGACATCTTTTTATAATCTTGCTGTAAGTTCATAGTAAAAAAGCAGGTTGTGAGAAGTAGTTCAGAATAAATTGGAGAATCTGTATCATCCACATTTCTACAATTTTAAAAAATCAAATTATATTCTATCATATATATCTTACAGTTAGGAATGTGAGTTTATTCTCTCTCTCTCTCTCTCTCTCATACGCATGCTTGAGTACACTGAAGAGACTGAAGCAGCAGGGAGATCTGATAATTGATCAGCATGTTTTCACTTTTTTTTTCCTAGTAACAGACTGGTTATACTATGAATTCAATTTAAAAAGTGGATCATGTAGCTATGATAAAATGCATTCTTTCCTCTACTGGGTGTTTCACTATTACATGAAATCAAATAAGTTGCTGGGAATGTTTATTCCTTAATAATAGAATATGTAAGTTTTATGATGTGGAAAAATATATTTTATAGAGAAGAAACAGTTTTGTTCTTCCTAAATCATGACATTCAGTTGGAACAGGACTACAAGGGACAGCACTTATTTCTATGCAAATTGGAACTTAATTTTCATGTTGGTAACAGTCTTATTCTTCATTTTAATAATTGAGCAACCTATTAATTCAATATTAGTACCCCTAAATATTTTGTTTCTTGAATCAATCAGAGCTGGAGTATTCGTTTCCTAGGGCTACTGCAACAAAGTAGCACAAACTGGGTGACTTAAACAATAGATATTTACTGTCTCATAGTTCTGAAAGTCAGAAGTCCAAGATCAAGGTGTTGGCAGGGTTGACTCCTGAGGGTGCTTAAGGAGAATCTATTTCTTGCCTCTTTCCTAGCTTCTGGCAATGACCAGGAATCCTTGGCATTTCTTGGCTTGTATATGTATCACTCCAATCCTTTCCTCATCTTCACATGGAGTTCCGTGATGGCTAATATTGAATGTCAACTTAATTGGACTGAAGAATGCAAGGTATTGTTCCCGAGTGTGTCTGTGAGGGGGTTGCCAAAGGAGATTAACACTTGAGTTAGTGGACTGGGAGAGGCAGACCCACCCTCAATTTGGGTGGGCATAATCCAATCGGCTGCCAGGAGGGCCAGAACAAAAGCTGGCAGAAGAATGTGGAAGGACTAGACTAGCTAAGTCTTCTGGCCTCCATCTTTGTCCCATGCTGGGTGCTTCCTGCCCTCGAACATCAGACTCCATGTTCTTCAGCTTTTGGACTCTTGGGCATACACCAGTGATTTGCCAGGGGCTCTCAGGCCTTCAGCCACAGACTGAAGGCTCCACCATCAGCTTCCCTACTTTTGAGGTTTTGAGGCTTGGACTGGCTTCCTGGCTCCTCAGCTTGTGGCCTATTGTGGGACTTCACCTTGTGATCATGTGAGTCAATCACCCTAATAAACTCCTCTTCATATATTCTTCTATCCTATTAGTTCTGTCCCTTTAGAGAACCCTGACTAATACAGATATTGTTACTGGGTAGCGGGGTGCTGCTGTGAAGATACCTAGAAATGTGGAAGCAACTTTGGAACTGGGTAACAGGCAGAGGTTGGAACAGTTTGGAGGGCTCAGAAGAAGACAGGAAGATGTCAGAAAGTTTGAAACTTCCCAGGGACTTGTTGAATGGCTTTGACCAAAATGCTGATAGTGACATGAACAATGAAGTCCAGGTTGAGGTGGTTTTAGATGGAGATGAGGAACTTGTTGAGAACTGGAATAAAGGTGACTCTTGCTATGTTTTAGCAGAGAGACTGGTGTTATGTTGTCCCTGCCCTAGAGATCTGTGGAATTTTGAACCTGAGAAAGATGATTTAGGGTATCTGGGAGAAGAAATTTCTAAGCAACAAAGCATTCAAGAGGTGACTTGGGTGCTGTTAAAAGCATTCGGTTTTATGTATTTACAAAGATATTGTTTGGAGTTGGAACTTACATTTAAAAGGGAAGCAGAGCATAAAACTTTGGAAAATTTGCAGCCTGAAGATACAAGACAAATGAAAAATTTATTTTCTGAGGAGAAATTCAAGCTGGCTGCAGAAATTTGCATAAGTAACTAGGAGTCAAATGTTAATTGCCAAGACAATCAGGAAAATATCTCCAGGGCATGTCAGAGAGCTTCACTGCAGCCACTCCCATCATAGGCCTGGAGGCCTAGGAAGAAAAAACAGTTTCATAGGCCAGGCCCAGGGTCCCCCTGCTGTGTGCAGCCTAGGGACTTGGTGCCCTGCGTCCCAGCCACTACAGCTGTGGCTAAAAGGAGTGAAGGTTCACTTGGCCCATGGCTTCAGAAGGTGCAAGCCCCAAGCCTTGGCAGCTTCCATGTGATGTTGAGCCTGTGTGTGCACAGAAGTCACGAATTGAGGTTTGGAAACCTCTGCCTAGATTTCAGAGGATGTATAGAAATGCTTGGATGTCCAGCAGAAGTTTGCTGCCGGGAAAGGACCCTCATGGAGAGCCTCTGTTAGGGCAGTGTGGAAGGGAAATGTGGGGTCTAAGCACACACACAGAGTCCCCACTAGGGCACTGCCTAGTGGAGCTGTGAGATGAGGGCCATCATCCTTCTGACCCCAGAATGGTAGATCCACCAACAGCTTCCACCGTGTGCTTGGAAAAGCCACAGACACTCAATGACAGCCCATGAAAGCAGCTGGGTGGGAGGGAGACTGTGACCTCCAAAGCCACAGGGCCCGAGCTACCCAAGGCTGTGGGAGCCCACTTCTTGCATCAGTGTGACCTGGATGTGAGACATGGAGTCAAAGGAGATCATTTTGAAGCTTCAAGATTTGACTGCTTCTCTGGATTTCAGTCTTGCAAGGGGCCTATAGCCCATGCATTTTGGCCTATTTATTCCATTTGCAATGTGTATATTTACCCAATTACCATACCTCCATTGTATCTAAGAAGTAACAAACGTGCTTTAGATTTTACAGGCTCATAGGCAGAAGGGACTTGCCTTGCCTCAGATGAGACTTTGGACTGTAGACTTTTGAGTTAATGCTGAAATGAGTTAAGACTTTGGGGGACTGCTAGGAAGGCATAATTTGTTTTGAAATGTGAGGACATAAGATTTGGGAGTTGGAGGAGCCACAGGTGAAATGATACGGTTTTGCTCTGTGTCCCTACCCAAATCTCACTTTGAATTGTAATAATTCCCTTGTGTTATGGGAGGGACCAGGTGGGAGGTAACTGAATCATGGGGGTGAGTTTTTCTCATGCTGTTCTTGTGACAGTGAATAAGTCTCACAAAATCTGCTGGTTTTATAAGGGACACTTCCCCTGCACATGCTGTCTCTTGCCTGCCACCATGTAAGATGTGCCTTTTTCCTCCTTTGCCTTCTACCATGATTGTGAAGCCTCCCCAGCCATGTGAAACTGTGAATCCATTAAACTTCTTTTTCCTTATGAATTACCCAGTCTTGATTGTATCTTTATTAGCAGGGTGAAAATGAACTAACATAAGTTCTCTCTGTGTTTGTGTGTCTTCACATTGTTGTCTTTGTATAAGGACATCAGTTATATTGTATTAAGAACCTATCCTGGCCAGGCACGGTGGCTCACACCTGTAATCCCAGCACTTTGGGAGGCCGAGGTGGATGGACCACCTGAGGTCAGGAGTTTGAAACCAGCCTGGCCAACATGGCAAAACCCCGTCTCTACTAAAAATGCAAACGCTTAGCTGGGTGTGGCAGTGAGTGCCTGTAATCCCAGCAACTTGGGAGGCTGAGGCAGGAGAATCACTTGGACCTAGGAGGTGGAGGTTGCAGTGAGCCAAGATTGCACCATTGCACTCCACTCCAGCCTGGGCAACAAGAGCATGCCTTCCATGCTTCCAAGAGCAAACTTCATCTAAAAAAAAAAAAAAAAAAAATCCTACTCAAGTTATGACTTTATCTTAACTAATAACCTTTGCAACGACCCTATTTCCAAATAAGGTCACACTCTGCATTCTGAGGTACTAGGAATTTGGTTTCTAATATATATAATCTTTAATATATATATAAAATATATATTATATATACACACATTAAATATATACATATGTGTGTATTTGTGTGTGTATTTTTTTTTTTTTTTTTTTTTTTTTTTGCCAGTGGTGAATGGAAGGGCACAATTTAACTTCTAACAGCTGGTGACCTGATTGTAATTTTACTTTATTTTTTCTTCTTCATTTTCATCTGTATTCTTATTTTATGGAAAATAAATGGGGGATTTTATTCCTATAAATGATTAAGTTCTACGCTTAATCATCTAGATTAAGGAGAAATCGGAAGCATAGTTTATCTACTACTTATTCCAGGATATGTCTTCCTGGATTAGGTATCAGAATTAACAGAGTTGGGACTCAGTATGGCACGAATAATTCCTAGAAAGAAATGAAGAGGTTGCAGCAGAGGCTTTGTGGGAAATTGCATTGTCTGTGTTAACCTAGAAACCAGAGTGGACATGGGAGGGAGAATTAAATGTTTAAGAAAGAAGGCAGAAAAGCCTCATGATAATGAGCTAGGTTTGAAATAATATCTTTTTCTAAATGCTGAAGTTGGAGGAAGAAAATCCACGAGTAATTGCATTCAGTGCCTATTGAACAAATTATTGGGTTAAACTACACTGGCAAGTGAAAAACTAGAGCATAGAAAAATTCTGTAACAGGCAGATGCATATAGGTCCTAGAAAAAAAAACACAGACGATCAAAAAAACCTGCATAAAAGTCAGAAGATTGCAAGAACTGATGTGAGGGAGAAACAACCTGGACAAGCTATGCAGTCACTAGGGAAGAAGATGTGGACAAAAGGAATTCAGACACCAGACTAGATAACAGCCAAAGGTGAGCAAAAGGGGGACATAGATAATGGAAACCTATTGCCATTCCAGGCATGAAGTTAGACAAGACTGATTCCATCCTGGAACCAGAAGAGGAGAGTTAGCCCAGCGGGTTCATCTGTTAGAAAGGGGAGCTTGATAGATACTCGAGGGCTTGCTGCAGGTGGAGGCAGGAAAGAGAAAGAAGATATGGAACGCGTGCTGGTATTATAATTTTCATTCCGGAAAACTCATCACAGTCAGTGTGAGTTTGAGGATTCTAGTTTGAATGAGTCCGTGAGGATTCTCAAAGAGAGCAAAAACAGCCTCTCTTTTTTCCAAGAGGAAAAAAAGAAAGCATTCTCTCTTTCTTTTCTCCCTCTTTTTTCCAAAAGAAAAAAAGAAAGCATTCTCTCTTACTTTTCTCTCTCTTTCTTTAACTGTTCTCACAGTCCTTGGGCAAGCAAAACAACAATCTATTTACAATCTTGCTTCTCTCAATTATGGGACTTTGATCTTAAGGTTCCAACAGGCAGAAGTGGACTAAAATTAGTAGCTACATTTTTTATGCAGGATGTGACAGTGGCCCTCCTTCCTCTTGATTACAGGCTTAGGTTTAATGAGAGAATAGAGTGAACCCCAAGGATGTTCAGGGTAGCTGACCTGCAGGCTCCCACTTGGTACTACAATCTCGAGCTAACAGCTTTCCAAAATTCCCCAACACCCCATTGATCTCCATCTACCTGGACATAGTCTTAACTCAGAGGGCATAAAACATGTGAGATGCTTTTTGGACAAGAACACTTAAAGATTGAGGATATTCAGATATCTGAATTATATTTGGTAAGTGAAAAATGCCACATACTGCCCTCTGGTTAATGGAGCATTTGAAAATTACTGAGGAACCATACATGTAAGAAGATGCACTTCCAACAGAAAAAGAATATTGCATTGTGTCCAAATATGGACACTGTAATTGTTCATATTTTTGGGGTAAGGTGTGATATTTCAATACATATATACTATGTGTAATGATAAAATTGGGGTAATAGCATATCCATCACCTCAAATATGTATTATTTCTTCATGCCAGAAACACTCAAAATCCTCTCCTTTATTTGAAATTATACAAAAAATTGTTGTTAACTATAGTCACCATATAATGCTGTTAGTCACTAGAACTTATTCCTCCTATCTTGCTGTATTTTTTTTATCTGTAAGCCAACTTCTTCCTAGCCTTCCTTTACCTTTTGTAATCACTGGTAACCACTATTCTATTCTTTTCTTCTTTGAGATCAACATTTGTAATTCCAACAAATGAGGGAGAACATGCAGTATTCATGTTTATGTGTCTGATTTACTTAACGTAAGGTCTTCTAGTTCCATCCATGTTGCCACAAATGACAGAATTTCCTACTTTTTATGGCTGAGTAGTATTCTATTGTATAAACATACCACATTTTCTTTATTCATTTATCCACTGATGGATAGGTTGATTGCATATCTTGGCTATTGTGAATAGTGCTGTAATAAGCACGGGTGTACAGATTTTTTTTGACATACTGACTTATTTTCCTTTGTATATATACTCAGTAGTGGGATTGCTGAATGATGTGGTAGTTATGTTTTAAATATTTTTGGAAACCATACTGTTTTTCATAGTGGTTGTACTAATTTACAGATATTTAATACAGTGTGGCTTTCTTCCACAATAGCAACAATTCATCCATCTCATCTTACTTCTGTGGCTGATCCCTGAGTTTGGATATGTGAATAAAAGACACACATAAAGACCAAATGAAAAGAGAGTACCTATGTTCCAAAGGACAAATTCCTGCCGAGTTTTTGGTTTATGTAATAACTGCGCTGGAGTCTTGTGTGCCCCACAATGTACAAGAATGCGCCAACATGACAAACCAAAAAGGAAGATGAATATTTTCTATTCAACCTTCCAGAATTCATGCTCATCCCCCATTTTCTCCTGCTCATATATCTTAAAAATTAATTCATTGATTTGTTTTGTCCCTTTCACCTTTTTTTCTTCAATCCTGGCTCCAATTTCCATAAACTTCCTTTGTAACGTGTTTAATGTGCACCATGTTTTGTATAAGTGCTTTTGCAAAATATGCATGCTTTGTGTACATGAAATTTTAATTTATATAAATGTATTGTGTTCATATATACTATTATTTTCATGCTTTTTTCACTAAAAACTATATTTTAAAATTCAATCATAGTGTTTTGAGTAATGAATCCATTGTTCATAACTACTGATTGACATTTCATGGTGTCCATTCATCACGTTTTACCTGGTCATTCTCCCAGGGTTAGACTCCCAGGTTGCCTCCCAATTCTAACACTGCGATGAACACCTTACAAGTATACCCTGTGAACCTGTGTGAGACTATCTTTGAGTCACGTATCCAGCAGGAGAATTGCAGAGCTGTGCGGGCTATATCCTTTCTATCCTGCATATCTAGAGAGAAGTAGATTTGCTCTCCAAAATAGCATTTTTCACTAACAGTGCTTGAGGGCTCCTATGTCCTTGAATTTCCACCAATACATGACATTCTAGCTTCCTAATCTTTGTTTAAAAGGTGCAAAGTAACACCTTGTTTTAATTGACATTTCTCTCATTACTAATGATCTAGTGATTTTGAGTGTGTCTTTATGTGCTGTTAATTTCTTTTTCATGATTTTTGCTTTTTTTCTTCAGGAGCATCTTTATTCTTGTTGATTTATAGACTTATATAATCTTTCTTTTTGTTTCTTTTCTGAATTAAATATCTTCTTCCATTTTTCCATCTGTTTCTTAACTTTTGTCTATGTTATGATTCATAGACTATAAATCTGCATTTTGGCATATTGAAAATTATCTTTTTTGTCTTACATTTGTGTTTTTGGTATTTTTGTTTAAGATACCATTCTAAGATCCTGCTACAAAGATATTCTATTACATTTTCTCTAGAAATTTTATGGTTTTTAATTGACGTAGTGTACGTGTGTGTGTGTGTGTGTGTGTGTGTGTAGGTGTGTATCATGTTATGTAGAAATCTAGGTTTTTCCTATTTATAGTACAAACCCTTTCAGAATTCAAAGTTGATTACAATTATGTTTAGGTAAAAAAGGATTTCAACAATATCAACACAAATATGGCATTTTCACTGAAAATCTGCAGTCTAAATAGGTACACAAAAAGGAAAGAGAAATACTTGGAAGATCCAAATTTATACCCTGCCAAAATATCATTATCTAAGTAACACTGTTTTCTATTTGATATTTCTAGAATTACAGACTACTAGGAAAACCTGAGACTTAGCTAGCAGCAGCTAGTGGCACAGGTGAGATTTCTTTCAAATCTCAATGGCTTTCATGTGGATGTTGACTGATGGAAGAAGAAAAACCTGTCTTTGATAAAGTACAAACAATTGCTTCAAGCACTCTGACTTCACCTTGACCTGTTTTCAAGTGATTAATTTCATCATATAAATAGCTACAATACAACACTGACAGGGCTTCAGCTTAGACAACCCTTCACCCCTGGCCCTCAGGCCTCAATTCCTTTACTATTTATATCTTTAGGAGCTGGCACCACTTTTTCTTGTAACAATGCAACAATAACTACTAAATCTAGATCTTTTTATCTTCTGCCCAACCTCCCCCAAAATGCTGATGTTCAGAGTATTGTACAGTAGACAGACAATCCATCATGTCAAATGTGCTGGCAGACTGGCTGACTTCTGCCTTTATGGAATTCAATGCCTTGCCAAGTAAATAAATATAGTAAAAAACACAGCCAAAATTAGATATGCCTTTAAATAAGTTATTATAGGAAATTTGCCAAGAGCTTTTTCTTTCCCGTCTCCCAGACTGCCTGTGTGTAAGGTCAAAAGGTCAGAGTAGATTCTGCCTCGCCAGTTCTAACATCACATCATCACATAGTTCCACTCTGCTTCATGATCCTTCCTGCTAATCAAAGCAAGCCTGTGGAGTCTGTTCGAAGTTACTGAAGAATTATTTAGCAATCCTGCCAGAGCTCCTCGCCTATTGTTCACAACCAGGAGTGTTATCTCATCTTTGGGCCAAAGAACAGTTTATCTTTCCTCAGAAAGACAGATATGAAAGCACTTAAGGGGCACACACTCTCTAGCCAATCATGAAAAATCACATCCAAAAGCTATTTTGCAACTTCTCAGCTACTGGGTCAATTTGTCCGATATCTAAATAGTTCCTCCTTTTGTTAAAGAAATTTCCTGCTTTGAAGAAAACATTAGAGATGAAAGGTTACAAAAACTTGGTGGAGTGAGAAGAAACTTGCATTGGACAGAACGCATAAGGAGATGCATTCCCTTTAAAATCAAACAAGGAGGAAGCTTTTGTTGCAGTTAAACTGATCCAATTTCCATTATGTTTAAAATGATTTTTGTTCAGAAGTGTACAAACCAAAGGTGTTTACTAAAAAACTTTACCACTTATGGTATTATTTTAAAAAAGATAAATAAACGTACCTCTTCTAAATATTTAAAACATGAAATATTTATCTCAAATGCGAATTGATTTTTGACGCTGATTATCAAGTAGAGGTCTTGACTGCCGCACACTGAAGTGTAACTGCCTTTCCATGCAGGCATGACCAGAGCATAATTAATATCCCACATATTTGAGGCACAGAGATCTAAAAATCTCTATGTAGCACTGCCAGGAGCTTGAAATCGAGGAGCGAAAAGTATTTGAATAGCCAAAATTAACATTGCAAAGCCCTGACTTGAAAGCCAATGTAAATCCTACAAGTGAATCCCATGCCATAACTCATCTGATTAACTTGATTTTTACATTTACTTTCCCCATTTTAAGCACAGAAAAGGACAGAGAGCAGGCTGGGTCCATATTACTATACTTGCTTTACAGATGAGAAAAGCCCAGACTTAATGAGGTTAACTATGTTGCCCAAGTCCAAACATTAAATGTTTTAGATTTTAGGGAATATGATCATAACTTGTTTAATAAAGAAGATAAATTCAGAGACCCTTAACCATCAGAAACCCCTTTCTCCGTATGTAAAGCGGAGGCATGTAAGTGTCTTTGCAGGTTGGTGTCTGTCCAAGCGAGAGCTGGCTTTCTCTGGCCCTTCAGCTGCCAGCTCCGTCTGCCGGTGTTGCTCGATCTTGGAGGTTTTTTACCAACTTGTGATAAGCTATTGAATAGGATCAGAATAGGGCTAAAGAAAGTCTATACCAGGGAAGTGGTAGCAGGATTAAAATGAGAGACTGATTTGAAAAATGTTTTAGAAACAATATTTGAGACTTATCAAAAAGTAAGTATCCATCATCTATTCCTTTTTGGGAAATATCTTATGGATGGATGATATGAGATTGACAGGTATAATTTCCAATGATTTATATTCATATGACTCATAAGTTTGTTTTTCATAAATAGCTTCCATTCATATTTAAACTATATGATTTTATAATAAATATTGAATTGTTCTGTACATATATAGATTTTATGACCAAACTATACTGTGACTGGATTTCTGCTTTAGACAAACTGAATGTTAGATTAGGCTACACACCACCTGATGTGTCTTGATGATACCACTCTTAATGAACACAGCCCTTTACGAAAGTGACCAGCATCACAGATAATGCTATTGTATTAGTCCAGCCATCAGCTATTTCTCTTTATTAGATCTCCCCTGAAGGAACCAAGGACTTTAATAAGTCATTCCCTTATAAAGTGACCATACAATTGTAACACATGCAAATACAGGCTACTGAGATTAGTCTTGTGTAATATTGATCTTGTAGTCTTTACAGAAATCAGAGACATGTAAAGAGGTCACAATCTCTTCGTCTATATTCTTACTGGCAGTATCTTCTTCCTCCATTCAAAAAGTCTCTTGCACACAGTGTCGTCGATATACAGTTAATCTTCATTATTCCTGAATTTGCCTACTTGTTACTTTATTTTATTTATTTATTGATTTTATTATACTTTAAGTTCTAGGGTACATGTGCACAACGTGCAGGTTTGTTACATATGTATACATGTGCCATGTTCATGTACTGCACCCATTAACTCATCATTTACATTAGGTATATCTCCTAATGCTTTCCCTCCCCACTCCCCCCATCCCACGATAGCAAAGACTTGGAACCAACCCAAATGTCGATCAATGATAGACTGGGTTAAGAAAATGTGGCACATATACACCATGGAATACTATGCAGCCATGAAAAAGGATGAGTTCATGTCCTTTGTAGGGACATGGATGAAGCTGGAAGCCTACTTGTTAAAATGTATTTGCAACCCCAAAATCAATACTTGCAGTGCTTTCATAGGCATTTGTGGACACACACAGAGAGAAAAATTAAGTCACTCCACAGGTTTCACAGGTTCCCAGCTGATGTTGAAAAAGGTGATGCTCTGCCACCTCTTTGCAGCCCTGCTTTTAGTAAATGAGTGTCTTTTTCCCGATCTTTTTTAGCGTCATGTTTTTCACATTTTTGTGCTTTTTGTCGATAATTTCTCTGTTTAAATTGGCCCCTCAAATGTAATGCTGAACTGCTATCTAGTGTTTCTAAGTGCAAAAGGTGTGCCTTCTGGAGAATATATGTGTGTTAAAAAGGCTTCATTCAGGCATGTGTTATAGTACTCTTGGCTGTCAGTTCAATGTTAATGAATCAACAGCATAGTACATCCAGAAAAAGGAAGAGAAAATTTTCTTATCTCGATAAGAGGTTACTCTGGAAAGAGCTAAAGTTAACATTTATAGTTCATAATGAAACTATAGAAAAGATGGAAAACTGGCTAAATTTGTGGGCTCATGAGATGACAACCAGTAAAAATGTGTAGGGGACAGCTTTGTTGTGAGGCTGAAAGTCAAAAAACTATGGTCATGTAACCCAGGGTCAGGACAATGTTAAGCTCTTTGTGGCTCATGCTGAGAAGTTTACATATTTTGAAAGGCAATGTGTCATGAATATGTTAAATTTTCAGGTGAGAAAGGTTCTGCAGCTTAGGATGCTGTGGAAGAATTTTAAGAATACCTGCTAAGTGGGATACAGAAATAGGATTAGGTGGGAGAGCAGGTTTTCTATTCTTATGAGACTGACTAGTTTTAGGAGGATGTTGACAAACAAATATTTATACTACAAATGGTGTTTAGGTTGAGGAAAATGTCTTGGGCAGAGGCTTGTGGGAAAATAACTCTGGATTACCCTAGGAGCAGTAGTTTAGTATTTTCTAATTCAGTGTTCATGGTGGCTTTATAGAACCCATTACAGCAAATAGTAAGAATTGACTGTATTTGTCTTAGATATGAAAGAAATACTCTCTATTCTCCAAAACAGATTTCCCAAACTGTATCACAGAATATTAATAAGTGCTATTAAAATTCTTAGTTCTTCAATCAAATAATAAAGAAATAAATAATAACAAAAATCTGAAATCCCATAATTTTGTAAAACGCTGGCTAAAGTAAAATTAAATTACTTTTTCTTTCTTTCTTCTGGATTTTTATTTTTAGAAACAGGGTTTTGCTGCCATCCCAGCTGGAGTGCAGTGGTGCGATCATAGTTCACTCCAGCCTCAACTCCTGGGCTCAAGCGATCTTCCTATCTCAACCTCCAGAGTAACTGGGACTACAGGCATGCAACATCACACCAAGCTAATATATTTATTTTCCTGTAGAGATGGGGTCTCACTATGTTGCAGACTGGTCTTAAACTGCTAGCCTCAAGCTATCCTCTCCTGTGGCCTCTCAAAGCGCGGGGATTACAGACATGAGCCACCACACTTACCTATTCTTTCTTTTTTTTCCTTTAATTTTTAAATTGACAAATAATAATAATTGTGCTTATTCATGGAAGGTACCTAACATTGTTTCAATACATATAATGTATAGTAATCAGATTAGGGTAATTAGCATACCTATTATATCAAACATTTGTCATTTCTTTATGTTGGGAATGTTCAATGCATTCCTCGTTTTAGCCATTTGACTCTATATAATATATAGTAATATATTATTGTCAATTATAGTCATCTTACAATGGTATAGAATATTAGAATGTATTCCTCCTATCTAACTGTAATTTTGTACCCTTTAACAAATCTCTTCCTTTCCTTCTATCTTTCCCAGCCTCTGGTATCCTCTGTTCTACTTTTTACTTCTATGAAATCAACTTTTTTTTTTTTTTTTAACTTCCACGTATGACAGAGCGTGTGGTATTTCACTTTCTGTTCCTGGCTTAATTCACTTAATATAACATCCTCCAGTTCCATTCATGTTGCCACAGTATTTTATTCTTTTATTTATGACAGTATTTTATTCTTTTTTATGGCTCAGTAGTACTTTTTTATGCATTTTCTTTATCCATTCATCTGCTGTTGAGCACCTAGTTTGATTCCATATCTCAGCTATTGTGAATAGTACTAAAATAAACATGGAAAACAAATTTTCCCTACTAAATTTCTCAAAGCTGTTGAAATAATAATCTGTAAAGGGAAATCACATGTAGCTTTGCCTGAACTCTTTTCAACATCTGTGTTGTGTGGAATAGTAAAAAACACTTCTTTAGCACTTTTTATGTGCCAGTCATTCTTCTAGACACTTTTCTATATTAACACATTTTATCTTCACAGTCACTGTATTAGGATAAGATCTATATATAATCCCATTTTCAAGATGAGGAAATTAAGGCAAAGAACCAAGCAAGCTGGCTTTCCTCCCTGTACTCTTAAGTTCTATATCGTGCTAAACATTTTTGAGAAAATAATGTCTTAAACATAGAAGAATCAAATACTAATCACAGAGTGCAGTGTTCAGGCTTTTCTGTGATCTCGACCCCCCTGTCCAATCACAGGTCCCTTTCCCCTTATACACTGCATTTACTAAAGTCTGTCACCCACTGACCAAGTCGTGTGCCTTATACCATTGCCCGTATTCCATATTCAGGGACTCAACATCCTTTTCTTCAACATTTCAGCTCCCAGTTGTGCAATGAAACCTTAAGCTGACTCTTCCAAAAAAGATACGGAAGTAAAACAAAACTGGAATCTGACTTGTTATGATTGCAGTTTGGAGAATGGTTTAAAGAGAGGGTATAGTACCTTTAGGATATTTTGGATTCAGGGATTTGTTTATGAATTGTATTTCGACAATATATTCTGATTTCCTAACCAAACTCCTTGAAAACAAGGGCTATGGATTGGATTCTTCACTCACTCCAAGCCCCAGTAAAATCTGAGAAAGTATCTCAGATATTGTATATCTTAATTGTATATTGTATATCTTAATTGTATATTGTACATTTTAATATCTCTGATATTATATACATTATTAAGTCAAAATAAGGCAAATATTTTTATTAATAAAAATGCTGATATGTACAAATATATTTTTGTTGAAACATTTATCTCTCTTAAAATATTTTATTTAACTCAGAAATAAATAGATTATATTGAGGACTTAAAAATTTTATTTTATTTTAGGCTCAGGGGCTACATGTGCTTGTTTCTTACATGGGTATTACATGGGTAATTGTGGGGAACGCAATTCTAGTGTGCCCATCACCCAAGTATTAAACATTGTACCAAATAGGCAATTTTTCAATCCTCACTCACCTCTTATTGTCTACGCTTTTGGAGTTCCCAGTGTCTATTATCTCCATCTTGATGTTCATGTCTGCCCATTGCTAAGCTTCTACTTATTAGGGAGAATACATGATATTTGATCTTCTGCTTCTGAGTTAGTTTACTCAGGATAATGACCTCTAGCTCCATTCATGCTGCTGCAAAGGATATGATCTTATTGTTTATTATGGCTGTATGATATTCCATTATCCAAGCAACCATTGATGGGCACTTAGGGTGGTTCCATGACTTCTCTATTGTGAATAGTGCTGCAATAAACATCCAAATGCAGGTGTCTTTTTTTATATAATGCTTTCTTTTTCTTTGGGGAGATGCCAAGTAATGTAATTGCTGGTGGAATGGTAGTTCTATTTTTAGTGCTTTGCGATTTCTCTATACTGTGTTTCATAGGGGTTGAACTAATTTACATTCCTACCAACCATTTTTAAAACTAGAATTTGGCAATAAAAATAAAACAATGATTATTAAACAACATTTAGTAGAAAAAATAATTCTTAAGTTGGTGTAAATTTGAGGCTAACCATGAGCTAACAGAGTTTAAGTAAGCTTTCAGAGTTTTGTGTACATACAAAAAGATATATTGTGCAACAAGTCATACAGAATTAGAAAATCAATTTTTATCTGCTTAGGAGGTAAGCCAACCATAGAGAAGACATTGAAAAAGACTTGAATAGTGATCAAATTTGAGTCCACAGTAAAAGGATATATGTCTGGTGAGAATTTAAGCTTAACAAAATTGGATGAACAGTTTTTCTCTCGGTACTTAGAAACAGGTAGCAGTTTTTCAGTCATATAGATTTATCTGGTTCATTTTTTTCACCATTATTGGCAGCATGTTAAAAATGCCTAATTCCTGTTAAGTAGGTTGAGACACTTCCATTTTACAAGTGTGGATTTATCTATTTTCTGAGTGACTTTCCTGCTACTAAGATGGGAGAAATGACAAAACTCAGTGTCAGAGATGCCTGGGTTTCAGCTGACCCTCACTGAGAAAATGAGATCATTGAGAAAATTCCTTAATCCTTCTGTATTAAGGAATTAATTTCCTATTGTTGCTGTAACAAATTACTATAAACTTTGAAATATAAAACAATACAAATTCATTGTATTATGTTTGTGGAGGTCAGAGCCCTAAAATCCAGATATTGTCAGGGCTGCATTGCTTTTGAAGGCACCAGGGCAACATCTGTTCCCTTGCCTTTTCCAGCTTCTGGAGGCCACCTACATTCCTTGGCTCACAGCCCCACTCTCTGTCTTCAAGATCAGCAGCATAGCAACTTTAACTCTCTCTTACTCTTTCTCTCTGAACTCTGCTCCTCTCTTCACATCTTCTTCCTCCTCTCATTACCTTATAAGGGATTTTGTGATAACATTGGCACACCTGGATAATTCAAAATAACTTTTCTATCTCAAGACCCTTAACTTAAATCATGCCTGCAATATCCATTTTGCCATGTAAAGTAATATATTCACAAATTCTGCTGATCAGGACAGGCATGTCTTTGAGAGAACATTATTCTGTGTACTATACACTCTAAGTCTCATTTTCATCATGTATAAAATGGGAGTCATAATTAGTGCCTCAGTCTAGCATTGAAATAAGCTCTTAACATACAACCTGGCATATAGAGGGTATTCAATTCCACATAATTATTTTATGAGTCTGTGCGGTGATGCCTTATTTGTTTCGCATTGTCTCAGAATATTTTATTTCTTGCTTTCTTCTTATATGTCTCACTATGTTGAATCATCATATTTCAGGCTTTTATTTATTCAACAAACAATTATTGACCAAATCAAATGATTGAATGTTTGTATTTCCCTCCTACTCCAAATTCATATATTGAAACCCTAATCCCAATGTGATGATATTTAGAGGTGGGGCCTTTGAGAAGTAATTAGGTCTTGAGGGTGCAGCTCTCATGAATGGGTTAGTGCCATTATATGTAGTGCAGAGAGCTAGCTCTCTTTCTGTCATAGGAGGATGCAATGAGAAGTTGGTGATCTGCAACCTGAAAGAGGGCCCTTATCAGAACTCAACCAAGCAGACATTCTGATCTCAGGCTTTCAGCCTCCAGGACTATAATAAATAAATTTATATTGTTCACAGGCCACCCAGTCTATGGTGATCTTTTGTTACAACAAAGTCTGAGCTCAGGTATCCAGTTAGTACCAGTGCTGGATTAGAAGCTAGTGCCCTATGCTGGGTCCCTAAGTTTTCCAAAGCCGAGTTATTTCAGATTGCACCTTTCTTCTTGAGATTTATCATGTCCTTCACTGGTCTCCCATTTTCAAAACTCTCTTTTCCAGAGTTTGGTTCCTCACTGCTTTCATCCGTGTACCTTGCTTGGTCTGGAGGAATGTAAGCATTTCCCATGCCTCAGATGGCTCTTTGACTAAGAGTGGCTTCAGGCTTAATTTGGATAGCAGGATGCTGGAGCGCTCCCCTAGCATTACCAGCTCAGCACTCATCAGGAGGTCCTGCCTCATCCCTCATTGTTGGGGGCTGGAGTCTTGTTTTGATATATGCAAAGAGATAGGCCAACAATTAAAAACACTGGTGATTTAGTAATGCAGTCTAAGAGCTGAAAACATTGGAAAGAAATATTAGGGAGGAAGAGGTGTCCACATAGGCAGCAACGAATGAAGGAGCCCAAAGAGGGAACACAGTGGTGTGCTGAGGGAGATACAGGTATTCCATTTGATGCCATGAACTGGGTGAGGTGAAAACAACAGGCTTGTGCAATTTCATGAGCAATTTCATGCACTGTGTGTGGTGGTGGACTCAGGCAGCACCTTCACCTGCTCAGAAGGGCACAATTGAAAGGAGTTTTTCTTTGCTCTTCTCTGACTCACAGTAAGTCCTTGGAGGTGTTAGCTGATTTCTTATACCTGTCCTCCAAGCAGGCATGTAATCAGAAACTCCCCAACAGGAGAGAGTTCTAGAGGAAGGTCTGCTAGATACAGATTTTTTGTAATATTCTTGGTGAAGATTGACGCAATGAAATGGAATGCCCCATAAACATACAAAATCTGCTTGGGCAGATGTGAAAATTTATCAGTAGGGATAGGAATTAATCAAATAATTATATAAATATGTATCAAATTGCTAGATTCTAAAATTTACATTATTCTTTCTTCTCTTTTAACATCTCTGTAATAGTATTGCATCTCAATTATTGACGGCTTGCCAGTAGTTGTGCCATGGTAGTTGCGATTAATTGCCTATGCATAAGCATGAAAATTTTCAGAATGGATGACAGCAATTTCCCAGAGACAAAAGTGGAAAACACTTTTAAGAAGTACTACACTATCAATACTCCTGATGACACAGCAGATATTATTGTATGAGCAAGCACAGGCATCAACCATTCTGACTGGAAAAGTAGTGCAGATTATTTGGGCTCTGAGGGATAATGAAGATATTTTATACATACTTTAATCAACATTTTTGTTTTTTGAACAAAGAATGCAAAGTACAAAAGAATGTAATATTATAAAATACAAGTAGATAGGGCTAAACAGCTCATTCTTTAAGATAAAACAAAAATTCTAACTAATAAGAATGTGAATGTCACAGTTTGATTGGCAATAGTTTTATTAAATAACGTAGACTTAGATTTGATGAAGTGTAGTGATAATTAGCACAATTGCATTTGCGATATAAAGAAGTATGAAATGGAATGAAAGTAAAAAATGGAGAGATAAATTTAGGCCTATAATTTAGAGAGAGCTATCCAGAAGAAGTGGCATTAAGATAAAATTAAGTAGCGTTATAGACAAAACTTTACAGATAATCAGGGTTTCACTTACTGATGAAGTAGAGCGGGTGGTCATTGCAAGCCAGAGAAGCATTCTGTGTAGAGGCCCATATGAAAGAAGGTGTCATGGTCTAGAGCAAGTAGGGCTGTGTTGGGCAATGAGCCTAGAGAGGGAGAGAGTGGTCGCTTGCTGAAAGGCCATGTTATGTATTTTGGACTTTATTGTGAAATCATTGAAAAGCCATAAAGGCTTTAGGCACTTGTGTGATCAAACTAGTTTTGTGTTTTGTAAGTTCACTGTTTTTGCAAGGTGGAGGGTAGCTTGAGGGGTGAATGATGGTGAGGCTGGGATTCACTTAGGCGCTTCTACAATCATTCAGGGGAAAAATAATGGTGACTGCACTAGAACAGTGACAGTGGAAACTAATGGAAGTGGAAAGACTTGAGAGGTCATTGAAGGTAGTGAAGGCCAGCCTTATTTTTCAGAGTGGATGGCGGTGATGGGATCCAGACTTCTGATAATGGACACTTCATCCTTAAAGTTGCAATGTTCTCCTTTACTCTTAGTGGGTGATTTCGTGTTCTAGTAGAGTGATAGCATTGAGAATGGTTAGAAGTGGGGAAACTGGTGAAATATTTAAGAAGTATTAAATACAGGATATCTTTGTATATGCAGATTGTGAATAAAATAATTAACATCTGTAAACACATGCAAAACAAGGTGAATTATGATGCCATTTTTGAGATAAGAACTGGAGGAGCAGATTCAGGAGCATCTACAGGGAGATTCATTTTGAACAACTGTGTTAGGAATCTTTCTGATATCTAAAGGAGATGTGAAACAGGTTTTCATGTTTATAAATATATAGATGTAGAACTCAGAAGAGACACCCAGAAAGCTGGAGATATGAATTTCTAAGTAGATGGCAATTAAATCCACAGAATAGGCTAAGTATGCTGAAGTGGACTGAATGGTGTTTATGGTCACCACCCCAAACCAAATATGTCTGTGTCCTTATCCCTAGGACTTGTGAATGTTAACTTATTTGGAAAATTGGTTTTTTAGGTATAACTAAGTGAAGGATCTCAAAATAAGATCATCTAGGATTATCCAGGTGGGCCCTAAAACTAATGCCAAGTAACTTTATAAAATACCTAGACCCAGAGAAGAAGGCCATATGAAGATGGAAGCAGAGATTGGAGTAATGCAGCCAAAAGCCCAGGAATATCTGGAGCCACCAAAGGCTGGAACAAACAAGAAACAGAAGCTCCCTTTGATCCTCTGGAGGAAGTATTCCAGGCTTCCGTCCTCCAGAGCTGTGAGAGAATTCATTTCGTGTTTTAAGCTAGCAAATTTGTGCTGATTTGTTATAGCAACTTCAGGAAATCAACACAAATGTCTAGGATGAAATTTCAAGGTGAGAAGGCAAGAGGGCCTGGGTTCTTGAGAAACTTCAACATATCAAGCCCTCTATGGGAGGTTGAATTGATGAAGAAACAAGATATAAACAGAGAAGAAGGAGAAGTGTGGTGTCATGGAAGCCAAGGGAAGGAAACGCTTCAGAAAGGAGAAAGTTGGCAGCTGTATCAAAAGCTGCCGAACTATGAAGTAATGGGGCTCTAAGTAGTGATTCACAAGTTTAGCTATATGGATCATATTAAAGCTCCTCTAGGTATAAGACAGGAGAGTTTAACAGAAATTAAGGTGTAGCAAAGTACCTCTCTGATTATTATTCCCTTCTTGTAATGTCAGGCTTATGACTTGCTTATAACAAATAAAAGTGGTAGAAGGGATGCTGTGTGACTTTTGTGGTTAGTTCAAAAAAGATTAGTTTCACTTTAGTTGCTGGAACCCTTGTGCAAGAGCCTTGAGCTGTTATGCTGTGAGGAAGCCCAAATAGCTCACATAGAGAGACCATATGAAGATGGCTTGAGAAAACATAGAAAGAAAGATATTTCTAGGCCTACTGCACCAGGCCCAGCTACCATCTGAGTGAACATCATGAGAGACTCCAAGCCAGAAGCGCTCAGCTGCAACCTTTCTCCTGACCCACAAAATCCTTGAGAGCTGATATTAATAAAATAAGTGTTATGTTTTAAGCCATTAAAGTATTTCATACAGGAATAGTAATCAAAACATGAGGTAAGCAGTTCTCATGTAACATACTGAAAAATATGTTAAATGAAAAATTACATTGCCATTATATAAATCCATTCTCCATAAGAACACAAAAGGGAATTTCAGAGCCAAATTATCACTTTAAAAACTTTTCCCATAAAGGTTTTGGTCACATTGCATTCTGGGAAACTTCAGAAAAGTGCTTTATTTTCTCATAAAATTAATAGTAGATCAAATATAAATGCATAACTTAATAATTTACCTTTTAATTTTCAGCACACACATGGCATTATTCCTGAGGTAAGGTTGTCAAAAAGTTATGGAAAAATTAAGCCCTCTGGCAAAATGTCAAATCTGAATGGATGCTTATGCTGAATCTACAAACCTTTGTCAAAAAGCCCTTAAAACTAAACATGATTCAGAATTCAAATTTTTAAAACATTACGTAACACCTCTAACAGTCTGAGACAGTACCCCATAATATAAAACAATAGACATATTTAGCAAAATGTATTACATGTACTCTAATTTAAATAAATATAGACTATACATGAGTTCTTATCAGAAAATTGGTTTGCAGCCAAAATAATTTGGAAAAAAATGGTTTTCAGGACATTTTGGAGTTTGGAATCATGGATAAGGAATTGTAAACCTACTTCTGTCCCATTTTTCTTCCCTCACTTATTTTCATAAGAAACTGAGTGCTGATGGAGAAAGCTGCAACCACAGGGCAAATGGTTTGATTATATGTCAATAATCATGATGCTCAAAGGAGACCTTGAAACCACCTGGCATTTCTATCAAGTTTCTCTTGTGTCTCATAAAAATTCAACCAACTTTTCCTATTCATTTTTGGTAGATGAATTCATGTTGTAATTTACACTGAAAACAAAAGCCATTCAGTAGAGAATTTCTCATTTTTCTGATATCAAACCTGACTCTGTTACTATAATAAAAAGATTTCCCATATACCTTGTGTTTGAGGCCACTTGTACCCTGTGCTTGAGGTCCTAACCCCTGCTACCTTCTCAGAACCCCCACACTATGTAGTAGCTCTTTCTTGTATTGAACAGGGTAACTCTTAATTCTCTGTTTTTCATTATTGGATGGGTGATGATGAATTAGCTAGCATTGGAACATTGGAAGATAAAATAACAAGATCAAGTTTGTTTATGTGTTTGTGAGATATTAAGTAATTGTTGTATAGATAAATTATTTCACACATAAGTTATCTGTGAACGTTATTATTGAAGATTTGGACATGGGTGAAATTAACTCTTTTGAAAGTGTAGAGTGGAAAGGAAAGAGGGCTTAGATTGGGGCCATGAGTTTAGTGACAGGAAGAGTAGATGCTTTTAAAAGAGACAGAAAAAATAGCCAGCTAGGGTGAAATCCAAGACATCATAATTCATACAGAAATTAGACAAAGCTTTCCAGAAATTTGATGTAAAGGGAAAGTTAAAGCTGTAAAACTGTAACTGGAGAGAAATGAGGCGAATATGTAGGCATTGTTTTTCTTAATCCTTTTCATGTGGGAGCACACTGTACCATACAATTATGAATGAGTTTCTTCCAGGGGACTAATGCACTCCTAACTTTGGTTTCCTTCATTCAACCAATAGATTTTTGAGTCCTCGGTTCTCTGTCAGGCTGGGAAACTGAAGCTGAATAAGACATACTTGATGATCTCAAAATGCGCAGAGTCAAATGCAGAGCTTGACATCTGGTAATTTTTGTTGTAGGATCTTGTTACCATATCTGTATGACTATGGGGGAGTAAAGGTTGAAGACATCTTTAAAAAGTGAAGAACAATATAGTTTTATAAAACAATTTATAGTGTGATTCATGATAAAGTCTAAGACACCTTTGAAATTAGAGAATGAGTGGGGGAAGTAGCATAAAGGCAGCAAATCACTCTAGTTATCTAAAAATGGTCACTGAATGGACAGACTGCAAAACCTGAATTTTTCGCTTTTAGACTTATATAGTTCAGGGTATCTGATATGGTTTGGCTGTGTGCCGACCCAAATCTCATTTGAATTGCAGCTCCCATAATTCCCACGTGTTGTAGGAGGAAACTAGTGGGAGATAATTGAATCATGAGGGCAATTTCCCCCATACTGTTCTTGTGGTAGTGAGTAAGTCTCACGAGATCTGATGGTTGTATAAGGGGAAACCCCTTTCACTTGGTTCTCATTCTCTCTCTTGCCTGCTGCCATGTAAGACGTGCCTTTTGCCTTCTGCCATGATTGTGAGGCCTCCACAGCCACGTGAAACTGTGAGTTCATTAAACCTAATTTCTTTATATATTACCCAGTTTTGGGTATGTCTTTATATAAGCAGGCTGAAAACGGACTAATATAACATCTTCCTTCTTAATATACTATTTTTGGCAAATAGTGGGCTCATCAATAAGTGTTTTCTCCGTATTCTCACCATAAAAATCACATTTTGAGCTAAAATATCCCGTTATGATCAGAGGAATCAATATCATGATGCAGACAAAGCACTTCTAATGTGCTATATATTCCGGCATTCTCCAGTGCATCTGTGGGATAGTCTAACAAATTAAAAATGTTATTTATCTTCCTTCACTTTGGGCTCATTTAATATTGTGCTACAAACAAAGACAATTTCAGGAGAGTTATTGTATGTGAATTTATCTCTGGTTTCTTGAGTGTTCAACATTTATGTTCTAATTTATTTCTCAGTGGAACAGATATTGCTCATCTTTTGGATTTAAAGCTTTTTGGAGTAAGTGACATCAGAAAATGGGTTTCCTTTTCTGTTATCTTTAAGGAAGGATAATTATCATGTAATATATGATGTGTTTATGGTTTTCTGTGGATGTTATCTAACCTAAAACATGAGTGATCAGCAAGAAGAAAAGCAGATGGTGAAGTATCTGGTTTGTGTCTGAGAGCAAGTATATCAGAGGGCTATAAAGTCTTGAAGTGTGGGCCACTTGTCATGCTCACTGGCATTTGGAAAAGAGGCCCTTTAAACCTGAAATCATTAACAGGCATTTATTTGGGAAGTTTGAGAGTAGAAAATATATGACAAAAATATTATCTTTCTCGTGCCTTTCATTTGGATTGTTTTGCATTTAATATACACACACACATACACACTGAGATAACAATACAGAGACTGCAATGAATTGATTATACCAAATTTAAAATATAGGACATTTAAACTTTAGTTACCATGAATTACAAGTTTTATAGAAATTAATGTGGAATTTTGTTTTTAAAGTTCATATGGATTTCACTTTGTCGTTACATTTTTAAGTTCTTTGGACTGGAACTGTGTTTTATAGACTTTGGCATAGAACTCTCCATGAGCACATAGCTCTGACCCAATTTCAACATTGAATTATAATGATATTTGTCTGTCTGCCCTCTCACTATGAACGCTTGAGAGTTTAATCTCTGTCTCGTTGTATCCTGATGCCTTTTGCATGCCATGGTTCATAGTGTCTTCAATAAGCGTTTTAATTAAAAAATAGGTGTTTATACAATTATTATAAATAAATGCATACTAAACAAATATATCAAGGGTTACCTTGTAATTTACAAGGTATTTTTCATTTCTTATAGTATCCGGAGTGAGAATATGTAGGCTACATTTTAACTGCCCTTTTTGCAGTGCTTTTATCATATCAAATTCTAAAATAAACCTGAAATCCATTGTTTAATAGTTACATTAAGCTTTATATATGTTTACATATGTTACCAAGTCAGTGGGTATTTATAGAGCTATTAATTCATTAAAAAGTGCGTTTATAATTTTATTTTTAACAATAATATATTGTAAATATGAACTTTCTTCAGTACATTTCTTATGAAGAGTGAGTAAACTGAATCTTATCGCAACTTCATATTTAAAGTTGAGCTATCTTAAAACTACTATATCGCTAAATATAGCAACAGGAGACATCATTACCACCTGTGGCCTTTAACTGAAGATACTAGTGAATTCAAACTGTGGAGCTGAACTTATATCTGATCAAAATGATTACATTCTGTCTCAAAATGCCTTCCCGGATGACACTCCCAGATGATCTGCAGTATCTTCCAAGAGTTGTTTGCTAATTGAGGTATCTTACATGCATTTACATGCCCAAATATTTAATAAACTTCCTGATTATTTTTAAATGTGTATGCACCCATGTAATCACCACTCAGAGCAAGGCATAGAATATTTTAAATATCTTAGAGGGCTCCCATGTGTTCCTTCCTACTCAGTACTCCTCTCCAGAGTAGCTACTTCCTGGCCAACATAGTGAAACCCTGTCTCTACTAAAAATACAAAAATTAACTGGGCGTGGTGGCAGGCCTGTAGTCTCAACTACTTGGGAGGCTGAGGCAGGAGAATCACTTGAACCTGGGAGGCAGAGGTTGCAGTGAGCCGAGACCGCGCCACTGCACTCCAGCCTGGTGACAGAGCGAGACTCCATCTGAAAAAAAAAAAAAAAAAAGAATTAATCCATCCAGCTGTATGCAGCAATAGTTCATTCTTTCCCGTTTTCTGCTTTAAATTTCATTCTATACTACCAACGTGTGCCACAATATATTTACTTATCATATTATTCATGGATATTTGGGATGTTTCCAGTTTTGTACACAATGAATAAACTCTATTATGAGCATTCTTGTGCATATATTTTGTTGAATGTTAAGTACTCATTTTGTTTAGGGACATACTCAAAAGTGAAATAGCCAGGACATAGAAAATAATACCAAAATTTTTTTTCAAAGTGATTGTATCAGTTTATCCTCTCATGAGCACTGTAAGAATTCTAGTTGTTTCATATCGTTGTTGACACTTGATATTGCGAGTTTTATTTTAGTCTTTTTTGTGGATGTATCTTAGTATGTCGCTGTGGGTGTATTTTGCATTTTTCTGATGACTAATTATGTTGATTACCTTTTGCCTGCTTTCTGGTTTTATGATATCTCATTTTGTGCAGTGCTTGTTCAAATTTTCCATCTCTTAACTGGATTTTTTTTGTCTTTTTCTTATTTACTTACAAGAGCCCTCTATGTATTCTAGATACTATTTCTTTGTTGAATTTATACATTGCAAATACTTTCTCCTAGTCTGTCATTTTTCTTTTCACTTTTTAAATGGTGATTTTCAGTGAACAGAATTTAATCCTAATTAAGATCAGTTACTGATAATTGTAATGAGGGCCAATTTATCAATCTTCTAAAAAATGTATGTATGTCATATTTAGAAATCTTTGTCTATTCATATATATGGATGTCTTTAAAAATACAGTAATATCTGGCTGGGTGCAGCAGCCCACGCCTGTAATCCCAGCACTTTGGGAGGGCGAGGCAGGTGAATTACCTAGGATCAAGAGTTCAGGACCAGACTAGCAAACATGGTGAAACCCCATCTCTACTAAAAAAAAAAAAAAAAAGAATAAAACAAAAACAAAAACAAACAAACAAAAAACCCCCACAAAAATTAGCACAATGAGGTGGGCCTGTAGTTTCACCTACTTGGAGGCTGAGGCAGGAAAATTGCTTGAACCCGGGAGGCAGAGGTTGCAATCAGCCGAGATTGCGCCACTGCACTCCAACTTGGGGACAGAGCAAGACTCTGTCTCAAAAACAAAACAGAATAGACCCCAAAACCAAAACAAACAAACAAAAAAATACAGGAATATACAATTGGCCCAGTACAATGTTTGCATATATGCCTCATGAAGAAATCAAATATTAATACATGCAACAACATAAATGAGTTTATAAAGAATTATACTAAGTTAAAGGAGGCAGCGTAAAAGACTACATACTGAATAATTTCATTTCTTTGTAATTCTAGAAAGGGAAAAACCAGGATTTTAAAATATAGGGCAGTGCTTTTCAGGGACCAAAGTATGAGAGAGGGGAGGGATTGCAAAGGGCCATGTAAGAACTTTTTGGAGTGATAGGGATATGCTGTATCATGTTACAGTGTAGGCTGCATGACTGTATACATTAGTTAAGACTTTGAACTATGCATTTAAAATTGGTACATTTTATTTTAAAGCAGCAGTACTTGCTAAAGAACAGTCCAGGGCATGTTACTTTATTATATTTTCTAATCTTTGAGTATTTTTTTAACATCCAATTTAAACTGGAGTAAGTATCAAATATAGAATAAATATCACTATTGCCAACAATTAACCTAAGGAATGAGAAAGTTAAGGTTGTCTAGGATAACACAGCTAATAAGTGGCAAAACTGTGAATTTGAACCTGGATATATCTTACACAAAGGACTCATGTCATTGATTACTAGGTGATTTTTGCAAATAGGTTTTGTACCTTGATGGATACATTTTTCACATCATTCTATTTGTAAAAATAAACTATTATTCATATAGCATAGAAAAATGACTTAGTTCCCTCGTATCAGACAGTAAATATTGTGGAATTTTAGCTGGGCAAAGAACAAGAATGTTGAGGGATTAAATATCTGCTTTTTTGGATCCATGAAATTTGTTGTTCAGATAGACTATTTTGATTTGTTTTGTGTGTTAAATAACCTTAAGCCTCTTTAATGTGGATTCACCTAATTTAAACAACAGTTGATTTTTTGAAAGTCATCAGCATTTTTCAATTCAAAATAGCTATACTAGTAAAAGTTATAATGTCCATATAATAATTTCTTTATCTCCTAAACCTCTTAATGTCTACAAAAATATGTGCTCTACCTATAATTATAGCAAGACTATCTCTAGTCAGTTGTAAACTCATCAGTAGTGTTGCTGCAGGACTAAGAATCAATGTATCTTTTGAAAATTATAAATCACATATTTAAAATTGGCATAAAACTTTTTTTTTCTATTTCTAAAAGCCTGATACCATGTTAAAGATGTGTGATTGTGAGGTAGGTTTCTATTTTTTATTTTTCCCTTCCCTGACTTACATGCAATATTTGTTTTTATTATATAATTTTTATTTATATATATTTATTTTATTATTATATTTTAGAGACAGGGCCTTGCTCTGGCACCAAGGCTGGAGTGCAGTGGCACTACTATAGCTCACTGTGACCTGGAACAACTGAGCTCAAGCAATCTTGCTGTCTAAGACTACAGATATGCACTGCCAGATCCGGCTAATGAAAAAAAAAGTTCGTTTTTGTTTTTGTTTTTTTGTAGAGATGTGGTCTTTCTATGTTGCCCAGATTGGTTCTGAACTCCTGGCCCTAAGTGATCCTCCCATCTAAGCCTCCCAAAGCAGTTTTTGTTTGCTTTTTTTTTTTTTTTTAACTGAAAAGGACCTGCCTAAGTTTCTTCCAAGTCTCAAGGGAAAGTTTTATTGCTGAATAACAAACACTTCAAGTATTAACCTATAACTATGTCTGTTTCTTGTTTTTTTTATCTTTTTTTTTTTTCTGACATAGGGTCTTGCTTTGTTGTCCAGGCTGGAGTGCAGTGGCCTAATCTCTGCTCACTGCAACCTCTCCCTCCTAGTTGAAGCGATTCTCCTGCCACAGCCTCACAGGTAGCTGGGATTAAAGGCACCTGCCACCATGGCTGGCTGTAAAACTATTTTTTTAATGGCTTAGTTACATAAACTGTTTTTAAATAGTTGTAACCAAAGTTTTTTTTTAAATTTTATTTGTATAGGAAAAAAGCTAGTGCATTGTATCTGGATTTTATTTGCTAAATATATTAAAGAGTAATGTTAGAATTATATATTTTAAATATTTATTAGAAAGCATTTATTGAGTGTTTATGACACTTTTTCAAAAACATATTGTCATGGTTAATTTTAAGTGTCAACCTGGCCAGGTTATGTTGCCCAGTGTTTGGTTAAGCACCATCTAGTTATTGCTGTGGATATTTTTTAGATATGATTGACATTTAAATCAGTAGACTTTGAGTAAAGTGGATTCCCCTACGTAATGTGGGTGGGTCTCCTATAATTATTTGAAGGCCCCAAGAGCAAAAACAGGATTCCTGAATGAGGAATTCTCCTTCAGAATGAAATAATACAAATTCTCCTTGTGTTCTAGCCTGCTGCCCTTTGGAATTTACACCCAAGGTTGCCACATCAACTCTTACCTGAAGTTTTAGCTTTCTGACCTGCTCTACAGATGACAGGCTTGCTGGCCCCTACAATCACATGAGCCAATTTCTTAAAATAAATCAGTCTTCAGGCCGGGTGTGGTGGCTCACCCTGGTAATCCCAGCACTTTGGGAGGCCAAGGTGGGCAGATCACCTGAGGTCGGGAGTTCGAGACCAGCCTGACCAACATGGAGAAAGCCCATCTCTACTAAAAATACAAAAAAATTAGCCGGGCATGGTGACACATGCCTGTAATTCCAGCTACTCGGGAGGCTGAGGCAGGAGAATGACAAATCCAGGAGGTGGAGGTTGCAGTGAGCCGAGATCGCGCCACTGCACTCCAGCACTCCAGCCTGGGCAACAGAGCGAGACTCTCTCAAACAAACAAACAAAAAGTTAGTGACGGATAGCTTAGATCAGCTGCTGTAGCTGAAGTGAAGAATTTCTTTCCATGTTTCTATGGGTGATTTTCCTAGAGTTCATATTTTGGAGTCTCCATATATTATATGTATGTAAATATGAGGTTGTGGCTATAAGGACAAAACACCAAAGATGTTTATAGGATAACAATAAATCTAGAGGAGCAAAACAAGAGTCTTGGAAGTCATTGGTGGCACAACTCACCTGTTTCATGGGGTTTTAGGACCAAACCATATTGGTATGAGCCACGTGAATTTGTCTGAATGTTCTTCTACATCTGTCTTGGAAAGCTTCAGCAATGATGGGTGTTGAATTGGAGATTTGTGGCTATACCACGAATGTCTTCTACCAGAGACATGACTAAAACCAAAAATAAAAAATATACCTTATTTAGTTACTTGCAAGAAATCAAAAATTGGACTCATAGACAATTCTTCTTGAATTTAATGTGATCTTAAATGTCACCTTTTTGCTTTCATAAAACTACAGCAATGCCATTTTGACAGTTCTCACAGGAACTCACTAGTTATCCATCTTCCAATTGCCACACACAGAAAAGGAAATATCCACTGGAAATGAACCTGATCATCTGGTCACCTCTTTATTTAAAAAACATCAAACAACTGTTAAAAGAAAAACTTCAGCTGAATTAAATTTAAAGGAGTTGAATTGAGCAATGAATGATTTGCGAATGGCGCAACCCCCCGAATCACAGCAGATTCAGAGAGACTCCAGGGATGCTCGTGATCGGAGCAAATTTGTAGACAAGAAAAGGGAGGTGATGGACAGAAATTGGCAGTAAGGTACAGAAACAGCGGGATTGGTTACAGGTTGGCGTTTGCCTTATTCGAACACAGTTTGAACACTCAGCAGTCTATGAGTGGTTGAAGTATGGCTGCTGGGATGGGCTAAGACTCAGCTATTGTTATAGGCGCATACTCCTAAGTTAGGTTTTCAATCTTTTCTGCCTGTTAAGCTAGGTTACAGTTTGTCCACAAGGACTCAAATATAGAAATACAGACTCTTTCTCAGGGCATATTAGTTTGCTTTAACACAACAAAACCAAATAATAATAAATAACAGCAACAAATGTAGATGTTCTTAACATTCCCAAAGCTGTTGATATAATTAAATCATCTTTTGAAATTATTGAAATTATTATTATTTTTTTAAATTTATTTTTATTTATTAATTTTTTTTGAGACAGAGTCTTGCTCTGTCGCCCAGGCTGGAGTGCAGTGGCGCGATCTCGGCTCACTGCAAGCTCAGCCTCCCGAGTAGCTGGGACTACAGGCGCCCGCCAATGCGCCTGGCTATTTTTTTTTTCACCTTGTTAGCCAGGATGGTCTCGATCTCCCGACCTCGTGATCCGATCGCCTGCTCCTCCCAAAATGCTGGGATTACAGGTGTGAGCCACCGAGCCCGGCCTGAAATTATTTAAATTATTGACTGAGGTTGTTGGTTTTTCAAAGTAAATGTATCGGCTTAGTGGATTCTTATTTCTCTGAAAAAGCAGTAATTTGGGGCATTATGTTTTCTAAAATGAAAAAAACTGGATTTTGTGTTCCTAGTCATACTTCAGTGCTTATTTTGATTTTTAAATAAATACACCATCTGGAAGTTGATGGAGTCAAAAGAAAAAGTTTAATGACTAAAGGCAAATCAAATATATTCATCAGATATTATGATATTGCTATAGGAAAAAGTTTATAATATATATTTAGGTTTATTTCAACTGAGAAAAGAGTGACTGCCTATGCTTCTAGATTACTTACTACTAAAAAGTTTCATAGAAAAAAATAGCTGTTATTTAAATCAACATGACTCAAATCCAATTTCTTTTAGTCAACTTTATTAATGCGTTTCAAAAAAAAAGTAAATCGTTGACCAATTCTTGGGAAATTAATGAGTCTGTTGACAACAATTGATTTCAAAACAATCCCAATTCACTCATCAGCCAACTGACAGGAACTAATTCAAGTACCCTGGTATTTGAGGATTTGAGAAAAGGTTTGGAAAATTTTATTGAACTTTGTATTTCCTTTACCCTTTTCTTATTCTTTAAAGCACTGAAAATTTTTGTTAGATGCCAAATTCTTGGGGAAAAATTCACTTTTTATTACACATGCACACGATTTCTAATCAACTTGAGCCCTTTAGGGATTGCTATGTTTATAAATAAAAATGAAACCATCATTGCAGCTCACTCTTCTTTTCCATGATGTGTAACTTTTTGTTTCTTGGCTACAATTAATAACAATTCACTCAGGCTTCTCTTATGTAACTGTCATTTTATTGAACTAATGACTCAGAAAGTTTTCTCTTTATGTGGTGAGGTTTAATTCTGCTTGATTAGTTCCTTTACAAAGATTCCTTTGAAGGTTTGAATGTTCTCCTATAAATCATAATCTTAAAAAAACTCTGCTGATCAATCATAAAACAGAAATCTAGATTATCAATAGACTATTGAAATGATGATTTAATTTTATTCAACTTTAATGATCTTAGTATATTTTGGTGATCAGAGATATAAAATTAAATAAGGTCTCTTAGGAATGAAACTTAAATTTTTAAAAGAATGATCCATTTCTTTTGCAAGTAAGTCCTCCAGGACAAAGTGAAAATATGGATTTATATTTATTAGGGATTTTAGGAATGTTAAAAGTTTTTGTCATTGACTTAATTGTTTACCAGCTTCCTATAAATAAAATTGATTCTATAGAAGCCAACATGTGGAAATAAAGTAATTTCATATAGTTAAGATCATGGGTTCAAGAGTTATAGTCTTGAGGCCTAATTCTGTCTTCGTCACTTACCAGCTGTGTGACTTTAGGTACTTTAACTTCCTTGTGTTCCATTGTTTTTCTTCTGTAAAATGATCTATTTCTTAGAGATAGATTTGATGATTAAATGAGATAATACAGGTACCTGGAGTATGACAAACCTCAACTCTATGATATCTGTTATTATTACATCAAAAGCTAACTGAAATTGTTAATATTTTCATTAGGTGAGATACCAAATTTTTAGCTTTGCCAACATAAGCATAATATATTCATGTGGATAGCAATTTGTTTAATTTTTATTTAACCTTCATAATAACTCTAAGTCATAATAAATGTTATCCATTAGACTCCTAACATCCTAGTGCATCATACAATGACTTTATGTCAAGAATATTAGAAATTTTAATCACCGACAAGCTGTAGATATTCACTGAGCATTACATATAAGACACCATGTTTTAACAAGTTACTTTAATATTGGCTAGTTATTGAGCACATCCTTTTGTAAAAGCCATTAATAGTACAGAACATGTATTTTTTTTAAATGTCTCTAAAAGTATTGAAGATTAGATTAGCCAATGAGGAGCAACTGGGACAAAATTGTAGGGGAAGCAGGTGTCCAGATATGTGAGCAGGCACGTAGAAATAAACCCACTTTTGTCCCAAAGGCATTGAACGATCTAAGTAGATTTGGGCTTCATATTTGTGGCCTTGAAGAATCAAGGTCTTGAACCCATCAAGGTGGGAAATGTAGTAAAGACCCTCCCATCATTAAGCTGGGTCATTAAAGAGTTACACGCTTAGGGCATATATGAGCTTAGGAGACAAAGAAAGGTAGAAAACAGTCCCTGAAGTTTTGCATTCACATCCTGAGATTAGTGTTTTCAGTGTCCTCAAACTATGAACTTGAATTGAAGAATTCTCAGACTCTTAGTGTACCTAGAAGCAAAGCCAAATCATCTTGAGGAGGGCAACCTCATCTAGTCCTTAAAGAGTCCTGTAAATATTCTTTTTGTAAAATGGGCATATCCTTCTAAGACAACTGAGTACACAATAAAACAAAATATCATGAGCAAGAAACAGCAGGAAAAAAAAAGAAACAGAAGAAATAGATCTGCATGTATTTTAAATGTAGTGATTACAGATAATAAAAATTCACTATTCTTACTCTTTTAAAGAAATAAAACACTAGCTTTAAAATCTGGAAGAAATGGGAAATATGAAATGAAGCATAGCAGATTTGGGGAAAAAATCAAATTGGGGGCTGGGCACAGTGGTTCACCACTATAATCCCAGCACTTTGGGAGGCTGAGGCAGATGAATCACGAGGTCAGGAGTTTGAGACCAGCCTGGCCAGCATGGTGAAACCCCATCTCTACTAAAAATACAAAAAATTAGCTGGGCATGGTGGCATGTACCTGTAGTCCCAGCTACTTGGGAGGCTGAGGCAGGAGAATTGCTTGAACCTGGCAGGTGGAGGTTGCAGTGAGCTGAGATTGTGCCACTGCACTCTAGCCCAGCCTGGGTGACAGAGCAAGACTCCATCTCAAAAAAAAAAATTGAGTTTCTGGAAATAAAAAATCAAATAACTAACAGAAAAATCTCAATGGTTTGGTTGAACATCAGAATACTACAATTAAAGAGATAATTAGTAATCTAGGATCTATATCCAGAATGGTGCACAAGGGGCCAAAAAAGATGGAAAACATGAAAAAGTGGTTATGAGACATGGAGGTTCTGAATATGCTCCAACATGTTTAATTGGTCTTTAAGAAGAGTAGAGAGGGGAGAAACAGTGGCAAAATGTGAAGAAGAAGTAATAGTTAAGAATTTTCCAGAAGTGATTAAATATACTTGTTCGCAGATTCAAAAAGCCCAGTGAACTCCGAGCAGGAAAAATAATAAGAAATCTACACTGTGATACACCATAGTGCACATCAGTACATCAAATACCTGAAGGAAGAGCTGCATAACAGTCAGAGATAAAAGGGAAGGTTTCTTTCAAATGAGTGAGTACTAAGTTGCCAGCTTATTTGTCCACAGTTGATGTGTAACCCAAAGAAAACTTCCGTTCTATAATTTCATACTTTGCAAAATAAATTTCAAGGATAAAGATAAAGTTAAAAGAAGCTGAAGGAAAGAGAGAGAGAGAGAACAACAACAAAAACTGAGTTTGTTGAGAATATACCCTTGATTCATGTAGAGGGACAGTGAGCTCAGACGTAAAGTATGGGAAGCAAGAAAAATGAAATGCAAAGAAAGTGGCAAATATGGCTAAACTGAAACCAGAGTTTCTCAAGATCAGTGTGATTGACATTTTGAGCCAGGAACTCTCTGCTGTAGGGAGGTGATATAGTTCGGCTCTGTGTCCCCACCCAAATCTCATCTCGAACTGTAATCCCCATGTATCTAACAAGATACCTCGTGGGAGGTGAATGGATCTTGATGACAGTTTCCCCCATGCTGTTCTTGTGATAGTGAGTTCTCATGAGGGCTGATGATTTTATAAATGGTAATTTCTCCTGCTCACTCTCTTTCTCTCCTGCTGCTGTGTAAGATATGCCTGCTTCCTCTTCCATCATGATTGTTAGTTTCCTGAGGCATCCCCATGCATAAGGAACTGTGAGTCAGTTAAACCTCTTTTCTTTATAAATTACGCAGTCTCCAGCAGTTCTTTTTAGCAGTGTGAAAACAGACTAATACAGGAGCTGTCCTGTTTATTGCAAGTCATTTAGCAGTATTCTTTTCCTCTCCCGCTAGATTCCAGTATCACCTTTTACCCTTAGCTCCCAATTGTGGCAGTCAGTAATGTCACTGTGTTTTGCCAAATATTCCTTGGGGTCAGTTTTGAGAATTCCTTATCTAAATGTAAGAATCACTAATCAAAACAGATATTCATTTATAAAACAATAATAAAATGTCATATAGTTAAAAAAGATTGAATTAAAATTTACAACAGTAATATAGAAATCAGAAGCAGGAAAGAGATCCAGTAGAAGAGGATAAAAAATAAAATAAAAATTAACCAAGGGAAAGGAAAAAAGGAGAGAAAGATAAACAGGACCAGCCAAAGATAGAGAAGTCACCAATTAGGAGCAGGGACTCAGGCCTAGATAAAGGAGTATTAACATTAAAGGAAAATTTAATAAATGCTCCTGTTAGAGACAAAGATTTGCAGATTAGGCTAGCAAATAGAATAAAACTGTAACTTTGTCCTGCTAATGACAAACAAATCTAAAACCAAAGGAAGTAGATAGTTTGAAGGTAAAGAAAGAAAGAAAAGATACATCTTGAAAAAAAGGAAGCGAAGAAGGCTGGTGTAAATATTATTATCAGACAAAATAGTTCTGAAGCATCGTGGATTAATCAACATTTGTCTTCATTGTCTCAAATCTGTGATGCAATGGAAAGAGTTAGCCTTTTGTTGTCCTTTCCTGACGTGTTTGTACAGTCTGTTTTGTGCATGTAAAGCCAGAAAAGAAGCACAGCAGAGGAAGAACAGGATTTTACTTTAGCCAGGAGCAAAACTGATAACATTGATGGCCACAACACTTCCAGCAAGTCCAACACCAAAATGGACTGGCTTTCCTCTTAATGACAGAAATAAAAACATTTTGGAAAATATACATCAAAACTTATTGAATGAGAAAGCAGGACTGCTTTGTATTGAAAACATTTCTTAATTAAGAAGTCACTTATAAAACTGTGTTAAGTAACTTTTAATGACTCTATAATTATGGTCTGTCTTTCTAACTCTCTCTCTTAGCTTTGCCTTTCTCTCTCTCACACACAATAATAAACAGGAACCAGCATATGGAGACATTTATTTCGTACTCCGTTCAGAAGAAATCTGAACCTGTTTAAAAAATTGTTTAGCATAACCCACAGAATCATCTTCTTAATTTTATTTATTTTGGCAAAGATGCTGTCACAGATGTTCATTATTAAAAAAAGAAAACACGTTAGTAGAAGAAGGCTCAAAGTGGAGTAGAGGAGCGACACGTGAAGCGAAGAATCCACATAAATTTTATAAGCAAGTTTATTTGTGACCTGGTCATGGGTTAGCAAGTGTATTTTAGCAACTTGTAGGAGTCTGGTTTCCTTTTAGAAGGCTGAGGTAAATTCACTTATCCCTAGTAGAAGCTATTGAGATAATTGAGTAATCTTTAATGGAAGGGGGACAAAATTGCACCTAGGTAAAAAGGCCTTCAAAGAGATGTTCCAGAGGATCTGGGGAAGATAAAAAGCCCAGCCTGCTCTGTTATCACTTTCTCATACCAGTGTACCTCCAACACAGCCTAGGGAATTTGGACCTTGAGGTTACAGTCTCTCTTCACACGAAAATTCTGCATGACCTTGTCAACTCAGAGCAGTATGATAAACAGCCCAGAACTCCTAGGAATGACCATGTTTTAAAAATACTATAAATAGACTCTGGTTAATTATTAAGCTCTCAAGGCTGTCTAGTTAGTGAGCAATGAAACTAATAACCTGAAAACTCATTCCTATGCAGTTCCAAAGCCTCTGAAATTTGGATCAACTTCCTCCCTCATACTCATTATTAACAGTGCTTCTCGGTTTCCATCCTGTATTACTGAAAGTGCATGTTTCTTTACATGTCTTCATACTCTTTGCATTGCTAATAAGAGCTCTGTGTATACGGGCAGCTTCGAATTTGATGAAAGCATCAAAATTACTTCCTCACATATAAATATAATTTTAGTAAGGACCTACATTAAACATTTCATATAGACCCATATGGTTTTAAAAATTTGTTTAGGATTGCTAAAATGTGCAGTTTCAGTTTTATATTATATTATATTATATTATATTATATTATATTATATTATATTATATTATATCTTTATTATTCTAGTTTTACCACCAAATATCTTTTTTGTTACAAACATTAGACTTTTAGTCCCTAAAGGAAGTTATTTCCACTGTTATGAGTGCCTTAGACCTTCATTCTCTTCAAACCTCAACTCCCCAAATCTCAACTCAATATTTTTTAAAAGCCTGTTTAAGAATAGCTTATATTATATTCAGATACACCAATCCAAGAATGATAATATGAAACAATGTCTTTGTTTTAGAGACCTGTTCCTCCATAGCAGGACTGGTGAATGCATTTGTTAGGCAGAACTTTTCACCGAATAATGTTCACAGTAACTGGATCAGGCAACCACTCTTACCATAGGCTACTTTCCAGGACATATTACACTTGTTATATGGAACCAGCCATGACAATGGTTTTTGTTTAGATGAATTCTGCTTTTGGGTCCAAAAATATGTTTAGGCTCACAAAAATATCCACTCTCTTCCTGATATGAATAGGTTCTGCACAAAGTTACCACACTTGTTTTATCTTTTCTCT
Source organism: Homo sapiens (assembly GCF_000001405.40). NCBI lineage: Eukaryota > Metazoa > Chordata > Mammalia > Primates > Hominidae > Homo > Homo sapiens. Next base: position 28,255,579 of record NC_000021.9, on the reverse strand, counting down.
AGTCAATATCCATATTTATCCTAGCTCTAAAATGATGTCCTCTCTCATAAAAGATGATGAATTTTTCAGTTATTTGTTCTGAGTTATCTTTCCAGGAATGGTGATTACTACTAAGCTAATTCTGCTGTTACCACATTATGTGAAAGGTCTGCTTATATCTTACATTAAAGAAACAATCTAAGTGTCATGTTAGGTGTTAAGCAGCCCTGATACCTTGCCTCTATTTGTCTCACCTTGACACATACATTTTGTGTTGTCTAATATTCTTGCAGAATGAAACTACTTTTGTGTGTGTGTGTGTGTGTGTGTTTATATATATTCAAGAATAAGGGGTAATCAGAAATATGACAATAGTATTTCAGAGTGGTAATCAGAAATATGACAATAGTATTTCAGAGTGTTTGGCAGAAGGCATTTTAGTGATCAACTTTTTATAGGTATGATGTATAAGACCCAGACAGAATAGAGATTTGTATTTGCATTACATTCTGTCTTGATATGCAGATTAATTCAACAAGTGTACATAGAGTCCTTCCTTTGTTTTATACCCTATTCTTGGAGGTAGAGGAAAAAAATCATCTTCCAAAGGTTGACTTTCTAGTGGGGAAGTTAACTGTGTTCCTTTGGTTTGATTTCACATATGTGGCTTTTAGACCTGAAGCTTTATGAAAATAGAAATTCCTGTCTTTATTTGCTTATGCATCTTGAATATCTACAAATGGCCCTCGAACATAGTATATATAGTTGTTCTTTGGCATTCATGGGGGATTGATCCAGGACCCCCACAGATACCAAAATCTGTGAATGCTCAAGTCCTTTATATAAAATGGCATAGTATGGGTGTGGTGGCGCACACCTATAATCCCAACTACTCAGGAGGGTGAGGCGGGAGAATCACTTGAACCCAGGAGGCAGATGTTGGGGTGAACTAAGACCATGCCACTGCACTCCAGCCTGGGCAATAGAGCAAGACTCTGTCTCAAAAAATAAACAAACAAACAAACAAACAAATAAATAATTTAAAAAGGCATAGTATTTACATATAACCTATGTATATTTTCTCATATGCTTTCAATCATCCCTAGATTACTTGTAATAACTAATACAACGTAAGTGCTATATAAGTAGTTGTTATGGGCCTGTGAGTTTAGCCCCATTGAAGGTAGATTTAGCATTTATTTGAATTGCATAGATTTCTAAAGCACTTTAACATTCATTTTGGTTAACACTACTAAGTGATTATATGCTCTGGATGAAATATACCTTAAATGCATAGGTGAAATTATAACTTCATTATTGCTATTTAAAAATCAAAGCTAATAAAACAATGTATTTTTTTTCACAGTGTAAGACCAAATGTAGACTTGAAAGTTAGTCACGAAATGCCATCAGCGGCACATCTGCATAGCGTGCTGAAAGGAGGAGGCAAAAGAGGCTCAAAACACGCCCTGAAATATGTCAGGGTGTCCACAGCACAATACTCCACTAAGTGAAAACATTCCAGAAAGTGATAATTCTGTCCCATATCCATAATAAGGATGGAACAAACATGCAAGACGAGGGGGATAATTTGGAGTTTTTAATTTAAAAAAAATTTCTTTTCCTTGCTATCTTCTCCTCTGGGAAAATAAGTTCAGTCCATTATAGGCAAAGTCAAAATCATAATAAGGAGCCACTATATGGTAAAAATGTATGCATAATAAGTGCAGAGTATTGTTTCAAGCATTTGAATTGTGTTTTTAATGTGGAGGCAATGGATTGAGAACAGTGTATGCTACAAAAATAAAATTCGAAACAGAAAAATACCTCCTCCTCATATATTTCTATGGGAAGTTTTACAGAAAACCTTCAAAGATGCGTTAGAAACGCTTATAGATTGGGAAGTAAAAATGACTCTTAATTGCTAAGTGAGCTACAACTCCATTGATAGTATATGAATAATCATTTTCTGGCTGTACACTTGCTTTCAACAATATCTCATGCAGTGGCCGGAATGACTGGAATTACTGCTCATCAATGAGTCATGTTTCAATTAGTTACACTCCAGAATGTTCTGAAATTGTGAAAAATATCTCTATGTACTGAGTATGATGAATTAATTCTATGACAAGTTTATGTAATTAAGTTCCACTCCCATCTCTCTTCTTTTTCACACATGGAGTTAACACATTTTCCCCCTTTTTCTCAGTCTGATCTTGAGATGAAAAACATGGTTTATGTCTCTCTAAGACATTTGAAAGGTCATCCATTTGCCACACACTGAGATGATTTGACAGCAAAAGACAGACACTATGAAACCCGTTGTTTTTTTCTAAACATCTTTAGCTTTACATTAATATTATTTAAAAAAAGGAATGCATTTTAAACATGTTTACAGTGCGTGAGAAGAGTGGAACCAGTCACAATACTCCACTGACTAGACTTTCTTCCCCAGAAGACAGAGCCAGTAAATGTTTCATGATGCTGTCAGTTTCAGTGAAGTTTATAGGCACAGCCTGCATACTGACTTGAATAAGGTTACCAGACTTAACAAATAAAAACACAGGACACCTAGTTAAATTGGGATTTAAGATTAATAATGAATAATTTTTCAGTAAAAAGTTCCAACTACTGACTGGTATCCTGAGTATTGCATGAGACATACTGAAAAAGTATTGTTGTTTAACTCATATACAAATTTAACTAGTTTTTTTTTGTATTTTATCTGACAACTCTAGAACTGAAATACACAACGAAATAAGCTATTTTCAGCAATATTGATCAGAATGACCCTCTGGAAGAGGAAGCAAAATGCCACATGTGAGAGGCTTTGATGTATGATTGGGCCAGTACTATGGCAAATTAATTGAGACAAAGCTAAGTTTTCCAGAAAAGGCTTACTTAGCTCAGTATGTATCATTTGCTACAGTGAAAGTCTGCATGCAACATTCCCCAATGAGTATATATTGTTTGCTAGTAAAAATTCATTTCATTCAACAAATATTTATTGAGTGTCTACTTTTGCCAAATCTTCTAAAAGCAGTCTGTGGAGTTTCTTATGAAAAAAAGAAAAAAAAATACAAATTTAGAATTGAGATGTGTTCACGTCACCATAAACTGACAATGTGGCGATGTTCACACATATCTCTTCGTAACTAAACACTTTGCCTTCTTTCCTCTTTATTTATTTCTGATTTTGATTTGCTCGTTACCCTATGATTTAGCTTCCCATCTGCATGAAAATGGATGACGTGATAATACTTCCATATTTCACCATGGTTATTTTCACTATCGGAATTTCATTTTTTATCATATATCTTAGATGATTTTGATCAGATGGTTGTATGTGTAAGGTCTTGCCACACAAATAAATTACAATTTTCTTAATTACTTTAGTAACTTGTGGTATCTGCTTTACTGAATGTAGAATAAACTTTGAGAAACATTTTAATTTGCTTGAAATTTTACTCAGAAATGTTCAGGATAATTGACAAGTCAGTTAACATCGGCTTTATTTTTAGAAGAGAAAATGTAATCACGGATAGCCAAGAGAGATTTTCCTCATGTTATTACTTTAATTTTTGTATTCAGATGAAATCACACACCTTCCTTATAGTTGGCCTTGTAGACCAGCCTGGAACCTAGAAAGCAGACGAAAATTACATTTCATTCATTAAATAGGAATTGTCATTGATATATAATGATAACTCATTTTGATTGTTTTTAATTTTTATGACTTCAGCAATGACTTAAATGCCCAATGGAAACTTCAATTGTACCAACATGAAGAGTTGTCTAATAACCACAGCCATAACGTACTGCAACTGGAATAAGTAGTGTGGAAGCCTTTCATTCAGATCCCTTGTTGCATTTACAGTTGGCGACTTTCCTATAAAATTGGCAAATGCACATGGACTTCTCTTTTCCATTTGGTTCTTATCACCGTACCTTTACTTATTTATTTTGTCATGCTTCTCATAAACTATTGGATTTTCTTTAAAAGGTAGTTCATTTTTTATTCTTTCTTGAAGCCTAATTTCATTATATGCATTGCCCTTTTACCCACATTATTCTTTAATGATAGGATCATCAATAAACTTAGTGACTTTACATTTAATAAATCATTAATTAAGTACTTTAAATTATTCTTTTGTGAAAGAGACCAGAGAGTCTCATATGCTGATTAAGACTGAGTAAAATAAAGAGTAACCTGAATCTTGAAACAATTTTGAGGAGCTTTTGACCCCAAACACCAACCCAAAAGGAGATAATCCTTTGCTGTGGTTTTAAATAGTGTGGTGCCTAAACAACATGATAAATGTACTGACATTTACAGAGGCCCCAATTAGAGCCAAGATATCTTAATGCACTCTTTGGCATCTCAAAGCACACATACTCCATGTGAAGAACTTTTCGTTTTACAGTGCGAATGTAGCCTACCATATGGGCCACAGCTCTTTCCTGTTTAGCACTTTCTTCCAGCATCTGTTGAGACATGCTCTTTTGTTTTGATCTCTTCTTTCTTAACTATACGTAGACTACGTATTTTTTTCAACAGTCTTTTATCTATTTTTTTCTCATTCTAATCTTCCAATATCCATCTGAAATAAAACAGGAAAGGCATTTATGTCCATCTCACTATTTGTAGCAGTAGTTCTTACGTGTAACTAACCTACCTACAATATTTTCCCCCATAGCACTGAATATATCTGCTTACTCTTAAGTTTATTTTCAGGGAGAGTGGATTGGGGATATGAAAAAAAAGAGGTATATTCATTTTTTCTCAATGTTGATCTAGACAACATGTACTGCAGAGTGACTTTCACTTTGGGAAATACCACTTAAAGAAGTATAAAATTGAATCGCATAGTACAAATAACTTTCTGAGAATCACTAATATGTGTGGTGACTGTTTCGTTTCAAAGATATTCTCAAAAACAAAACCCAGAGATTCTTTCTGAATCGAGTGTTTAGAATTTGATGTGACAACCAATCATAGTGCATGGCAATCTTTATCGAACAGTTTAGTTGTTAAAATGCCGTGAATGGTGGCAAGTCAATTAGTTTGATAATGGATGTATTTACATGTTTTTTGAAAGTTTTAACTGTTCTTAAATTGTTGAAAATCATACTGAATTCGAGTTAATTTTCCTTAAAACTGTCACTGATATGTTGAACTCATGTGGATTGGATATCTCTTTTAAATCCAAATGGGCAAGTGTTCATTTAAATTTAATACATTTTGAAATGCTCATTGATGTATAAATTTACAAGACTTCTTTCATGATATTTTGTGATTTCTCAAAATTACCTGTGTAGGAATTCTTTTTAGTGTTTATTAAGTTGTAAAACTTATGATGGATTTGGAAGTAAAATGTAAAATCAAATTTGTAAAACAGATGTAATTAGCATTGTATAAATAATTCAGTCATGTTTGGTATATTTAAATTTGTTATTTTAATTGAGTTGAATTTCATCACATCATATTAATTTCATATCCATTTTACTGTAATTACATACATGTCATATGATACATTTATTTTTGTGATATAAACAAAAATTAGTGCTTTAAAATAAGCATGCTTCCAGAAAAAAATAGGTTTAAGGGAGCTGATTACACACATATAGAATACCAAGTATAAAAAAAATAAGTTTAAGGGAGCTGATTCCACATATAGAATACCAAGTATTTGAATACAATACTGGTTATTTTAGGTCACATATTTAAAGTATATTTAAAATATGTTATCTTCATTATAGTAATGTTATGTCTATAGAAGACATTGATTGACATTTTTTAAAAGTAGAATAAGAATTTAGGTATATTGCCCAGAAATTTAAGCACAGATTTTTTTCTAGGTTTTAATTTTTTCTCTAACTTTTGCACTTGTCTTCTTTCCACATCTAAAATTAAAATCAATTCTTTTAGAAATTCATTTTTATTTTGTTTTATATTTGTTTTCCCAAATTATTTAATCTTTTTTCCATTGAAATGACAAATTTTCACAATTATATTTAATCTGTTCATATGTAAATTAATGTATATGATTATGATAACAGCTTTGAAGAGAATGACAAATGTAGGAAAAACAATTGACTTGGGAGCTACCACTAAAATGAGGAGGGGAGCAGTCTGCAAGCAAACCAGCACAGGAAGTGTGATGGGGGAATAGAGAGGAGTGAGCAAATGGTTAAACAGAATTCCATTAAGAGAGTTCCTATTCAACTGAAAAAATGTGAAGGGAAAAATAAAAATGTAATTTTTCAAAAATAAATACTGGATACTTTTGATATTCCTTTTCAGATGTATATGGGCTATACTTAGCTGATATTTATTGTGTTTATCCTGTGAAGTGGTGGTGAAATATTTTATCTTATCTAAATCTCAAGAAAACAGAATACAATTCAAGAATGCCTGTTTGAAATCGAATAAAATATTAGCAAAAGTTGTAGTTGAATAATATTTATTCCCTAGAATGAGTACTCAAGTTATAGGTGGCGGCAATGTTTTCAGACCAGAATATTTCTTAATAACCCCCATAACTTCAAAACAAAGTTATTAAACTTAGAGTTACTAGATTGAAGATAAAACCTTTTCATGTATTATTATAATCATATATTGATGTCATAGATTATATCCAAAGTTTATTAGCATTATAAGAAAAAATTGATAATGATTTCAATTAATCTGAGCTAGTTAATAAAACTAAGTATTTTTTTGTAGAAAGTTGAAAACCTATAGAAAAGCATAGAAAACAAAATAGAAGGGGTTACCTATAATCCCACCATCTAGTTATAACAGTGATTACTATTTTGGTCTTAGCCTTTTTTCCTATATGTATATGTATGTATGCATGCATGTGTATATATGGATATATATAACTCTGTTTATGCATGTGTGTGCATCTGAATTTTTTAGTAGAACATACTTCTATGCAGATGGTTTTTTACATCACAGTTACCACTGTTTTGTGTGGCTTGAGAACATATCTCAATAATACATGATATTTTAAAGCTTCAGTTCTGAATTCTGACTGCCTGAGATGGAGTGCTGATTCATCTTTTGCTAGTTGTGTGGACTTGACAAGGTAAAGGGTCTTTGAACCCTCAGATTCTTATTTGCCAATGTAAGAATAAAAGAAGAATAATAATAATACCTAGCTTATAGATTTCAATGAGATGATGCATAAGAAATATTTGGTTTAGGAAATATTAAATTGCTCTTTTTAATGGCAACTTAGTGAGCCAAGATTATCACATGCTTTAGGTACACAAATACTTGCCTTTTCACATAAAATTCTTTATAAGTTAGAGGGCAAATATGTACATGATGATACACTAATTCTCAAAAGACTGATCATTCCATTTTTTTCTAGTCATTTATATAAAGCAACTAAATCATGAAAGAATAAACTTTACAGTAAACAAAAACAAAAATAACAACCAACTCAATTAAGAAATGGTTTCTTTAGAAAATTAAACCATAAATTCTCTATTATTTATGTGGACTTGTATTTTTCTATGTTATATTTACTCTTTTTAAGGAATACCTGTCGCCTATTATGACAAAAGAGACTGTATCTTTAGTATTCATAATCTGAATTTCCAGAATGTGATCATGGTTTTCAACTGGTTGCTAAGCCTATGTTGATAGAGAATTTAACTGACTAACGAAGCATAAAACATTGTTGAAAATTGTCATTCCCAGTCTAACACAGTGGTTAATATTTTACTGACTTACCTGTTTTTCCTGTTCATGCTTACTGAGTCCTTTAAATCCTACAATTCAAAGAAATCAATTGACTGAAAGTGTAACTATTTGCAAGCATGTCACTTCTGGGAATTTTTGTGTCCACAATAAAATCTATGTTATTTTTTACACCAACTAACATTATTGGAAAAGATTGAGTCATGCAATTTCCCTTAATTTTTAAATGCCTCAATAATGTATTACAGAACCAGGAACTTCAGGTATTCCCGAAGACAATGTGGTGAAATCCCCATGGTGGGTTACCGGCTGAGTTTTCAAATATCACAACAAACAATTATTTTAATTTCTTCTTCTTCTATTAGATCATAGCTGAGCATGTAACTTACAAGAACATCTTTCTTTTCCCATCTTCACGTTCTTCTGACTTTCTTCAGTCCTGTGAGCCCGTTGCCTCTTCTTAGTGTACCTATTCACAAGTGTTATATGGAATAAGAAAGATCTGGAAGTGGTATTATAAAGCATTGAAAACTTCAATAATCTAAACCATAATGATTCATGTTGAAGGATTCAAACTATTTTTTCCTTTGTGTAAAACATCTTTGGGCTGTAGGTATTCTCATGGAATTATCTGGAAGGCTAATGTGGGGATACCATGATCAAAGGCTCAAAAATCTCTAAGGCAGTAATGAGCAGGGATAAGAGCCTAATGATAAAGAACTTTATTTTAAGCATGCATCTATCTTGGATTAATAATCTACTAATTTATGTGCTTCTTGAAGGCTGAGATGTTTTATTTTTCTTTGTGTTATGAATATATTGTCTGGCCCATGATATCAACACAATTAATACTTGTTGAATAATTAAATGAGTAAAAATTAATGTTTGAATCTAACTTTTCCCTTGATAAGGAATGCTTTAAATATCCTGACAAATGGTTATTCAAATTAAATTTAAATTTAGTATCAGAATGGACATAAATCTGGGACCAATAGACACTGTGGACTACTAGAGGGTGTAGGGAGGGGGTGTGGGTTAAGAAATTATCTATCAGGTACTATGCTTACTATCATGGTGATGGATTCCATATTCCAAACTTCAGCATTACACAATGCTCCCATGTAACAAATATGCACATGTGGCCACTGTATCTAAAACAAAAGTTGAAAATGTAGAAAAAAAATTAGTGTTGGGAATCTTAACATTAAACAATGAGCCCATTTTGTCTTTGGGCACTGGACCCCATTCCCTTCACTATTATCTGGAAGGCCTTGGGAAGGAAATTTAAATGTCTAGAGCATCAGTTTCATTGTCTGTACATTTACTATCACATCATAAATATTTACTTCAAGACTATTATGAGAATTAAATTATTTAACATATATAAAACATTCTAGTATTGTTTTGGGCTCACAATTTGTGCTAAGTTCATTCAATGGCAAATGAATTATTTTTTCTTTTTAATTCAGTTGCTCAAAACAGTGTCTTCATATTTCTTTTTTAATTTTTAATTTTTGTGGGCACATAATAGGCATATCTATTTATGGGGTATGTTAGAAGTTTTGGTACAGTCATGTAATACGTAATAATTACATCAGGGTAAATTAGGTCTCTATCACTTCAGGCATTCATCCTTTGTGTTTCAAACAATCCAATTATGCTATTTTAGTTATTTATAAATGTATAATTACATTATTTTTTACTATAGTCACTCTGTTGTGCTAGCAAATACTAGGCCTTATTCATTTTTCCTATTTTTTGTGTGTGTGCACATTAACCATCTCTGCTTCTCCCTACCCTCCTGCTAACCTTCCCAGCCTTTGGTAACCATCCTTCTACTCCCTATCTCCATGAGTTCAATTGTTTTAATTTTAGCTTCTGTAAATAAGTGAGAACATGTGAAGTTTGTTTTTCTGTACCTGGCTTATTTCACTTAACATAATGACCTTCAATTCTATCCATGTTGTTGCAAATGATGGGATCTCATTCTCTTTATGGCTGAATAGTACTCAACTGTGTATATGTACCACATTTTCTTTAACCATTCATCTGTTGATGGACACTTAGGTTGCTTCCAAATCTTGGCTCTTGTGAATGATGTTGCAATAAACATGAGTGCATATGTCTCTTGGATATATTGATTTTCTTTCTTTTGGGTACACACCTAGCAGTGGGATAGGTTTTTGGTGGAGTGTTTAGGTTTTTTCAAATATAAGATCGCATCATCTGCAAACAGGGAAAATTTGACTTGTTCCTTTTCTATTTGGATGCCCTTTGTTTCTTTCTCTTGTCTGAGTACTCTAGCTAGAACTTGCAGTACTATGTTGAGTAACAATAGTGACATTGGGCATCCTTGTCTTGTTCCAGATCTTAGCTAAAGCTTTCAGTTTTTCCCTCATTCTATATGATACGAGTTATGAGTCTGTTGTGTATGGCATTTATTATGTGAGATATATTTCTTCCATACCCACTTTTTTGAGAGTTTTTATCATAAAAATATGTAGAATTTTATCAAATACTTTTTCAGCATCAGTTGAATGATCATATGGCTTTTGTCCTTCATTCTGTCAGTATGATGTATCACACAGATTGATTTGTGTATATTCAACCATCTGTGCATCCCAGGGATTTATCCCACTTGGTCATGATGAATGACCTTTTTAGTGTGTTGTTGAATTTGCCTTGCTAGTATTTTGTTGAGGATATTTGCATCAATATTCACCAGAGATATTGGCCTGTAATTTTCTTTTTTTGATGTGTCTTTTCTGGTATTGGTGTCAGGATAATCCTGGCTTCATATAATGTGTTTGGAAGTATTCCTTCCTCCTCTATTTTTCAGAATAATTTAAGTAAAGTTTCTTTATATTTGGACTCTGTCATTCTTGAACAATTGGTTTTTTTACTTGGATCTTTTGTTTGCCTTTATTGTTTAAGAAGTTATATATATGTATCTTTAAATTATCATTAAGAGGTGACTTAATCAAACAATTTAGGGAATGAGACCTATTTTCTTCCTGAAGAATTTTTGGTGCTATATTACCTACTGTTCAAATCACCTTGTGATTTCTTTTCACATTACTCTTCACTTGGATCATTCTCTCATTGTCCAACTTCTTGTTTACCTAGATTATATGTATGTGTATGTATGTTTGTGTGTGTGTATATATATATATATTCAAAAGATACTTGTGGACACTAGAGCTTTGCAGCCTAAAATATTTTCTTTTTAAATCTTTAAAAATTTAATCTAGAATTCTAGATTAAATCTGTTTTTTGTTCTTCCTGACATGCAGTGGTACTAATGAAAAGTCTGATGCCAATCTGATTCTCTTTTCTCTGTGTTTTTTTTCTCTTGCAACGTATTTTATTATTTTCTTTTGGTGTTTTGAATTCTGAAACTTCAGAATTATCTCTCTGGCTTTCATTTTTCCGATAATCCATGGTGTCCTTCAATTTAAATATTCTTCTTATAGACTTGTTTTCTATTATTTCTGTAATTATTTATACTCACCATTTGTCTCTTTTCTTTCTTCTGGTTCTCCAGTAGGTATATGTTATACTTTCTTATCAATGGCATTTAATTTCCTAACATTTTCAATATCTTAGTGTTTTAAATTTTCTATTCTGGAATATTTCCTTGTCTTTATCATCCAAATTATTAATCAAGGACTACCCACTTTATTAAGTATTCCTTTTGATTCTTTTAAAATTAATGTTAGCACTCATACTTTTCATTTCCAATAATTATTTTATGTTCTTTTATTGTTCTTTTATATGTCAGCCTGTTTTTATGTTAGAGATGCAATATGTGCTAAATCTGAGTTTACTACCATGGATTAAACACATTATTCCAATTTTTTCATTATCTCTGTTGACATTTTATAACTGTTGAAGCTAATGTATCACTCATATCTGTGAATTAGCTTCTATGCTGATTGATCCCTTTGCTAGCAGGGTTTGCTTTGCAGTTTTGTAGGTCTGTTGCCCTAAAGGCTCCCTCCTGGGTGATCAGAGGCCTGATTGTGAGCCATTCCAGTTGTCAGGCAAGTTTACCTTTAGATTATGAGGCTATAGAACTTGCAGGCTAGAAATACCATAGGGTGGAGGACTTAGTTCAGGGGTGGTGTACTTTGATTAATTTTGTTTCAGGTAGAGCTGCTTTTCCTTTTCTGTCCTCAATAACTAGCTCCATTGAGGAGATTCAGAGCCATCCTCTTCTGTTTTCTACTCCTCTCACTGACTACAGCTGCCACTGTAAGACATTCAGAAAAATCTTCTGCTCAGATTAAAGGTGAGCTCTTCAGCTGGAGAAGCATCTATGCTCAGCTGCCCTGCACATGCTGAGGAGGGGGTAGAGGCTGAATGACTTAGAAGCTTTGTAAATGAATCTTTACTTAAGTTCTATCACGGTCATCTCAAGCTCTTTCCTGATCTCTGTAACTAAAAACTCCACATTTAAAGCCATTATTTTATTTTATTTTATTTTTATCACTGAGAAAAGTTTCAATCACCTGCAACCCTCATCCATGCATATATTAAGATGTGGTTCCTTTGATCTAGGTTATCCTTCCGTACAACCCTACACCCTTAATATTTTCTAAAGTCAACATTTCTTACCTTCTCATGGCAGAAACTCTTTTCAACTTTTAGCACTTTCATGGATCTATTTACTTTTTTTGGTAATATGCCTTTGTACTCATTTTAATAGTATATTGAAAAATGATTGTTTTGTATGATATATTATAAAAGGAAAAGTAATATTTGATAATTATCATTTAGTTATGGACACAATTTGCAGATGTTGACGTCTGTGTATCAGACAGGTTTTTTTTTGGCAGAAAGAGATGGTAACTGAAGAAAGTTTAATAAATAGTGATTACTTCCAAACGTTTGGACCAAGTACAGGGAAATCAATGTAAGATAGAGTAATCCCATTGGGCCTGGTAAAAATGGGGAAGTATTATACCCCAAGGCCTTAAAAGGCATTAAAGTGATAAGAAAAAAGAATGGTTATTAGAAACCAACAGATAATGGATGAAAAGTTTGTCTTGTAGGAGCTGTGGCCTTTGGTAGGTGCATGAAATCAACCCACAGGAAGGAAAAGGGGAAATAAATATTCATCCCACTCTTTTCCCTTCCTCTGACCTTCTGATGACTCCCATTAACTGAACCCCACTGGGAGTCAAAGGGCAAGAGAGCTCACTGATGTCTTTTACACTGGTTATCCTGTAGGAACACAGGGCAGGGTAGAGGAAGATGGAGAGCAGATCAGGAGGGTCAAATGGGAAGTATCAAGCAGAACTCACCTTCTGTACTCTTGTATTTTGTCCAGATGGAGTGTTATGTGCCAAACATACATTCCCAGCAGCTGTGTTGCTAGCAATGCAATGATCTGTTCATCTGAAGCTTAAAACAGAAGGCAGCACCAGTGTTCTCAGATAAGGTCGGAAAGTGAGGAAAAGGGAAAGTGAAAAATAATTACAATAACATTTTCCCACTGTGGTCCTATTTCTGATGCTAGTTATGAGGCCTAAATTTGATAATTATAGCTTCCTTTCTCCACTACTCAGTCTGTGTTATTTTACTTCTGCCAGCAGCTCAGATGAATGGAACTCTTTACTTGCTGGAGTGATCCTGAATGATCTGGGTCCATGGTGGTCCCTATCTTTACTGTATTTCTATAGCTGACCAAGACCCTTAGGCAAGAAGGTACTGAGAAGTACCCCAGTACATCCCCTGGGCTCCATGCATAGGCCTTTTTGTCCCAATTGTGTAGCAGAAACCCAGGTTCATCTTGGGAATTGGAATCAGTCACTTCAGTCAATGAGTAACCTCCTTCTCTTTTTGTGGGTTCAATCATATGGGGAGCCCTGACTAGCCAAGACGAAGTCTCAGCTTGAAAATAAACAGACTATGACTGTGTTCTCTGGTGGAAGTATTTCTTTCTTAAGGACTATGACTCCAAACCCATTTAACCAAAGGTTTTGGGGACTGGAAGTAAATATTTTTTTTTAGTGAGTTATTTTGGTGATAGTAGAATGGCCCTCAGACTCATATTTTGGTGGCTTTTCCTATAAATTCTGGTAATGGGAGTGATGGCTCCATATAATAAGAGCTAGTTTAAGTCATATAACATCCTGTAGGACAAAATTTCAACCAGACTGCTCTCCATTTCATGAGTTAATTTAGTTCTTAGTTGGCCATAACATTGTTATATCAAGCCAGCACCTTTTGGGTTTTGGAGCATGTGGTAAGACCAGTAATATTTATGGCTATGAACCCATTGTTGTTTCCTTCACTTTAGAATAAGTCTCCTTTTTGGGGATGTTATTTGAGTTGGTGATGGACAAACTTCATAATGGAGACCCTTTTGGGGACAGAGCAGAGCAAAGTAGAGAGTGCGTGTGTAAGGGAAAATGGAACGTATTCTAGCACACAAGGAAACTTTACTGGTTGGAAAGAGAAAGAAAAACAAGGAGGAAGAAGAGGAGGAAGAAATATATTGGATTAAGGTTGATTAGAAAATGCCATTTTGTTAGGGGAAAGAGCAGATAGGTTAGCAGTAAGACAAAATTCTTTTGACTTTTTTTTTAACAATGAGAAAAAAAGACAATATGGGTTCCAGTTAAGAAGCAAATGTTAATGGAAAAAAATAATAATAGATCAACTCTCCTGAACTTCTAAGAAAACATGATAGTAACATGAGAGCAATATGGTCGTTGCCCTAAAAGTAGTTCTGTCAAATTGTTGTTATCCAAGACAGTAGTCCAAGAAATTTCCTTCAATTATTGAAAGAACTTCCATTCAGTCAACTGAGTACCTATCATGTGCCATATACTGCCCAATGCTCCTGGTATACAGGAATGAAATGCCCTTGTCCTCAAGGAGCCAACAGTCTGGTAGGTAAACAGACATGCAAACCAACATACATGAAACGAAGTGTTTATTCCTTTGCTCAAGTTGTTGTATGACCAAAGAGGGAAAAGTTAGCTCAACGTGCTGGGATGGGAAGGGAGAAAGGTCATGTGGTGAGTTCAGGACAAGTTGTATATAATATTTGACTATTGGGGAAAAAATGTATTATATAAACAATAAAGGGAGAAAAAAATTACAAGCCAAGATAAAAGCAACTGGAGTCAAGGGAGATATGAAATATTTAGGCCAGCAGTTCAGTATGACCAACATAGATAATGAGAGAAAGAAAAAAGTAAGGAGAACAGGCTGTGGAGGAGGGAGGAGGCAGGAGGCTCATATAAATTGTCCTTGTTCTTTCCTTCACTATTATGTACAAATGACTGGGATCTGAATGTTCTTAAAATCAGTATCTATGACAATCAGAAAAGCCAGGTATATATCTTCCCTCTCATTACATGTTATAATGAAAATAACATTCTAGATCTTGCAGTGGTTATTATCTTTATACTCAGGGACCTGTTGTTGAAAATAATTTGTGTTGTAAGGCCCCTAAAAATTATTAGGTGAGTCATTTGATTTGCTAAAAGCTCAATCATATTATATTCTTAAAAACATAAATTTGTCTGTTATATTAATCGCTGATAAAAGTTATTGCATTGTTTTTCAAATTGATTACAAATATTTCAAATATATAGCAAATATGAAATTACCTAATATTAGACTGGGTTATTATTTGTTAATAATAGCATCAATCTAAAATAACATGTAGAATACCTAAAAGATTTGAGGCAGAGAAAATCTGGAAGATGGTATGAGAGTTTGAATCTGTTTCTAGATTTCTTTGTCAAAGTCTCTAAGAATGTAAGTATTGCTATGAAATTATGAGGGCATTTATATATTAGGAATGTTTAATGTAATTCATTTTTTACCATGATTTTAAATTTTTATTTCATGTAAGATTTTAAAAAGCAAAGCCAAAATGCTTTTGTGACTAGAATGTTATTGACTATGTGAAAAATAACTAAGCAGTTAATATTAAAAAGGTACTTGAAGTTCTTAGAATTTACATTTATCTCTGGCATATTGAACCTACTCAATATGACTTACCTATTTTGAATGTCAGCTTTGATTAATGCATTACTAAGTTGAGTGATGCTTCCTGGCTTCTATTTATAAAATCGCAATATATGGCAAAGATGAACACAACAATTTACTCAAAGCACTTTATGAAGTTTCGAAGAATTCCATTATATTGTTTCAAAACTTCCACGAACTACTATCTATCTTCTATGTCAAATACTTTGGATCACTGAAGACAAAACTAAAACGTGTCATTTTTGGAGGGACATGTGAAGACTGTTCATAGTTTTTTCATGTTTTCATTACAAGAGTGTGAGCAGAGTCCCCAGGGCCTGAGGCTGTGACATTTGGCCATGCTTACATTCTCCAAGAGAGCTTGAGAACAAACAGTTCAAGTGCAGACATGACATATTCCTAAACTTTATTTGGCAAGGTTGCAGAAATGTTTTTAGCAACTGCCATATTATTTAGTTTTTATTTTTTTCTAACACCACTGTTGGCAAAATATGCCTACATAACTGCTCCTTTTTTCCTGTTGTAATGTCTTACATGTGAAAATATATTTTGTACAGACACAGAGCATGTTTTAATCTATAAGGAAAAACTGTAAACATGACCCTAGAGTAACAGTTGTGGATTGAGTTTTCTTTTCTTCTGCCTGACATTCTAGTGCCTGAATTAACAGAGTTCAAAACATTTTAATATACAGCATTTGTGTACATATTTACACACACATACATACACACACTCTGCCTCTCTCTCTCACACATACACAGACAAGAATTCACATATTTGCATACATAGTTAATGCACTTCACTTTGAAATGTCTGCATAAAATCAAAAGAGGGAACAGCTTAACTATGAAATTATGAACATCAGGGGTAATACTCATGAAATATAATGTTTTTCTAAGCCAGTTGTCCATTCAGCACCTTCCAAATGTAGATATTCTATGTAAGCAGTTTATGTTTTCCTTTTCCTTGTAAAGTCTGCTGTTTGTTTCCTTTAGTGATTTTAAAGACAGAGCCAATGTGACGTTAGCTTCTTTTTAGGAGGCTCTCTTCAGCCATTCCTTTTCACTTTGTACCATGCATGCCACTTGATCTGGATTTTTTTTTTCTGGAAGAAGTTGAAGTATTTATTCTTTTTAAAAAAGTAAAAATAAGAGTTTTGTCCAAAAATATTTGATCATAAGTTGTACCCTGGGAAAAGTCACTATATAACCATTTAGAACATCCTCATCTAATATATGAGCAACATAATGTTGGTAGAGGATTAATTCTCTATCCATAAAGTGTTGTCTAAGAATACTTGTATATTCCACTAATATGCAAAATTATAACCTCCCAAATTATATTAAATATTAAATAAAATCTGTGAATTGTATTCTTTTTCTGATTAAAATTTCAAGCTTTAGATCTACTTTTCTAATTAAAAATATTATGACATATTATCAGTTTAATGAAACCTCAAATAACCAACATTAAATAACCATACACATTAGCTGACACAAAAGTGATTTTTAGAAGTACATGTAGGAGAGTTACATATAACAGCAAATTAACACATTTCTATTTAAAATTCTTTTAACATCTGGACACTACAGCAATGTCAAGGTAAAACTTCAATATATTTCAGTATCTTTAACAGTGCTGTAATATAATGGAGTATGAGTAGTTTCAATGCTACTAATAGGAATTTAATATAATAGCCATGATTGGTGAAGAAAAGAGACCTAAGAAATGACATTTCAGTATTTCTTCTGGGACCACTAGAGTATTGACTCACAGTTCTGCCCATTTGCTGCCAGTGTGGAATTTGTGAATTCAATATCAGCTTTATAAATGCTTTCAACAGACAGACTAGTAGAGATGGGTGTGTGTGTGTGTGTGTGTGTGTGTGTGTGATATAACCTCTTTGTACGTGCTCTACATTAAAGCAAGAGAACAGTATAAGGAGAGCTACTCTCTCTGACTCCCATGTTGCTGCCTTCTGGCTGAGTTGGACGGCTGGTGGCAATGAAGAGCATCTGGATGTGCTTCAGTGACTTCTGGAATATTCAGCCTCAGTCCTCTCAGTGTCACAGTTCCAAGAATGAAGCAAGGACTTTGAAGGATGTCTGGCAGGCCTTTGGATAAGTTATGTAATACAATATGGGTTGTTTTTTTTTTGTCTTTCAAGCAATAATGTTTAATGAGATTTTTGTCAATTATTTGTTATCTGTGCAAACTTGAGCTTTTGCCCCACTCCTGGCTGCTGGTTTGGTCTATGAATTGTCCTAATCATGCCATGGTGCATTGAGCGTTCATTTATGTTCAGCATCTGGACCTACTCTATAAACCTTTGTCTCTCTCAGGGGCTAGAGAAATATGTTTGCTCCTACCCCAGCACCTAGGGAAACACTTCACTTAATTGGGTATGTGCTGGAGTCTGGCTCCGTCAGCGATCATTTGGGCATTTATTTTTAAGGGTCAACTTTTAAAACAACCACAAATATTACATAAGTGTGGAATTTATGATAACTGAAAAGTAGTACCGCTGTTAAAGAGTGATTGGATAATCATGTATGTTGTGTTCATACATTTTACATATTTCACATACTATAATTAAGAGACTGGACAAAGCCATTTTTTATTCTTTCTTTTTTTTTTTCTTTTCTTTTTTGAGACAGGGTTTCATTCTATTGCCCAGGCTGGAGTACAGTGGTGTGATCATAGCTCACTGCAGCCTCAACCTCTTGGGCTAGGGAGGTAGTGATCTGGTAGTGGTCCTCCTACCAGATTACCTCCTCCTTCCTGGTTACCTGGGACTAAAGGCGCACACCACCACGCCCAGCTAATTTTTATAGAGACGGGGCTTCCCTGTATTGATCAGGCTGGTCTCGAATTCCTGGGATTAAGCCATCTACCCATCTCAGCCTCCCAAAGTGCTGAGATTACAGGCATGAGCCACTATGCCTGGCCCATTTTCTATAGCAATCAATCCAACATTGGAAGAATGCTATTTCTTGCATGAAACCATCCTGATTATCTATATCTATAATCTAGACAGAGAAATTTTTTTCGTATCTTAAAATTTTTGATATTGAAATATTAAATTTTATAAATAATAGTTAATATGTCTAAATATGACTTTAAATGTACAAATAGGAAAAATAATAACTAACAACATATAAAACTTACTATGTTTTATATGTATGTACTACTTACTTAAAAATCTACTACTTACTAGATTTTTTTGAGTCAATTTTACTTATACTAATTTGTTTAATCTTCACAACAACCATATGACAATAGGCATCATTGTTATCTACACTTTACTATTGAGTATTTGAGGCACAGAAAGATTATGTCAACTTCTCAAATTGCACAATTAATGAGCTATAGAGCAGCAGTTCCAACCCAGGTTGTTTAGTACCAGCGTTGATGTTTTTAATGACTGTGCTACAATGTCTCACCACAGAGTGAGGGCTAACATAAAACAGAAAATTCAATACTTGGTAAAAAATAAATAAGATAGATAAAGTCATTAATATTGGTTCTGTCCAAGTTTGACCTTTGAATAATTTGAGCTATATCACTGTCTCTCTCACACACAGAGATGTAATGTGGTTCTTAATTACGCAAACAACCTTAAGCATTGCTAAATATATAGGAAAATAAATTTAGAAAGTAAGACATACTTTGAAATATAAAGTACTTGATATTTGAAAAAGGTGACTGACAATGTTATAAAAGGTAAAAGTAAATAATATATTATTTTACTTATTGGTTAATTAATGACTAAAACAATCTAATTCCTACGTGCATACTACTGTAGTTAGTTGAGTATGGTCATTTTTGACTTTCAAAGTTGTTCAAACATAGTGGCAAGTGTCCAAAATGTTCATAATCTTTTAAACTTGATTCACATGTTGCTTCTTACAGAAGAATACATGTTTCTTAAGAGGTCCGAAGTGAGTTGGTATTCTTTAATGTGTCAAGTTTAATTTTCTGCATCAAACATAGCTTGAAAATTTTAAAAGCACCTCATATTAGAAATTAAGACCTAAACACCAGAAGATATTACATTCAATACTCTGGTGTTTCATTTATTTGTAATAGACACCAGGCCATTTTTACGTCTTCAGAGTATATCATCTTAGCCCAATGTTCCTTTTTAAAGAGGAAACTTCCCCTTTGTTATTGCAAGGATAAGCAGTTTCTGAGATAAGTTCTTGGCTGACACACATCTAGGAATAATAGAAGTACATTTCTGGAAACAAATACAGTATTCAGATTTTATGCTATTTTATGTTCTTCCCTTCAGGGCGGCAAGGTCTCCCAGGCTCTGGGTGGGTCTAGAAGTCCAGTCTAGAAGTCAGGGACTAGAGTAAAAAACCTTAGAAGTTTACCTTGTGGCTGAGCTGGCACTCACACCACAAGACACAGCCCTTCCCACTCTTCCTTCCCCTTTTCAAAGACAGAGGAACCTCACCCCATAGACCCCACCACCCCAGGCCACAGAGAGTACTGACAGACTACCACCTATGTTCCCTTAAGGATCAAGGTTTTAAAAATCAGCTTGTGGTGAATGCTGCGAGGCCTGGGACTCACCCTAGATGGCAGTGGACTCCCTTCTGGCCTAGGGCAGGTCCATAAGTGTCATCCAAGAATCAAGTCCTGGAATCAGGGAACCCAAGTGGCTGCTTGGTGCCCTACACCCCTGTGACCACCCTGGCACCTAAGGTGCAAGACAAAGTTCCCTTTACTTTTCCCTCTGCTTTTTGCAGGCAGAAGGAGTTTTGCCCCATGGCCACCACAGCTGTAATGTGCTGTAATGTGGATTTATATACCTTTGATTTTTGATGCTATTGACCATTGGATGGGGTTTTTGGGTGGGTGTCCCTTTTCTTGATATTGATGTTATTGTTTCTGTTTGTTAGTTGTCTTTCTAACAGTCAGGACTCTCTTCTGCAGGTCTGCTGGAGTTTGCTGGAGGTCCACTCCAGACCTTGTTTGTTTGGGTATCACCAGCGGAGGCTGCAGAACAGCAAAGATTGCTGCCTGCTCCTTCCTCTGGAAGCTTCATCCCAGAGGGGCTCCCACCTGATGACAGCAGGAGGTCTCCTGTATGAGGTGTCTGTCTACCCCTGTTGGGAGGTGTCTTCTAGTCAGGAGGCATGGCGATCAGGGACCCACTTGAGGAGGCAGTCTGTCCCTTAGCAGAGCTCAAGCGCTGTGCTAGGAGATCTGCTGTTCTCTTCAGAGCTGACAGGCAGGAACGTTTAAGTCTGCTGAAGCTGCGCGCACAGCCACCCCTTCCCCCAGGTGCTCTGTCCTAGGGAGATGGGAGTCTTATCTATATGCCCCTGACTGGGGCTGCTCCCTTTCTTTCAGAGGTGCCCTGCCCAGGGAGGGGAAATCTAGAAAGGCAGTCTGCCTACAGCAGCTTTGCCAAGCTGTGGTGGGCTCCACCCATTTCAAACTTCCCAGTGGCTTTGTTTACACCGTGAGGGGAAAACCACCTACTCAAGCCTCAGTAGTGGTGGACACCCCTCCCCTTGCTAAGCTCAATTGTCCCAGGTTGACTTCAGACTGCTGTGCTGGCAGCGAGAGTTTCAAGCTAGTGGATCTTACCTTGCTGGGCTCTGTGGGAGTGGGACCTGCTGAGTGAGACCACTTGGCTACCTGACTTCAGCTCCCTTTCCAAGGGAGTGAATGGCTCTGTCTCACTGGAGTTCCATACACCACTGGGGTATGAAAAAAAAAAAAAAACAACTCTTGCAACTAGCTCCATGTCTGCCCAAACAGCAGCCCAGTTTTGCACTTGAAACCTAGGGACGTGGTGATGAGGCACACGAGGGAATCTCCTGGTCTGTGGGTTGCAAAAACTGTGGGAAAAGTGTGATATCTGGGCCAGATAGCACAGTCCCTCACAGATTCCCTTGGCTAGGGGAGGGAGTTCCCCAGTCCCTTGCACTTACTAGGTGAAGCGACACCACACCCTGCTTCTGCTCGCCTTCTGTGGGCTGCACCCACTGTCTAACCATTCCCAATAAGATGAACCGGATACCTCAGTTGGAAATGCAGAAATCACCCATCTTCTGTGTTGATCTCACTGGGAACTGCAGACAGGAGCTATTCTTACTCGGCCATCTTGCCAGATCCCAACACAATTTTTAAGTTGCGCAACATTTTCAAGCAAATCTACAAACGTTATTTCTGACACTTTCTCATACAAAAGCCTCATTCATTCATGATTTCAACGAACCAATCAACACATTTATTTGTCATTTATTATATGCCAAGTGTCAGACAGTCTGGAGATTCTGGTGAATAATAAGCTTTCTGCCTTCATACAAAATTCTTTTGAGGGATACAAACAACTAACTGTACAATTACAATACAGTCCATTAGGAATTGTGCTTTGTAACATGGGAACGTACACACAGAGTCTAGACTGCCTGAGAGGAACTGGGGGTAGAATTAGCCAGTGAAGGAGGCTCTGGGAACAAGGATAGTTTTCCAGACACTTTGAAGAATAGAGAAAGAAGGCATATTTGAAAATTCAAAGAGCAAGCCCCGTAATGCAATGGTGAGAATTAGGGTTTTGGATTTAGACTTGTCTGAGTTCAAATCTGAGCCTCATCATTTCGTAACTGATGTGGTATTGTGTGACATGACAAACATGGCAAAGCTTCCTTTTCTTTTCAAATGATCAATTTGTGAAAAGAAAAGAAAATTCATTCTATCTGGAACATCTTTAGCAGGGATTGAAGGTGATTTGTTCCATAATGCATTAGGGACAGTATCTGTTATATACCAAGATCTTGATGAGTTGTGGCTAAGCTGGAGAGAGCTGGTATGAAGAACCCAGAGAGGGCCGACTGGAGGGCTTGGCTGGCAGTGGTCTTGTGGGTCATGTCCAGAATTTGGATATCATCTTAAGAGTCATGTGAAGAATCTGAAGGGCTTTAAGCCACGATGTTACACAATCAGATTACTATTTTGGAAAAATTTGATATTCAGATGTAGTCACATGGCAACATAAAAATGAAAAATATTTTATTTTGTAAGAAATTGCAAAGATAAAACTGAATAAAAACAAATAGGTAAATGTCAGCAAAAAGAATTAATACTGTTTAGAAATTTATACGTTATGTATTATTTTCCTATAAATAGAAAAGGCTTGACAGCCAAATCGTATCTTTAGAGACCCACACATGTTAGAGGATGTCTTTGGACCACCAAACTGTTACATAACTTGTTTATAATTCTAAGAAAAGCACATTACCATTCCAGTTGTTGACATATCCACATATGCAGAAAAGTAAAAGTCACATACCCAGAAGATGGTTAGAAATCTTGCTTGCAGTATTGTAACATTTGCAATTTTTACATATTAATACTTAGTTATTTTCTTATATTCTTGAACCAAGGTTTATGTGAAAAAAACTTTATTTCTACTGTCACATCTTATTTATTTTATTTTTATGTGTTGTCTTACCACATAATATAAAAGTATATATTCCCTGTTGGATTATTTGTTCTTTTCTATTTCACTGTGTAGGATACATATTAAATATTATTGATATTGCACTTCAGATGTGTCCACATCATAGTTCTCTGGGTTGAAATTAGTACATATTGTTTTCCTTCCATAATATATAACTTCCAGTGTTTTTCAAAAGTATGGTTCAAGGATCAATCATGTACAAAAAACCTAGGGAAGTGGAGTCCCTATTGTAAATGTAGATTCATTATTAACCCCACAGGTTTACTGAATCAACATATTTTGGGGATGGTGTCCTGAGACCTGCATTTAGAAATTACGTAAGAATCCACTCAAACTAATTTAGTGGATTCTCATCAGCTCTCTAAAGCTTATTTAGTGGATTCTTATGCAAATTCAGGTTAGCAAACTACTTCAGAATATGTGTGCAGCTCTTTTCTATTAAATAGACCTGGACTATCTCATAGTTGTTATGTCTGTAAGTCTTACTTAACTGGTAAAACAATAACCATGATAGAGTATCTTGGTTTCTGATAAGTTAATCAGAAATACAATCTCATAAATCATTGGTGGATAAGCTGATAATATATAGACTGATTAAATAATGTTTGCAAGGACAGAGAGATGAAAATTTGAACATTATCAACTTGAAAAGCATCCTCAGATGGTACTATGGACTAAATGTTTATGTTCCCCCTAAATTCATATGCTGAAACCCTAATCCATAATGTGATAATATTTTGAAGTGAGTCTTTTGGGAGTGATTAAGTTATGAGGGTACAGCCCTCATAAATGGCATTAGTGCCTTCATAAGAAGAGAGAGGAGAAAGATATTCTGTTTGTCTACTACATGAGGATATAGCCAGAAGCTGGCTGTCTGCAAACCAAGAAGACAGTACTCACCAGAAACCAAATGCGGCAGCACCTGGATCTTCAGAAGTGTGAGAATAAGTCTATAATTTAAGCCACTCAGTCTATGGTATTTTGGTATAGCAGTCCAAACTGGCTAAGACAGATGAAATGCATGTGGCCTCATCTAACTTATTTGTGTGCATGTGTGTTATTTTATTTAAATAAATTACATGTAGTATTTTCATATTGCCCAAAGCTAGAAGGGATAGCTAATTTGTAAGAATATTTAAAAGGATATCCATAGGCTGAAATAAAATTGACTATATGAAAATTAAACTTCAAATGTGAAATCCTATACTATTTTGAAGACATTAGCTATATAAATCCAGGATGTGTAAAGAGGTGGACTAAGGACAGTTTATTTGCAAAAGACAGGTAGATGGCTTTTGATCGATTTCAAACTCCATATAAATTAATAATATGAAGTAGTTACCAGGCATAGAGAAATTGTTTTAACTTTAATTATAAGTTTGTGCAGCAGTAGGGATAAAAATTATCATAATGCCATCAACATTACATAATTCTAATTGTTGCATATTCTCTTCCAAACCCTGGCAACACAAGTAAATAAGTCAAATAGTTTAATCATAATGTATACATCATTGTTTAAATGTAGCTATGTCTATTTAATATCATATAATTAATGTGATTTTAAGCTTCATTTTTTCTAATGTAATGCCCTAGGTAAGGAAAATCATAACAGACTCTTGGGCCATGAATCACCCTAGCATAAAGAAACTTCTGGAGATGAGCTATGAAATGGCATGGAGTTTGGAAAGAAAGGAAATAGACAACATCCTGCCAGGGCAAAAAAGATTAGGGAATCGTGAAAGCTGTTTCTATTAATATCTACTTGAATGATCATTTTGTGAAAGAGAAATTACCAAGTCTTTCAAATTTTTTCTTTTCCCTGTTTCTAGAAAGCATAATAAGGATCAATTGGTTTCAATTCAACAAATTCTCATTGGTCCTCTATTAAATTCCAAGCATTGGGCTTGGTGTTTAGGGCTACATACAGGAGAACACAGATCTGTCTGACTTCATAAATATTACAGACTGGTAGAAAAACAAACTTAAACTCTTTGTCAACTCCTTTTAAAACTTCTAAGGTGAATTTCCAAATATTTCCGTTTTATAATAGTATCTTAATGTATGATTAATGTCTGTTATTTTATATATTTGTCATACATATTTCTGTTTATATAATAAAATACATGTTAGTAAAAATGAGTCTTCAGAAATGTTCACATACATTTATGGAAAAGATATGTTTTAGAGGCAAAGGGAATTTAGCGCACAATTACTACAATTGGCATTAATATTAGGATGTGATAATAGTTCCAAAGGGGTTAGTAAAATTAAAACGTTAGGCACTGATTGATACGTAGGAAAATTGAATTGGGCAATCTAGCCACTAATGACAAAACATGTTTGCAATAAGGATGATTCAGCAAAGAATTTACTCCTGCTTAGTAACAGTTGCAATTTTATCTTTTGAGATATAAATGTGCATATTTGCTTTATAACTGTTGTATGACTCAGAGTTTAGAGTTATCTTTTATCCTTAGCTTTATAAGCAGTGTATCCAATAGCAACATATGTAAGACTTGCGTTTTACATTGTATACATTTTACTTTGCATTACATTTCAGTATGATATCATTACAACAAAACAGAGGTTCAAAAATACAGCATGATCCTATATTAAATACAGACTTCTGGCAGTTTTAAAAATATTAAAGATGTGTAGTTTATTGTTTTAAGAAGTCCTCAAAATGTATTACCTAGTAAATCCTCTTAACTATGTTCTGTCACATCTTCTATTTAAGAAAATTGTTTTTTCAGTTTGTAATCACTCTATACAATATGTTCATTTTATGAAGCTTTGATTAGAAATGTAAGAATTTTATATATTATAATTTAATTGCATTATTCTCATAAAACATTACAAGATTGACATTGCATTACCTCACAATTTGTTTTATAAAATTTTAACCTTTGATCTTTAAATTGATATGCTGAGGGGATTAAATAACATTAACAAACTTGTCATGGATATGAAATTCACTTAGATAAGACAATAAAATATTGTTTTTTTAAATCAACAAAGTAAAATTCTTAGAAAAATAAGCTTTGCTCTTTAAATATATTTCTGAATTGTATTCCTGTCTGATAACTTTATTTACTAGAGTTGTGGATCTGTAAATGCATGATAAAATGCCAGCTAGTTAGCTTAAATTGCCACTATAAAAATGAAGAAGGGATACATGAAGCTACTTTTAAAAAGTCTTTATAAGCATGTTAAAGTATACAGCATTTGCTGGATAACATTCTTCTCATGGTTCTTAAATTCACTACCAACAAAAAAAGTAACAGCCAAAAGTAATTAACCAAAGAAACACAATTTAAAATTATGTAGAGAGTATGAAAAATCACCAGTATTTTACCTTCATTGATACTTACTCTATACTTTGCACTGTATACAAGCATTACCTCATTTAATCCTCACAAGAGCCATTTGAGGTAGCAACCATTATTACCTTCATGTAACTGAGGAATCTTAGGTTAAGTATTTAGCTGAATGTCAAGCAGTTAGAAAGTGTTATTAACAGATAGGTCCTTTAGCCCCTAGAGAATAAATTCTCTATGTCACTTTCACATGCTTCATAGCCCTCGGGCTACTGGGCACTAAGAGGCAGCATTCAAGGCATTCACCATTCAATAAGCCTTTAATGAAGTCTTCTTTGCATTTATACCAAACTAGGAGATATCCCTGTTTCTAGTTCTCCTCCCTCCCTCTGTCACCTCATCTAATATAGATCATCAAGATAGGTTGAAAGGGGAGTTCGTAGTCATCTCTTCTAATCAGGAGATCCCTGAAAGCCGAACATTTAAATGTTCTCTTCTTGAAATAAAAATACCATAGTTTTAGTTAGGAATGTGCTATGTTGAAAATAACAGAAAAACTGACCTCTGTGGCTTAAACAAGTAAGGATTTATTTTCCTTCCGTAGCTGGAGGAAGGGAGGTGCAGCTTTGGCTCAGCTCTTAACAGTGCAACATCTAGTGCCTCTATAGTTCTCTTGGACACAGATGGCTGCTTTCGAAGAAGAAAGAAGTGGAAAGTGATGGTGAGTTCTATGATGTCATCTTTCATTAGAAACAAATAGCTTTCCTAGAGCAACTTCACATTTCCTTTGAGGTTTCATTGATTAGAACTGGGTACTCTCGCCATGTGTAAGCTGCTAGAAAGGATGGAAAACTAGGGGTGGAGTGCAGCTTTAGGCTTATACCAGTGTTTCTCCATGGAAGCACTTTTGATGTTTTGAATGAATAATTCTTCAGTATGTTAGATTGTCTCATGTCATGTTCACCAAGCTAGTTCCTCTTCCCAATAATTTTGAAACCAAAAATACATCCACAGTATTCAAACCACTCCCTAGGGGTATAGAATTGTCTCATTTGTGACTCACTAGATTACATAAATTGTCTACTATCACTTAGGTCTGGGCACTTTGCTAGCACAAATAAAATAAAGATTTGTAACAAAAGAAAAAGAAAAAAATATATACATAGGGGAGGCAACATTCCCTGCCTCATCTACCAGATTGTGTAGATTTCTTATTCAAGTAATAAAATGTAAAATTTTAGTGTTTTAAAGCATTTCATACCATTTAAATGTTTAACATTATACATAATAGATTCCCCTCTTTTCCTCTCCCCTTCCTTCTTCCTTCCTTCCTTCCTTCCCTCCCTCCCTTTTTTTCTCTTTCCTTTTCTCTTTCTCTTTTATTCTTTTCTTTCTCTTCCTCTTCTCCCCTCCGTCTTGATTTTTTTCTTTCTCCTAACAAAGCAGGCTTATTACTATTCACACTTGGGGAAAAACAGTCCAAAACGGTTTACTTCTGACCTTTTATTTCTGTTTTTGGAAGCAAATAGAAATTATAAATTATTCTTGCTGTTAGTAGAACTTTCCTGTGTTTTTCATGATGATCTATTATCATGAAATGAGCACTTAGTGTTAAACTCTGCAATCTATCCTCAAATATGTTTCAGAATTCTTTCTTTTTCCTTCCTCCCTCTCTTTCCCTCTCTGAACATTGGGTCCTAAAAATACTGGGTGAAGCAGGACATAGACATCCACAAGGGAGTTGGGGAGAGGTGTAGTGGCTCAAGGTGAGGTTTCAGAGTGAGAGGACAGCCCGTAACGGGTGGGTTGCCCTGGACCAGGTGGCGGAGCTGAGGAAGGGCCTGGCGAATTTCAGGCTGGCTGGACGTCACAGCCCAACTCAGTGCAGGGTGTCACAGCACACAGTAGAATGAGAAATTGTGTCTCACAGAGGGTCAGCTTAGCTGGGGGAGCCAGAGTGCTAAGGTGAAGGGAAGGGACATGTATATGAAGCGAGCAGCAAGTGAATACAAAGTCGGACCTATGCTAAGAGAAGCCTGAACTGTGGTGTCAGAACACGAGACCCCCAGTTAAATTTAAACTTCAGATAAACAATGAAACTATACTGATGCTTTTAAAGAAATAATAGTTATACATATAAGCAGTATAACTTTTCTTGGGACACACTGATACTACAAAATAATTCGTTGTTGCTCTGAAATTCAAATTTAACTGAGCATCCTGTATGTTACCTGGCAAGTGTTCTACAAGGGGATAAGGGACTTCATGTGGCAGGCAGCCCAGGCTTCCAGGGTTGGGTAAGCAGTAAACCTGGATGGATCAGGGGTCATGGCAGAGGCAGGAGTTTGGTTATATACAGGGCATCTTATCAAATAGGTAAATATGTAAGCACAATGAGATCTGGGTTTCTCATTGTTGGAGAAGGAGTTTGCATTTATGGAAAGAAATAAAGAAAACCAGAATAGGCCCTGTGAGGTTAGATTGGAATTAGTTATTGGTATGAACTCACGGTTTTCAGGATTTATAGCTAGATCTAGAAATACATATAGATGTAAAACTCTGTGTCTGTATATGTGTGTGTGTCTGTATGTGCATGTGTGTATGTGTTTGTGTGTGTATACATATATTCACGAGGCTTCCTTCCACTTGGAAGGACTGGAGTAGCAATACTTCAAAAGCAATAAGCACACACTGTACACCCAGATCTTGGCTTCTCCAGGGGCTCTTGAGAAATGACTGATTCCAGTGTTGGAGCAGGGCAAATATTAGATGAACCTGGTATATCTTGTTGAGCCAGGAATGTTGGAAACATGGCAAAAGAAAAAGAAAGCACCTTGAAAGAACTGCTACTGGCCCAAAAAAGGTTCATTTGAAGATTAAAATAAAAATTTTGTTAAATAATTATAACCCACCTAATAAAAATTGGAAACTATGAACCAGTATAGGTATAAATAAATGATATGGTTTGACTCTGTGTCCCCACCCAAATTTCATCTTGTAGCGCCCGTAATTTCCACGTGTTGTGGGAAGGACCCAGTTGGGAGATGATTGAATCATGGGTCTCATGAGATCTGATGTTTTTTAAAAACAGGAGTTTCTATGCTCCAGCTCTCTTTGCCTGCTGCCATCCACGTAAGATGTGACTTGCTCCTCTTTGCCTTCTGCCATAATTGTGAGCCCCCCTCAGCCATGTGGAATGGTGAGTACAATCAACCTCCTTCTTTTGTAAATTGCCCAGTCTCAGGTATGTCTTTATCAGCAGCATGTAAATGAACTAATACAATAAGTAAATGAATAAGTTGAAATTTTTGCTGAGGAACAGGGTGTTTACTTCCCACAAAATACTAATTGCAAAGGGATAGAGAATACAATGGAGAGGCCTGGCAGATATCACTTTAGTCAAGTGATAAAGGTAATAGGAAGTTGGTGAGAAGACAAATCAAACTTGGGCACAATGTGATAGAATGAAAGGACACCTCATCACTTCTGTCTTATGCCTACCAAAGATGCTAACCTGAATCTAATATCAAGAAAACAGCAGGTAAACCCACATTGAGATAAATTCTACAAAAGCTAATGCTTGTAATATTCAAAAGTTCAAGGTCATGAAAGTCAGCAAAACTGAGCAGCTGTGTCAGAGTGAAGGGGACTAAAGGAAATATGGCAGCAAAACATAACATGCCATTCTGATTTGGACTTTTCGGTACACTGGATATTATGGGGATAATTGGTAAAAGTTGAACAGGGTCTGAGAATGAGACTGTAGTAAGGTATCAACATTAGTGTCCTGATATTGATGGTTATATTATGAGTATGTATTCTCCCTCCCTCTTTCTCCCTTCCTCCCTTTCCCTTTTCTTTCTTCCTTTCCTTTCCTCTTCCTTCCTTCCCCCTTCCTTTCTTTTTTCTTTCTTTCTTTCTTTCTTTCTTTCTCTTTCTTTCTTTCTTTCTTTCTTTCTCTTTCTTTCTTTCTTCTTTCTTTCTCCTTCCTTCCTTTTTTCTCTTTCTTTCTTTTTCTTTCTTTCCTTCCTTCCTTCCTTCTTTCTTGTTCTTTCTTTCCTTTCTTCTTTCTCTCATTTCCTCTCTTCCTTTATTTCTTTTTTATTTGTTTGTAAAATCCCTTTTTCTGTAGAACACACACACAAATTTTCACAAATATCTGAGTGTAATGAAACATCAGGTTGGCAACTATTTTTAAATAATTCAGAAAAAAGTGATTTCTACCATACTTGCAAGTTTTCTGTAGGTTTGAGATTCTTGTTCACCTAAATGTTTTAGGTGTTGACTGCTATAATTGCTATTAAATGCTTGAATACAGGTACAATTTGATTAACTGGAATGCATGAGGTATGGTATTTTCATTAATTGAACTTAATGGTTAACCAAGAGAGAAATAGAAATTCCCTTTTCATTCAATCTTTGTCTGGCACATTTCCAGATATATTAATATGTGTCACTGCCTTAGAAAGTTGAGTAGAATGCTCTTGCAATAAAGGTACTTGACAATCCATCCGCCCTATGGCATGTCATCTATCAATGTCATTTATAAAGTCATTCAGAGGTGCTACTCAGGTGAAACAGACGGCGATAAATCTGTGAACGTTCAAAAGATATGGCTTCTAAAACTGCTTTCATGGGTAAATCCTTGATACTGGCTAAGGCAAGCAGGAAATCTGGTTATAGTTCAATGATTCAGAAAGTGTGGTTGTCTTATCAAAAGTGGTGTCGAAATTCTCCTCCCATCTCAATTTGATAAAAACTTCTGGCAATATAGACATTAGGTCTTCCTCTAATTCCTGAAATGGAAAGTGCTATGTGCGTTATGTTATTGGGGTTCTGTGCCTCAGGGTCTTCATTGTAAAATAAAATATTGATAGTATTTATTTCACAGAGCTCTTATTCAGGTCATGAGAATAAAGTACTTGGATTGAAAGAGCTTAGTAAAAAGTGGCACAATTAGACAAATAAGATTAGTTGATAGAAATCACTACAAGTACCTCCACTTACAGTTTTTATCCCACTGAGGATGTCAGAATCTTAACTTTAAGTTAGTCAAGAGTTTAAGAGTCAAGATATCAAATAGTCTGATATCTGAAAAGGGTCTGTTTATAAAACTTGAAGAAAACAACAGAAGGTTTTTTTTTGGATATGAATGAACATGCTCCACAAAATAACCAAATTTACTTTACTGAAATTCAGAATAAGAAATGAATGCTGATTATATGGAATAAGGCAAGACAATATGTAACAGGTTTTTAAGTTAATTTCTTCCTTCTCCGTTTTGATGAAAGCACTGCATTTGCATGATTTGATTTTTATGTAACAAAGCCTATATTCATTATGTTGCAAAGGAGCAATTCACTCTGCCGACACCCTGACATTTGTCTCTGTTAGCCTGGGGAAGCATCAGGCCCTCTCTTTGCATGGGTTGCCCCTGAGCTCAACAGTTCTTGTTAATCTGGAGGATCTGTGATCCTACAAGTCCTTACACTGTTTGGCATGGGCTTTTGCTATCATCTGACAATAGGAAGAGTGTCTTCCCCATTAAGGGCAAGCACAGGTTTACATATATTGATCCTTATTATTAATTGTTGAAAATATTGAGGGAAATTTCATGGGTGAGATTGAACAGGGTAGGGAAGTATTTTCAGTTTCTGCTCTGTAATATGGACATTCAAGTCATTATTACTGCTGAGTTGCTAGCATTTTTCAAGCTGTCTTTTAGCCCAGAACAAGTCATAGTTTTAATATTTAAGTCACAAAGATCAGCCCATATAAAGAGAGAGTTTTAAGATTAAAAAATAATACTCTTCCTATCTCTGCGGTGCTTCCCTGAAATTTTTGCTCATCACTCAGCCTCTTTCATTGTTGTAGTCATCATTCAGGGATCACTGGGTGAATGAATAAGTTTTATGCCATCCCTTTCCACCCCTGATACTTCCCAAAAGGAAACATCGTTAGGTACTTATGCCAGTGTTTATACATAGAATTAGAAAAGCAAAAGTTCTTTGTATAATTTATAGTCATCATTTCATATTTAATAGCGTACAATCTTTTTTCAAATTGAAGTTTTAAAATAACTTAATTTGTTTCAGCTTGAATTAATTTCATTGGGATTATTACAATGCCATATCTGCAAAATTTAAATGTTGAAAGATGGAATTAGAGAAAAGAATAATAAGATTTTGTTTCAAAGTTCATATGAATGCTACTGATAAATCATAAATGAAAAAAAATTAAACAAACCAGTATAAAATTTTTCTGTCATGACTGCATTGAATGTGTGGTAATGGAAACTTGGTAAGCAGAGGCTGAACTGGAAAGTGGTTTATTTTAGATATAACAAAAGCCTGGAAGTGGAGTGTTCAAGGCTAACACGGCAAATGATAGATGTGAAATACCCCTGTTTTATTCAGTTTCTCAATCGGCCATCCTTAGCACATGGCCTTCAACCTCAGGCTTCTCTGCTTCAGCCCGTCATGTCTGTGTTCCAAGGGGAGAGAGAAGGACAAAAGCTTAAAGGCTAAGTGTGTAACTGTCAACTGAGGCAAACTTTCTCACCAACTTGAAGGGAAGTCACGCTCAAAGACTTCTTAAATCCTGTTGGCAAGAAGCACGGTATATGATTACTCCAGTGGCATTGAATTTTGCAAAGCTAAGTATTTTAAACTGGGCGTATTTCTAACTCCCAGAAAAGTAGAATTCTCTGATTAAAAGAAAGAAGAATAGACATCTGTCAGGACACTAGTAGTGTTGGCCACGAATGTCTGAATTTAGATAGATCCTAATAAAAATAACAATCATCAGGTTTCAGAATCTTTCTTCAAATTTGATTAGTGAAATATGTATCCCTTCCTACTACTTACTGAGTGAGAGAAATTTTCCATAGATAAGATAAAGTGTGACTTCATACATGATCATATTTACTTGGTAATCAGAGTTGCTTGTTTATAATACTTATAATAATTCATTTCCTGATAAATGGAGAAGAAAGTACATCCAAAATGACCTCTGTTGTTTCTTTTACATTCTTCTGTAATTTAAATGTTCTATGTTTCTGGGATTAATAGATAGAAGGAGAAATTTATGTATTAACAATTATTTAATGGTAACTCAAGTATTTGCCTTTACATTATATATACTATTATTTAGATTTGGAAGGACAGCAAAATTTGAATTTTATTTGTTACTTTATGTGGTACCAACAATACAAATTTAAATATATTTTTAAATAGATTTTAAAACTAATGTGATTCATTAGAAATACATGAAGTGTTGACTTTATAAGTGTTGGATCAATTAATATTTTTGTGTGACTTACCTTTACTATTGACAGCTTTTATTCTGATTTACGAAGCAAAACAAAATAGCAAATTTGGGGTACATTGGAGCACTTATGTTGAGTTACTCCAGACAAATTATTAAATAAAGTTAGTTATTCATGTATGCATTAATCAAATAATGTATCTCTTTTAAAATTAATTATAAAATTAACGAACTGTTTTCTATTGTCTCATTTAAATATTTGTTCTAACTGACATTAAGCTAAGTCCTAACAAATAGAATATAGTCTAGTTTTCAGCAATAATCAATTGTTTGTGTGTGTTAGTGTGTTTTGAGTAGAGGAGGTGATATAGCAATTGGTAGTTTGGTAAAAGAAAAGATAGAAAAAGAAGCAGCTCTAAAGTAAAAATTTAAAGCTGTGATGCTATCAAAGTTGCACATATTAACTATAAGAAAAAGCCATTTAAATTTGCATTGTGTGTGTGTGTGGGGGGGGAATGAAGTCAAGAGAAAATATTAAGTTACAAAAATAGGGGAAATATAAAAAACTTACAATGCTCAAAGGTAAAGAAAAAACAGAGTTTAAAGGAAATAAAGGTAGTAAGTATATATTTTTGAAAAAGAAAATCCTAGTTAATGGTAATCGCTGTCCCTGAGATATAATACCCAAGAAAAAATAGAAAATTAGGACTGAAAGATATAACAGATGAAAGTTTCCCTTACATGAAGGAAGGACTAATTTTTTTTTAGGTCAAAGAGAAACACTATCTTCCAGAAAGTATGCATAAAACCTGACTTGTATTGGACATATCTTGGCAAGTTATCAACATTCCAGGATTAAAAAAAAAATCTTCAGGAACCCAGGCAAAAAAGCAAGACCGACTTCAAGAATGAAATAAAAAAAAATTCTAGCTATATGCAGAACCAAAAGAAAATGGGTAATTGTTTACAACGTTCTGAATGAGCTAAGAACATCACATGAGCCAAATTGATGTCATTTAAGCATGAAGTCAACATTTTCAGTATTCTAAGAATAGCAGCTAGCACCCACTGAATAGTTGCTCTGGGTTAAGTCCTTTTCTTTGGCCTTTACAGGTATTATTGCACTCAATCCTCATAATAATCTCACGAGAGAAGGTACAGTTGTTATGAACAGGTAACTCAATAGACCTCTCTGTGTCACCTAGCATTTCTCTGCTTAAACACTGGGAATTGGGGCCTGTGGTCAAGCAGAGCCTAAATTTGCAGAAATGGAAAAATACAGAACTTGCAAACAGGTTGTGATGGTTAATACTGAGGGTCAACTTGATTGTATTGAAAGATACAAAGTATTGATCCTGAGTGTGTCTGTGAAGGTGTTGCCAAAAGAGATTAGCATTTGAGTCAGTGGGCTGGGGAAGGCAGATCCACCCTTAATCTAGTGGGCACAATCTAATCAGCTGCCAATGGTAAAGCAGGCAGAAAAACGTGAAAAGGGGAGACTGGCCTAGCCTCCCAGCCTACGGCTTTCTCCTGTACTCGATGCTTCTTGCCCTTGAACATTGGACTCCAAGCTCTTCAGTTTTGGAACTTGTACTGGCTCCCCTTGCATGGTCTCCACTCCTGCCACCCTGCCTTCTCTTCCCCAGCCTGCAACAATGGCCTCAGAAGGAGTTCCCTATGATCATTTGACAGAGGAAGAGAAGACTATGGCCAGGTTCACAGATGGTTCTGCATGACATGCAGGCACCACCTGAAAGTGGACAGCTGCAGCACTACAGCCCCTTTCTAGGACATCCCTAAAGGACAACAGTGAAGGAAAATTTTCCCGGTGGGCAGAACTTCGAGCAGTGCACCTGGGTGTGCACTTTGCATGGAAGGAGAAATGACCAGATGTGTGATTATATACTGATTAATTGGTTGTAGCCAATGGTTTGGCTGGATAGTCAGGGACTTGGAAGAAGCATGATTGGAAAATTGGTGACAAAGAAATTTGGGGAAGAGGAATGAGGATGGACCTCTCTGAGTGGTCAAAAACCATGAAGATATTTGTATCCCATGTGAGTGCTCACCAACGGGTGACCTCAGTAGAGGAGGATTTTAATAATCAATTGGATAGGATGACCTGTTCTGTGGACACCACCCAGCCTCTTTCCCCAGCCACCCCTGTCATTGCCCAATGGGCCCATAAACAAAGTGGCCATGGTGGCAAGGATGGTTGTTATGCATGGGCTCAGCAACATGGACTTCCACTCACCAAGGCTGACCTGGCTGTGGTCACTGCTGAGTGCCCAATTTGCCAGCAGCAGAGACCAACACTGAGCCCTCGATATGACACCATTCCTTGGGGTGATCAGCCAGCTACTTGGTGACAGGTTGATTATGTTGGACCTCTTCCATCATGGAAAGGGCAGAGGTTTGTCCTCACTAGAATAGACACTTACTCTGGATATGGCTTTGCCTATCCTGTATGCAATGCTTCTGCCAAGGCTACCATCTGTGGACTCATGGAATGCCTTATCCACCATCATGGTATTCCACACAGCATTGCCTCTGACTAAGACACTCACTTTATGGCTAAAGAAGTATGGCAGTGGGCCCATGCTCATGGAATTCACTGGTCTTACCTTGTTCCCCATCATCCTGAAGCAGCATTGAGAGAATGGTGGAATGGCCTTTTGAAATCACAATTACAATTCCAACTAGTGACAATACTTTGCAGGGCTGGGCAAAGTTCTCCTGAAGACTGAGTTTGCTCTGAATCAGTGTCCAATATATGGTGGTGTTTCTCCTATATATCCAGGTTTCATGGGTCCAGCAATCGGGGGGGGACGTGGAAGCGGCACCACTCACCATCACCCCTAGTGATTCACTAGCAAAATTTTTGCTTCCTGTTCCTGTGACATTACGTTCTGCTGGCCTAGAGGTCTTAGTTCCGGAGGGAGGAACGCTGCCACCAGGAGACACAACAACAATTCCATTAATTTGGAAGTTAAGATTGCCACCTGGACACTTTGGGCTCTTGCTACCTTTGAGTCAACAGGCTAAGAAGGGAGTTACAGCGTTGGCTGGGTTGATTGACCCGGACTATTAAGATAAATCAGTCTACTACTGCATAATGGAAGTCAGGAAGAGTTTGCATAGAATGCAAGAGATCCATTAGGGTGTCTCTTAGTATTACCATGCCCTGTGATTAAAGTCAGTGGGAAACTACAACAGTCCATTCCAGGCAGGACTACAAATGGCCCAGACCCCTCAGGAGTGAAGGTTTGGGTCACTCCTCCAGGAAAAAAACCATGACCTGCTGAAGTGCTTTCTGACGGCAAAGGGAATACAGAATGGATAGTAGAAGAAGGTAGTCATCAATACGAGCTCCAACCATGTTACCAGCTGTGGAAACAAGGACTATAATTTTCATGAGAATTTCATTCTTCTTTTGTTAAAAACATGTTTGTCTATGTATACACTTGTACTAAGAAAATATTTTTATTTTATTTTATTTTATCATGTGACATAAGGTTTATTGACTTCATATCAGCATTTAAATATTGTTAACTTTTTGTATTAGTATTTGGGTTGGGGATTGGTGCATTTCCAGTTGTATGAAGGATAGTTGTATTATATCAGGCAGAATTACGACCTTATTATTATCTTTATTTGGAGATTATGATCTCAGGAGATGTGTATGGGTTCAAGTTGAGAAGAGGTGAAGTTGCGATGGTTAATACTGAATGTAAACTTGATTGGATTGAAGGATACAAATTATTGATGTTGGGTGTGTCTGTGAGGGTGTTGCCAAAAGAGAATAACATTTGAGTCAGTGGGCTGGGGAAGGCAGATCCACCCTTAATCTGGTGGGCAATTTAATCAGCTGACAGCAAATATAAAGCAGGCAGAACAATGTGAAAAGGAGAGACTGGCCTAGCCTCCCATCCCACATCTTTCTCCTGTGCTGGATGCTTCCTGACCTTGAACACTCGACTCCAAGTTCTTCAGTTTTGGGACTCAGACTGGCTCTCCTTGCTCTTCAGCTTACAGACAGTCTATTGTGGGACCTTGTGAACATGTAAGTTAATATTTAATAAAGTCCCATATATATATAATGTTATATTATATATGTTTATTTATTCTATTAGTTCTGTCCCTCTAGAGAACACTGACTAATACACAGGTCAATGGAAAAGATGAGTGGGGCCAATCCTACATCTGCCCTTTGGATATTGGAGTCAAGTAGTCTAGCATATGGGTACACACCATCATATATTGGCCATTGGTTCAGTGCATAAAGCATCTCCTGGACCAGAATGTCCAGCTCCACAAGAGAGGCACAATCAAGGCCTGGCTTAAAGACAGTTCTCATCTCAGGTCAAGAGGGACACAGCTGGTGGTGTTTAGTAGATAAATTGATAGAAGTGGAGCCAAGGCATTTATAACTATAAGACAAGCACTTGTCATTACTGGGTTCCCTGCAGATGGAAAACAGAACAAGCCATGGAGGCCCCAGGGATCAGGCAGGGCCAAGAGGATCTGATGGCGGAAGGGGGAGCACATCAACAAGACCTTACAAGGCAACTTGCATGGATGCTCTGAAGCAACTTTGAGGTCTCCTTGATGAGGAAAGTTGGCTCAACCTGCTGTAGAGGTGAGTCATTTGTTTGAAGTTTATTCATATTTTATGGCCTCTTTTCAGGTGTCTGACCCTCTTTCCACACACACAAAAATCTTATTTACTTACTTTATTGATATTCCTCTGCAGTTGGAATACATTTATTCTCACCATCTTGGCTCCCAAAATCTGTGAATCTGATACCATTTCCTATTCTGATAGTATAATGCCACTCATACACGTTATATCCTTATTTCAGCATAATGTTTGATGGGATCTTTTCTGGTATCTTTTTTCACAATCTCTAACACTAAAACTTAGTGTGTCTTGCAATTTTTTACAAACATATTTTTCATTTATATCAAGAGGACTTTAATTTTTGTGATAGTATAGATTAATTTCATCAGTTCCCCCGCTACTCCGGGTACCATTTAGAACTATTCCTAGACTAAAGTCTGCACTGAACTACAGTAAATGTTTAGTCTAGTTTTAGTAGTTATTCCTTTTAAGGACAAATCCCATCATGTACTGGAGTTCACACAAAATGTTTTGAGTTCTGTAGATATCTTCCTGCTAAGAATTTTAAATTCCAAGGTATAATTTGGGGAGATAATTAATTACACCAACATTGTGTCCTATTGGAGGAAAGACCATTTGCCATTTTTCCCTATGCATATTCTACCTATGCTCACCTAATTCTTAGCAACTTCCTCTTGCTAGCTCCATTCCCAACCCAAGGAAAAAAGATTAACCTGCTTATTCAAATTCATAGATATTGATTGCACACAATTACTAGAGGACATTGCCATTGCATGCACAATCACTGGTTATATCTTCAAAGTGAGGAGTCTAGGTCTGGAACTTCTCATTGTCATTTTTTTTTTTTTTGTATTGTGTTGTAGAATTGGTAAGCAATGTTAGGAAGTCCTCTTAAATTTTGGTGGCCTTTCTCTGTCTTTCATGCTGTGTCTGAATGGGTAAAAAAAAAACCCCTCCAGCTATATGTTTTTCTCTCACGCAGGTATACCTGAGCCTTCTGCTCTCAATATCTAAAATGTGACGTCTTAACATGAGAGAGGTGTTTAGGAGGTCCCTTTCTGACTTAAAGCCTAAGTCAGAGGCTTCAATTTACTTTTTCACCAGCAGAATTAGTTGCAGAATCTTGCAACCAACAAAATGACCTTTATTCCTGTTCTGTTTTGTTCATTCGTTGCCTTACTTAGTAACCACTTGGGAGAGATTCTTGACAGTGACATAGGATTTAAGCTTTCCTAGCCTCCTGACTGCAAAATGATCATAATACCATCAAACGCTATCCCTGACTTCTAAAATTGCTTCAAACATTTGATGAGCAGTTCTGTAGTTATATATAAGTCAAATTTCTACGTTAGCTTTTGCTACCTGAGGACAGAGAGCATGAATTTTATTTCTTATCCCAGGCAGCAGGTATAGTGCTTGTACACAGAAGGTATTTTTCCAGTGAGTCAGAACATAATCCCAAGTATATCATTTTGAAATCATATTTCTCAGATATTTGAAGTTTCTTATAAGGAAGTATTTAATTTATAATACCCCAAAAGGGATTATGCTAATTTTAAAGATGAGGAAATTGAGACCCCAAGAGATTAAAGGGTATGTTTAAGTTTCCATGAAGAGGAAGTGGCAGAGTTGAAATTCCAATGTAGATATGCCCAGCTCTAAAGCCAGCTCTTGGCAGAGCATCGCTGTTTCTAAGCTAGCCCGAGGGTACAGGGAGTTTTCAAATTCTCATCCTTAGTCAGCCAACATTATCTCATGCGACTCCATATCAGTTCTCCTGGTTCTGGGCAGCCACTTGGACATTCTTGATGATGAAATATTTTGGTCTGTTGGCTGTTATGCAACCATAGTCAACTAAAAAATATCCTTATGAGAAAGTGTCTTCTCCATTATGCTGTTTATTTACAAAAGTCTTGGAGTAAGATGAGAGGGAAAAGGGGAGACAGGAAATCAAGAAGTTCCGTGAAGGCAAAGCAGGAACATTTGGGAGAAAGAAATGAAATTCCAGCATTTTATTAATATTTAAAAATTGTTACATTGTATTCTATTGGTAAGAAATCTCTATATTCTCAGGCTGGTCACTTCTGTATGGCAGAAGTCAAAGGTTGAGTCTCCACCTTCAGCAATTGCCTCCGGCTTGTGTAAAGTTTTCTCTCTACAAGTATTCATGATTGAAGGCTGACTAGAGAATGCGCCAGGAAGAAAATAAAAGCCAGTTCTATCCTGTGCCTTTAGTTATGTACAGTCTAAATTGCACATTAGACTTGTCTACTTTGAGATAATCCTCTCTATAGTTACGATGAGCTAATGGAGTGTAGAGGATTGGCTTTTATTGTTAAATAAATATTGCTAATTTTGGTCACGTTTCCTTAGTCTAACCATTCTCTGAATCATTGTAAATAAGCAGAAAAGCAAGGGATGAGTAGCAAACCTTTTGTTATTGTGTATTTATTTCTTTGTTGACTGTTATATGATTGAGTATATTTGTTTTAGTTCTACAAAAACAATGGAAGCAGTTTATTAGAATGCAAGCAGTAAATAGGGGAAAAACATAATTCAGGATGTTAAAAAATAGAAATACAAACAACACATCAGGAAAAAATTGTATAAAAATATATATGTCATAATTTTTTAAATGGTTGCTAAAATTATGCCTACAGATTTAGCTCCAAGCACTCTGGCAGCAAAAGAAGAAATGAGAAAATATATTACTTAAAAAATTTGTATCATCTAGGAGAAGCATACAACTTCTTTTAGTTGTTATTAGAGTGGCAACCATACCTAAGCCCTATTGTTTGTGTACATGGGTTCTTAATGTTTTCTCAATGAATGCTTTTGATTTGCAGGCTGCAGCCAGTTGAACTCGTGCTTTCTAGGGCTTTAGTCCCCTCTTCTATGAAGATTGCTCCAGACCAAATGTGCACCCCTCTAGTTACTGTGGAACACAACACATGAGCAATGGCCACCAGGTTTCATTTGAGATCACGTGCCATTGAAACTCTTTAGTGATACGAGAACCAAGACTGCTTTTTGTCTTCTTGCTTCCTATTTCTGTCCTATTTCTTCTGGAATTCTAGATAATTATGAGCTACGATTTGCCCTATCCTTCTAGATTACAATGTGATGAATTCCTGCTGATTAATTTATATCTCAAATGCATGGCATTGTGAATTGGTACTATTTCTGTTCCTTTGAAGGAACACCCAATATTTGAAATCACTCTAGAGCTAGAAAAGACAGCAAAGTAAAACAATCTGGTCCTGGAATATAGTAACTTTTCCCAGGGAACAGTAAGAGGGAAATATGCACCAAAGAAAAATTCTATTTTTTTTACTTTCATTATTATATACCTGAAGAAGATATTCTTATTTACAGGTGGGTAATTAACTTATAGCAATTCTAGGACATCAGGAAGCTCATCCTGCAAATTCCCTCGATTCAAAAATAATTTGAGTCAGTAGCTGAGGTTTCAATTCTTTCATTTAATTGGTTGAATCTCATTGGCTTTTTTTTCCAATCACTAACACGTTAGTGTAAATATGTTGAACAGATTCTCTCAAGCCAGAGAATTTGTTCAGAAAATCTCTCTTATATAATGAAGGACACACGACAAATTAAATAGATTTGGATGGGAAGAAGTTGGAAAAAGTGCGTTTAGAATTGATTTAATGCATAACAGCTGAACCCTTAGCTATAGGACAGCTCAGCCAGGGTTCTGATTAGTATCTGATTCAATGTCAGATGCATGAATGATGTAAACTTCTGTACTTACTTCATATCTTTTGAAAGTCCTGACTTGTAGAAAGATTTGGAAATTTTGAATCATCCCAAAGCATTTCTAAATGCTCATATACAAAACTATTATTTTTTGTATTTTTAAATAGCATAGAAGTCAAATGAAAAAATAAATGATAGAGAATATTACCTTAAGTGTGCCATATTATTGACCTTCTTACATGAAAAGTCATTTTCTAAAAAAATACGATACAAATCTTTTCTTTAAAACAACAGGAAACTTTAAATTATTTAAATAATCATACCTACTCTAAAATAACTAAGTGACTTACTCAAGCTTTCTTGTTAGGGATGTCTAACAACTCTAGTGAGTTACATATAGTAAGCTGTCTTTTATGAAGTCAAAATAAGAAAGATATTTCTATAATTCTTCTTTGTTTTCTTTATAACAACCTATATTATAAAAAACTTTATCTTTTTCTTTTTCTTTTTTTTTTCTGAGACAGAGTTTTGCTCTTGTTGCCTAGACTGGAGTGCAATGGTGCGATCATGGCTTACTGCAACCTCCGCCTCTCAGGTTCAAGAGATTCTCCTGCCTCAGCCTCCCGAGTAGCTGGGATTACAGGCGCCTGCCACCATGCCCAGCTAATTTTTGTATTCTTAGTAGAGATGGGGTTTCACCATGTTGGCCAGGCTGGTCTTGAACTCTTGACCTCGTGATCTGCCCGCCTCAGCCTCCCAAAGTGCTGGGATTATAGGCGTGAGCCACTGAGCCGGGCTGCAAAACCTTTATCTTTAACAGCACATGGATGGCTATTGACAGTTCATAAACAAACAAAAAATAAACATTTCACCTAAAGATTTGATCATCTGTAGGAGGCCTATGTAGTATAGTCATAGAACATTATGACATTATATGAGCATTATAAATATAAATTAAACACAGTCTTTAATATGATTAATATTGTCATCTGGCTTTTGTTAATAATTTTGATAACCACTGAATGGAAACAAAATGAGATTTCAAAAGTGCAAATAATGTGCAATTTTTAGAGAAGGTAAAAAACACAATTTCTTTTTTCCTTTAGTAGGCCCACAGCCAAGCCATTGAGAGACAAGTCCATGGGAGACAAATTAGCTCATGCAGCTGAGATGTCCTGGAGATTTTCCACAGCACCACTTGGCCAGTGCCTAGACAAGGTAATTTACCGTATCTCTAAATGTCCTACTCCCAAGAGCACATTCATCTTGCCTCCCCTTGAAGCAGATCCCTTGAAGAGTTTCATGTTTATGAACATGGAGTAGTATCGTTTGGCCAGCAAAATTAGGAAATGAATTGTGTTTTCAGTAAACTCATCTATTACCTTACTTCAGAGTGATTAAACTCATAGTGCTTGATGAAAATAACCAACTTAAAATGAGGAATGAGCATAAAATATGGTTATGCCCTCAGAGTTCTACCTGTGACAAGAAATGATAATCAAATCAGCTGGGCATTATCAAGCAAAATGATGGTAAGTAAAATAGATATAATTTTAGAATCATCATAAAATAATGAAAGAGAATACTTTTATTTAGGTTTGTTTTGATACCAACAGGAATCTTTTTTCAAAGTCTGAATCTCATTAGAAAAGGCATGAAAATACACTGAAAGGCATTTATAGATTTAAAAAGATGTTAGAGGGCTTGAGGAACTTATAGACAAACATTATTATTTTGAAAAGAAAATTGGCCAAAACCTTTTGAAATGCTAACCTCAAAGAGAGAAATGAGTAATGTTAGTTAAGAGTTTTGATTCTAATCAACCTAAATGCCCATCAATGATAGACTAAATAAAAAAAAGTGCTACATATATATACCATGGAATACCATGTAGCCATAAAAGTAATGAGATGGTGTCCTTTGCAGGGACATAGATGGAGCTGGAGGTCATTATCATTAGCAAACTAATGCAGGAACAGAAAACCAAATACCACATGTTCTCATTTATAAGTGGGAGCTAAATCCTAAGAACACATGGACACATAGATGGGAGCAACACACACTGGGTCCTATCAGAAGGTGGAGGGTAGGAGGAGGGAGAGAGGATCAAGAAAAATAACTGTTGGTACTAGGCTTAGTACCAACAGTTGAAATAATCTGTTCAACAACCCCCCGTGACACAAGTTTACATACATAACAAGTTTACGTATATAACCAACCTGCACATGTACCCATGAACTCGAATTAAAGTT
The DNA here is from genome assembly GCF_000001405.40 of Homo sapiens. Taxonomy (NCBI): domain Eukaryota; kingdom Metazoa; phylum Chordata; class Mammalia; order Primates; family Hominidae; genus Homo; species Homo sapiens. The sequence continues at coordinate 28,211,205 of NC_000021.9, read as the reverse complement.
AAAAAGGAATTTTGATTCTTAAGAAAGTGGGAGAAAAGTTAACGAGATTAAAATATTGATGAAATACTTTGAAAAGATATTATATAAATATGTATTGTTTTTCTGTGTCTAAACTTCTTAAAACTAGAAATAGTTTAATATTAGAAATTTCCTAAAATATTAATGATACACCACAACACTCTGTTGAGTATTTTTTTTTCCAATTTATACCCAGTTTAAAGAAATCATGGTTTCTACTTTGTACTTAGAAAACTACCTCTTTTTATCTAATCCATTATATGTAGTCAAACTAAGTGTGTCAAATGCACATTTATAGTGCATTTGCACTATAGTCAAATGCACATTTGACACATTTAAGTGTGTCAAATTCACTTTGTGGGCAAAATAAAGTATGGGAATGGTGTGTTTTTCTCCTGACACAGATCACTACTTCTTCATGATAGACACAATCATTTCTTGTGTCTTATTTATCTGCCTTTCTTTCACCTGCATGATTTTTTTTTATTTCTGATAAAATTACATTTTTTAATTATTGAAATGTTTATCAACATATCTGTTCTGATCCAGAGCAAAGATATGGATGCTCATAAGTTTCTTATAGCAGAGAAATTACAACGGTTTGTGGGGAGGGGGTTACTAATAGCAGCTTCTGGAACAACTGCAAAGGCATTATAGGAGGTGGGGAAAACCACGGTTAAGGCAGGCTCTAGATCTTTTATTTATGTATGGTTCTAGAGGTTCTGATCCATTGGGCAGAAAAGCAATGAAATAAAAACATTAAGAGAGAGATACAGAGGTAGGTGTGTGGTGGGTGTGAGGAGGAGAACCAGATGGATGATGGTTCAGGCACAAATTTGAAAATGTATTTGAATTTCAAATCCAAATACATTCCCCTAATATGAAGAAAAATCTATTTACATTAAAAAAATATCTGTAAGAATATGCAACACATCTATTTCTTTCCTTCCAAATCAAGTAGTACCTAAAGGACCCAGCAAATAAGGAACAATGCGTCTATTTTTAGAGAAGTATATTTTCCGAGTTTGTTCCTTGCCAATCCAGTATTCCATACTTTTCACTCTGACTTAAGGTATCTGCAACCACATTCTTGTCATCCAGACGATGGCATGGTGATATTTTCTCAAAGCCTTGGTTTAATTACTTGATTAGTTGTTACCTACTCACACATTGGGCTTTTCTCACGTTTTCTTTTGTTTCAGAAAATGTATTTTAATGTAAAACATACCAGGCTATTCTTTGGTATGACACCTGACGGGAAGCTTGGATCAGGTTGAGTATGGCAGAAAGTCTCATGCATCATTCCTGTGCCTAAGTGACAATCTCAGTTGAGACCTTCAGGTTTTCCCACCTTATCTATCTCAACGACTGGGTTCCTTTCCACTTTGCCATTCCTCATCCCTCCACTGACTGCCATATTGATTTTTCAAAATGTAAATATAATTATGTCACTCATCTTCCAAAAGTTCTTAAGTAATTGCTTATAACCCACAATATGATAGAAAAACTGAGAGTGGTGTAGAGGATCCTTTAGGCCTTGGGCCTGCCTACCTGCTCAGCATTATCTGCTCTACCCTCATTAACCCCCTCTGCACTGGCTATACTGAGAAATTTGGTATCCCCCAAAGTTATCATGACATGCTGCCCTTTTGGCTGGCCAGCTCTTGCTACCTGCTGCAAGAGAACAGCTACTCTCCCTTCAAGTCCAAATGTTATCTATCCTGTTGAATGAGAAATATCATTAAACACATCTTTTTCCCTTCTGTGGCATCTTGTGTGTAATTCAGAACACCAGTCATTGTTGTCTTGAAATTCTTCTAATCCAGCACTTTCACATAGGGGTCTTTCAATAATTCCTTGCTGAAATAAAGAATAAATGAAAAATAAACAGGTGCTTAGCAAATATTAAGAACATCAGAAGTTTTGTTGCTATCTTGTACCAAGTTGCTGGAAACGTTTGAGATCACATATAATATAATCAATATCTGCATATGGCTGGAAATTTCACTACCAGATTGTCATCCTACGACGAAACATTTTTTGAAAAAGATTGTCTATGTCAGATACACCTTAGTTTGAAAGCATTTTAAACTTAATTAATCTAACTTCTATATTATATTCATGAGAAAAATCAAGTTCAGGAAGGTGAAAGCAATTCACTGTGACACAGCTGAAATTAAAGGTGGGGCAGAACTAAACCAAGGTATACAGATATTCAGGCAATCATCATAATAAAAAATGAGGTCTTTATTATGAAAACAAATAGATGAAAAAAATTACAAACGGGTTCTTATTTTTATTCACCTAACTTATATAGTCATTAAATGTCTATTGTCGCTATGTTCAGGACACCATGCTACCTACTATGAATGTTACGGTGTTATGGATACAAAACAAATAGCACATAGATTCTTCACTTAAAAAATTCATGTTTCACCTCTCGTCTCCTTTCTCTCTCCCTTCCACTATCCTTCCTCTCTACCTAAGAACACTTCATAGTGTCCTAAGTTGGACCTTCAGCTAAATGATTTAAGTAAATTTAATGGTGGAAAAAATAAATAAGCACAGCACAGAGAATCCTTATAGTCAGGCTGTGGATCAGATTCTATCTCTAAGCTCTGAGGCCTTAATAAGTCAATTTATTTTTATGAGCTTTGGTTTATAACTCTGAGGGGTCACAGTGATCTCTGCTTGTCTCTGCCACAGGCTACTTTGAAAAGAAATGATGGAAATGCTTCATTTCAAAGCATTGGCTTTGGCGTCAAAGAAGCTGGTTTTGAATCTCTGCTCTGTTACTTATTAGCTGTATGAGTGTCTCTTCATGTTGAAAATGGGTTATATTTTCCACCTTATCATTGTTAGGATTACCAATATCGTAAGTAAGGATAAAGGTCTGATGTTTAGGACAGTCTCAATTAATATAAATCTTACTCATTTTAGGAATGTTTGGGAGAACTTTATCAGTCCTAAAGTTCTGTAGACACCTTAGAAATTATTTCTCCCCAGACACATACTATCTAAAGCCTGCCATTGACGAGATGGCTGGCCGAGTTGCATTAGTCTGGATATTGGTGGTCTTATGATTTCCTTCCAGAATCCACATCTTAACTACAAAGATCAGCAATAATGCTGGGTGCACATAAATGGCCTAGGAGCCTGAGGCTATGTGAAATGAGGACTACTCTGGAGTAAATTGTCATGTTCAAAAAGTAAATAATGAGTCAGACCATGCCTAATTCCACAGGAAAGAGATTAGTTGCAGCAAAAAACATGTGGAGTTAATTTAGTTAGAAAAGAAAAAATTAACATCTTGAATTCCACACAAAGACTCGTACTCCTTGGAGTTTGTGGGATTATTTACAGAGCCCCGCTGTAACCCTGCATAAACGTAGTAGGTAGGTTATAAAGCAGCAAATCAAGGATGACTATTGTTCTATTGTTACAGTGAAGGTTTCTGTTTTATATACATTATAAACCTTATTCCACATATGTAGCCTTTACTGATATGGGACCTAGGGACTTTTGAGGGAATTGAAACAAGAAGTGAGATTTACATAATGCTCTCTCGAGTTCCATTTTGGCTAAATTTTAAGACATGATTTAAAAATAATGTATACTTGGAACGAGTCAGAAGAGAGCGCTTGTTTCTACAATGTGGACGTCAGCTGTAGCTTGCATAATATAAATCTTTTATTAATTCAGTGTCCCAATTGACTGCTAAATTTTGTCATTCAGAACTTGAAGTTGCTTTCAAGTTTGCTTTTTGGGATAGTTCCTGCAATTACTATGAATTTTCATAGTTGTATAGATCCTTGGCTTCATCACTTTTACTTTCTTTTGTATTTGATGCAGGAAGAATAGAATTTGCTTCTGGCTGATTCCATCTGTAGACTTGTCCCTAAGCCTCTGTTTTATTCTGCCATGTTCTTGGACTTTTCTTTCTCTCCAGCCTTAGATAAAAGGCATCTTTTCCCAAGTGCCATTTTCAGTGTTGTTGTTGTTGTTGTTGTTTTAAAGAACTTTCTGCAAATGGTTGTCAAAGGATCTTCTATGACACAACACTGGAACAGACAAAAGAAGCAGTACTTCAGAAATAACCAAATCATCACTATTATGCACTAATCTAGCTCATCTAGCAAAAGAATTACATAGGACCGGGCGTGGTGGCTCACGCCTGTAATGCCAGGACTTTGGGAGGCCGAGGCGGGCCGATCATCTGAGATCGGGAGTTCAAGACCAGCCTGACCAACATGGAGAAACCCCATCTCTACTAAAAATACAAAATTAGCCAGGCTTGGTGGCACATCCCTGTAATCCCAGCTACTCGGGAGGCTGAGGCAGGAGAATCGCTTGAACCCGGGGAGGCAGAGGTTGCAGTGAACTGAGATCGCGCCATTGCACTCCAGCCTGGCAACGAGAGCAAAACTCTGTCTCAAAATAGAAAAAAAAAGAAAAAAAAAAAAAAGAAAAGAAAAAGCAAAAGAGTTACATAAAGAGATTGTCTAATTTATTATATTTCCCAGGGTTTTCTCCATAGCTGAAGACCCTTGCATTTTCTTATAATAAATCCAAGGTAGTAAAATCCTCCTTTACTTGAATTATTTTGTTGTTCTTCAGTAATACATTTGGCATTCGTAAAATGCTTTTTTTTGCAAACACTTTGAAATTAATTTTTTTTTTTTGAACAGAGTCTTGCTCTGTTGCCCAGACTGGAGTACAGTGGTGCAATCTCAGCTCACTGTAAGCTCCGCCTCCCGGGTTCACGCCATTCTCCTGCCTCAGCCTCCCGAGTAGCTGGGACTACAGGCACCTGCCACCACACCCGGCTAATTTTTTGTATTTTTAGTAGAGATGGGGTTTCACGATGTTAGCCAGGATGGTCTCGATCTCCTGACCACGTGATCTGCCCACTTCGGCCTCCCAAAGTGCTGGGATTACAGGCATGAGCCACTGCACCTGGCCTGAAATTAATTTTGTTTTAATCAAGTAATGTATTTTTTAAGGTATTAAAACTTTAGATGCATATTATTTTTTCTTAAATTCCTGAAGTTTAAAATGGAAAGATTTTACAAAAGTGGATTAAAATTTCGTTATATAATGCTATATGTTTACATAAATATTATTTGCAGCCATATACACACACACTATATACATGTACACATATACATTAATTAACGATTTAAATTCTCACAATCCAAAATAAATGGTTCTAGATTCATAATTATGTCAGTCACAATAATCTTTATGTTTTCTGTTTTCTCCAAATTCTCAAATAATACTTTAAAAATTACTACTTTTTTTTTTTTTTTTTTTTTTTAAGACAGAGTCTCACTCTGTCACCCAGGCTGGAGTGCAGTGGTGCGATCTCAGCTCACTGCAACCTTAGCCTCCTGGGTTCAAGCGAGTCTCCTGCTTCAGCCTCCCGAGTAGCTGTGATTACAGGCTCGTGCCACCACGCCTGGCTAATTTTTTTTTAATTTTTATTTTTAGTAGAGACGGGGTTTCACCCTGTTAGCCAGGAAGGTCTTGATCCCCTGATCTCATGATCTGCCTGCCTTGGCCTCCGAAAGTGATGGGATTACAGGCGTGAGCCACAGCACCTGGCTAAAAATTTCTACTTTTTTATTAGTGCTATGTAACAGGCAATACATCATGTGCTTTTCACATATTCATTCATTCATTCTTCACAATAATTCTCAGTCATATGAACTATTATTCCTATTAATACCAAGCTGAGAGACAAAGTAACTCAACTTCCTACAGCTTTTGAGAGGCAGAGAGGAATTATATTCTGTCCTTTATCTTAACCACTACATTGACCATTTTGTTTATCACATTAACTTTTATTATAATCAAAGGGATGTAATGAAAAACACCTTAAGAAACTCAAATACAACACAATCGTAGTAAGCCCATAGAGTATACATCAGTAATACAGAAGGAATAAAGGACAGTAAAATATAGCTATTTTTTATTCTAAGCAAATGATGGAAAAACACTATTTCATGAAATAGAAACATTGGGTTGAGATTAATAATTTGAAATATGGAAAGCTTATTGGTATATTTTCAAATAGCAGTTAAGATCTAGGCAGAAAAATAAAACCACTTTAGGTTTTTCAAACTGAGGTTATTTGATACAGGAATTGGGGAAAAGACTTGAGAGCGGGGCCACCCAGAAATCAGCAACAACAAGGAAGCTGTTAACATCACACCTGAAGGTCAGTGAGAGCAGGTGTTGTTACCATTGGAATCCAGAAATCATGGCTGCCTCCCAGCTGCTTGTAAATAGGAGTGATGGGCTGGAGAAAAGAGCTAGAGGCACAGAGGAAGCAGCTACAACCAGAGACATCACAGGAAGAAGAGAGAAAGGGAAATGCCCTATCTCCTGCCTCTAGAATTACAATCATTGCATCCAGCCTTCTGTTTCAGATCCAACCTGGAAACCTGACGCCAAGGGCTTCATAAACAATGTAAGTTCCTGAAAAATGCAGTAAAGCTAAAGATGGGCACAATGTAGATCTGAGAGAAGGCAGTTCAGTTATCCTCCCTCCTCCACAGTTCACCAAAATGTAACGGGGTGAATTTGGATAAATCGTCAAACTACTGTGAAACTGCTTCTTTATGTAGAAAATAAAAATATTAGATGCTACCCCTGCCTCATAGGAATATTGAGTGAAGCAAATGAGATGATTGGTATGAATGCTTTGTCTATGTGGCAAGGCTCAATAAAAATATAAACTTTTACCATGTTGGTATTTAATAAAGTACAACAGTTCTTGTTCTATTGATTAAAGAACTCTAGCAACAATTGCAACTGGCGAGAGCTTTTATTGATCATTTTATAACAATTTTTAAAGGTATAATTATCTTTTTTTAACTTTTATTTTAAGTTCAGGGCTACATGTGTAGTTTTGTTACATAAGGCAACTTGTGTCATGAGGGTTTGTTGTACAGGTTATTTATCACCCAGGTATTAAGCCTAGTACCCATTAGTTATTTTTCTTGATCCTCTCTCTCCTCCCATCCTCCACCCTCCAATAAGCCCAGTGTGTGTTGCTCCCCACTATGTGTCCATGTATTTTCATTACTTAGCTCCCACTTATAAGTGAGAACATATGGTATTTAGTTTTCTGTTCCTGTGAGTTTCTGAGACTACTGACCTCCAGCTCCAGCCATACCCCTTTAAAGACATGATCTCATTCATTTCTGTGGTTGTGTAGTATTCCATGGTGTATATGTATAAATCAATAAGTTGTAGATTTTAAAATAACTTCATGAGCTTATATACCTACAAAAATATATGATTATTTTTATTTTCAATTTTTGTGAGTACATAGTAGGTGTATGTATTTATAGGATGAATTAAATGTTTTGATGAAAAACATGAAAAACACGAAATGTTTTAATATAGACATGCAATATGAAATAAGCACATCATGGAGAATGGTGTATCCATCCCCTCAAGCATTAATCTTTTGAGTTGCAAGCAATACAATCACACTCTTTAAGTTATATTAAAATCTACAATTATTATTGACTGTAGTCACCCTATTGTGCTATCAAATAATAGGTCTTATTCATTCTTTCTACCTATTTTCTTTGTACCCATTAACCATCCCAAACTTTTCCCCAACCCCTCACTACCCTTCCCAGCCTCTAGAAACCATCCATCTACACTCTATGTCCATGAGTTCAATTGTTTTGATTTTAAGATCCCACAATTAAGGAAGGACATGCAATGTTTGGCTTTTTGTGCTTGGCTTATTTCACTTAATGACCTCCAGTTCTATCCATGTTGTTGCAAATGAATGGATCTCATTCTTTTTTATAATTGAATAGCATTCCGTTGTGTATGTGTACCACATTTTGTTTATCCATTTGTCTCTTGATGGTCACTTAGATTGCTTCCAAATATTAGCTATTGTAAAGAGCGCTACAACAAACATAGAAGTGCAAACATCTCTTCAACATACTGATTTTCTTTATTTTGCTTATATACCCAACAGTGGGATTACTAGATTATACGGTAGCTCAGTTTTTAATTTTTGAGGAATCTCCAAGCTGTTCTCCATAGTAGTTGTACTAATTTACATTGCCACCAACAGTGTTCAAGGGTTTCTTTTTCTCCACATCCTAGCCAGCATTTGTTATTGTCTGTCTTTTGCATATAAGTCATTTTAACTGGGGTGAGATGATATCTTATTGTAATTTTGATTGGCATTTCTCTGACGATCAGTGATGTTGGGCACCTTTTCGTATGCCTGTTTTCCATTTGTATGTCTTCTTTTGAGAAATGTCTATTCAAAATCTTTTGCCCATTTTTGATTAGGTTATTAGATTTTTTCCTATGGAATTGTTTGAGCTATTTATATATTCCAGTTATTAATCTCTTGTTCAGATGGGTGGTCTGCAAATCTTTTCTTCCATTCTGTGAGTTGTCTCTACACTTTGTTGATTGTATCCTTTGCTGCACACTACAGCACTACTGTATATTCTCACAAGCAATATATGGTTGTTCTAGTTTCTCCATATTCCTGCTTTTAAAGCTTTTTAAGCTTAAGCTTTTTAACTTGATGTAATCTCATTTGTTCATATATGCTTTGGTTGCTTGTGCTTCTGGAGTATTGCTCAAGAAATCTTTGATCAGACCAATAACCTGGAAATTTCCCCAATGTTTTGTTGTAGTAGTTTCATAGTTTGAGGTTTTAGATTTAATTGTTTAATCCATTTTGATTTGCTTTCTGTATATGGTGAGAGATAGGGATTAACTTAGCCAAAGAAGTGAACGATTTGTATAATGGAAACTATAAGACACTGAAGAAAGAAAACACTGAAAAATGGGAAAATAGTCTATGCTCATGGATTGGAAGAATCAATATTGTTAGAATGTCCAAAAATGTTCCAAATAAATCTACAAATTCAATGCAATCCTTATCAAAATACCAAGGTTTCATTGGTATTTTGTTTCATTCTTTTGCATGTGTATATCCGGTTTTCCTGGCACCATTTGTTGAAGAAGAGACTGCCTTTTCCCCAGTGTATGTTCTTGGCACCTTTTGACCAAGAACCGCATTGGCTATTCTGGGTATTTTGTGGTTCTATATAAATTTTAGGATTTTTTTTCTATTTCTGTGAAGAATGTCATGGATATTTTGATAAGGATTGCATTGAATTTGCAGATTGCTTTGGAACATTGTTGGACATTTTAACAATATTGATTCTTCCAATCCATGAACATATACTATTTTCCAATTTTTTTCAATGTTTTCTTCAATTTCTTTCTTCAGTGTCTTATAGTTTCCATTAAACAAATCGTTAACTTCTTTGGCTAAGTTAATTCCTAGGTATTTAATTTTCTGTGTGGCTACAGTAAATGGGATTACTTTTTAAATTTCCATTCCACATTGTTCACTTTGGTATATAGAAATGCAACTAATTTTTGTATGTTGATTTTGTATCCTTTGACTTTACTCAATTTGTTTATCAGTTCTAATAGTTTTCTTTTAGAGCCTTAAGGTTTTTCCAAATATAAGATCATATCATCTGCAAACAAAGGTAATTTGATTTCTTCCTTTCCAGTTTGGATTCCCGTTATATCTTGATCTTGTCTGATTGCATTGGCTAGGACTTTCAGTACTATGTTGAATAACAGTGGAGACAGTGTGAATCCCTATTGTGTTCCAGATCTTAGCAGAAAGGCTTTCTGCAATTATCTTTATTTAATGCTAGAACTAAAGGATATATAGATATATATGTTTCTATATTTATATAAACACATAAAAGTTTGAGATCTAACATGAGGTTATAGTTTTATTGAATATAATATACTGATTTAATATTTGTATTTTGGAGGAAATTAGACTACTTTGTAAATAACATGAATTTTGATGCCTCTACATGATTAAGTTAGACTATCTGATAACTTACATTAATAATTTTAGAAACACTTTCTGGAAAATTTGTACTGGCAGTATGCAGGCAATATAAAATGCATTAAAAGTTGTATTCTGTAAGTTAATGATGTAAATTTAAGCTGTGTGGTGAACTTGAAATGCATTTTTGCATAAAAAATCACAAAACATTCTAGTAATAGCAAATTTTATCCACAATGAATTACAAATACTGTTTGAACCTAGTGTAAAATCAAATGTCATTAAGTAACTTGTCTTTTAAACATAAATATGTTTAAACACACAAAAACACTACTCAACCAAAGAAACAGACGGTAACTAAGATTAGCATTTTGAGGAACTGCCAAACTGTTTCCCAGAGTGACTGCATTACTGTATATTCTCACAAGCAATATATGGTTGTTTCAGCTTCTCCACATTCCTGCTAACACTTGTGATTGATTGTCTCTTGTTTATTATAGCCACCCCACTTGGTCATGGTGTATAAATATTTTTATGTATTGCTATATTCAGTTTGCTAGGATTTTTTTGAGGATTTTTGCGTCTATATTGGCTAAAGTTATTTTCTCTAGTTTTCTTCTAATGTCTTCATCTGGTTTTAATATCAGTGTAATATTTGATACATAGAATAAATTGGGAAGTCAGTTTATATATTATTTACATATTTTGAATTATATATAATTTGAAAATATTTTATCCCATTTGGTTTGTAGTTGTTCTTTTCATTTTCTTTTTTTAAATAAATAATTCTTTTTAAAAAAAATTTAGCTTTAGGGGATACATGTACAGGTTTGTTATATGAATATATTGTGTAATGGTGAAGTTTGGGCTTCTAGAGTACCCACCACCAAAATAGTGAACACTGTGCCAATAGGTAATTTTTTAACCCTCATTCCGTCTCCCATTTTGCCCCATTTTAGAGTCCCCAATGTATATTTTTTTCATCTTTATGTCCATTTGTACCCATTGTTCAGATCCAAATTCTAAGAATATGTAATATTTAAATTTATATTTTTCAGTTATTTCACTTAGGATAATGGCTTCCAGTTCCACCTATGTTGCTACAAATTACATGATTTTATTCTTTTTAATGGCTGTATATTATTCCATGGTGTGTGTACATTCCATGGTGTGAGACATTTTCTTTATCCAACCAACCATTGAGAGACATTTAGGTTGATTTCAAGACTTTGCTATTGAGTATAGCACTGCAATAAACATACTAATATAGGTGTCTTTTTGATATAATGATTTATTTCACTTTGGGTAGAACCGAATAGTAGGATTGCTGGGTTGACTAGTAGTTCTATTTTTAATTCTTTGAAAAGTCTCCATACTGTTTTCCATTGAGGTTTTACTAATTTACATTCCCATAACTGTGTATAAGCATTACCTTTTCTCTGCATCCATGCCAATATCTGTTTTTTTTTAACTTTTAATAATAGCCATTCTTACTGCTGTAAGATGGTATCTTACTATGGTTTTAATTTGCATTTATCTGATGATTAGTAATGCTGATTATATTTTCATATGTTTGTTGACTGCCTGTATGTCTTCTTTTGAGAAATGTCTGTTCATTTCCTTTGTCCATTTTTTAATGGGGTTATTTGTTTTTTTCTTGTTGAGTTGGTATTGAGTTGTTGGATATTAGTCATTCATCAGAGGTATAATTCGCAAATTTTTTCTCGCATTCTGTAGGGTGCTCATTTATTTACTCTGTTAATTAGTACTTTTGTTGTGCAGAATCCTTTTAGTTTAATTAAATTTCTTTTGTTTATTTTTCTTGCATTTGCTTTTGAAGGCTTAGTTATAAATTCTTTGCCTAAGGCAATGTCCGGAGAAGTTTTTTCTTGATTTTTTTCTAGGATTTTTATAGTTTCTGATCTTCCATTAAAGTATTTAATCGACCTTGAATTAACTTTTGTATATGGTGAGAGATAGGGGTCTAGTTTCATTCTTCTGCATATAGCTAACCAATTTTTCTAACACCATTTATTGAATAGGGTGTTCTTCCTACATTGTTTATTTTTGTCATCTCTGTTGAAGATCAGTTGGTTGTAGGTATGTGGCATTATTTCTGGATTTTCTATTCTGTTCCATTTGTCTATGTGTCTATTTTTGTTTCAGTACCCTGCTGTTTTGGTTACTATATCTTTGTAGTATAATTTGAAGTCAGGTAATGTGATGTTGTTGGCTTAGTCCATTTTTGCTCAGGATTGTTTAAGCTATTTGGGCTCTTTTTTTTGGTTCTATATGATTTTTAGGATTTTTTTTCTAATTCTGCAAAAAATGACGTTGGTAATTTAAAAGGAATAAAATTGAATCTGTATATTGCTTTGGGCAGTAAGATGATTTTAATGATATTGATTCTTCCAACCCAAGAACATGGGATGTTTTCACATTTGTTTGTTCCAAGTATGGTTACTTTCATCAGTGTTTTGCCGTTTGCTTTGTAGAACTCTTTCATCTCCTTGGTGAAATATATTTCTAGGTAATTTTTTTTGTGGCTCATGTAAATGGGATTGTATTCTGGATTTTGCTCTCAGCCTGAACATTATTGGTGTATATAAATACTACTGATTTTGTAGATTGATTTTGTATCCTGAAACTTTACCAGTCATTTATCAATTCTAGGAGTCTTTTGAAGGAATCTTTGGGGTTTTCTAGCTATAAGATAAGGTCATCATCAAACAGAGATAACTTGACTCCTTCTTTTCCAATTTGAATACCTTTTATTTTTTTCTCTTCCATAATTACGCTGGCTAGGACTTCCAATATCATGTTGAATAAGAGTGGTATGAATGTACCGGCTTCTTTTGTCCCAGGTATTTATTTGGAATGTTTTCAACTTTTCCATATTCAGAATGATCTTGGCTGTGGTTTTTGTTATACATGGCCCTTATTATTTCAAGGTAAGTTCTACTGATTTGTATGTGATGAGTGTTTATATCTGAAGAGAAGTTGGATTTTATTGAATGCTTTTTCTGCATCTATTGAGATGATTATGTGGTTTTTGTTTTAAATTCTGTTTATATGGTGAATCACATTTATTGATTTGTGTATGTTGAACTATCCTTGCATCTCTGGAAAAAAACCCACTTGATTGTGATGTATTTCTTTTTCATGTAATGTTGGATTTGGTTTGTGACATAGTTTAGTTCTGAGCCCCCAACCAAATCTCATCTTGAATTGTACTCCCATAAGTCTCATGTGTTGTGGGAGAGACCTGGTGACAGATAATTTGAATCATGGGAGCAGTTTCCCTTCTGTTATTCTCATGGTAGTGAATAAGTCTCACGAGAGCTGATGGTTTTATCAGGGGTTTCTGCTTTTGCATCCTTCTCATTTTCTCCTGCTGCTGCCATGTAAGAAGTGCCTTTCACCTCCCGCCATGATTCTAAGGACTCCCCATGTGGGATTCTAAGTCCAATTAAACCTCTTTTTCTTCTCAGTCTTGGGCATGTCATTATCAGCAGCATGAAAACGGACTAATACAGTAAATTGGTAGCAGTAGAGTGGAGTGTTGCTGAAAATGTACCTGAAAATGCGGAAGTGACTTTGGAACTGGGTAAGAGGCAGAGGTTGGAACAGTTTGGAGGGCTCAAAAGAAGACAGGAAGATGTGGGAAAGTGTAAAACTTCCTAGAGACTTGTTAAATGGCTTTGACTAAAAGCCTGATAGTGATATGAACAATAAAGTCCAGGCTGAGGTGGTCTCAGATGGAGATGAGAAAATTGTTGGGAATTGGAGCAAAGGTGATTCTTGTTATTTTTTAGTAAAGAGTCTGGTGTCATTTTTGCCCCTGCCCTAGAGATTTGTGAAACTTTGAACTTGAGAGAGATGATTTAGGGTATCTGATGGAAGAAATTTCTAAGAAGCAAAGCATTCAAGAGGTGACTTGGGTGCTATTAAAGGCATTCGATTTTAAAAGGGAAGCAGAACATAAAAGTTCAGAAAATTTGCAGCCTGACAATGTGATAGAAAAGAAAATTCCATTTTCCGAGGAGAAATTCAAGCCAGCTGCAGATATTTGCATAAGTAATGAGGAGCCTGATGTTAATCCCCAAGCCACAATGGAGAAAATAGCTCCAGGGCATGTCAGAGACATTTGTTGCAGCCTCTCCCATCACAGACCCAGAGGTCTAGGAAGAAAAAATGGTTTTGTGGGCAGGGCCCAGGGTCCCTGTGCTGTGTGCACTCTAGGGGCTTAGTGCCCTGTGTCCCAGCTGCTCCAGGCATGGCTGAAAGGGGCCAATGTAGAGCTCAGGCTGTGGCTTCAGAAGGTGGAAGCCCCAAGGCTTGGCAGCTTCCACATGGTGTTGAGCCTGCAGGTGCAACGAAGTCAAGAATTGGGGTTTGAGAACCTCTGTCTAGATTTTGGAAGATGTATGGAAGTACCTGGATGCCCAGGCAGAAGCTTGCTGCAGGAGTGGGGCTCTCATAGAGAACCTCTGCTAGGGCAGTGCAGAAGAGAAATGTGGAGTTGCAGCCCCCACACAGAGTTCCTACTAGGGCACCACCTAGTGGAACTGTGAAAAGAGGACCACCAGCCTCCAGACCCCAGAATGATAGATCCACCTGAACGGTGCACCTGGAAAAGCCACAGACACTCAACTCCAGCCCATGAAAACAGCTGGGAGGGAGGCTGTACCCTGCAAAGCCACAGAGGCAGAGCTGCCCAAGACCATGGGAGCCCACCTCTTGCATCAGCATTACCTGGATGTGAGACCTGGAGTCAAAGGAGATCATTCTGGAGCATTAAAATTTGACTGCCTCGCTGGATTTTGGACTGGCATGGGCCCTGTAGCCCATTTGTTTGGGCCAATTTCTCCCATTTGGAATGGCTGTATTTACCCAATACCTGTACCACCATTGTATCTAGAAAGTAATTAGCTTGCTTTTGATTTTACAGGCTCATAGGCTGAAAAGACTTGCCTTGTCTCAGATGAGACATTGGACTGTGAAATTTTGGGTTAATGCTGAAATGAGTTAAGGCTTTGGGGGACTGTTGGAAAGGCAGGGATTGGTTTTGAAATGTGAGGACACGAGATTTGGAGGGGTCGGGGTAAAACGATATGGTTTGGCTTTGTGTCCCCACCCAAATCTCATGTTGAATTGTACTCCTATAATTCCCACATGTTGTGGGAGGGATCCCTTGGGAGATAATCTGAATCATGGAAGCAGTTTCCTCAATACTGTTCTCATGATAGTGAATAAGTCTCACGAGATCTGATGGTTTTATCAGGGGTTTCTGCTTACCATGTTTCTCATTTTCTCTTACCATCGCCATGTAAGAAGTGCCTTTCACCTCCCACCATGATCTGTTGTATCATGATTCTGAGGCATCCCCAGCCATGTGGAACTGCAAGCCCAATTAAACCTCTCTTTCTTCCCAGTCTCAGGTATGTCTTTATCAGCAGCGTGAAAATGTACGAATACAGTTTGCTAGAATTTTGTTGAGAATATTTGCATGTATGTTCATCAGGGATATTGGCTTATTGTTATCTTTTCTGTTGTGTTTTTGAGTGATTTTGTTATCTGGTGATACTGGTTTCATAGAATGCATTAAGGAGGAGCCTTTCTCCTCAATTTTTTGGAATACTTTCAGAAATATTTGTACCAGCTCCTCTTTGACATCTGGTAAAACTCAGCTATGAATCCATCTGGTCCTAGGCTTTTCTGTTGAGAGATTTTATATAACTGTTGGAATTTAATTAATCATTATTAGTTTGTTCAGGATATTTATTTATTTCTGATTCATTCTTGATGGTTGATATATTTCCAGAAATTTATCCATTTACTCCCGGTTTTTGGTTTTGTGTATGTAGAGATGGAGAGATGTTCATTGTAGTCTCTGATGAGCTTTTGTATTTCTGTGGTATCAGTTTATCAGTTGTAATATTACCCTTATCATTTCTTATTGTGCTTATTTGAATCTTCTTTCTTTTTATCTTGGTTAATCTAGCTTGTGGTCTATCAATTTTTTTCATTCTATGGAAGAACCAAGTTTTCATTTTCTTGATTCTTTGTATCATTTTTCTGGTCTCAATCTTATTTACTTCTTCTCTGATCTTTGTTATTCCTTTTCTGTGTTAGCTTTGGATTTGGTTTGTTCTTGTTGTTCTGTTTCCTTGAGGTACAATATCATGTTGTCAATTTGAAATCTTTCTATCTTTTTAAAATAGGCAATTAACACTATAAACTTTCTTCTTAGTACTGTTTTGGCTGTATCCCAAAGGTTTTGGTCTGTTGTATCTCTGTTTTCATTTAATTTTTTTAAAATTTCTGTCTTAATTTAGTTATTTACTCAAAAGCCAATGAGGAGCAAGTGTTGTAGTTTTCATGTATTTGTGTAGTTTTGAGAATTCCTCTTGGTATTGATTTCTTTTTCTGTTTTTTTTTTTTTTTTTTTTTTTTTTTTTTTTTTTTTGAGTCAGAGTCTCACCCTGTCGCCTAGGCTGGAGTGCAGTGGTGCGATGTTGGCTCACTGCAGCCTCTGCCTCCCAGGTTCAAGCC
Source organism: Homo sapiens (assembly GCF_000001405.40). NCBI lineage: Eukaryota > Metazoa > Chordata > Mammalia > Primates > Hominidae > Homo > Homo sapiens. The sequence continues at coordinate 28,194,758 of NC_000021.9, read as the reverse complement.
TCAGCCTCCCAAGTAGCTAGGACTACAGGTGCGCACTGCCACGTCTGGCTAATTGGTATTGATTTCTAATTGCACTGTGGTCTGAGATGATACTTGATAAGATTTTGATTTTTTTTGAATTTATTGAGACTTGCTTTATGGCCAGGCATACAATGAATTTTGTAGAATGTTCCATGCACAGATGGGAAAAATGTATATTCTGTGTTTGTTGGGTTGAGTGTTCTGCAAATGAATATTAGGTCCATATGGTCTAGAGTACAGTGTAAGTCCAGAGGTTTTTGTTGTTTTTGTTTTTGTTGATTTACTGTCTCTGTGATCTATCTAGTGCTGTCAGTGAAATGTTGAAATTCTCCAGTATTATTGTATTGCCATCTATCTCTTTTCTTAGATGTAATAGTATTTGTATTATGAATCCATGTGCTCCAGGGTTGGGTGCTTATCTATTTAAGATGGTTGAATCTGCTTGTTGTTTTCAATGTTTTATTATTATATAATGCCCTTCTCTCCTAGAAATGCCTACACATCATAGGTTTGGTCACTTTACATAATCCCATATTTCTCAAAGTCTTTGTTCATTTAATTAAATTCAATTTTCTTTACTTTTGTCTGACTGGGTTAATTCAAAAGACTGGTCTTTAAGCTCTTCATTTCTTTCTTCTGCTTGTTCTAATCTGTTGTTAAAGTTTTCAATTGTAAGTTGAAATTTCTTCACTGAATTTTTCATTTCTAGAGGTTCTGTTTTTTTTTTCTTTTTTTTAACCTATATCTATCACATCTTTCATATCCTAAATTGCCTTTTTGGTTTATTTCTGTTGGTTTTCAACTTTCTCTTGGATTTCACTGAGCTTCCTTACAATTCACATTTTGAATTCTTTATCTGCCATTTTAGAAGTTTCATTTTGGTTAGAATCCATTGCCATAGAGCTAGCATAGTTCCCTGGGGGTGTTGAAATACTCTGTCTTTTTGTATTGTCAAGAGTTTTTGTGCTGATTTCTTCTCATCTGAAGAAGCTGTCACTTCTTATTTTTGGAATTGCTATCATTTAATTGGGACTTTAAAAAAAATGTTTCTCCCTTGAGGGGCTGACTGTAATGTATGTTGTATGTGATCATTTGGCTTTGTTTCTGGGTGCTTTCAGGGGACCAAGGCTCTGTGTGGGTTCATTTGTTATAGATAGCTTTTGCCTCATGGCTTCCTCAAATTCTACTTGTTGTAGCTATGTACTGGGTGGATGAGCTGACTCACTATCTTCTGTGGGGCTGGGAATGCAGGTGTCTCAGGAAGCTTCTTTTGTACCCTGGTACTGTGGCCTTCTGTCAGCAAGGTTTTTATTTGGTATTGCAGTTTGGTCTCCAGTCCAGTAGGTGGTGATTTAAGAGCAAGGGTTAGCTTGCCATCGGGAACACTGATGATGAGTGGAAGCACCCACCCCGACAGGATAGCAGAGGAAGTTCTTGGTGGGAGGCACTGAGGTCTGGGGTGAGAGAGAAGGGGCTGTCTCAGCTCTTTGTCCTGAGCAGGAAGAAACATGATTTAGTTCACTATCAGGCCCCTGTTAGTGAATAGGGCTCATGAACTTCAGTTTAGATATACCCTGTCCTTTCTCTCTGGGCCTCAATGCATCTGAGGTCTGTGGGAAATGCCCCTCTTGTGGCTACCTCTGACATGGACTCAGGGCAGAACACCTTCCCCCCAATCCAAAAAAAAAGGAGCTCTGAAGCTGCCCTCGATGGCAGGAATGCTGCCACTTGGTGTAGGGAGCAGGAGATTATCCTACACTTCCTGACACCCAGGACCACAAGCACACTTTCAACCTGGGTGCAGCAGCCATGAATAGCACTGGAAAGGCTGTCTCTAAGCGCACTTGTGCCAGCCCCCAGCAGGAAAGGCCTCAGCTGTGTCTGCAGCAGTGTGAGGGAGTAAGAGGTGGTACCCTCTCCATGTCTGCTCCCAGCCACTAGTGCTGCTTGTCTGCTGGTGATATGGTTTGCCTCTGTGTCCCCACCCAAATATCACCTTGAATTGTAATAACCCCACGTGTTGTGGGAGGGACCTGGCTGGAGGTAATTGAATCATGGAAGTGTGTTTTTCCCATGCTGTTCTTGTGATAGTGAATAAGTCTTATGAGATCTGATGGTTTTATAAAGGGGAGTTCCCCTGCACATGTTCTCCTGCCTACCTCCATGTAAGACGTGACTTTGTTCCTCATTCACCTTCTGCCATGATTGTGGAGCATCCCCAGCCATGTGGAACTGTGAGTCAAATTAAACCAGTTTCCTTCATAAATCACCCAGTCTCAGGCATGTCTTTATTAGCAGTGTGAGAACAAACTAGTACAGCTGGGACAGAACAATGCTTCCCCTCTTGGGAGAACTGCACTATGCTGTGATTCCTTTATCCCAAGGGGGATTTGGTGAGGCACGCTCCCCTCCCCTAGGGGCTGTCCATCCTAAGGGCTAGATCTCCAGGGAATCACTGGTCCCCCATGACTGCCAAAGCCAGAGCAGATTCTGGAGAACATTTGTGGGGCATCTGGGGATAAGGCAACCCTGAGATTCCCCAGGTAGTTGTCCTTGATGGAGGCACAACCAGTACAGTGTCTGCTGCCTCAATTTGGGTATGACGGAGTGCTAGTGCACTTGCAGGAGCTGGTCACCTGGTGCTCTGCCCCCAGGAAGCTCGCAAATTGTCAAGGACAGTAGTCCTTGAGTCCTGGGCTCAAGAGGGCAGAGAGGCTCCTGGACAATTCAGTGGTCAGCAGTTTGTTGCAGGGGAGAGGAGAGAAAAGAATACCCACCCCTATCCTTTGCATGGGACTCCAGGTTCCCTGGAGTCCAATCTCTGCCAGATTCTTGCTGCCTTCCCTTTCTGCACTCCAGCTTCTTCCCATGGGTTGTCTGACAGGTTTCAGCACTCTTTCCTCAGCTTTCCACTCCTGGAATGACCATTCACTTATAATTTTGATCTTTCTGAGGGAAGCTTGCATCTTTTGTCTCTAGTTGGCCATCATTTCCCTGCTTCCAGTACCACATTGTCTTGATTACTGTAGATTTGCAGTAAGATTTGAAAGTAAAAAGTAGAAGCCCTCCAACTTTGTTCTCCTTTTTCAAGATTGTTTTGGCTACCTGTTGGTCACAGGGTGACAGACGCTGTGGTGGAGTTATCTTGATCTCCTGCAACAGAGCACATGGAGCAGTGAAAAATGGACCACTGTTCATTTTCTTGATGATATTCTTTTGCAACTCGAAAGTTCAATTTTCATAAAGTTCAAATTATCATTTTTTCTTTTTTTTACCTCAAATCATGATGTATGCCTATGTTTCCTTTCAAGAATTTTATAGCTTTTATATTTAGATTTCATCCACTTGAAATATAAGGAAGCTGACCAAATTCATTCTTTTGCATGTAGATACCTTTTGCTGAAATGTCTGTTATTCTCCCCATTGAATTGTGTTGGGATCCTTGTTTGAAATAAATTGGCTGCAAATTGTAAGGGTTTACATCTGGACTCTTAATTAGATTATATTAATGTATTTGTCTATTCTTATGCCACTACAGCACTGTCTTGATGACTGTAGCTTTGAAATAAGTCTTGAAATGAAAAAGTGAAACTCCTTTAACTTTGTTCTCCTTTTTCAAGATTGTTTTGGCTACCTTTAAATTTTCATGTGAATTTTAGGATTAGCCTGTCAATTTCTGCAAAAAAGCCATAAGTTACTTTGATCGACATTTTGCTGAATCTGTAGGTCAATTTGAAATGTATTGCCATTCTTCACAATATTGTCTTGTGATCCATGAACATGAGTGTTTCTAATTAGATGTTTCTCAGTTTTCATCAACAGTGTTCAGTAGTTTTTACAATATTTATTTTGCACTTCTTTTTTACATTTATTCCTAAGTATTTTATTCTTTTTGATGGTATGGAAAATAAAATCATTTTTGTCATTTCATTTTAGATTGCCCATTTCTAGTGTGTAGAAATACAGTTGATTTTTCTGTATTCATTTTGAATTTTTTTAATGAAATTCATTCCTAAAGATTTTATTATTTTTATGTTATTCTTAATGGGATTATCTTCTTAATTTTGTTACTTATTCATCAATAGAAATAAAATTTATTTTGTTTATTGCTTTATACTCTGCAAGCTTGTTGAGTTCATTTCTTAGTTCTGATAGTTTTTTTAGTGGCTTCCTAAATATACATATTTTTAAAGAAGAGTTATGGAAGCAGAGACTGCCGGTATACATCAATGCCTATTTTCTCTTCTCTACTTGGTTCCATGTCTAAACTGAATTTCTCAACTGAATTTCTTGTGTGGCCACAAGTCTGGGTTCTAGCCAGACTTATGTAGTGGGTTAAAGTGGCACACACTGCTTTCAGGTAGGATCTAAATTCTTCTGGGCCATCCCATGGTGCTCCACATCCCTTTACTGCAGACAATGATGAGGATGTAGTAAAGAGTTCTGATGTCTGAGAAAATGGTAGATAATACAAACATTAAGGAGCCAGAATTTAAACTCTAATGGAGTAGACCCTTTCACTCCACTATAGACTAAATGTTGTCACTTACCCCCACCCCCATCAAATTTATATGTTAAAGCCCTAACCCCCATAGGGACTGTATTTGGAAATAGGTCTTTAGGTGGTAATTAAGATTAGGGTGAGGCCCTAATGTGATAGAATTGGTGGCCTTATAAGAAAAGAAGAAAAATAAACAATCTGACAATGCATCTTAAAGATCTAGAAAATCAAGAGCAAAACAAACCCAAAAGTAGTAGAAGAAAATAAATAATAAAGATCAGAGCAGAAAGAAATAAAATTGAAATGAAAAAAAGAACAAAAAAGATCAATGGAACAAAAAGTTGCTTCCTTGAAACCCTAAGCAAAATTGACAAACCTTTAGTCAGATTAACTGAAAAAAAGATAAGTTTCAAATGAAATCAGAAATGTAAAAGGAGACACAACAACTCATACTGCAGGAATTCAATGGATCATTAATGGCTACTCTGAGCAAATATATACCAATGGATTGAAAAATATAGAAGAAATAAACAAATTCCTAGACACATGCAACCTACCAAGATTGAACCAAAAGGAAATCCAAAACCTGAACAGACCAATAACAAGTAATGAGATTGAAGCTCTAATAAAAGGTCCCCCAGTAAAGAAAAGCCCGGTACCTGGTGGCTTCACTGCTGAATTCTACCAAACATTTAAGGAAGAACTAATACCAATGTTACACAAATTATTCTGAGAAATAGAGGAGGAAATGCTTCCAAACTCATTCCATGAGGCCCAGATTACCCTGATATGAAATCCAGACAAAGACACATCAAAAAAAGAAAACTACAGACCAATACATCTGATGAATACTGATGCAAAAATACTCAACAAAATACTCGCAAACCAAATGCAACCATACATTAGAAAGACCATTCACTATCAATGGGGATAGGAGAAACATACCTCATCATAATTAAAGCCATATTCTACGGACTCACAGCTAGTTATCATAAAGAATGGGGAATAACTGAAAGCCTATCCTCTAGATCTGGAATTCTGTAGTAAAAAATCTAGTAATTCAATGAAAAAGTGGGCACAATATTTTCATAGGAATTTCTCAAAGAAGACATACAAAGGCAAACATAGATATGAAAAGGTGCTCAACATCACTGATCATCAAAGAAATGCAAATCAAAACTACAAATTACATATAACCTCACCCCAGTTAAAATGGCCTATCTTCAAAAGACAGGCAATAACAAATGCTGGTGAGAATGTGGAGAAAAAGGAATCCTTGTACACTGTTCGTAGTCATGTAAATTTGTACAGGCACCATGGAGCACTGTTTGGAGATTCCTCAAAAAAACTAAAAATTGAGGTACCATATGATCCAGCAATACCACTGCTGAGTATATACCCAAAAGAAAGGAAGCCAGTATATCAAAGAGAATCTGCATTCCTATGTTTGTTGCAGCACTGTTTACAGGAGTTAAGATTTGGAAGCAACCTAAGTGTCCATCAACAGAGGAATAGATAAAGAAAATGTAGTACTTATAAACAAGGGAGCACTATTCAGCCATTTAAAAAAAGAATGAGAACCTGTCATTTGCAACAACATGGGTGGAACTGAAGATCATAATATTAAGTAAAATAAGCCAGGCACAGAAAGACAAACATCACATGTTCTCATTTATTTATGGGATATACAAATCAAAACAATTGAACTCATGAACACAGAGAGTGGAAGGATGGTTACCAGATGCTAGGAAGGGTACTGCGGGATTTAGGGGGAGGTGGGGATGGTTAATGGGTACAAAAATTAGAATGAATAAGACCTCTATTTGATAGCACAATAGGGTGACTATAGTCAATAATAACAATTATACATTTTCAAATAAAGAGTATAGTTGGATTTTTTGTAACTGAAAAGATAAATGCTTGAGGGAATGGATATCCCATTCTTCATAAGTGCTTATTTCACATTCCATGCTTGTATTGAAACATCTCATGTACCACGTAAATGTATACACCTACTATATAACCACAAAAATTAATAATAAGAATAACAAAAGAAAAGGGAAAAAGAGATCTCTCTCTCTCTGTCTTTCTCTCCACCATTGAGGACACGTCAAATAGTGAGAAGGCAACTGTCTATAAGCCAAGTAGAGAGCCCTCATTAGAAATCAAATTGACCAGCATCTTTGTCTTGAATTTCTAATCCTCCAGAACTGTAAGAAAATAATGTTCTATTGTTTAAGCTCCCCCATCTGTGGTACTTATTATGGCTGGCTAAGCTCACTGGTACATACTCCCATAGTGCCAGTCTGCTTCAGACCATGACATGAACTAGCAGTAAAGCTAAATTGTCTGAAACCAATAAGACTTGGAGTTGTTTGCTAAAGTAGTTAACGTGCTCTGACCAATATGGTAACAGAAGCAAATATGTGGAAAGATAATAATAAAAGAACATATGATAGCTGCCACAGATTTCAGTATTTTGACGATGACTGTAACTCAGTGAGCAGGAAATTTACCATAGGATTTGAACATGCAGAATATTACCTCTAGGTTCTTCAACAAAGTAGATAGTCATTATGTTGCCTCATAAAACACTGAGAGGAAAAAGAATGACAATTTTTATTTAGAAATTCTTCAAAAGAATGTTCTGTCAACCATTTGAAAGGCCAAATTCGATCTAGCAATTCTGAGTCTAGAACACACCAGCTGTTTGTTCTTTCATACTTGTCAAAATAAGAAAGTCAGGGAAAATTATGAACAGAGGAATATGTTCTAGCAAGTATACTCTTGGTGTGGGGACTGAAACAAAAGCAGTAAAAGAAAAATTGGGTGAGCTGTTGCACACCAGTTCTTAAATTTGAGGTCCATGCCTGATAAGTCCATTTAAACCATGGCTACAGTATTGAGTTGGAAATTTTTGTTTATTTCTCAAATAAAAAGGTATGTTTTCAATTGTATGTTTTTAAGAGGGGGAATAATCATAGCATATTTGAGCCATTGCATATCTACAAAGATTTTCATGTTGACATTTTGGTGAATAAAACTTGATTAGTTTGTTAATCACAATAGAGTAGGCTATGCTTTAACAGTAAATATGACCCCAAATCTTAATGGTTACATAAATATGTGTAGGCCGAATAATGCCTCCTCCTTGCCAAAGATGTCCATATCCTAATCCTAGAAACCTGTGAATATGTTACCATGATAACAGGAAATTTGCAGATGTGATTAAGTTAAGAATCTTGAGATGAAGAGATTATCCTGGCATACCTGGGTAGCCCCACTATAGTCACAAGGATCCTCCTAAGAGGGAGATGGGAAGGTCAAAGTCAAGAAGTGTATGTGGTTATAGAAGCAGAGGTTGGAGGAATGTGCTCATGAATTAAGATGTGGGCAGCCTCTAGAAGCTGTAAAAATCAAGGAACATCTTGTCCTCTAAAGTCTTCAGAGACAATGCAGATAGGCCATCATCTTGATTTTAGCTCTGTGAGAACTGTTTGTACTTTTGGTGTCCTCCAGAACTGTTAGATAATAATGTGGGGTTTTTTTTTTTTTTTTTTTGTATTTTTAACTCACTATAGATTTATGATAATTTGTTATAGGAACAACTGAAAACAAATACAGGAAGTTTATTCTTATGAAGATTACAACACAAATACATGTCTGATTGTTTTTCTTCCAGTAGTAATTTATGATTTTATTTTATTTTATATATTTCAATTTAATTTAATTTTAGACAGGGCTTCACTGTGTTGCCCAGGCTGGAATGCAGTGGCTCAATCCTAGCTCACTGCAGCCCCGAAGTTCTTGGCTCAATCGATCCACTTGCTTTAGCCTCCTGTGTAGCTGGTACTACAGGTACACATCACCACACTTGGCTTATTTTTAATTTTTTTTATAAAGGAAGGGTTTCACTAGACTGCCCAGGCTGGCCCTGAACTCATGGCAAGTAATCTTCCCACCTCAGCCTCTGAAACTGCTCACATTACAGGCATGAGCCACCATGCCCAGCCACTTTTCTTAGAATTGATCTGCATTCCTTTGCCTTTTGTATTATCCTTTAGAATTTGATCTTTCTGATGTCTTTTCTCTACTTTCTGAAATATTTCATTAAGTTGATTTTCTCAGAATCATATAGTAGGTTGGTATAAAAGTAATGGTGGTTTTTGCCATTACTTTTAATTTTACCTATTAAAATGTAACTATTTTTCCACAGTGTTCATTATGCTGATTTTTAAAATATAGATGTTAAATATAGTATTAAAGTTTAATCTGAAGTGAATATGTAATATTTATGCTTACCTGTCATCATTATAAATAATTAGAAAAACCATTAAATATTTCATAGCATTTATATGAAGATACAATTAGGTAATATGTGTAAAGTGTTCAGCACCAAACCTTCAAGCTTAGAAATGGCTGTTGATTTACATTATTTACACTTGGGATTATGGCACTTATTGAACTTTTTCTGGGAATAGAGATACAAAGATGAATAGAACACCAGTCCTTTCTTTGGAGTGCACAGTTGTATAAGAATAAATGGACATTTAAATAGATAGGTATAGGACATAATATGTGTTAGGTGTTAGAGAAGGGTTCTATGCTACATATATTTATTACCTCAAAAATTAATGTCTTAATCAGCTGGGTTTATAGTAAGATGGTAAATGTGTCCCAGGTTTTTCAAAACTCTTTAGTTAAACACTTTATTTACTAAAAAATCAGTATCTAAAAGCAGCCAAAGAGTTTCCATTTGAGTAAAACCTGAACAATGTAATTCATAATTCATTGTTATAATTTGAGAACCATTTTCATGTTCAATCTCCAGTTTTGTTATTTCAACATTTGTGAGTCTTTGGATTTTGCCCAAACCTTAAAGCATTGTTATTTTTACTAATTATAATTTAATATAATTGGCAAACTACAATGTCTAGTTCAGCATATCTGAAATTAGGTGACTCTATCCCACTGATTTTAATAAACTTGCCAAATTTTTCTCTAAAGCATATGGATAACTATTGAAGCATGATTTCAAAAGGGTGATCTAGCATTCACCTCTTGAAGAGATTTCTGTTTTTGACACATCCTGTTTTCTCATATGGTATATATTACAGAACTTAAAACTATTATTGCAATAATTATTACCTCTTGTGACCAAGGGAGTATTTATAAAATAAGTGTTAGGGTTTAAAGAAAAACAGTCCTGAAGCACTTAAAAAAGCAGATTTTCAGTAATCTTTGCAACTTTACCCTATGCAGAATTATTTTCCAGGATGACTGGAATAAAGCCAAAGCAAACATTTTCAAAAGTATATAAGTAATATCTATTCCTCTTTTATTTCTACAGATTGAGTTATTTAGTCATTATGGTGTCTATTACCTAATAATTAATAATGGCAAATGACCACAGTTAGATTTAATTATTTTAGACCTTTTAATATTCTTAATAATCATATAAATGAAATTGATAAAATTAATAGTTGTTTGAATACAATAGTTTGCATTTAATCAACATTTTATAATTTTCAAGCCAGTTACATATCCAGCATGTTATTTCACCTTTACAATTACTCTGTAAGATAAGAAATATGTTAAAATACCTATTTTACACAAAAGCAAACTCATGCCAAAGAGTTAAGCAACCTAAAATAGATCCTAAACAAATTAGTTATACATTTGAGAATAGAACTACTTTTGTTTATTCCAAAATATAAAATAAATCCCAGTGGTCTTTGTAAAAAGTATACCCTAAAAATGTATATAAAAATACATACAGTAACTTGAGCCTGGGCAACAGAGTGAGAGAGACTCCGTCTCAAAAAAATAAAAATAAAAATACATACAGTAACTTTTGAAGCAAATGGTGGTTCTATCATGTTGATCTACCCCAAAATTCTCAATATATCTCATTATCCTTATTTCATTATTACATCCTCATTACAAAACACAGCCACGCTCCAGATGACTAAACTCCTCACAACTATTTTTAAAATTTTATTTTTTATTGATACATAATAGATGTAAATATTTTCGAAATACATGTAATAAGTTAATTCACGTAAACTTCTTGCATTTGATAAATATCAAATCAGTGTAATTGGGTACATCCATTGCCTTAAATATTTGTCTTTTCTTTATGGTAGGCACATTTGCATTATTCTCTATTAATCACAATAGGCTAGGCTATGCTGTAACAGTAAATATGACCCCAAATCTTAATGGTTACATACATGTTTGGTAGGCAGAATAATGCCTCCTCCTTGCCAAATGTCCATATCCTAATCCCAGAAACCGGTGAATATGTTACCATGGTAACAGGAAATTTGCAGATGTAATTGGGATACATCCATTGCCTGAAATATTTGTCTTTTCTTTATGCTAGGCACATTTGCATTATTCTCTACAAGCAATTTTGATATATAAAATAATTATAAATTATAGTCACTGATTTATCAAACACTGTCTTATTTCCTCTATCAAACTGTATATTAGTACCCATGAATCAACCACTCTTTAACTTCCTCTTCCCCTTAATTCTTATGTATAACTACTAGAAGTGTCATATTTGCTCCAGTTGGGTTAGGTGTTTTGTATACCAGCATAGTTAACTTTTAAAAAAAAAACTACAAAACTCTTTTTCCAAAGTGGTCGTATTTGTCCATTTTCACACTGCTATAAAGAGCTTCTTGAAACTGGGTCATTTATAAAGAAAAGAGGGTTAATTGAATCACAGTTCTGCATGGCTGGGGAGGCCTCATGAAACTTGCAATGATGGCCAAAGAGGAAGCAGGCATGTCATACATGATGGCAGGAAAAAGAGAGAGCAAGCAAAGGGGGAAATGTTCCTTATAAAACCATCAGATTTCATGTGAATTTACTCACTATTATGAGAACAGCATGGGGGCAATGGCCCCCATGATCCAATTACCTCCCCTCAGGTCCCTCCTCCAACATGTTAGAGATGAGATTTGGGTGGAGACACAGAGCCCAATCATATAATTCTGCCCCTGGCCCCTCCCAAATCTCATGTCCTCACATTTCAAACACAATCATGCTTTCTCAACAGTCCCCCAAAGTCTTAACTCATTTCAGCATTAACTCAAAAGTCCAAGTCCAAAGCCTTTTTTGAGACAAGGCAAGTTCCTTCTGCCTATAATCCTGTAAAATAAGAAACAAGTTAGTTACTTCCAAGATACAAATACAAAACAATTTAGTTGCTTCCAAAAGAGTACAGGCATTGGATAAATTCTCCCATTCCAAATGGGAGAAATTGACCAAAACAAAGGGGTTACAGGTCCCATGCAAGTCAGAAATCCTATGGGGCAATCACTAAATCTTAAAGCTTTGAAATAATCTACTTTGACTCCATGTTTCACATCCAGAGGATGCTGATGCAAGGAGTGGGCACCCACATCCTTGGGCAGCTCTGCCCCTGTGGCTTTGCAGGGTACAGCTCCTGCAGCTGCTTTCTGGGCTAACATTAAGTGTCTGCAGCTTTTCCACACACATAGTCCAAGTTGTTAGTGGATCTGCCATTCTCGGATCTGGAGGATGATGGCCCTCTTCTCACAGATCCATTAGGCATGCCCCAGTGGGGCCTCTGTGTGGGGGTTCCAATTCCACATTTCCCTTTTGCACTGCCCTAGCAGAGACTCTCCATGAGGGCTCTTCCCCTGCAGCAGACTTCTGCCTGGACATCTAGGCATTTCCATACATTCTCTGAAATCTATGTGGAGGTTTCTCAACTTCAATTCTTGAATTCTGTGCACGCCTAGGCCCAACATCACATGGAGACCAAGGCTTATCGATAGCACCTTCTGAAGCAATGGCTCAAGTGTTACCTTGTCCCCTTTTAGCCATGGCTAGAGCTAGAGTGGGTGGGACACAGGGCACCAAGTTGGGATACTGCACAAAGAAGTAGGCCCTGGGCCTTGCCCACAAAACCAATTTTCCCTCCTTGGCTTCCAGGCCTGTGATATTAGGGGCTACTGTGAAGGTCTCTTACAGGCCCTTAGGAGACATTTTCCCCATTGTCTTGGCTATTAACATTCAGCTCCTCATTACTTATGCAAATTTCTGCAGCCAGGTGAATTTCTGCACAGAAAATGGCTTTTTATTTTTGTAACATAGGGTCGGGCTGCAAATTTTCCAAACTTTTATGCTCTGTTTCCCTTTTAAGTATAAGTTCCAATTTCAGATCATCTCTCTCAATTTCAAAGTTCCACAGATGTCTAGGGCCGGAGCAAAATGCTGCAAGTGTTTTTGCTAAAGTGTAGCAAGAGCAACCTTTGCTCCATTTCCCAATGAGTTCTCTCAAACTGTTCCCAACCTCTGCCTATTACCCAGTTCCAAAGTCGCTTCCACATTTTCAGGTATCTTTATAGCAGTGCCCCACTCCTGGTACAAATTTCTCTATATTAGTCTGTTTTTACACTACTATAAAGAACTGCCTGGGACTGCGTAATTTATAAAGAAAAGAGGGTTAATTGACTCACAGTTTTGCATGGCTGGGGAGGCCTCAGGAAACTTAAAATCATGGAGGAAGGGGTAGCAGGCACGTCTTATATGGTGGCAGGAGAGAGAGTGAGTGAAGGGGGAAGAGCCCCTTATAAAACCATCAGATCTCATGAGAACTCAATCACTATCATAAGAACAGCATGGGGGAGACTGTCCCCATGATCCAAACACCTCCTACCAGGTCCTCCTTTGATACATGGGGATTACAGTTCGAGATTTGGGTGAGGACACAGAACTAAACAATGTCAGTGATTATACTATTTCACATTCTCACTAGCAATGTATGAGAAATCTAGTTGTTTATATGCTTACTCACATGTGGTATTGTCAATCTTTTTAACTTTAACTATCTTAATAGGTCTGTGGTATTATCTCATTTAGATTTTTATTTTCATTTATCAGATGGATAATGTTGTTGAACTTATTTTCATAGGCTTGTTTGTTTCTTATTTGTTATCTTTGTGAACTGTCTTTTACAATCTTTGTCCATTTAAAAAGAAACTTGTTTTGTCTTCTTATTGAATTTTAAGGGCTCTTTATACATTATAGATACAAGTGCATTGTCAAATATATTTGAGATGTATTGAATATAGTTTGTCCTAGTCTGAGGCTTTCATTTTTAACAGCATGTTACAAAGAGAAGAAATCTTTAAGTTTGATTAAGACTAACGTCATTTTTTTGTTTTTGTTTTCTTCTTTTACAGTTTGTGCTTTTTGTGCCTTCTAAAAATTTCTTGCTTTTAAAGATTTGATCAAAAATAAAAACTACCAAATATTGTATAATACTAAGCATTTGAATCTGGGTTTCTTGGTGTAGATTAAAAGAAAAAAAGACATGCACAGTAGCAACTACCAAATCTGAAAATAAGTTAATCCTTTCTGTGTGTTTGCTGCAATTAAACTATTTTCACAAACAATTTATACTGCTCTAAAGGTCTATGTTTGTTTACATAGGAAGTGTTTATTTTTCCAAGAAAGTAAATTTATTGATTTTCTCATATGTCTCACAGACGCAAAGAAAAAAAAAAGGTTTCTTGAATGGTAGAAACACATTGGTGCTCTTTAGAATCATTTTAGTCTCAAACATTATACTACACACTATACATAGAAGCTAGTCCTCTGATACAATGTGACAGTCAATACACAGCAACATCCGAATAAGAATAATGCCAACAACTACAACACTATTCATCATTGTACACATACAAACTACTGTGATTACTACGAGCAGAGTACCTGGTAGCAAAACTCTGATTTCTATTCATTATTACAGTCAGATGGCAACTATCCATATTCAACCACAAACGTGTGTTCTTGTGATTTTTATCTTGTCTAACTCTTCAGACACTTGGCCACATATCAGATAAACATCCAGGTAAGTGAGTCTTTTACTGAAGTGAGACCAACTCAAAATCTTTCCTTATTTAGCAGTTGTACAACGAATACAACTCCCTCCAAAATAAATATAAGTATATATATATTTTTCAATTATACAGACTACTCCAATAGCATTTTTGGTTTTTGATTATTTTGTTTGTCTGTTTGTATAGAATATAGTTGGACCAGAAAAGGTATCCAATATAGGTAACATTTATAAAATTAAAAATAATGGTCAACCCAGCAATCCCATTACTATATATCTCTATCTCTATCTCTATCTATCTATCTATCTATCTATCTATCTATCTATCTATCTATCATCGATATATATGTATATATATAGAGAGAGAGAGAGAGAGTAAATGCAATCCAAATCTTGAAGAGGTATCTGCACTGCTATGTGCAGAATAAAACTTCTGCAGCTTTATTCACAATAGCCATAATATGGAATCAAGCTAAGTGTCCATCAACAAATGAGTAAATAAATAACATATGGTACATATACACAATAAACTACTATCTAACCTTAAAGAAGAATAAAGCCCTATTGCTTGTGATAACATGGGTGAACATGGATATGTTATGGTAAGTGAGATATACTAGGCACAGAAAGACAAATACTGCATGATCTCACTTATGTGTGGAATCCAAAAAAGGTGAACTCATGAAAGAGTAGAATGTTAGTTACCAGAAGTTGGGAGGGGTGAGGGCATTTGGGGAGATGTTGGTAAAAGAATACAAAATTTCAACTGGAAGAAATAAGTTCAAGAGATACATTGTACAACATGGTGACTACAGTAATAACAATGTATTAGATTTTTAAAAGAAAGTAAGACAGTCATGTTTAAGCCAAATCCCAGAATGTAGTTGTTGGGTGTTGGTGATATTTGACTAAGGCTTTCTTCAAGTCCTTGATAGGGTATGTATTTTATGGGCAATTATGTTGTTAGCAATTTTTCCAAAGTAATGATTCTTGATAAGTGATGCAATCAGAATCCTGTAATTTAAGATTAGTCTGTATGTGTGATGTGATATACTGTTGTGTATGTGTGATGTGATATATGCTGTTATACCATTATAACAATATCACAGATAAGTGACTTGATAAGTTATTTGATGTGTGATGTGATATACTGTTAACAGTCACTTATTAAGGAACAGTCACTTATTAAGAACTTACAAGTGCAACTAGTAACTTCATGTTCTTTTTTGTAAAGCATTTAAAATACTTGTTTACTATTCTTTTAAAATAATATAATTACAAAGTTAATACACATTCATTTCAAACTCTTAAACAGTCAATGATGCATACAAAATATATTAACTATTTTCCACATCTTGAGTACAGAAATGTGAATATTCCCAAACACTATAGGTTTTTTTGCCCTATAGAACATTAAACAAATGTCTCATTTGAAAAAAAGAAAAGTATATCAATAAAACAATATATCACATCACACATATTAATATGCTGTTGTATCTCTATAACAGTATATCACATCACTGTTATATAAATATAACAGTATGTCACATCACACATACAGATTAAAACTGATAAAGATAGTAAGAATTAAAAAATAATAATGATCAAGCCCATTTCCATAGCTGAAAAGAGAAACAAGTTAATTCAGTGGTTTTTGTTATCTTCCATAACAAAATCCTATCAGAAAGGTAATCCTGAAAAAGTTAAGTCCCCTTTTCCTCAAAGTGGTAGGTATAAATGAACATTTTGGGCCTTGTTTACAATAACTAATAGCTATAAAGTATCAAGAAGACAACCTCTGGGATTATTGTTTCTAT
The DNA here is from genome assembly GCF_000001405.40 of Homo sapiens. NCBI lineage: Eukaryota > Metazoa > Chordata > Mammalia > Primates > Hominidae > Homo > Homo sapiens. Next base: position 28,178,536 of record NC_000021.9, on the reverse strand, counting down.
TGATCATAAAGCAATTGCATGTCTCCTTAAAATATTTAGTTGTATTACCATTGCATGAGAATTGTAAAATAGCCTAATGGGTGGTAAGCAAACATAGTTACATACGGAACCATAGAGAATATGGCAGTATTTTTTAAATTACAATTTGAAAGTCACTGTTTTAAGTTTTAGAGAATTTAGCCTGTTCTCATTTTGTATTGTAAGTGAAATTGTTTTAGTCCTTTTATCTTTTTTGTGTTTATAATTTATTTTACTATGTTGTCAATTTTCTTTTTGTCTTATATAGTCTTTGCTTGCTTGATTAGTTCATTTTCTGTTTCATTTTTTAGATTCTAACTATGCTTTTAAATGTTTGAGCCATAACTTCTATTCCAAAAAGTCAAATTAAGCTTGTTCTCTATTGTCGATGAAAATTGAAGAAAAAAACAAACCCCCTCCAAGATGTTTTATTTTTCAACTGTTTCCACACCATTGATATTAATTTTTTATAACCTCTTTACTTCTTTACTACCAGAATAAGACATTAGGAAGATTTTAGCATTTAATCTATTCTTTCCATCAACTCCCAGATTTATTCAAGAGAGTTAAAAAAAAAAAAAACCCAAAAAACAAAAAACAAAACACATGCACACACAAAACCTGGCCTTACTCCCAAGTCTCCCTGGATACACAAGGAGTTTCTTTTCTTTTTTTTTTTTTTTTTTAATTATACTTTAAGTTCTAGGGTACATGTGCACAACGTGCAGGTTTGTTACATATGTATACATGTGCCATGTTGGTGTGCTGCACCCATTAACTCGTCATTTACATTAGGTATATCCCCTAATGCTATCCGTCCCCCCTTCCCCCACCCCACAACAGGCCCCTGTGTGTGATGTTCCCCTTCCTGTGTCCAAGTGTTCTCATTGTTCAATTCCTACCTATGAATTTACAAGAAAAAAATAACCCCATCAGAAAGTGGGCGAAGGATATGAACAGACACTTCTCAAAAGAAGACATTTATGCAGCCAACAGACACATGAAAAAATGCTCATCATCACTGGCCATCAGAGAAATGCAAATCAAAACCACAATGAGATACCATCTCACACCAGTTACACAAGGGGTTTCTTTCCCTGATTCAGACTCTGTGACTGGAGTCTGCCAGTCAAAATATTCTCTTTCATTCTCACTCCATTCCATTTCCAATTCCACTGGTATCAGCAGGGCTGCTTAGGTCTTCCAGTTCCAGACTTTGTAAGTGGGAAGATGTTGCCTTCAGAAATGCAATGATTTACAAAGGCATCTTCTCTGCAGCTGCACTCCCTGCTTGTGCCAGAAACGAAAGGGAAAACATCTCCTACCAACAGTTTTATTTAGAGTTCTCAAAAACAATTCAGACTTGATATGCTGAAACAAAAACTATCTTACCTGCCCTCATTTAAACCTAGTTCATTTCTGGTATTCTTTTTCTCAAAAAAGTAAAACCATTAAATTATGCAAGCTAGAAAGTTTGACAGTCTCTTCCTTTTTCTTCCTATGTTCAAACCACTGCCATGACTTGTTGAATTATCACTCCTAAAGCATGTAGCCTCCATGAATTATATACTGCCCTCAGAGGATTACAATTGGTACTTTTTTGGAGGGGGATTAAAAAAATGTTTTAATGTACAAAGAACAGTCATACACACACTACTTAATCAGATACACTTTATACCTTTGTATTAAAATTTTCATAGAGGAGGGGCTATTAAAAATGTCTAAGAAGTTGAGTGTTCCAATAGTTTGGATGTTTGTCCTGCCCAAATCTCATGTTGAAATGTGGTCCCCAGTGCTGCAGGTGGGGCCTGTGGGAGGTGTTTGGGTAATGGGAGCAGATCCCCCATGGCTTGGTGCTGTCCTTGCAACAGTGAGTGAGTTCTCATAGGATCTGGTTGTTTAAAAGTGTGTAACAACTCCCCACTCTCTCTCTTGCTCTCACTCTTGCCATGTGACTAGCCTCCTCCTTGAATTAGCCTTTTCCATGAATTAAAGCTCCCTGAGGCCTCCCCAGAAGCCATGCAGATGCCAGTGTCTTGCTTGCTGTGCAGCCTGCAGAACTGTGAGCCAATTAAATCTTTCTTCCTTCCTTCCCTCCCTCCTTCCTTCCTTCTTCTTCTTTTCATTCTTTCTTTCTTTCTCTTTCTTTCTCTCTTTCCTTCCTCCCTCCCTCCCTCCTTTCTTTTCTTTTTTCTTTCTTTCTTTTTCTTTCTTTTTTTTTCTTCTTTCTTTCCTCTCTTTCCTCTTTTTTTTCTTTTTCTTTTCTTTTCTTTTTTTTTTTGACGGAGTCTTGGTCTGTCACCCAGGCTGGAGTGCAGTGGCATGATCTCGGCTCACTGCAACCTCTGCCTCTCAGGTTCAAGCGATTCTCCTTCCTCAGCTTCCTGAGTAACTGGGACAACAGGCACCTGCCACCACACCCAGCTAATTTTTGTATTTTTAGTAGAGACAGGGTTTCACCATATTGGCCAGGCTGGTCTCTAACTCCTGACCTCAGGTGATCTGCCCGCCTCGGCCTCCCAAAGTGCTGGGATTACAGGTGTGAGTCACCGCACCCAGCCAAACCTCTCTTCTTTACAGATTACTCTGTTTCAGTTATTTCTTTGTTGCAATGCAAGAATGGACTAACAGAGAGTGATTAGAAATAAAGGTGGTAAATACTGTCCAAAACATAGGTAGAATTTGTCCATTTCGTTCATATCCACTGCTACCATCTTGAACAAGGTTACTATTATTTCCTGCCTTGAAACTGGTAATAATCTCTCTATCATAGTCTCTCTTTATCCAATCTGGTTTCCTTTCAATCTCTTGGAAACATGCCATCGCATTTTCACATCCAATTATCTCACTAACAGCTTAAAACCTTTCAATGGCTTCCCATTGCTCTGAGGCTAAAAACCAAATTCTTACCTGGCTTATATGGCATATTATGATTTTTCTTGTATTTTTGCAGCCTTGTCCCACATTACAATAACCTCTATATTCTGCAGTTGGGCCATATTGCCCTTCTTTTAGCATCTCACATGTGCTATGCTCCCTGTACAACAGTGATGACAGCGCATGTATCTCCTCACATCCTCCAGATCTCAGCTTCATGATTCTTTCCTCTAAGATGCATTTCCTGACTTCTTAATCTGTGTCAGATTCTATATTATAATCCTTTTGAAACCATATTTCTTTCATTCAGAGCAAATATCAGTTTGGATTTACATATGTATATTCGTTTAATATTCCAGTCCTCGCTAAACTGTAAGTTTCATGAGAACAAAATGGTGTTTTTTGTTTTTTTACATCATAGCCCCAGCACTTACCCAGTGCTGGGCACATAGGAATGAGGCAAATTTCTTTGGAAAAAACAAATGAGTTAATAAATGAATACATTTGCTACACTTTATTTTTTAACCCCGTTAATGTCTTTCTGGTGCTACTGGAGTATAACCAAACATCCTTCATTTCAAGATTTTCATGATCTTGGCTCCTGTATGCCTTCTCAACTTCTCATGGCACTCTTCTTTTGCTCTCTTTTTGCTCTATTTTATTTTATTTTTTTTTTTGATACTTTTTGGCTCAGATGCATCATATACACTCTTACCCTGGGGATTTTGCCAGCATTCTTTATGTTGCTTCTAATTTTCCTATGGATGTGAGCCACATGAGTAACATAATATTGGCCCATGTTTAAGTGGTCCCTCCCAAAGAGGCATTTCTTTATCACTTTATTGTAAGTTGTCTCAGTCACTCTCATCATTTTTTTCTATAACCTGTTCATTTTTACTGTTTTATTTATTAATTTATTTTCAGCAAGTAACATTATCTAGTAGGGTGCAGGCTAGTTGGATTTAAATACTAGGCAGAAGACCTGAAATAGGACTCAGTAGAGGAGAAAAGAAGTCCAACATCCAAACGACACTCAGAGGGAGAATCATTCACAGAGAAGACTAAGAAAGGGCAATTTAAGAGAGGTTACTTGAGAGGTTGGGGTGGGAGAATCCCTTGAGCCCAAGAGTTAGAGGTTGCAGGGAGCTATGATTGCACCACAGCACTTTAGCCTGGAATATAGAGACCCTGTCAAAAGAAAGAAAAAAAAAGGAAAGAAAGAAGAAAAGGAAAGAGAGGAAGAGAAAGAAAGAAAGGAAGAAAGAAAGGAAGAAAGAAAAAAAGAGAGAAAGAGAGGGAGGGAGGAAGGAAGGAAGGAGGGGAGGGAGGGAGGGAGAGAAGGAGGGAAGGAAGGAAGGAAGGAAAGAACGGAAGGAAGAGAAAAGAAAAAAAGGAAAAGAAAAATAATAAAATCTTGAAAGATTCCTTTAGTAATGCATCCCAAAACATGATGATCGCACAAGGTACTACCAACCCTCAGGTGAATTACACTTCTTACCTAGTCATTATTATTTTATCCATTAGAATTATTCATGTAATTGTGTTTATCCAGTTTACCTTTACATTTTTTCATCAAATATTCTCTGAAACTGGAGATTTCTCCATGTAGACACAGTTTATGCAGACACCAAATTCTTTTAGAAGTGTACATTGCACTACAGCCTTGAAAACAAAAATGTACATAAATATACAAGAAATTTTCTATTGTATTTTACTCTAGAGACAAATTTGAAAAGGATACAATATTCTATGTAAAAATTTTAACTTTCATAAGAAGTTATATAAACATTTGTTCACACATTAAATTTCAACAATATTCATTAATTGAAGTTTGACAGTGGATGAGTGAAATGTGAATTATTTGAGTCTAGTGGTATCTTTTTTCTTTTTATTTATATCCTCCAAAAGTCAGTGAGGATCAATTTCTTCTTTTATTTGACCAATTGGAATTTTGAAAAGTTTGATCTTGAATAAAATGTTTACCACGATCAAGCTAAAGGCAGATACCATTTTCTGCAATCCTAGTTGAGCTGGTTTGGCTGTTGCTGTATTCACTGACACTTTTCCCTTCTTATTATACCATTAATACAGCAACACTGATAGCCCTGCATTTTAAAGGAAAGAAGTCAATCTTAGAATCTTAAATGCAAGTTTCAGGAGTACATATCTTTCTTTGGGTACTAAAACAACTTGGCAAATTAAAGCTTAAAGCCCGTTATTAAAGCTACTGTTCTGCAGCTTCTCAGAAATATAATTGTTCAATTATTTTTGGCTTCATAAAGGTTTTGTGTGTGCATATTTTTAAAAATACCACCATAGATGTAAATCTTTTGAGTTTCATTTTAAAATGAGAAATGAGATTTAAACATTAACACAATGTCTTTAGTAAACAAGCTAGAGAAATACAAATGGACCATCACCATTAAATTAGTTTTAAAACTAGGTTTAAATTTACGTATTTGGTAAATCAAAACTCATGGAAATAATAGCTGTTCCACAGTAAGCTGTGGCAGGTCTATTTTTTTCCCACACAAACTGACAAAATGTTTAGAGTTAAAAGGAAAAAAAATGTTAAAGTAGTTATATATATATATATATATATATAGTGGAAAATTTTCATGTATTAATATTACAGTGGGATAATTGGCTGCTTTCAGCCCTTAATCTTACTTCTTAATATGTGCCTTTTAAATTTTCTTCATTTCCTGGAACCAGAATGTGTTTATAACTTTTAAACATGCTTTGCCTTTCTTTACATTTCTTCTTAGCACAGGTAATCAACATATCTAGAACACGTGCATTCTGGGAATATTAATTCTGAAATGAAGGTTAGCGAATCCTCCTAGCTCTGCTTCACATTGAGACAAAGAAATTTGAAATGTTTCAACTGACGTAACTTCTAGACTACTCTTCTCCACACTTTTGAATGGGCTCTGGAAAGAAGGGCCAAGAATTTTTCTTCTATTTTACATATCAGGGTTATGAGCTTAAGCGATAAGCTCTCTGAAAATATTTGAAGAGTCATGGAACCCACTGGATTTGCTAAGCCTCCTGGCTTGTGACTTTCTTAGTTATGGTACATTTTGAATCCTGTGGATTTGTAGTGCTGGCCAGTTAAATCCATCATCATGTTTTCTCTCTCATTGTTGAAAGACTGAAATAAGATGCACAGTGAATGTGTACTCAGTTTTTCCTTTTTAAAGTGAGAATGTGTGTTAAGCAATGCTAAATTATTCACCCTCCAGGAGGAATTGTGTTTTCTAGAAGGGGAAATCATGGTTTATTAAGCCACATTATCATGAAATTTATTTAAACTCACAGGAATATTATTTAAGAATAATCTTCATGCTTCAGAGAGCCAGTATCAATTTCATGGAGAAAAGGGAGGGCTTTATTATTGATGCTTTCCAAAACCAAAATAATGTTTCTATAATCAAGCATAGCTAATTCTAAGAATAAATGTAAGTTAAAATATCAATTGATTTTCTATGGAAGGTGTGTGTGTGACACTAAAATTGTTTGAAATAAGAGAAAATTGGTTATATATGTTTTGCTGCTGTTTGCAAATAGAAACATGTCTTAGCATTTTGAGGACAGCTTAAAATGCACCTGAAGTCTTCATTAGTTTTCTAGCATTCACTATGTCTTTTAGAAAATTATTTTATTTTTTTTCTGCTCTCTCACATAATGTCTTCCAAAGCTGTGATAGCAGTTTTGCGTAATTGCATTCAAATTACTGTAAAGTACGCCACACTATTGATGAACTACCTGGAAGCTTTGACTTGTACCTAAAATAACACATTGAGTAAAATTTTTAAATTTTTATTTCACAAGATACTTGGAAAGAAATACTGTATTATAATTATGCAAATTTTAATATTTAATATTTAACATGCACTACTTTTCCACTTTTAAAATTATACATTCATATAATGTTCACATTTTCAAATAGGAGAAGGCTCTCTCAACTGAATAGTACAATGTAACACGTGATTTAGGAAACTCATTTACTCTTTAAGTTATGAAAGTCATTCGTAGCTTCCAATTATACCTCTCGGATCATTAATGGATAATAACATACAAACACATATTGTTTACTTTCCAACCACTTGAACCAGTTCATTTTTTCATTAGTACCATGCCAGTCTGTTCATATCTGCCAATTCTCCCTCTCTGGAAAATATCTGTGTTAAGCCAACTTCAACTCACAAAACTTTAACATGAAATTGCAGAACTTGGCTGTCTTAAAACACATCAGTACTTTCTTGTGCCTTTGGTACACTTTCTGCTTTTGATATTTTTCTTGAAGGCAGAAAATAGCTATTAGTAATTAAACTTTAAAAATATATTAAAAAGTTGTAGTATTGCACTTGCAACTTTTAGAAAATAATCATATTTTACAACCAAATTATGGACACCTAGACTTTAAATAAATTTAAAATTTCACCTTATTCTTCATAAGTGACACATACATTGGACAGTCAAGAGGTCTGAAAATTTCAGACCATATTTAGATGGCTGAAATCAGAGTAGCTGCTATCATCACCAACACATGGAAGCTCAAGGAAGGTTTTTATTTGATGACAACAATGCAACAAATTGTAACATCCTGTCCAGCTGAGATTCTTTTGTAGCAGGGTTATGAGTTTAACAATGTAATGAAGGTAATCTAATATTGACACATTCAATAGCGTTTTTCCTTAAGAAGTTTACCGATACTAATACAATAGTACATTAGTTAATCTTCAGTTTCTTCTAAGGAATCAAAGTTGAATTGAATTGCCTACTTAAATTATGGGGCACTGCTTTTATTTAAAATAAAATTTGCTCTGGAGAGGGAATAACTCACCTGTTCTAGTTTTGCTCTTTCTCATGGAGATTGGTGCTCAGGAATAATATGATTCTTTTCATTTAATTCATGAAATATCCTTGTAAAAATAATCACACTTGTCCCTCAAGCCCGTTAAAGGCTGCTGGGCTGCTGATTTTTGCTTATTAAAACTAAAACTCAGCACTCAGCATGCTGATTTTTTTTTTTTTTTCTGGGAGGAGGGTGGTGAGATAAAGTTTGCATAAGCATAAAGTCCTACTATGTTAAACTGCTGTTTGCTAAAACATTCTGACCCAGAAGCATAAAATTATACCTCCTTTACCCCTAGAAAAAGGGAACTTTTCTGAACAGTCTGTGGTCCAAGCCTATGCTTTTAGAAACGCTGTATTAATGATTTTGTTGAAAAATGTGCTTATAATGCAAATGTGCTTATGCAGTTTTCATCCTTCTGTTCGGTGTATTAGTGATAGAACCACAAAGTATTAATCGGAACACTGGTTCACTCAGCTTAAGACTCTATCAGCCTTCCTTGCATGTAAGTTTGATCAAATGACTAAGTTCTGGCTGCTGATTTATAAACAAAAAATGATCTCTGCAACTGAAGTGTCATGTCTTTAAAAGATAGCTTCTTATTACATCTTTTTTTTCCCTCCTTCTTGCTGGTTAGAGGCCATCTTTGAAGAAGTAAACAAGTACCATACACTAAAGGGATGACAGAACAACGAAACAAAAGGTATTCTGATCCTGGATGATACCTAGGTCTTTTAGATCTACGTAAGATTAGTCTACATTTTAAGGTACACAGTATCAACCTTTGTAATTGTGAAACATTTGAAACACAAAGAAACGCACATATAAAACATAATAAGCACGCATGTCTGAATCACCCAGAATTAGTAAAAGTTAACTTACTACTAAATAACATAAACCGCTATAAGTAATTTTTCTTTATCTTTCTTTTCTAAAGAGTAAGTGTTGTTTAGTATTTGCTGTGTATTTTTCCTACCGTGTTTTTGTACAGGTATTCCAAATGCATGTATCCAACAAAAACATAGTATTTTTATTCCGTTCAAAATATTTATATAGAGCATGTTATACTTTAGATCTTACAACTCTCCTTTTTTTCACCCACTCGTGCATTTAATTAATTAATTAATTAATTAATTTTGTGAGACAGAGTTTCACTCTTGTCACCCAGGCTGGAGTACAATGGTGCAATCTCGGCTCACTGCAACCTCCACCTCCCAGGTTCAAGCGATTCTCCTGACTCAGCCTCCTGAGTTGCTGGGATTACAGGAACCTGCCACCATGCCCAGCTAAATTTTTTTTGTATTTTTAGTAGAGACGGGCTTTCACCATGTTGGCCAGGCTGGTCTCGAACTCCTGACCTCGGGTGATCCACCCGCCTCAGCCTCCCAAAGGGATGGGATTACAGACATAAGCCATCATGCCCAGCCTAATTCATTTATTTTTATCATGTTTATAGAGGTATTTTGAATCTCTTTGTCATACTTTGTTTACTTACCTTGATTTCCATTGCTTTTCATTAATACAAACTATTTTCTGTTCATCTAGTAAAATAATTTGGTTGATTCTACTACGTAACTTTACTTATTTGTGTTACACTTTCTATATCCATACTTTTAAAGATGAATTTTAAAATACATACATTATTAATAAACTATAAGGTAAATTTAAACATATCTATTTTACTCTTGAATGATGTGACAAAATGAGTATAGATTTTTTAGACCCACCCAGCTTATTTATATCATTTTGATGATTAATACTTATATAGGCTTATCAAAAATCTTCCTTGATTTTTTTTCACCATTAATTCTTGTAGACTACATCTTTGTGGGTTTAATTTACTTTTCGCCCAAGAACACGCTTTTGTACTTCCTTCAGTGACCCAATAGTAATCAAAGTCCAGCCACAGGAGAGGAAGTAATATGTTCACTTTACAATTCTTCCCCTGAAACACACACACACACACACATACACACCCACACACACACCAATTAAAAAGTAAGATATTACCTGTAAGTTAATGACCTTTATCAATGTTTAAAGGGGCCCTTGAAACTAAACCCCTCCAAGAAAATATAAATGAGTGGATGTTTTTGATAAAAATTTTGCTAAATAATCATAAATCTCATAGAGAGGGTTAATTTCAGAACATTGAAACCATATAAAGCAAATTTATAACATTAGATAGAAAGTAACAAAGTACGTTTACAATAACAGAAATATATCTCTTACAAGAGCTCATAAAGAATGCAGAAAGAAATCTACAACAAATTGAATGAAAAGAGCAATTTTTCTGTTTCTCATTTTTCTAAAACATTAAGCATTTTCATAAAACATATAATTAAACAGCAGTACCTACTTATATTTTCACGCTGCATTTTTATTTTATTATTCTTTTATTTGATTATACCTTTTATTTTAATGTAAATTATTATCCTATAAGTGGTTCTCCATTCTAGCTATGTCTGAAATGCAGAAATATGTATCATTGTTGCGATGTCAAATTGATTTTATAATTGTTTTGCTTAATTCTTTGTAGCTTAAAGAGCTTCTTGTTAGTCTACTACTCTGCATTCAGTTGAATTGAAATTAACACAGTTCTGTAGTTAAAATTATTCAAACAATTATATCTGTTTGTTGTTAATTATATGGATACAAAGAGGTCCATATGTCATTTTTAGCTTTAAGGTTCCAATCAAGAAAGAGCAAGATGTATGACTACTTAAGATGAAGGACATACTATTGTTAATGAATAAACATGAAAGGATAACTTGTTTTCCAAGTATTGATATCTACATTTTATAAAGCCAACCCAGGTAGATGGGTATTGTTACATATGTCTAATTATATTATCAAAGCTGCTGAGTTCACTCATTTAAAAAATTATGAACACTCAGAGTGTTCCTGCTATGACTAATTTCTACTTTGTTTAAATAGAATAAAACTTAGGTAAGTGAGAAACATGAGAATTATCCTCATTACTTTCTATCTCTTACCACTCAAATCTAAATGATCCCTAAGTTAGGTCTGCTTTAGAATGTGTCAAACATATATATGACTTGCACAGGAAGTAGAATATTATCTTCTTTCAATTCATCATAAAACATATGAAAGTATTCCTCCACAATCCTTGCATCTCTAAGGTACCCTCTATCCCATCCTACATCTATTCTTAACAATTTTTAAAATGCAAACTTAATTAGTTCCCTTTCTTGCCCTCAAGACATAATAATTTCTCTCAAGAAGATCCTTTATCACACTAGATTTTAATTACCTGTCTGTCTACTCCATTATATTTGCAGTTAAAGTGTCTACTTTCTTGCTGGTCCTTTATACCTTTGGAGTCAGCACACTGGCTTCCATATCTTAGATCTCAATAAACAGTTTTGAATTACTGAGTGTACTGATTGCCTTGAAATTGCAGATGGCTTTAGTAAACCACTTTGTGTTTGTGTGTGTAGATTACAGCAAAGCTTTCTGCTTTCCTTTCTTGCTCTGATACCCTCAAAATTATACTCTGTTCCTGGGATTCCAGAGTCTTCTGCCACAACCAAGGTATGATAAAGCCTCCTGGCACTTGGTCATTTTACAGAGTTTTATAGCAATGCAAATCTGTTGGGTTTCAGTAAAATTTCCTACTTTTCATTGGATTAACCCAAGTCTGAGTTTAGAGATAGATTCAAGCAATAGACTCTGTATTGTATCTAGAATTTCTCTTCCTTTCGAATATCAATGCCTTCCCGTCAAGGTGCACTTGTTGTAAGTAGGCTCTTACCAGTTAGGATGTGGATTTTCCTGGAGGCACTTTACTTCCTAAAAAGAAAAGGAAATATCTGACAACCAATAATGGTACATTTCACTCGCATCTGTGTGAAGAGACCACCAAACAGGTTTTGTGTGAGCAACAAGGCTGTTTATTTCACCTGGGTGCAGGCGGGCTGAGTCTGAAAAGAGAGTCAGCAAAGGGAGATAGGGGTGGGATAGGTTGAGATAGCCGTTTTATAGGATTTGGGTAGGTAAAGGAAAATTACAGTCAAAGTGGGGGGTTGTTCTCTGGCTGGCAGGAGTGGGGGTCACAAGGTGCTCAGTAGGGGAGCTTTTGAGCCAGGATGAGCCGGGAGAAGGAATTTCACAAGATAATGTCATCAGTTAAGGCAGGAACAGGCCATTTTCACTTCTTTTGCGGTGGAATGTCATCAGTTAAGGCAGAAACTGGCCATCTGGATGTGTATGTGCAGGTCACAGGGGATATGATGGCTTAGCTTGGGCTCAGAGGCCTGACATTCCTGTCTTCTTATATTAATAAGAAAAATAAAACGAAATAGTGGTAAAGTGTTGGGACGGCAAAAAATTTTTGGGGGTGGTATGGAGAGATAATGGGCGATGTTTCTCAGGGCTGCTTCGAGCAGGATTAGGGGCGGCGTGGGAACCTAGAGTGGGAGAGATTAAGCTGAAGGAAGATTTTGTGGTAAGGGGTGATATTGTGGGGTTGTTAGAAGAAACATTTGTCATGTAGAATTATTGGTGATGGCCTGGATATGGTTTTGTATGAATTGAAAAACTAAATGGAATAAGAGAAGGAGAAAAGCAGGTATTAAAGGACTAAGAATTGGGAGGACCTAGGACATCTAATTAGAGAGTGCCTAAGGAGGTTCAGCATAGCCTTGCCAGCAAAGATTATTTATTTACTTTAAGAGTTAAGAGTGGCGGTTTGGGGATAGCACGAGGAGATCAGCTGTGATGGCTTAGAGAAACGGTGTAAACCGGCAGTGTAAACAAGAGCAGGGCATTTATGAGTAGTTGAGAATGGTGAATAGGAGTATGACTAGACAGAAGATAGTAGGGATGACAAGTTTTTTGGGGCGCAGTCTAGGTTGATCTGGTGTCTGGGATGAGACTGGGGCCTAATAAAAAGCGTCTATACATGAGCTGAAATGGGCTGTACCTTGTAGCATTCCGAGGACAGGCCTGAATTCTGAGAAGGGAGAGTGGTAAAAGTATTGTCCAGTCCTTTTTAAGTTGGTGGCTGAGCTTGGTGAGGTGCGTTTTTAAAAGACCTTTAGTCCGTTCTGCTTTTCCTTAAGACTGAGGAGTGTAAGGGATATAAAGGTTTTACTGAATACCAAGAGCCTGAAAAACTGCTTGGCTGATTTGACTAATAAAGGCCGGTCTGATATCGGACTATATAGAGGTGGGAAGGCCAAACCGAGGAATTATGTCTGACAGAAGGGAAGAAATGACTGCGGTGACCTTCTCAGATCCTGTGGGAAAGGCCTCTACCTATCCAGTGAAAGTGTCTACCTAGACTAAGAGGTATTTTAGTTTCCTGACTCGGGGCATGTTGAGTAAAGCTAATTTGCCAGTCCTGGGTGGGGCAAATCCTCGAGCTTGTTGTGTAGGGAAGGGAGGGGGCCTGAATAATCCCTGAGGGGTAGTAGAATAGCAGCTGGAACACTGAGAAGTGATTTCCTTGAGGATAGATTTCCACAATGGAAAGGAAATGAGAGGTTCTAAGAGGCGGGCTAGTGGCTTGCACTATAGCATAGCCTGCCTTTGCTGGTGTGTGGCGATTAGGCCTGGTGGAACTGCCATCAATAAACCAAGTGTGATCAGGGTGAGGAACAGGAAAGAAGGAAATATGGGGAAATGGGGTGAATGTCAGGTGGATCAGAGAGATACAGTCATGGGGGTCAGGTGTGGTATCCGGAATACTGTGGGAGGCCGAATTGAAGTCCGGGCCAGGAACAATGGTAATTGTGGGAGACTCAACAAACAGTGAGTACAGCTGAAGGAGCTGGGGAGCAGAAAGTATATGCATCAGGTGTGAGGAAGTAAATAGATTTTGGAAGTTATGAGAACTGTAGAGAGTGAGTTGAGCATAGTTTGTGATTTTTAGGGCCTCTAAAATTATTAAAGCAGCGGCAGCCACTGCACGCAGACCTGAGGGCTAGGCTAAAACAGTAAGGTCAAGTTGTTTGGACAGAAAGGCTACAGGGCGCGGTCCCGGCTCTTGTGTAAGAATTCTGACCGCACTAACCATGCCTAGGAAGGAAAGGAGTTGTTTTGTGGAAGGGATTGAGGTTTGGGAGATTAGTCAGACATGATCAGCAGTGAGAGCACGTGTGTTTTTATGAGAATTACGCCAAGATAGGTAACAGATGAGGAAGAAATTTGGGCTTGACTGAAGTAATGGCGGCTGTCTGTGAAGCCTTGAGGCAGTACAGCCCAGGTAATTTGCTGAGCCTGATGGGTGTCAGGGTCAGTCCAAGTGAAAGCAAAGAGAGGCTGGGATGAAGGGTGCAAAGGAATAGTAAAGAAAGCATGTTTGAGATCCAGAACAGAATAATGGGTTGTGGAGGGAGGTATTGAGGATAGGAGAGTACATGGGTTTGGCACCATGTGGTGGATAGGCAAAACAATTTGGTTGATAAGGCACAGATCCTGAACTAACCTGTAAGACTTGTCCAGTTTTTGGACAGGTAAAATGGGGGAATTGTAAGGAGAGTTTATAGGCTTTAAAAGGCCATGCTGTAGCAGGTGAGTGATAACAGGCTTTAATCCTTTTAAAGCGTGCTGTGGGATGGGATATTGGTATTGAGTGGAGGGGTAAAGGGTGATTAGGTTTTAATGAGATGGTAAGGGGTGCATGATCAGTCACCAAGGAGGGAGTAGAGGTATCTTATACTTGTGGGTTAAGGTGGGATGCAAGAGGAGGATGCAAAGGAGGCTTTGGATTGGGAAGAAGGGCGGCAGTGAGATGTGGCTATAGTCTAGGAATAGTCAGGGAAGCAGATAAGTGTCTCCACCTAATAAGGGAACTGGGCAGGTGGAGATAACTAAAAGGAGTGCTTAAAAGAGTATTGTCTAAGTTGGCACCAGAGTTGGGGAGTTTTAAGAGGTTTAGAAACCTGGCTGTCAATACCTGCAACAGTTATGGAGGCAAGGGAAACAGGCCCTTGAAAAGAAGGTAATGTGGAGTGGGTAGCCTCCGTATTGATTAAGAAGGGGACGGACTTACCTTCCACTGTGAGAGTTACCTAGAGCGTCTGTGATGGTCTTGTAGGCTTCCGAGGCGATCCGGCAACATCAGTCTTCAGCCGCTAAGCCAAGAAGATCTGGGAAGGAGTCAATCAGAGAGCCTTGGGCCAGAGTTCCAGGGGCTGTGGAAGTGGCTGCCAGGTGAGTTGAACAGTCCGATTTTCAGTGGGGTCCTACACAGATGGGACACAGCTTAGGAGGAATCCTGGGCTGTGGGCATTCCTTGGCCTAGTGGCCAGATTTCTGGCACTTGTAGCAAGCTCCTGGGGGAGGAGGTTCTGGAGGAACCCCTGGCAGCTGCGGTTTGGGCGTTTGGAGTTCTTGTGTGCTGGAGATGTGGCTGGGGTTTGTCTCACAGTGGAGGCAAGAAATTGCAACTCAGAAATACATTGCTACTTGGCTGCCTCTACTCTATTATTGTATAACTTGAAGGTGAGGTTAATTAAGTCCTGTTGTGAGGTTTGAGGGCCGGAATTTAATTTTTGGAGTTTTATTTAATGTCAGGAGCGGATTGGGTAATAAAATGTATATTGAGAATAAGACGGCCTTTTGACATTTTAGGGTCTTGGGCTGTAAAGCGTCTCAGGGTTGCTGCCGAACGAGCCATGAACTGGGCTGGGTTTTTCATATTTGATGAAAGAGCCTAAATGCTAACTGATTTGGGAGAGGTCGGATAAAGAAAAAGAAGCATTAACCTTGACTATGCCTTTAGCTCCAGCCTCCTTTTTAAGAGGAAATTGCTGGTCAGGTGGAGGAGGGCTAGTCGCGTCGCGGAACGAAACTATAAGCCGGACTGGGTGTGAGGAGGGGAGGTGATAAAAGGATTATAGGGTGGGGGAGCAGAGGCTGAGGAAGAATTGGGACCTGGCTTGACCTGGCTTGGCCTGGCGAGGAGCAGCCTGGGGAGGAGGAGAGAGGTCAGATGGGTCTGTAGAAAAGGAAGATTAGAAAGACTCAGCGACGCTTGGGGTTGGGACTGAGAGGACAGGCGGGAGGGAAAGAAGGAGGATTTGGGATGAGTCACATTGGGAACAGAGAGTACGGAGAGAACAATGTGTAAAAGAATGCCTGGACGTCAGGCACCTCAGACCATTTGCCCATTTTACGACAAGAATTATCGAGATCTTGTGGGATGGAAAAATCGAAAGTGCCGTTCTGTGGCTATTTTAGAGCCTTTGTCAAGTTTGTATTGGGGCCAAGCGGTGTTGCAGAATAAAATAAGATGCTTAGATTTTAGGTCAGGCGAGAGTTGAAGAGGTTTTAAGTTCTTAAGAACACAGGCTAAGAGAGAAGAAGGAGGAATGGAGGGTGGAAGGTTGCCCATAGTGAAGGAGGCAAGTTTAAAGAGAAGGGTAGAGACACGGAGAAGGGGGTGGGGAGCAGCCCTGGGCTGCAACGTGGGTGAGCAGCCAAAGCAGGCGTCCTTGCAATTGACTTGCCACCAAGGGAACATGGGCGAATGATCAAGGAAGGCACCCCTGCGGAGATCAGACACCAGTGGAACGTGGGTGAATAATCCAAGAGGCATCTCGGCGATGATTAAACACCAAGGTAAGGCTGTCTTCCCGAGTCCGTGACCGGCGCCGGAGTTTTGGGTCCACAGATAAAATGTGTCTCCTTTGTCTCTACCCGAAAATGAAAGGAACTGAAATTAACAGAAGGGAGAGATTGAAGTGTGGCGCCAAGCTTGAAAGGAGAAAGAGGTTGAGGGATAGTGAGGGAGGTTGGAGAAGAGAGTAAAAAGAGGCCGCTTACTGGATTTGAAATTGGTGAGATGTTCCTTGGGCTGGTCAGTCTGAGGACCTGAGGTTGTAGGTGGATCTTTCTCATGGAGCAAAGAGTAGGACAGGGGATTGATCTCCCAAGGGAGGTCCCCTGATCCCAGTCACGGCACCAAATTTCACTCGCGTCCGTGTGAAGAGACCACCAAACAGGATTTGTGTGAGCAACAAGGCTGTTTATTTCACCTGGATGCAGGCGGGCTGAGTCTGAAAAGAGAGTCAGTGAAGGGAGATAGGGGTGGTGCCGTTTTATAGGATTTGGGTAGGTAAAGGAAAATTAGTCAAAGGGGGTTGTTCTCTGGCTGGCAGGAGTGGGAGGTCACAAGGTGCTCAGTAGGGGAGCTTTTGAGCCAGGATGAGCCAGGAGAAGGAATTTCACAAGATAATGTCATCAGTTAAGGCAGGAACAGGCCATTTTCACTTCTTTTGTGGTGGAATGTCATCAGTTAAGGCAGGAACCGGCCATCTGGATGTGTATGTGCAGGTCACAGGGGATATGATGGCTTAGCTTGGGCTCAAGGCCTGACAGGACACATAAATATGATTTTCAGGAAGAAAGTCATCAAATTTTAAATCACCCCTGAACCATGGAAGGCAAAAACTCTGGCCTTAATGTTTTAGGAAATAAACAAATAGTTTCTTAATATGCTGCTGAATATAAAATTATTTTTATTTTCTTTTTTTTCCATTCTAATCTTTAAATTTTTCTCCTTTTGCCCAAAAAGTTAACAAAGACAAATTATAAATCTTTGCATATACAAAAGGCTATCAAAATGATGGAAAAAAGGATCTCATCATTTAAGTTTTCATGATTTATGAAATATTTCAAAGATTTGCAAATAACTGACATTGTTATAATCCATAAAATAGTGTAATGCTAAAACTAGAAACCACAGAGTAATACTGTCCAGGTATGAATTCTGTATGTGCTACTTATTCATTGGTGACCTTTGACAATGTATAGCATCTCTCTAGACTCCATTTTACTCATCTGTAAAATGAAGGGTATCTTTCACATAGAGTACTCATAAGAATTAAATGCATTATAGAACAATGAAGGAAACATAGTAAATTCAATATAAGTGTTAAATAAACAGGTTCAGTGGCATTCATGTACCTGCCACCTACCCTAATTTATCCTATTTTCACATATTTGCTTTAGATTTTCTGAGCATAAAACATTACAAATATTGTTTTAGTTAATGAATTGCTTCATAATATATCGCTCCCAAAATAAGTGATGTAAAACCATAACATTTATTTTCTCACAGTTTCTGAGGCTCAGGAATTTAGGAGTTGCCTAGTGGGATGCTTCTGGCTTGAAGTCTCTCACAAGTTTGCGGCCAGAGGTGCAGTCATCTGAAACTTTCACTGGGGTTGGGAAATCGAGCTTCAAGTTTGCTCACTCACATGACTTAGCTAGGAAGCCTTAGTTTCTCCCCACATGGATCTCTCAATAGGGCTGCCTGGGTGTCCTCACAAGTCAGCTGGCTTTCTCTCCAAGTGAGTGCTCTGAGAGACAAGATGAAAACTACAAATATCTTGTATGGCTTATCTTTCTGTGTCACATCTATCATTTCAACAATGTTTTATTCCTAAGGAGTCAGTAAGGACAATCAGATTCAAGGGGAGAAAATTAACTCTGTCATTTGATGAGAAAGCATCAAATAATTTGTAAACATGTTTCAAACCACTATAAATACAATTGAGCCTCCTATTCCATCCTGACCATCCATTTCCTTTACCTCCTTCTGTAGAAGTGAGTGCTATCCTGAAGTTGATATGAGTTGCATAATCTCCCAAATCAAGCTGGGTACAGGTGACATATATGCCCAAGATGCAAATTCCCTACTGTATCTGATTGTGAGTGCCTTACACAGCCAGAGCTATTGCTGCAAATTGAGACTAGCCTCTTCTATTAGCCTGGGTATGCAGTACAATATCATTAAGTGTATCATGAAATATTAAGGTTTATCATATGTGCTATGACATAAAAACCATTTTTAAAGAAATAAATAGTTCCAGTGATCCCTGAAGCCAGAAACATTGCATCTTTAGCCCTTAAGAGAGACAGAGAGAGCAGGAAGAGTGGCAGCTTGGAGACTGTAGGTGGGAGGAAAAGGAATTGCCAGTTCAGTAAACTTTGTCAATGCATTATTCTCCCACTTCAGACTTCCGAGGGCCACATTAAATTTCATGGCATTTAAAAATACGTTTTTTAAAACAAAAAAAGTTCTATCCTAGAACTTTATTGTTGTGGTGTTACAACTTAAAGAACCAGAGAACCAGATCATCTTAAGGTAAACAACATTCTTTTGAGAAAGACACATGATGATGGGAACAAGGAACTAATTAATCTTGAGATTTAAATCAAGGAAAGAGCAATGGGTATGGTTTCTGTCACAAGGAACTGACAGGAAGTACATAGATAAGAAGGCTACTACATTTTTGACGGAAGTATATTGTGATTTTGTTGATGATTCCTGGTTGATAACTCCCATAGCCCCTTTTATACCCTTCTATTATAATGCTGGGGCACTTTAGGCCTCAGGAGCAGACCTCATGGAACAGAAACTCTCTTTCTCTCTCTGAAATTCTCCTGTCCTTCTTCCACAGGCAAGACTCTAATCTGATTGTAGTTCAAAATATTCTCATTCCATCAGGGCATGGTGGCTCACACCTGTAATCCCAGCATTTTGGGAGGCCAAGGCGGGCGGATCACTTGAGGTCAAGAGATCGAGACCATCCTGGCTAACATGGTGAAACCCCATGTCTACTAAAAAATACGAAAATTACCTGGGTGTGGTGGTGTGTGTGTGCCTGTAGTCTCGGCTACTCGGGAGGCTGAGGCAAGAGAATCGCTTGAATCCAGGAGAATCGCTTGAATCCAGGAGGCAGAGGTTGCAGTGAGCCAAGATCGTGCCACTGCACTCCAGCCTGGCAACAAAGAAAGACTCTGTCTCAAAAAAAAGAAAAAAAAAAAGTTCTCATTCCAAAGAAGGTCCCTGCTCCTACCCTAGAAGAAAGAATGCTACACAAAGAGGCCAAGAAAAGTCTGAAGAGACAAGCCTCATTGGGTTTAGATTATGTGTTATTTGTCCAGTCACATTTCTACACGGTTGTCAATTGTGACTATGTAATGAAGCCTCCATAAAACCCCAAAAGGATGGGGTTCAGGGAGCCTCCAGATAGATGAACATGTGGAGGTTCCTAGAGGGTGGCAAGCCCAGGGAGGGCATGGAAGCTCCATACCCCTTCCCCCATACCTCACCCTATGCATCTCTTCATCTGTATCCTTTGTAATTTCCTCTATAATAAACTAGTAAAGAGAAGTATTTTCCTAAGTTCTGTAAGCCACTCTAGCGAATTAATTGAGCCCAAAGAGGGGATTTTGGAAGGCCCAACTTGAAGCCAGTTGGTTGGAATTTCTGGAGGCTTAGATTTGTGACTGGTGTCTGAAATCAAGAGAAGTTTAGGGGACTGAGTACTCAACATGTGAGATCTGACAGGTAGATAGTGTTGGAGTTAATTGGAGGATACCCACTTGGTATCCACTGAGGAGTTGCTTGGTGGGGGGAAAAGCTCCCTCCGCTCACATTTGGTCACAGAAGCCTTCTTTTTTGATGTTTGCTGTGGGTGAGAGGAGATGAAAAACATAGTTTGAGAGTTGTTTCTAAACAATTGTCAAGGAGATCTGGCTGTTTCACATCTAAAGCAAGACTTGGGTTTCCATTATCATGAGATGGTCACCTTCTAAGGAATTCCCATTTCAGATGTGGACAGGCAGATTCACGGACAAGGAGTACCTTATCAGAACCTAGGGTTTACATGGACATGTGTAAGGGAGATTTTTCCCCAGAAAAAGAGACAAAGGTCCAATCAAGAATCTCTCAGAACCCTAAAGTAAAGTGTTTTCAAAATAGCTACTCAGTGAGATTTCAGAATATCACCAACCAGTGACTGCTGTATGCCTTCTGACTTTCTCCTTTGGATTGGGCATGTTTATTGTGGGTATTCTCCCCCCATGTCAGGTATGTGGTGGCAGACAACTTGCCATTTTAGTTGATAGGTCATTGGACCAACAGGGGCCATATCCAGATGCATGAGAAACTACTATACATTCTTGATGACCCTGGTCTTCAGCCATATGCAATGATGAGATAGGACAGAATAGAACCGATTCCTTTGTGGAGATGGAAAGTATGTTCAAAACATGGAAGGAATGTAATAGTTTGGCAACCAGAATAGTGGACTGTTGAAGAGACAATGTCTTTGATTCAGCATAGCATATACCTGGGTCTGGCCAATAGGAGGTGGAGGGAAGTGATATAAGTGAATTTCAGGCCTAGATTCGAACATATCTCACATGACCCTCCAATTTGACAATGGACATGAACCTCCTGTGTTTTAGGTGGCAGAGCTACAAGATCACTAGAACTTTGGTAGGTATTGTGCATAATGTTTGTTACATAGAGACACATGTATATACTTATACATACATATACTTAGATTTGTAATAGGAACACTTCCCTATTAATTTTATATGTTCCTTATAGCCAATACTGTGTGGATGTTGAGAAAGTAGGAAATATTTCTGAAGACCATATTACTAAAACAGTCATCACTGGGAACTTTTGGGAAGGGTGAGCCTGTTGAGTTTCTTCTCTGTAAAATGTGGATTAAAAAGACATAATTTTCCTGCTATTTGGAGGATTAGCAATCATACATGCAAAACACCAAGCAGAAAGCCTGGTATGTGCAGTGTTGATAATTGCTAAGTATTAGTGGTAATGCTCTTGTATTTTCAGAATTGAGAGAAATTATGAAGAATATATTATTTTTCAAATGGTGCAAACACTGTCTCATCAAATGAGATATTAGGTTCAATTACTATTCTGGCTCTCATAGAATGCATCATTTGACAATTGTATTTCTTGAATTTTCACATCTAAATGTTAGAAAATAGTTGCATAGAGCTTACAGGACATATGTTCAACAATTTTGAACACAAAGTGAGATTTCATCTTATATTTGTACTACTTGGGGGTCCGACTCAGTTGGATCCAGCTGTGGGGCGCAGATGTGTTAAAGGATGGAGCAAAAGGAGAGGAGTAAAGATGCAGATTGCAGACCTGCTGTGGTTTGTTTGAACAATTATTCAGAACTCTGGCACAGTTCATCCTTGAACAACGCATTAGTTATGGGCGCCAACCGCCAACATAGTAAAAAACACCACATATAACTTTTAACTCCTCAAAAACTGAATTACTAATAGCTTACTGTTGACTGGAAGCCTTATTGATAACATAAACAGTCGATGAACACTGATTTTTATGCTATATATGTGATATACTGCATTCTTACAACAAATAAGCCAGACAAAAAAAGTTAATTAAATCATAAGGAAGAGAAAATATTTTTACTATTCATTAAGTGAATAAAAGTCTTAATTCTCATTGTCTTCAGGTAGAGTAGGCTGAGGAGGAGGAGGAAGAAAGGGGGTTGGCTTTACTGTCTTGGGGTTGGCAGAAGGAAAGAAAGTCTGCGTATAAGTGAATCTGCACAGTTCAAATCCCTGTAGTATGAGAGTCAACTGCACTTGCTCTCTATTGTATGAATAGAAATTCTTCATATTCCACATCTGAAAATATAAAACCAATTTATATGCAAGGTTGTACAACATGCATTGTTTAGGAGAATTGCCTTTGGGGCTGGATCATTTGGCTGTTTCCTTTTATTGTACATTTTTCTCATTTTTTTCCCCGTCTGGTTTAGATTGTTCTGTCTTCCTTTGATTGCTTCTTTTTCTACTGTTATTCCTATTACTTTAACTATTTAGCAGTTTTATAAAGAATATAAGAAAACTGTAAACATTGATTAGTCTTCTAACAATATGTTACTTACATGTACAAAAAGAATAAGCAAATAAAAATATTTTTTTCAACTTTCTATAGTTAAAAATAAATTATTTAATGATACTTTTGAAAATAACTGATATCAAACCCTTATAAAACATTGTCATCAGCTAATTGTAAATGGATGAGAAACATATGAATTAAGTTTCCATCAAAAACACACACATTTAAAAATTTAAGCACACTTTATTTGGCAAACGTCTTTTTGTATTTTTCCAACTTCAAAATATTTGAAAATAATTTGAGTGATTTTCTGAACATAAAAAGTCATAAGATATTTATTTTTGTGAAAATTCAAGGAAAAATGCTGAAAAAAGTCATGATGTGATTTCTACAGGAACAATTATCAAGCAAGTAATGCTGTCATCCTGATAACTTCTTGGATTGTTTCAAATGTAATTACCTGAAGGAAATGAACAGCCTGTTTTGAAAACCAAGGGCAGGTTGGAAAACAGGAAACTATTATGAACCAAAGTTATGAAATTATGCTGCTTACTTTCAAATATGAAAGAACAGAATCTTCCAACTTATTTAAAAATACATTTCATATTGCTAATAGCATTTATTAAACTTAATATAAGAAAATAAAATGTACTGTATCATTGGCTTCAAATAATTGTTAACCAATTTGACTTTGCCTCTTGTGATATTAAACAAAATTCCACTGGAACTAGTGGTGACCATATCAGTCAGGACCCTCGTTAAGGGATAGAAATCTTCCTTCACCAGTCTTAGACACAAATGTTCAATACACTTTTAAAAATAAAAAGAATATATGGGATCACACAATTAAGAACTCCTGGTCCTGGGCTGATTTTTGTTATGGCAGCATCCAGAGTCTCACTTTCTGACTAATTTTTCCTCATTTATTGGCTCTTTCTTAAGACAGTATTTCACAAAACAGCATGAGAAGCTC
Source organism: Homo sapiens (assembly GCF_000001405.40). Classification (NCBI taxonomy): domain Eukaryota; kingdom Metazoa; phylum Chordata; class Mammalia; order Primates; family Hominidae; genus Homo; species Homo sapiens. The sequence continues at coordinate 28,155,130 of NC_000021.9, read as the reverse complement.
CTGGCTCCTACGTTCCCAAAATAATAACATCAGGGAAAAACAAACACCTCCTTTTGTACAGTTCTAGCAAAGAGCCTAACATGATCGTGGCCATGCTGTGTGATGTGTTCATCTGTTCTATTTGCCTCAGTCATCAGGAGATCGTGGACACACAGGGAGCAGGGGCGGTGCCAGCCAACCAGATGTCCTGGGGGGTGAGGGTCATTAATTTCTCAATAATTAGGACTAGTATTTCCAAAAGAAATAAAGGATACTGGACAGGTAATAATCTCAGTGATTATTTAATATTGTTCTAATACTCTCTACTTACAAAGTCTATAAAATTATTTATACTATCTATTATTCTGATGCAGTGTGTTATAGCAGTTACTTTTCTAAACTGTGACAAAAAGGAAAGATTTCATTTTCCCTGTCTGGTTAATTGTATTTTCTTTCAAAACAACCTGATGTATTTGAATTGAAAAGAGCTAGAAAGAGTTTACCCTTCATGGGTGGAACTTTTTTCTTAGTTCCTATTTCTTTTTCTTTGAGATTTCCTTTGTGGTTCTCTTCCCTCTTCTCTTCCCTTCAATTCATCGATGAGGCTGGTACCGGAAGCCTGGCCCTGAGTATTCATTCAGGTAAGTAGGGCTTCCGCCTCGAAAGGCTCCAGGTTGAGATAGACAGACAGGACTCTCAGAGAAGGGAGATGTGGATAGAGTGACTGAGGCTACTGCTTGGGCTTAAGAAGAAATTTCTTCTTGGATATTTGGTGGTTTATTTGTTTTCCTGTACTACTCACATCATCAGAGTGGTAAGATTAAAAGCCAAAGTCAACAAAATCGGAGAAAGTCCAGGGAAAAGCAGCTTAGGGAGTAAGGTATTCAGCCTCCAGAATATGTGAAAGGCATTGTGGAATCTTGTGCTATTAAGATTACAAAAACAGATTGCAAGCCATGGTGTCTTAGTCCATTAGAGCTGCTATAACAAAATACGATAAACTGGGTGGCTTATAAACAAGAGAAATTTATTTCTGTCAGTTTTGGTGGCTGAGAAGTCCAAGATCAAGGTACCGGCAAATTCAGTGTCTGGTGAGGGCTCATTTCTCTCATAGAAGCCTTCCAGCTGTGTCCAAGGAGCTCCCTGGGGTCTCTTTGTTATGAGGGTGGAACCCTCATAACATCATGACCCCCCAAAGGCCTCACTTCCTAATACTAACACTTTGGAGAAGTAGGATTTCAACATAGGAATTTTGGAGGGGCACAAGTATTGAGACAATAGCACCTGGCTACTGATGAAGTGTCCTGTGTGTTTATCTCCTTTTACCACTTCTGTGATCAGAAGAAGACTGGGGGAGGATTCTGACCTCATATTCGAGATTATCATATCCTCTTCGATGATGGAAATACTAGTCATATAAGTTGCCCTTTATGTAGTTTTACAAAATATCCCTTTGGAAAGAACTAGAACACATGAAAAGGTAGTGAGACTTGGTTTCTGTGTCACTATACTCCATGAATGTGATTATTGAAACAGTTTCCTAAAGTCTTTTCCCACTTGGAGTAGGCAGCTACTGACTCTCAAGACGTATGTGTTTTATAGGTCTTGAGTATTTGCATACACGTCAAAAATTAGGTCAAAGGGAAATGGCATGAAAAAAACAAAAGCACAGTTTAAATTTCTAATAACCAGACCAAGCTATCAAAGCTATTTTTTTATTATAATCAGGTTAAGAGATTATATGTTTTAAAAGTTTGGCATTTTTTAAAAACAAGTGATCAAAATTATGTATTAAAAATAAGAGACCACAGGTTATAAAAGGAGGATTATCCTTAAATATAAAGAGCTTTTAAAAAAGTATAAATAAATCAGGGTGTATATTAAGTATTCAATTTGCTTTGCGGCTTCTTGAACAATTTAAAAGGGAACATTTTATGAAGAAAAGGAAATTAGTGGTGATTTCTTAAAAAATAAAATTTAAAAGATATTTTCTGACATTTTTGTCATATTTTGAAAGAATTCTATTTGTATAATATTAAGTATTTTAATCCTCTTTGCTTATTTTACATTCCATTTTTAACAAACTAGGCAAACAATGTTTTTGTTAGTGGTAATTAATCTACACATCCTGTTTGTGTTTTAATTTAAACTGTTCTCATGGAGTTAAGCAATATTTCTGTAATTCCTGTTTTAGTTTATGAGTGAGTCAGAAAATATTTACTATGCCGAAATAGGTATAAGAATAACAATTGTTGTAGTCCTTAAATCATCAATCATTGTCACCTACTGTATTAGCCCATCTTCACACTGCTATAAAGTATACCTGAGACTGGGTAATTTATAAAGGAAAGAGGTTTAATTGACTCACAGTTCTGCATACCTGGGGAGGCCTCAGGAAACTTACAATCATGGTGGAAGGCAAAGGGGAAGTGAGTACCTTCTTCACGACGTGGCAGGAGAGACAGAGAGACTGAGGAAGTGCCGCACTTTAAAACCATCAGCTCTCTTGATAACTTTCTTGCTATCAGGATAATGGCATGGGGGAATCTGCCCTCATCATCCAATCACCTCTCCACTACAATTTGAGATGAGATTTGGGTGGGGACACAGAGCCAAATCATATCACCTACACTTCTTGAAAATCTTGTTAGTATAGATATATCAACACTTAAGCACTCTTTATTAGTATGACATGTATTTTTTAGTATAGTATATAGACACATAATAAGGCAAATAATTGCTATACTAATACTAGCTAGCATTTCTCTAACACTTTTTTGTATGATAGGCACTATTCTAAATGTTCTAGATGTGTGAACCTATTTAATCCTCAAGGCAACTTAATGAAATAGTTATGATTATTATCTGGATTTTGTGATGAAGAAACTGAGCACAAAAAGTTTAAGCACTGGCTAAAAGTCATGCAACTGTGTAAAATCCCATCATTTTATTTGCCATACTTTATTATTTTCTAAAGTTGTTTTGAGCATGCATTAGAAGGGTGTTTAAAATTAAAGTGTTACTTTTATAACAATTTTTGTAAGTAATATATATCAATTATATCACACAAAATATACTAAATTTGCTTTCTAACAATAATACAACTTCCTAAAATTAAGAAAAATAAGGAAATAAAAAACAAGTACTGCCATGTGTCACTTAGTGATGAGGATACATTCTGAGAAATGCCTCGTTAGGCAATTTCATCACTGTACAAACAACATAGTGTTACTTATGCAAACCTATTTGGTACAGCCTACTACACACCGAGGCTACATGGTGTATATAAGTCTATTGCTCCCAGACTACAAACCTGTACAGCATGTTACTGTACTAAATGCTATAGGCAATTATATCACAGTGGTATTTGTATACCTAAACATATGTAAACATAGAAAAGTACATTAAGTATAAAGTATAAAAGATAAAAAATGTTATACCTCTAATAGGGCACCTACCATGAACAGACTTTACTGAACTTGAAGTTACTCTGGGTAAGTCAGTGAGTGACTAGTGAGTGAATATGAAGGCGTGAGGTATTACTGTACAATACTGTAGACTTTATAAACACTATACATTTAGGCTACACTAAATTTATTAATATTTTTATTTAATAATAAATTAGATACATAACATTTTTGTTTATAATTAACTTTTTAAACTTTTAACTCCTGTAATAACAGCTTAATACATGAACACATTGATAGCTGTAGAAAAATATTTTCTTTCTTTATGTCCTTATAAGCTTTTTTCCATTTTTAATTTTACTTTTAAAACTGTTTTTGCTAAAAACTAGAAAACAAAAATACACATTAGCCTGAGACTACACAGGGTCAGGATCATCAATACTACTGTCTTCCACCTCCATATCTTGTCCCACTGGAAAGTCTTCAGAGCCAATAACGGGCATGGAGTTGTCATCTCCTTTGATAACAATGCCTTCTTCTGGAAACCTCCTGAAGTTCCTGCCTGAGGCTGTGGTACAGTTAATGTTTTTCTTTTTAATTAGTAGAAGTACACTCTAAAATAACAATAAAAACTATAGTAAATACATAAACCAGTAACATGGTCATTTATTATCAAGTATTATATATTGTACATAATAGTGTGTACCACTTTTACATGTCTGGCAGCCCAGTAGGTTTGTTTATACCAGTATCACCACAAACATGTGAGCAATGCATTGAACTGTGTAGGACGTTACCATCGCTACTGTGTCACTAAGTGATGGAAATTTTTCAGCTCTCTTATAATCTTATAGGACCATTGTATATGCAGTACATTGTTGACCAAAATGTCATTATATAGTTCATGACTGTTAAATATTTCCACAGATATACATGTATGGTTTATCAAGCTTAGAATTAAAATAATCTCATTTAATTAGGAACCTATAATCATTCAACAGACATTTGTTAGACATTGCTTTTATTCATGCTTATTTTTGGATAAAGCCCATATTTGAAGCCATGGTGTATTAGATTGGTGCAAAAGTAATTGCTGTTTTTGCCATTACTTTCAATGACCACAATTACTTTTGCACAAATTACCTTTGCACCAACCTAATAAATAGAAAGATAATTCCTTCTAAGTAGACGGAACAATTATGCTTAATGTTTTTTTTTCTTTTTCTTCTTTGTTTCCCACTATTCCTTTATATTTATGCAGTATATATTTTATGTTTACAGTCCTTTTGTGATATTACAACTCTCTGGTAATCAAAAGATCTTTGGTTAGTTATAAAAATGCCCACTTCCGTGTAATAGTTAAAACATTAGCTACTTTGAAGATAGGGTTTATCCGTTCTCCTTGTTCAGACCTGCCGCAGAGGGGGAAGCTGGCAATCCGAGTCAAGTGTGCAGCTGCTACTACTCTTTCTCTACTTTGTAATTCTACTACTTTCCTCCATAGCAATGAGGTTTCGTCCCCCATAAAGGCCAGCATCCAGGGAGCGAGGGGAGGGGCTTGTGTCCTACTCCTCTGGGCCTGAAAACAGTGTGAAGCTGACTACGTTTCTACTGTGAATCCTTTCTTGTCTTCATTCCTTACCCTTAGAGTCAAAGATGCTCCCTTTTCTGGCCTCTCCCTTGCTTCTTTCTCAGGCCCTGCACATCTGACAGCAATTGTAGTTTTTCTGTTTTTCTACTCAAGTCTGTTTGCCCTTTGGGCATCCCTCCTGAGCACGCACACACACACACACACACACACACACACGCGCGCGCGCGCGTGCTCGCCTTCAGTACTGAAGCTGGGAGTGTGGACCTCCCTTGATCAATCTCACTTTCTTTGGTTCACCCATCAACAGCTGTCTTGCCTTTTCCTCACCTGTTAGATATGATAGGCAGAGCCCAACATCAATTGACCTCATCTAGCAATTATAGGAAACACATGTCAAGCTCTCTGAGTTGTCCCATTGAAGATTCCCTCACTAGGCTTGAGGCAAAAATGGCCACCCTCCACATCTCCTGCATTGGACAGAATTCTCTGAAGAAAATTTCTCAAAGTTCAACTCTCTCTTTTAAAAGCAAGGACAAAAATCGTTACCAGGTTTGGCCAACTACTTTGTAAGCGCTACATAGAATCTGGGAACTTCTTTGCGATGGGATATTGCTTCCTGGTATCTCAGCAAGGTATTTTAACATCATGCTATATATACAGCATGATGTTCAGGGTATTGGGCCACCAAAATGATATATATCATTTACCAGTGTTTAGGCTGAGCCCTAGACTAATCACATTGGTGCAGGTATGGCTTAGCAAGTCCTCACCCCTACGCCCCCACTCCCACCCCCTAGCGTAGCTTTACACACCGGCCTCCAATTATTACCACTCTCCAGAGCACACACCTTGGCTGGGAGCAGCGCCTCACTTAATCAGCATCTGCTCACTGAGTAGTGCAGCATATGTAGCACTAGTACTGATTAACTTTAAAGTGAGTTCATCTTACATAGATAAGTAGGTGAGAAACAACGGATTTTTAAAAACCCAACCAAAAAAATGAGAGCAGCTTTCAGCTCTCATAATATCTTCTGAAATGTGACCATGAAGACTAGTTATAGAAATTCAAACCAACCCAAACTGAGTCTTTCTTCCCAAAATAGCATTGCCAGTGTGCATGTGTGTATGCATATGAGTGTATACCTAAGTGTAGGAGAAGGAAGACACTTAACCAATCACATACAGTATTAGTTAGAATCGTCACGTACTTTTTAATTAAAGGACTGAATCCCAGCTCAAACTTGCTTAATCTAAGGGCCAACAATATATTATTGCTGAGTAATCCAAGTGTGGCTCTTCAACCTGGATAGAAGCAGCAGCAGGACAGACAATATTGGGTTTCTTCTGTTCTTCCTGTCTTCTGTTCACCTTTTCTTATCTCTAATCTCTTTCCTAGTTGTCCTCCCAGGATTTCTTTCTTGTGGGTGCCCTTTTTGCAGCGTAAAAACCCCAGGGGAAGAGGTAGCAGTCACAAAAGAAATCCTAGGGAGGAGTTATCAGCCTGCAGGCTCTGTTTGGCCAGGCAGGGGACATGTGCCAACATTGTGCTGGAAATACTCCAAATACTCTAGAGTAGAGGAGGAGTGTGCTAGGGAAAGTGTGTCAGTTTGCAGCGGTTACCATGACAGAGTACCATAAACTGAGTGGCTTCAACAAAAATGTTTGAAATGTATGGTCTTAGAGTTCTGGAGGCTGGAAGTCCAAAATGAAGCTGTCAGCAGGCTTGGTTCCTTCTGAGGTCTGTGAAGGAGTGAGCTGTTCGAGGCCTCTCTTTTTGGCTTATAGATGACTATCTTCTCCCTGTGTTGCTTCATATTATCTTACCTTTGTGGGTGCCTGTCTCTTTGTCCAAAATTCCCCTTTTTATAAGACACAAAATTCCCCTTTTTATAAGTCATATTCAATAAAATCCCACTCTAGTAATCTCATTTTAACTTGATTACCTCTATAGAGATCCTACCTCTACATAAGATCACGTTCTGAGGTACTGGGAGTTAGGACTCCAGCATATCTTTCTAGGGGTACACATTTCAACCTACAACACACTATAACTTAAAAAGGGAAGTCAGCATTGACTGTATGAGGACAAATCTCAACTATCATACTCTATTATACACAAATTTACAGAGTGGCAAATGTGCAAATGAAAGCAACTAAGGAAGTGGTAATCATTCATTCTCTTTCTCTCTCCCTAAATATATACACAAACAGACTTTCCTCATTTTTGAACTTATAAAATGTAGATGGTTCCCAACTTAGGACGGTTCAATTTACAGTATCTTGACTTTATGAGGAGTTTTATTGCCATTAAATGTATTTTCAACATATCAGTTTATTGAAAGTAATTCCATCATAAGTAGAGGACCATATATATTTATGCATATATGTATATGTATGTATACATACATATGTATAATATATATATAACATTATATGTGTTTGTGTGTATATAAACTTCTTTTATTTGTGTGTGTGTGTGTATATATATATATATATATATTTTTTTTTTTTTTTTTTTTTTTTTTTGAGACGGAGTCTCATTCTGTCTACCAGGCTGGAGTGCAGTGGCACAATCTTGGCTCACTGCAACCACTGCCTTCTGAGTTCAAGCGATTCTCCTGTCTCAGGCTCCAGAGAAGCTAGGACGGCAGGTGCCCACCACCACACCTGGCTAATTTTTGTATTTTTAGTAGTGACGGTGTTTCTTTTGTATTTTTAGTAGAGACGGTGTTTCAACATGTTGGCCACGCTGGTCTCAAACTCCTGACCTCAAGTGATCTGCCTGCCTCAGCCTCCCAAAGTGCTGGGATTACAGGCATGAGCCACTGCACCTGACCCATTTTTATATGCATTTATGGTTTCTAGTTCTAAGAAAATCTTTTATTTGATAGTGTTCTGTGTATATATCCTCTACAATTTTTGCCTCTGTTTATTTTAAATGTTCTTCTTCAGACTTTGAAAACTATTCAAAAGCAATAGTTCTTTATAAGTATTTATATAACAAAATAATCTTACAGCATTCATTCTAATAAAATCAAGTATTTATGAAGAAAATAACAGTATGTATTTCTTCCCCATATCCATCTAAACATTTGTTCTACAGTTTCTAAATTAGAGAAGAATTAGCACCTCAAATGAAGCATGCAATTACATCAATAAAATTGAAGACTTTTTTTTTCAAGAAATCATACAAAACATATTGAATAGTGCATTATATTTGTTAGTATGTATGATTCTTTTCTATTAATTCCTTAACTGTAAAGTCCAGACCTTCTTTATCAGAGGCAAGGTATTGAACTTTACTTTGCCCTTAACAGCTCCCCAGGAAATATTTTCATGAATGAATGAAAGAAATGACAAGTCATTCATCAAGTAAAATGAAACAGCATTCTCATCTTTATTTTTTCTAAAGGAAAAAGAAGGTAATTAAGGGAGAATTGAAAAATACACACACATGCACAGAGTTTAGAACTTATTTTCCATTAAGATAAATCACATCTTATTCTGAAGAAACCTCTGGGTATTTTTCTTGTTGTAGTTGCTGTTTGTTTCATTTTGTTTTTGAATAAGGAACTCAAACAATACATGTTGAATTGAAACTTGGCCATTTTTGGATACATATAAAATACGATTTAAACATAATGTATGTGGAATGGCTTACTTCAAATGTTAATAGTTGTATGCCCATGGACTTAAAAAATTTATTATTGGAAACTGCCTTTCCAAATAAAACTCTTTCAAACAAAATTTCCTCTGGAGGTGTTATGAATTATTACGTGCCAGAAGATGTGCCCTCCCAGCATGTGATGATGTTCGTCTTATTTCCAGATGTTCATATCATCCCTCTTTACATAAAACAGCCCCAGGAAAACGACCGTGTCAAAGATTGGAAAAGCAAATATCCAGGCATCCAGGTTCTAGCACTATCTACCAATAGACTAAGACAAGATGGAATGGGTGATCCCACGCTCCGTTTTTTCCCTCTGAGATACTGTAGTCCTCTTGATTTCAAGTCCACTGTTAAAGTCTGTGCTATGCACATTCTGTTGTTGTCCTGTAATTAACATTATTGTCATAATCTGGGATTAATGATGAGTCCCGTTGTCCTCAAAATGCCTTGCGTTATGCTTTAGCAGTTTCAATGTATCTAAACTTTTATTTTCTGGAGTCAGTTTTATTATTTAAATCTAGAAGCCTATTACATTGTATTAAATTTAAAGGAGCCATTACCCCCCTCTGTGGGAAGAACACAATGAAAGATAAGAGACTAAGCCTGCTTCTAAAACATATCATCAGTTCACTAAAGGTGATATATGAAAAACACATGAGCCTAGAATTCACAGAGATCCGAGACCCGGATTCCAGACACACTGTCTTCTGGTCTATATCATTTTAGAGCCAAACAGCAAACATTTTGCAGGACAGAATTCCCTTTAGTAAAATAGAGATTAAAATAACTATTCACATTGTGATGAAAAGAATTATATACAATGACAGAAAGGGGCCTGGCTCACAATAGTTTTCTAAATGTCCATCCTTTCATTTGCCTTATAAAACAAAAGAAAATTATCCTAGTAAGAGTAAGAAAACTTATTAGTGATGCTTATATAGACTTTCATTTACTCTGTCAACCTTTAAATGCTTTGATTTTTAATCACAACTATGAAGTCTTGCACAATTAATAATATGGAAGAGTGAAGAATGAATAAAACATAGAAAAAAGTAATGAAGACCTTCAATTAAGTCCAATGCATGTTGAAAAAATTTGAATTGGGGAGAAATTTATGTATTGTAGTAAATTACAAAACATAGTTTTGCTATGATTCTGTTTATATGAATTACTGGTAGAGAATATGGCCTTGATCTGAGTGTCAATGTCATTCTTAATTTTTTATAGAAAAATCAACATAGATTATTAACAAATGATTTGATACATTTTATGTAGGTTTTGTTAGTCTTTGGATTTACAATTTGTATTCACCTATGAGATTATTCCTGGAAAAAATATAAAATTTGTCTACATATCTTCACAAACTAAACAAATTGTAGAAAATTTAAAGACAAATCTAATACATTAAAGAAATTCTGTGAATACTTTATAAAACATGAAACACCCAATGTCAAATAACGCAACCTTAATGCAATAAATCAAATGTTTGTGTGTCCTCAAAATTCATACATTAAAATAAAACCTGAGTCCCAGTGAGATGGTATTTAGATGTGGGGACTTAGGGAGGTGATTAGGTGGTAAGGGTGGAGCTCTCAGGAATGGGACTACTTATAAAAGAGACCATGGAGAGTTCCCTTGTCCATTACACCATGTGGAGACATAGTGAGAAGACAGGAAACAGGTTTTCCCCAAGCACCAAATTTGGTGGCGCCTTGATTTGGACTTTTCAACTTCCCAAAATGTGAGAAATATATTTCTGTTGTTTATATTCTGATAGAAAATTACTATAGTAAATATCGATTGAGTCTGTATTACTAAATAAATACGTTACTAAATTAATACGTTAATTAAATCATTTTAAACAAATAATTTCAACTGATTAATACTTTAAAATTGTTTAAAAGAATATGTATTTAATTTGAAAATTTTTTTCCTCTACAGTACTTATTTTAAGGGAAATCTTTTAAAAAGATATTATTGGAAAGTGTATGCAAATTGTACCCCACAATATTAATTAAAATGTGCAGATATATCTTGGCAATTACAATATTGAAGGCAGAAAATGACTTGAGGTATTTATTTTAGCATTTAGTAAAGGAAGAGATACTGAGAGAAAAATCATCTTTTTTCTCCCCAGTAAGTCTATTTCATAGCAAGCTTCCAGCCAAATCATTTTCCTTTACTTAATTTTTTGCTGATCTTTCATTCTCTTAAAAATCCTGAGAACTGATAAAATTCCTAAAGAGTAGAAATCAATTTAATTATTGTAGTATGGATATATTCAAGGTGATCAAATATGTGATAATCAGTCAGATTTAAGCAATATCTTTTAAATACAAGTGCTATAATTGATGCATAATTAAGAATGATTAAAAGTAGAATTGATAAGGTGGTGCAGTCTATTTCAGCTGCTATAATTCATAACCGTAATTTAAAAAGTACAATATCAGTGTGATTGAATTATTAAAAATTCACTTCTGCATATAGACATATCTTTAATAATAGATTTTCTGGTAAATACCTTAATCCCTCTGGTTATAGCTAAAAAAATTATTAATATTTCACATCATGGCTGTTTACAGCCCAACCTTTAGAAAGATTTCATAATAAATTGCCATACTGGGCCAACGAAATGGCTTGTCTAACCCAGTGTTCTGTTTCTGAATGACACCAAAGGACATTTAATTAAGATGGTATTAAAATTGGCCATAGAATTTATCCCTGGAGAATCCTACTGTTTATATTTTTTCATCCAAAAATAAATTTTCTCTTATGTTTACTTTTTCTTAAGCCAGTCCCTTAATCATGTCAAAATATTTTTCATAATCTTGTGACTTTGCTTTAAAAAACACTTGTGTGTGCACACAATACAGATACATGCTTATTCTTCTTTTCTCACTCATTTTGCCCATTTAAAAATATGTAGACAGACTAGCATGAGTTTTCCATGCATGTATGACCATGACTTATATTAGGGTTAGTATTTTTAAAAATTCCTAATGAGAGTCTGAACGCTACTGCTGGGAACAAGCTGAAGAACACTCACCCCATAGTTTCTACTGACTAGAAAAAGGCAGATGGGTAGAATGAGGCTGGTTCCTTTTTAAATAGATGGCAACGATGGGGAAAAGGGCCCCTAAAGGCTGTCATTGGGAGCACATTCCTGAAGGACATGTTGAAAGATGAGAAAGTCTTCACCCAGTAAATAAGCAATGTAAGTTCCGATGGAGATTGCAGCCTGAGCAATTTCACGAAACTCAAGGTATGTTCAGGGCAGCAGAAAATGTTTATAGTATGATTGGTGTATAAGGTGCATTTGAGATGTTGATATGCTTTGCCTTTGTGTTCCCATCCAAGTCTCATCTTGAAACTGTAATCCTCAGTGTTAAAGGAGGTACTTTGTGGGGTATGATTAGATCATGGGGGCAATTCCTCTTGCTGTTCTCATGATAGTGAGTTCTCAGGAGATCTGATGGTTTAAAAGTGTTTGGCAGATCCCCACCCCCCAGCTCTCTCTCTCTGTCTCTCTCTCCTGCCACCAAGTGTGATGTGCCTTGCTTCCTCTTTCCTTCAGCCATGACTGTAAGTTTTTGGAGGCCTCCTGAGTCATGTGGAACTGTGAGTCAGTTAAACCTCTTTTGTTTATAAATTACTCAGTCTCATGTAGTTCTGCATAGCAGTGTGAAAATAGCTAATACAGATGTGTAACTGGAAATGTAGATAATAACATTATTCAGATGCCATCTTTACCAATGTTTATCAAATTTTTAAAATTGAAAATTGTAGTAAAAAATGCATCTGACTTTGTAACCCAGGACTTATATACATATAGCTCTCTCTATAGCCAGAAACTCTTTGCTTTCTATAGTTCTGATAGACACAGATTTCAATTATCAGGCCTTATTTAGTTAAATAACATCAGTCCCCTGGCAACAAGGTTCAAATTTTAATTACCAGGATATATTACCTGGAAAAAATTGCTTAAAGGACAAACTTTACTGCTAGCCCTACAGTGCACAAATCACTGTACATCATTACCAGTGACCAGTCATTGTGTCATTTCTTTCGAAGTCTGTCAGTGATTGGTCAATGAAGATCTGTTACTCAGTTTACCCTTAAATACCAAGGCATGTAGTTGTGTCCCTCCTTATTTCCCAGTGATGGAAGTTGGTGACAGCTTACAACAAAAGTATGAGCAAAAAAAATGAGTTGGTCAGCAAAGGTAAATGTGCAGGAAAAAAAAAAAGTGGTAACACTGTAAGTAAAATTTAAATTAAATGTAAGCAAAGTTATAGAAGAAATAGCTAAGGGTGAAAATATTGACACAGCTGATGTTTGAGAGACTTTAGTATGTAGTCAAAGACACTCATTGAAGATGAACTTATTAATGTAAATTAAGAAAATGGTTGTGAGCCGGGCACGGTGGTTCATGCCTGTAATCCCAGCACTTTGGGAGGCCGAGGGAGGGGTGGATCACGAAGTCAGGAGTTCAAGACCAGCCTGGCCAAGATGGTGAAACCCCATCTCTACTAAAAATACAAAAATTAGCCAGACGTGGTGGCGGGCGACTGTAATCCCAGCTACTCTGGAGGCTGAGGCAGGAGAATCGCTTGAACCCGGGAGGTGGAGGTTGCAGTGAGCCAAGATCACACCACTGCACTCCAGCCTGGGTGACAGTGTGAGACTCCATCTCAAAAAAAGATAATAAATAAATAAATAAATAAATAAATAAATAAATAAATAAATGAAAGTCATTGTGAAGGCAGTTATGAAGATGTCTGAGAGAAAGTGATGTCAGGAAAAACCTTCACATGAAAGGAAATCTCAGGATTTTTTTCCAGATATTGAAAGCACAAAGGATAAAATCTTGAGAGTTGGTCCAAGGTTAGATAGGAATATGAGAAGTTGTCAATGCATAGAAAAAAATGCTCACTCTGTATCATTTGTTATAAATAAGAAGTAGAGGACAAAAACTGTTGATAGATTTTATTTATATTTTAAAATAAGTATAGATTCACAGAAAGTTTCAAAAAACATACAAGGAGCCCCCATGTACCCTTCACCTAGACTCTGCAAATGGTAACATCTTGTATGACAATAAACATAAAAACATATATAAACATGTACATATGCAGTTCTATGCAATTTTAGCACACATGTAGCCTTCCGTAGCCACGACTCCAATCACAACAGTTCCAGCAGCATAGGAACCATGCTTCCTTTATAATCATACCCACCTCTTTCCCCCGAAACAACTAAGTCCTATGACCATTAATCTATTCTCCTCCTCTACAATTTTGTAATCTTGTGACTATTTTATAAATGAAAATATACAATTTGTTACCTGTTGAGATTGCATTTTTTTTCATTTAGTATAATTCCCTTAAAGTAATACCCAACAATTTCCATCCAAGTGTTGAGTGTATCAACAATTTATACTAAGTTTTTTACAAAGAAGTAAAGTACTTCAACCTCAATGTTTCAAGTGTTTTAAATTAAAGAGTACTAGGTAAGACTAGTTTTATTACCTTTTAATTCTTTGTAAATTTATAACCAACAATAAGAGAGATTGTAAAGTCTTGACAAACATCATTAAAGATTACGGTACAATTATAATTTTTCCCATTGATTATTAAAATCACTTTTCATGGTTTCAGTTTGTACAGTCCATTTGCATACTACTTTGAGGAGGGTGAACTTTCTGTAGCATATATGTATGTGTATGTATGTATGTACCTCTTTATCTATATGACTGAGATATATGTATATATACATTACTGAAACAAAGTTTTCATGGGCAATAATTTTTACATGCATTTGTTTTCTATTGCTGCCATTGAAGTTACCAAAATATTAGTCGTATAAAACTACAATAATTTATTACCTTGTTGTTCTATAGGTCAGAAGTCTGACAAAAGTTTCACTGAGCTAAAATCAAGGTATTAGTGGGATTGCATTTCTCTTCAGAAGATCTAGGGGAAAATCTCTTTCCTGCCTTTTCCAGCTGCTAGAAACCAACCACATTTCCTGGTTTGTGGCCCCTTCCATCTTTAAAGCAACCAATGGCGAATAGAGTTCTTCCCACACACCAGGCTTCCCTGGTTCACTGACAACAGGGAAGCCTGGAAAGGTTTTCTGCTTATTAGGACTGCTGTGATGAGATTGGGACCACCTTGACAATAATCTACTCATATCAAATTATTTAATCGTAATCACGCCTGCCATATATGTTAACCTATGTATAGGTTCTGGGAACTAGGACATGTACATCACTGGGGGATTTTTATGCTGGGTAGGACATTCCACTTTCTAAACTCTAAAGATTTAAGACTATCTCACCTACAAAATTCATTAACCGAAACCAAGTTCCGCAGAATTCTGGACTCACTACGGCACCAACTCAGCATCCAAAATGTCACCTCACCCACTCAAAAGCTTCAAATCACATAACCTAAATTATTTAATTTATGCATGAGGAAAGCTCTGGTATAATCCATTCTGAGGTACAATTTCTCTTTATTGTGAATCTTTGAAAGTGAAAACATAAGTTACCTGTTTCTGAAATATGATGGTAGGGCAGGCATAGGATAATAGTTACAGACAGTCCTGTTTTCAAGAGGGAGAAAATCCTAGGTAAAAAAACAATCACTTGTCCCAAGCCATTTCTAGATTCTGCTAGAGAAATTAGGTTCCTAGATCCAAGACTAATACGATGTTGCTTTTAGCTTTTCCTTCTAAACCTGTGGCTTCCTCCTCTGAGTCCTTTCATGTATATGAAAAGTGGCAGATCTTTGCAACTGAGTAGCTGTGTAAGCTTCTTTCCTGCCAGAATTTTGGAGGTTTAATAGTCTTCTTTAATTTCGTATTTTCTCTGTTCCTTTCAATACAGACTGACAGTGTTTCTCCTGATATAAAATTCTCAAGAACCAAGTGGGTCTCCCATGTATGCCACAGGGGTTCACTCCATAATATGAGACTCTTTCAGAGATCTTTCTTAGATAATCAGTCTTCTATTTTTGCCTTCTGCTGAGATATGTGAGGGACAGTAACCTTAAGCTTCCTCGATGCTCTTTGGTTTGATTGAGGAAATCTAATCTCTTCAAAGAGCCCTTTATATTTGAGTACTTTTGATCTTTTTGAGGCATTAGCAAATTGCTGAGGTATAAAAACAGAAGGTTACTACAGCCGTGTCCTAGGCTTTTTCTTTAGATTATCTATCCCTGTTACTGAGTTTCTTTATTTTAATATCTTTTGCAGTCTGAATAAACTGAGAATTTCCAAAATCATTATGTCTTGGTTTCTTTTTGTTTAAACGGTTCTTTTCTCAAATTATCTCTTTCTCATTGCATTTTGCTATGAGAAGAAACAAGAAGCCAGGCGGCTTCTTCAACCCTTTGCTTGGAAATATCCTTACTTACGTATTCAATTTCATCATTTACAAGTTCTATTTTTCACCTGAACGTAGGACAACTTTGCTAAGTTTCTACCGCTATATAATATGGAAATTCTTTCTTCAAATTTTTAATGTGTTTTTTATTTCCTTCTAAGCCTTCACCAATAGTACTTTTTATGTCCCTATTTTTACTAAGTCTGTTCATGCTGATTCATGTATGCTCTAACGCAGTCTATGCCTTCTCTACCATGCTCTTCTCTTCACTTTCTTCTAAGTCCTTTCTAGCAGAATCATTAACAACCACATTTCTACTAACAATGTGTTCAAAACAATGTAAGTTTTTCTCGGATGACCTTCAACATTCTCTTAGCCTCACTCACTGCCGAATTCCAAAGCCACTTTGACATTTTATAGATATTTGTTACAGCAGTATATAACTCTCAGACATCAAAATTTGTATGAGTTTCCTAATGTCGCCATAACAAATTACCACACATGCATGCAGTGACTTTAAAAACACAAGCAGCTGGCAATACACTCTTCCTAGCAATGCTTCCTAAACAGAATGGACAGTATTCCCTCAAGTTTCAGCTGAAGTCCACCTGCTCCAAGGGACAGAAGCAACAGTGATTTTCTCTTCTGTCCACATTATGCTCATTAACTGCATGACTCAGTGCTATTTACCATGGGTTCTGCTGTATCGCTAGTTATTTATCTTCATAATATGTGAAGTTATCTAAAGAATACAATTAGATAGTTGAGGACAGGAACTTCTGGCATTCCTAGAATTTATGAGTGTTTTTATATGGTAGCCAGTCTGAATCCATTTGTGATGATGATGAAAAACACAACAGATAGCTGGATAGTTAATGTAGGAAACTTTGCTTTATGAAATAAAATTTTGAGAAAGCTAAATATATTTTCCTAACATTGAATCGCTTACGTGTGTTTTATGTAACAACTTATTAATCTCTAATTTTTAATAAGTACAGCTATTATTTATAAAATATTTTAGCTTATAAATAATTTTAACACACTATATCATTTGATCTCAAACATGTAAAAATACTTATTACACAAAGGAGGAACATAGAGTTACCACTTGATTTCAGTTGTGTTTGCTGACTGACGTAGGGTCAAAGAATACATTAGTAGCACTACTGAAACATAACTCTATGGTATATGATTCTAAAACCTGTGTTTTTCCCACTATGCTATATGTACATTCTTATTTCATGAATTTAGACTACATTTAATAACTGACACACGTACTATTTGTTCAACAACAGTTAAGTTCTTAAGAAGTAATGATGGTGCAAAAAGAAAATTTTAATCTTGCCTAATTCTTAATGTAATCAGTAAAAATATAATAATATTGTATCTGACAGAGAGGGCAATTATTCAAATTTTAAAAGACATTCACATCATGAGTAGTTGAGATAAATAACTATCCTGAAAAACCACTGACCATAATGAGTTATTGTTAGCAAGATTTATATTGTACTTTTGAAGTTCTTCTAGAGGCACACAATCAACCATAGGTTTTATCTAACAATAGTAAAAGTAATCCCAAAACATAAAAAGTAGTTGCTGTATTGAAAAGTATATTATAGGACAATAATTAAATGGATGATAAGGAAACCTTGTTACAGGTGATTCACACCACTTCAAAAACAGCAAAAGAAAAAATTGATATTAACATGTACCAATTATAATGCATTATTATGAAATATTTAAAATGGGGAATCCAAGATGACATAGTTTTTAACTCATCCACATACTGGAAGTTTAGAGAAACTCAGAATTTCTTATTTCTTTTTCTTTTTCCTCCATAGCATAAAAGCTTTGCTAATAAGAATAAATATATATATTGGAGTTTTAGTGTTTGATCCTGTGATCAGTTGTAACCGTGTGTCATAAAACTCTCTCACAGATTCCATCTTTCCCAAATCTTCTGATCATAACACAGATTGCCATATAGACTTCCCTTGTAAGAGAATATGCTGGCCATAAGGCAGCAAAGTGAACTTGCAGTTTCACTTCTTGTAAATTAATGCATTTGCATTGACTTCTATAAAATAATCTCTCCTGAATTTTTTTGCTTAGTCAACTTACTGTGTGCAAGCAACAGAAATTGTCTCTGGTTAACTTTTACAGCACAATTAAAAATTGTATGAAGAAGCATACAAAATTTGTATGAGGCTGAATCAGCCTCATTAAATGGTCAGTGATTAAGGGAATTTATGTAGGACACTTCTTTTGGATTCTTGCTGGCACCACAGGACTGTCGATGCTGTCAGCACTGCTGTGCTGTGCTGTGAATAATTCTTCGTTGCTCATGTTCTCTGTGTTCCCCATTCCAGATTCAAAGTCTTAGGCAGGAACATCTTATTGGCCAAGTCTGTTGGGAGGTAATGGGAGTAAATATCTCAGAAAGAGAAAGTTCGTTTGGATGCTGAGTGGCCAAAAAATGACAATTTTCCATGAAAGTAAGGTCGATCTGACGTAAAGTGGTAACAATCATCAAGTGTCTGGATTTAAAAGGTTGAGGACCAAACATTTTTCTTTCATTTTTTATTTCCATCAAATGACAAGTTCCCAGTGATGGGAGGGATCTTAAATATCATATAGTCTGATACTTCTCCAAGCCTCGATTGGGCAAGAAAAGGGTAGTAACAACAAATGATTTCCCTTTGATAGTCTATTTTATCTATTTATTTTAGGTGAGGGGATGATTCCATTTTGAAAAAAAATTTCTTATGTTAAACTTTTGTTCTTTAATATTACTTTTACCTCTCAGAGCTACAGAGGAAATAGATCCAATTACTCTAAACCTAATCATCCTTTTGAATAAAACTTATGCATGGCTTTCGTATCATTTGTGCAAGTAATAAATCCCAATTTACATAATGTTTTTCCTATGACATGATTTTGACTCCGTATTTCTGCTTCTGCCATTCCTGTATTGCCTTTTTCACACACACACACACACACACACACCCCACCACCACCACCACTACCACCAGCACACACACAACACATGTGCATGCATACCAACATTTGCAATACTAAGATGTGAAAATACCAACTGGAAAAGGTTTGACACGTACACAGTGTGGAAGGGCTAGCACTTTACATTTCTTTTTTTTTTTTTTTTTTGAGCTCTGTCACCCAGGCTGGAGGGCAGTGGTTGGTTTCAGTTCACTGCAGCCTCTGCCACCCAGGCTTAAGCAATCTTCCCACCTCACCCTCCTGAGCAACTGGGACTACAGTCACATGCCACCATGCTTGGCTAATGTATTAGTCAGGATTTTCTAGAGGGACAGAACTAATACAATATGTGTATATATGAAAGGGAGTTTATTAAGGAAAATTGACTCACATGATCATAAAGTCAAGTCCCGTGAGAAGCCATCTGCAAGTTGAGGAGCAAGGAAGCCAGTGGTGGATCAGTCTGAGTCCCAAAACCTCAAAATTAGAGAAGCTGACAGTGTAGCCTTCAGTCTGTGACCAAAGGCTCAAGAGGCCCTGGCACACCACTGGTGTAAGTCCATGAGTCCAAAAGCTGAAGAACGTGGAGTCTGATGTTTGAGGGCCAGAAGAATCCAGCACGGGAGAACGGTGAGGGCCAGAAGACTCAGCAGGTCTGCTCTTTCCAACTTCTGCCTGCTTCATTCTAGCCACACTGGCAGCTGACTAGATGACACCCACCCAGATCGAGGGTAGGTCTGCTTCTCCCAGTCCTCTGACTCAAATAATAATCTCCTTTGGCAACACCTGCACAGACACACCCAGAAACAATACTTTGCATCCTTCAATCCAATCAAGTTGACACTCAATACTAACCATCACAGTTAATTATTTAATTTGTTGCAGAGACAAGTTCTCACTATATTGCCCAGGCCATTTTTGAACTACTAGGCTCAAATGATCATTCCACCTGGGCCTCCCAAAATGCTGGGATTATAGGCATAAACCACCATGCCCAGCCTTAAATTCTATATGTCTATTAATACCTTAACATTATTTAGGTTTTCTTGAAGGCCATATGACACCATTCATTTCTGTTGGGCTTTTCCCCACATATTTTTTAAGGGTTCTCTTCTTGAGTCGTGTCTCTCGTTTCCTGTATTTTATTTTTTTAAATCTCCATTTATGGTGTGGACTGAACCTACAAACTAAATCAGTGGTGTGGTTAAAATTCTAGTCTTGGAAACTGAACCTGCAATCTAGCTTGGAGGCATTCTTTCCCCAAATACTGTCACCTAAAAATATGTTAAGAAAATTGTCCATGTCTTTATTAGCTCTTGATTTAAAAAAAACTGAACAGGACAAGTTCAATTATAAATTCCTGGGACATGTCCTTCAAAGTCCCTGTTGGTTGATATTATAAAAGAATGTAATGGGCATCTTTTGGAAACAAAGATCCATCACATTTTGTGTGGTGTTCTCAGCTGGTGGAGAGGTGTCAATATCCCTGCAGAGATTTAAAATATACACGTTTCTTTTACAACCTAAAGATCAGAGAGCCTTCCTCAGAACCTTCATGATTTATGCGGTGTGAGAAATGGGTTGGTATTCGATTATTTTCTGTTCTAACTCATTCATTCATTCATTCATTCATTCATTCATTCGCTTATTACATGCCAAGGCCTATTCCATAGTCAATATTATGTAGTTAAAGAAGGGTCATCTGGCCGGGCAGGGAGCCTTATGCCTGTAATCCCAGCACTTTGGGAGGCCAAGGAGGGTGGATCATGAGGTCAAGAGTTCGAGAACAGCCTGGCCAACATGGTGAAACCCTGTCGCTACTAAAAATAGAAAAAAAAAAAAAAAAAAGCCGGGCATGGTGGCACTTGCCTGTAATCCCAGCTACTCAGGAGGCTGAGGCAAGAGAATTGCTTGAACCTGGGAGGCGGAGGTTGCAGTAAGCTGAGATTGCACCATTGCACTCCAGCCTGGGCAACAGGACAAGACTCCTTCTCAAAGAAAAAAAAAGTCGACTTTTTACCAAATTGATATTTCTTTATGAAACTTCAAGAAAGAGTGAGGATTTTCCCCTGATTCAGGGCTAGATCGATAATGCAAATTAAAAAGCATTAAATGTATATGATTGTTTCTCACCTAGATAAGAAAATATCTTTTTTTAAAAATTATACTTTAAGTTTTAGGGTACATGTGCACAATGTGCAGGTTAGTTACATATGTATACATGTGCCATGATGGTGTGCTGCACCCAGAAACTAGTCATTTAACATTAGGTATATCTCCAAATGCTATCCCTCCCTCCTCCCCCCACCCCACAACAGGGCCCGGTGTGTGATGTTCCCCTTCCTGTGCCCAAGTGTTCTCATTGTTCAATTCCCACCTATGAGTGAGAACATGCGGCGTTTGGTTTTTTGTCCTTGCGATAGTTTGCTGAGAATGGTGGTTTCCAGCTTCATCCATGTCCCTACAAAGGACATGAACTCATCGTTTTTTTTGGCTGCATAGTACTCCACGGTGTATATGTGCCACATTTTCTTAATCCAGTCTATCATTGTTGGACATTTATCTTTTTTCCACTTTCAGATCTCACTTTATATTATCCTGATCTTGATTAAAGCATAGTCTTCTACAAAAAAATTATATTTCTGTAGAGTGTAAAACTTCATGGCAAATGGCGATACATAGCAAATGACGCTCAGGTCCAGGATTGGAGAATATGAGGGAGTGGTGGGGACTGTGTTAAGCAAGAACACATTCTTTGCTTTTTGGAGAGAAGCTGCATAGATCCAGCCAATTGTTGTCATATAGGAATGTCAGCTCAGTATTGCCAGATCTTCTGATTTTTTTTTTCAACAGAATCCAGAAGTCTGGGTTTTTTCATAAAACTTCCCAGTTTTAAATGTTGGTAATATTTTTTAAAACAGTGTAAGAGCCAAATAAAACATATCTGTGGGCCAGGTTTAGCTTTCAAGTTGCTAGTTTGTAACCTTTATTCTAGAGGTATAGAGCTAGAGCCCAGCTACAGTATCAATCTGCCCAGTACTTGTTGCTTCCTGAGGACCTGTGGCTCCCAGCAGAAACAGAACCTTAATACGACTTCCCTGCCACTCTGTCTTCATCTATCCAGATTCCAGTGGTGGTAAGCCTAATACACCCCTTGGGGATATCTCACTACATAGAACTTTAATGATTCCCTTCTCCATCAGACCATAAATTCTTGAGGGAAGAGAAAATTTATTTGTTTTACAAGCAAATTACACAGCAACTGGGGCCACATCAGCTACAGTGAATGAGCTTCACTTTTTCAACAGTTTTTTTTTTTTTTCTGGTCAGCATTGTATCCATAGTAAAATTTACAGCATTTCTTTCCCTAGACTCTAAGACATGACCCTCCTGAAACCTGTTTTTTGGTTTTAATATAAAAAGTGAAAGATGATTTTTGATATTTTGGCCCCTGCAGTTCTCATGACTCAGAGGAAGAATTAAGTCTTCACTATTACATGCACAGCATGGTGGCATGCATAAAGGAATTAAGTGGCTTCAAGGTCAGTGATATAGTTTGAATATGTGTCCTCACCCAAATCTCATGTTGAAACGTAATTCCCAATGTTGGAGTTGGGGCCTGGTGGTAGGTGATTGGATCATGGGGGTGGATTTCTCATGAATGGTTTAGCATCATCCTCTTTGTACCGTCCTCCTGATAGTGAATGAGTTATCAGAAGATTATTTTGTTTAAAAGTATTTGGCACCTCCCCCACTCTTGTTCTTGCTCCTGCTTTCACCATGTGATAGACACACCTGCTCCCTTTTCACCTTCTGCCATGATTGGAAGCTTCCTGAGGCCTTTCCAGAAGCAGATGCTGCAGTGCATTCTGTAAAGCCTGTATAATCATGAGCCAATTGAACCTCTTTTCTTATAAATCACTCAGTGTCAGGTATTTCTTTATAACAATATTAGAATGGTCTGATACAGAAAATTGGTACCGAGGAGTGGGACATTGCTATAAAGATACCTGAAAATGTGGAAGCAACTTTGGAATTGAGTAACAGGTAGAGGTTGGAAGAGTTTGGAGAGCTCAGAAGACAGGAAGATGAAGAAAACTAGAACATCTTAGACATTGGTTAACTGATGGTGACAGAAATAATGATAGTGATGTAAACAGTGAAGTCCAGGCTACCAAGGTCTCAGATGGAAATAAACAACTTACTGGGACCTGGAGCAAAGGTCACTTTTGTTATGCCTTAGTGAAGAACTTGGTTGCATTATGCCCCCACCCTAGGGATCTGTGGAACTTTGGATTTAAGAGTAATGATTTAGGGTATCTCGAAGAAGAAATTTCTAAGCAGCAAAGCATTCAAGATGTGGTATGGCTGCTTCTAACAGCCTATACTCATATGCAGGAGCAAATAAATGATTTAAAGCTAGAACTTATATTTAAAATGGAAGCAAATTGTAAAAGTTTGGAAATTTTGAAGCCTGTTCATATAGTAGAAGAGAAAACCTCATTTTCAGGGAAAATTCAAGTAGGTTGCTGAGTGACCACTTGCTGTGGAAATTTGCATTAGTGAAAAGAAAGCAAGTGCTGCTAGCCAAGACAATGGGAAAAAAGGCCTGGAAGGTATTTCAGAGATCTAAGGGGCAGCTTTTTCCATCACAGGCCCTGAGGCCTAGGAGGAGAGAATGGTTTTGTGGGCCATGCCCAGGGCCCTGCTGCCCTGCACAGCCTTAGGACATGGCTCCCTGTATCCTGTCAGCTTCAGCTCCAGCAGTGGCTCAAAGTAGTCCAGGAACAGCTTAGGCCACAGCACCAGAGGGTGCAAGCCATAAGTGTTGGTGGCTTCTACATGGTGTTTACTTTGTAGGTGCACAGAATGCAAGAGTGTTTGAGGCTTGGGAACCTCTGCATACATTTCCTAGGATGTATAGAAAAGCCTAGGTGTCCAGGCAGAAGCCTGCTGAAGTGGCAGAGTCCTCATGGAAAACTTCTACCAGGGTAGTACAGAGGGAAAATGTGGGTCAGATCCCACAGACAGAGTTCTCATTGGTTGAGCTGTGGAAGAAGGTCACCATCCTCCAGACTGGGTAGATCCACTGGCAGTTTGCACCCTTGCTGTGGAAAAGCTGCAGGCACATAACAACCTGTGAGAGCAACCTCTGGGGCAGAATCCTACAAATCCAGAGGGGTGGCACTTGGGCAAGATCTTAGGAGCCCACCCCTGTATCAGTGTGCCCTGGATGTGAGACATGTAGTCTGAGGATATTGGTTTGAAGCTTTAAGATGTAATGACTACTGTGCTGAGTTTCAGATTTGCATAAGACCTGTAGCCCCTTTCTTTTAGCTGATTCCTCCGTTTTGGAATAAGAGTGTTTACCCAATGCTTGTACCATCATTGTGTCTTAGAAGTGACTAACTTGTTTTTTTTTTTAATTTTTAGAATTTTATTTTTATTTTACTGGCTCATAGGTAGAAGGGACTTACCTTGTTTCAGATGAGACTTTGAATTTTGGTCTTTGAGTTAACGCTGGAATGAGTTGAGACTTTGGGAGATGATTGGGAAGGCATATTTGTATTCTGAAATGTAAGACAGACATGAGATTTGGGAGGGGCCATGGGAAGAATGATATAGTTCGAATCTGTGTTCACACCCACATCTCATGTTGAAATATAATCCCCAGTTTTGGAGGTGGGGCCTGGTGGGAGGTGATGAGATTATGGTGGTGAATTTCTCACGAGTGGTTTAGTACCATCCCCTGAGACCCACATAGGTCTCAGTTTCTGATCCTCTTGGGCAGAAGCAGGTCTCGTACTTTGTGCTCCCTGGATCTCTTCCAGGAGCACAATCATCCACTGTGCAAAAGCCTGTGCAAAGTGGGTGAGGGTGCCCAGAGATAGCTCTGTGTATGCCCACTCCTGACATTCCTAAATTCTCAAATCTCCCCACTTTTGCCTCTTCATAAATCCCAGTGGCTACCCTGGGTCACATGTATGTACTTTTTAAATGAAGTGGAAATATGAAAGATAATAAATGCAAACCAGCTATTTATATAATAGACTATTAGGTACTCAAATCTGGAAATATATTTTTAGACTTGTGTCATTCATAAATACAATTTTAAAATTAATACACTAGTGGCCAGGCACAGTGGCTCACGCCTGTAATCCCAGCACTTTGGGAGGCCTAGATGGGTGGATCATGAGGTCAGGAGATCAAGACCATCCTGGCTAACACAGTGAAACCCTGTCTCTACTAAAAATACAAAAAAGTTAGCCAGGCGTGGTGGTGGGTGCCTGTAGTCCCTGCTACTCGGGAGGCTGAGGCAGTAGAATGGTGTGAACCTGGGAGGTGGAGGTTGCAGTGAGCCGAGATTGCACCACTGCACTCCAGCCTGGGCAATAGAGTGAGACTCCATCTCAAAAAAAA
The DNA here is from genome assembly GCF_000001405.40 of Homo sapiens. Taxonomy (NCBI): domain Eukaryota; kingdom Metazoa; phylum Chordata; class Mammalia; order Primates; family Hominidae; genus Homo; species Homo sapiens. Next base: position 28,129,679 of record NC_000021.9, on the reverse strand, counting down.
AAAATTAATCCACTAGCATAGCTACTATTTATAGAGTGGAAACTATACGTGTTAGATGCTATTTATGTGTTACTTTTTTGAGTCCTCACAAAGAATTTTCAACAAATGATTGTATGTGTTGGATGCATTGTATATTACCTCCTTATTAGTCACCAGAAATTATAAAATTAAATAAATAATGAAAGTATTATTAGTTCTCTTAACACTTAAGGAAAACAAGACTAAAATAGGCTTATATATTTTGCTTAACTTTACCTTGCTGGCAAGCGACTAGGCCTGGATTTGAACCCAACCTTCAGGAAAGATCATGTGTTTTCATCACACTACAAAGTCTCTTTTGTGGGAGTCTGCCAGTTAGTTTTACCAGTCTCCCAATTTGCTTGTATACTTACGTGCAAGTTAGGAATAATTTTGGAATCCCAGCACTTTGGGAGGCCGAGGCAGGCAGATCACCTGAGGTTGGGAGTTTGAGACCAACCTGACCGACATGGAGAAACCCCATCTCTACTAAAAATACAAAATTAGCCAGGCATGGTGGTGGATGGCTATAATCACAGCTACAAGGGAGGCTGAGGCAGTAGAATAGCTTGAACCCGGGAGGCAGAGGTTACGGTGAGCCGAGATCGTGCCATTGCACTTCAGCCTGGGCAACAAGAACGAAACTCCATCTCAAAATAATAATAATAATAATTTTGGCCACAAATAACAGAAAATCTAAAAGTACATTATACAATATTGTAATTTGCTTTCTGTCAGAAGCTGTGAGACAGAGACTAGTGTTAGAATTTTTCACAGGGAGTGTTCTCAGAAGCTTCACCTTAGGGGAAATTAAGGAAGCAGAACTCTGGGTAGAAGGAAAGTTGGAGTGAGTTTTATCTATAACAAGGACCAGCCAAGTTTGAGGGATGCCTCACAGAAGAGAGGGCCCTTCAGAGTTATCCTGTTTTGAGGAGAGTCACTCAGATTGTTATATTTCCCTACCAAATAGTCATTAGATGTGGGTTTCCCCAAGAAGGACACATCTCCTTAGATGGGGAAGCATTCCTCAGCTGATAATAATTCTGGAGGAGGTCTTGACCTCTGAGAGATATCAACACATAATCTTCATAGCGGCTGGGAGAATAACTATCTCAATCCTGATGGGGATATCTAGGACGTCCAGCACTGCATCTTCTACAAACAAATGTCTTGATTTTCTCTGATATGAAGAAAAGTTTAGATATGAATGGTTGTTGTAATTTTGGTTCAGCTATTCAATGGCGTGAGGCCTTCTTTACATCTATTTTTCTCTTGGCCTTTCTTTATGATCACAAGATGGTGACTACAACTATAGGTATCAAAACGAGAAGGGAGAAGTCAGTGGGGTGTATATCAAGGTTCCCTTCATTAGGGAAGGTAAAGCCAGCCCCACAGTTCTTCAGCAGACTTACCTGTTACTCTTATTGTCTATAACTAAGTCACAGAGCAAGAGAGATGGGCACATTTCATAGTTTCTGGAAAGAGAAAGCATTATCTTGACTGATTTAATTTTCTGAGATTGGAAATATTTTTGTCTGATGAGGTTTACTGACAAAGGAGAAGGAGAGAATGGATATGTTGAAGGCAAAATGCAAAAGCAGGGTTAGCCATGTGTCATTTCATTCTTAACTTGTAACCACATTGACTTCTAAGAAGCATATGCCTTATAACCATACATGGGGCATCAGAGCATTTGGGTACGGGAAAAGAGAAGATATGAGGTGTGGACAAGAACAAATGATTCTTTCCTTAAACCAGTACTTTTCTCAACTCATTTGAATCTACAGAATATGATAGACAATCAAAAGTAAAGTGGAGATGGAAAAGAGAACAGGCATAATACACTGAACTTAGGTGGGAATTCCAACTTTATATGTAATGGGTAACAAAAAGAATGACTAAACAAATTCAGTTCTATCTAGTGAGAACCAAACTGTGCTTTCATTTATATCAATCTCTGTTTGCACCATCAGAAACATTAGCTTGTTATTAGCTGTTTCCCAATGCTAATGTTTATTGGCACTGAAAGTGAGTAAGAATACATCTGTGGTAGATTAGCTTAGTGAGGCTTGTAAATGGGGTCACAGAGTCCTAGAAATTAAGGGCTGGAGAGACTTTGCAAATCATTTAATGCAAACTCATCATTTTACACACAGGAAACTGAGGTCAAGAAGGGGCAAATTGCCCAAAATAAATATAGGTGTGAACTTTTGAAAGATTTTGTTTTGTTTTGTTTTGTTTTGCCTTTTAAATTAAGTAACAGTTACGTGTTTTGCTAGTCTTGGACTTCTCTTTGAACAGATTTGAGCAGAGTGTGATCCTGTTCATCACCAAAAACGTTGAAAAGACTCATTCATATTCAGGGAAAAGAAATGCAGATAGCTTAAGTAATTTCAGTAAGATTGAAGCCTACCTCATATGCCAAAACTAATCAAACATCAGAAGTATCATCTTTTGACAAAGTAATTATTTTAAAATAATACTTGTTGATTGTTACTAAATTCACAGAACAATTAACATGTTTCTGAGTCAGCAAAAATGAAACATATTTCAGCAAGCATCTATTTAACTTTGTGATGTCCCAACGGACCAAATCTAAACATAGATTTCAATGGCAAAAGTTTGTTTAATGGGAAAACCTATCCAAAAAGAAACATTTGTTTCATCTGTAGTGGGGAAATATCCATCTGCTCTTAGGTTGGTACAGAAAGCCAAGAATTTTGCAAAACTTTCCACTGGCTGGTTGTTGCTTGTGATCCAAGTGAAGAAAATATTTGAAAAAAAAATCAATGGTCAATCACTTTTAAAAATGCAACTTTGACAAAAATTTATGTGGGGATTGGGTAGTTCAACAACTAAATGACATTTTGCTGTTATTGGATAAACTATGTTTGGGAGTATAAATAGAGCTCCAGCATGAGTGAGTTGGCAAAGATGAATAGTGTATCTAAATAGCAAAATCATGGTTACCAGAGGCTGAAAAGAATAGTGGGAAGTTGGGGTGGAAAATGGAGATAGTTAATGGTTAGAAATACAGTTAGATACAATGAATAAGATCTAATATTTGAAAGCACAACAGGATGACTAAAGTTAGCAATAGTTTGTTGTACATTTTGGAATAACTCAGGGACTACAATTGGAATGTTTGTAACACAAAGAAATGATGAATGCTTGAGGTTATGGAAACCCTATTTACCATGATGTGATTAATACACATTGCATGCCTGTAGCAAAATATCTCATGCCCCCATTAATATATACACTTACTATGTACTCATAAAAATAATTTTCTTTTAAAAGAAGAAACTAAAAAACATAGCAAAATTATTTGAAATAGTGACTATCATCAGATGATCTCTTAAGTTGGGAATGCTTTTTTATATTACCTTTTTAAGTTTACATTAATTAGTAAACTATACAAATTATTGTTTGTTTCTGCACTCATTGTTTTAAAATATGTAAATTAATTCATTTTTTAACTCCCTCAAAGGAGCAAAAATATGTATTAATTCTGATTAACATTTATATCACTTCTAGACTTCACCACTATGCAATATATCCATGTTACAAAAATGCACGTGTATCCCTTAAATCTATACAAATAAAAAAATGAAAAATAAAGTTTGATCATAAAATTTTATGTTAAAGAGGGTACTTTAGAGACATTATTGGTTAGAACTATTTATTTTACAATAAAAAAACAAAGCCATGTAGATTAAATAACTTTGTCTGGATCACAGAGCAAGTTAGTGATCTTCCAGATTCTTTTATTACATTGCGTTAGTCTATAAAGAAAGAAGGCTCCCTCAGTCTCTACTGTCTTAATATAATCTATAAAATTAGAATTCACTGAGCCAACATGGCTTTTTTGTTTCTTTTTCAAAAAAGGGCAGGTTATAAAAAACAGACCAATGGACGGTTAAGAATTGACCGATAAAACAGAAAACAGATACACTACAAAACATGGAGATTTCGTATACTTATTAGAGGATCAAATAACTTCACATATTTCAGTAGTCCTTGAGAATTTATGTGTACATTAAACACACTTTAATAGTTGAGATTCATAATGCATATTTTGAATTATGAAGGCATTTCAGTATATGTATAGCACATTTAGTATATGCCTAAGTCATTAGGGAAAGAAAGACTACAGGGGGAATTTAAAATCTGAATAGGACAAATTTTGCAAACAACTGCTAGTACTTAGAAATAAAATGCAATTCAGTGATACGAAGACATTTCTTAGGACTTCTGATAGAAAAATATGTATTGATATAATTAAAATCAGTATGGCATATTGTTAAAATATATTTTGTTATGGCGATTCTAATATTTTGACTTTTAGTAATTCAAGTTTCCCTTCTCCTTGACTTCAATTACAGATGGATTAATCATAATAGTAATTAATTATTAATTCAAATGAACGTAATTTTTTCTCTTTCAAATTATAACTAGGAATTTGTTTTAAGTCATAAAGTCATCATATAAATCTTCTATTTCTTTGATGTAGGCAGTTTCAATATACCACACTTGTGATGTTGTTGCTTATCAATCATTATTTTATAATGAAGTATACTCTAGCCAAATTTGAAAAGTAGGAAATACTATCGCCCAAATTATTTTAATATTTTAATGGAATATTTAATTATCTTTATTAAGTATTGACCTTATTAAATTGGTAAGTGGAACTCTAGGAAGTCATTGATTAAAACAACTCCTCCAATCAAAAGAGAACTAGAAAGTTTTATTCATATTCTCTTCACTTCTCCCTTTCCTTCTCTCTAAGACAAAGCTTGACATGATCCATTTGTGTATGTGCATGTGTGAGATAAAAATTTAAACTATTTTATTTCACACACACAAGTATGTGTGTAAGTACGAAAATATCCAAACTGTTCCTTGAAATTTTAAACAAAATCAAGATTTACAGAGTTAGAATATCAGTGTTTGGAAAAAAGATTCTTAAGACTCATTATGAATTCCTAGCTAGATATAATATAAGCAAATAATGTTATTGTTGTAGGCGTTTATATAAATTTTGTTTGTTCTTTTGTGCAAATCTAGAAATACACATTTCTACATTTGTTTATTTTTACTATAAAAAATTTAAATCAAAATACTCTAGGATTATTCTATGCTGTTTATTCTGTTAAATCTTTCCCCTTGACCATCTTTTCTAGTGACAGGAAGGGTCATAGTCGAGGAAGGAAACTATTGCTTGTCCCCTACATTCTTTATGATTGATCTCTACAATCAATTGGAGATGACATAGAAACCTCGACCAATACCCAATCCTGAGATTATAATAAATCATTTTATGTTAAAATTGTTACAAGTTAATTCTCCAACATAATAGTTTAAACTATGAAATTATCTTAATCAAAGCTCATTCATGGAAAACAATGTTGCACAAAGCTGGAGGGGCAGCTGAATAGTCCAAGAAAAACATGAACATGTGACCAGCCCCATGCCAACAGCAAATAAGCCAAGATATTTGATGCTGCCCATTGGAAAATAGCTTCCAATTTCTATATATTAGCCTCTCAAAGAAAGGTAGAGCAATAAAAACATGGAAAAGCAATGACAAAAAAGGATGAATTAATATACTCTTTAATACAATAGTTCACGTTCCTGAAATAATTTATTGAAAAAGGACACCTGATGTAAATTTATTTCCATTGACAATTTTGAGATTCATTTGTCAAAGTTACGTGTGCTTGTTATAAGAATAACTTACATATACTATGTATTGATACTTTATTTTTGTAATATTCAAGTAACTTTCTCATCTTTTACTCTTGCAGTAACTACCTTGATAATCACTATATATTTTCCAAGAGAAATAAAAGAATGTGGAAATGGCTCTGTACTGTGAAGGTCAATTCGTGGAATAAAAGTGATGGGAATAGTTTATGCTTTGTAAATAGCTGATCTGAAAATTTCTTATTAAAATAACATTGGCTTAAACATGGATGGTTGGAATAATTTATTAAACACCGTGGAATATTTGTGCTCTATATTTTCTATCTTTGCAGGCTTAAGTTATTCTAATGCTATTGGATGTTGCTGATAATATGGTTTTATTACAGTAAAACTACAATACAACACCAGAATAAAACTAATAAAATATTTTATTTTTAATGGAAATTTATAGTATCTGTAGTTTCATGGCTCTTTCTCACATTTTCTCTCATTCATACATAACTCTTTGTTTAAAATACTCACAATTTGAAAAAAGATGAGGTTAAATATATAGAATAGAAAAAAAGAAAAGTGAAGAAAAATGGATGGGAGGAGTATAAATTTTAAGGTAAGCTTTCATTATGAAATCAATAAAAAATGAAACATATGTAATAAACAATAAGTCATACAAATCAGAGCAATGAATGGTTAAGTAGCACCTTTCTTCCACCCCAGGTTCTTAGTGCAGCATTCACTGGGTAAAACTCACAAGCTCCACACTCATTCCAGTGCTGTAGGAGATCTGGCAGGGTAGGATGAAAGGCTCTGGGAGAAGAGTGCAGCCCTCAAGCTGTGGAGCTTCTAAGCTTCAAGATTACAGAAGAACCTAACTTTTTCTCTAACAGCCATTTGATATGACAGAAACAAACCTCTGCTCTTGTTACCTTACCATCCATCCCTTCCCCTGGCATGATCAGGATTAGGGTCAAAGCCTTTCAGATGACCAGAATTGGTTGACTTTATTACTATGCTGAAGTTAGTTTATATGGTGGTTTGTGGGATGGTAGTAACATATATTCTGACAGGCCAACAAGAAGGGCCCAGGTAGCTTGTGGTTACTTCTGCTTTGGTTATATTGGTGAGCAATGGATACTGTATTGTATACTATGTTCAATTTCAGTCAGAAGAAACAACCACTTCTTATTATACCCTGTTTTTTTGGAGGAATAGTAGGCCAGATAGGAAATCTAAGTTTGAGTGGTATGGGCAAGTATTAAAAGTGACAAACTTGAAGTTAAACATTTCTAGAAGTGGTAACTTTTTTTAAGTGGGTGTTTTAAAGAAGAGCAAATATTTAAATCATGAAGCAGTAGAAAATACTTGAGAAATCAAAAGCGTAGCTTACTACAAAAAACTAATTTTAAAATTTCTCAATCACCACTACATATGTTAATAATAATGGTAATACTTGTATTCAGTATTGTGGTCAGAAAATAATAGTTTTTGCTTTTCCTTCTAATACTAAAGGCTTAAAATCAGGTTTATGATAAAATTTAATTTGCAGCATGACATTTAAGAATACTATCCTTAATGATTCCGGGTAATAGAAATGAGTAAAGTACATAAGAAGATGATGTATCTGATATTGACTTGTCATTTTTCCACTCCTACAAGCCCTTTGAATCCATGTGCTTTTAATAATCATCTGCCAAAGACTTTATTTGGCACATCAGCTATTATGCTTTGAGTATTTCATAATAAAAGCAGGTTAAAAATAATGCCTGCCCCCCTTTTTCCTCTTATCAAAAAATAGAAAAAAAAATTGGTTTGAACTTGATAGTATTTTTATTTTATAAGGTATAATTACTTCTTAGTCTAATGGATTCCACTGGAAGAAGATATTAACAACAAGGCTCTCTACTTAGAAATCTAAAATTCAAGGGAAATATCATTACACCAAATACTGTTTTTCACAGAATTTTGCCTAGCCCTGGACCATGTTTCATCAGGTGAAAGCATGGCCAGGGAATAGAAATCAAGAGAGGGAGGGAAACAACTAGGGTAAGAAATAACCATTTTACTTTGAAATAAGCCAAAAAAAAAATATAAATAAAGATAATAGAGGTGAGTGATGTCTGGAAAGTCATGGGATCCCACAGAAACAAGAAAATAATTTAAACCGAAGAATCATCCACGACTTAACTCCACATACATCTACTACCAACTTATTGATGTAAAGCAAAATACACCAACAATATGAGTCACAGTTGGTATTAATTTATTCAAAAATTTAACTTCGTGGCTTAAAACAGTCTTTTCTAACCCTAAATTTCTAACCTATATAGGAAAATCTTGGCCCATTAAACACTTGAGTCCATCTCTTTTAAATTATAATGTCAAAATATGTTTACTAGGAGAAAGTATAAATTACATAAAAATCATTTTAGTTAAAAATTATTTTTGATATGAAGTACTCCATAGACCATAAAAACCATCCTAAAAGTGAATTCACTGTGGATCAACATTTAGGCTGGACTCTGCTGGGGAAATCTTTTCCTCACATGTGAATGTGTTAAATGGCTAGGGGATGATCTGCAAATGACTTATCTAGGATGGCTAGGAAAAGGGAGCTCTCTCAGGCCTGTCTCCCTTCTATACAGAATTCCAGCCTAATGAATTTCTTTTTGTTGAGTGCAGAGTCATTGGAGTGAGTAAGTGCAGCCAAATAAGAGTGCCAGAGCAGAAATGTAATGCAAACCTCAACTTTACATTACATTGACTGTCTTAACATGGGTCAAATGAAGTGGACGAGCACTACAAAGATATGGCCCAAAGATCTCATTCAAACTACAGTCAACAATAATTTGTTGTATATTTTAAAATAACTAACCGTGTATAATGGGATTGTTTGTAACACAAAGAAAGGATAAGTCCTTGAGGTGATGGATACTCCCATTTAACTCGATGGGATTATTATACATTGTATGCCTGTATCAAAATATTTCAAGTCTCCCATAAATATGTACACCTACTATGTACCCACAAAAGATGAAAATTTAAAGAAAGATATAGCCCGAAGTGCATGCGTAAGGGAGGGTCATTCATTGGGGATAAGAGTGCTGCCAATACCACGCACAGCTTGTGAGCTTTGTATTCTTGCTATTTCCAAATACATCTTTTTTTTTCTAAGTCAACAATCACCAAGTCTACCTAATGCCCCCCCTGCTAAAATATGCCTTTGAAATTATTTCTAATCAAATTTATTGAAGTGTAATTAAAATTCATCCATTTTGAGTGTATGGTTGTGTAAATTTTAAAAAATATATGCACTCACGTAACCACTACCCTAATCATTTAGAACATTCCCATAATCCCAAAAGTGTCATTCATGACTCTGTAGAAAAGACTAATGCTTTCTGTCAGGCAACCGTAAAATGATTTTTCCCCTTTTAAATAGGCTTTTTTTTTTTTTTTTTAACAGTTTTAGTTTCACAACGATATTAAGCAGTAAGTACAGGGAGTTCTCACATATCCCCTGCCCCCAAATAAGCGTAGCCTCTTCCATTATCAATATACCCTACCACTGTGGTACATTTATTACAATTGATGCATCTAACTTGACAAATCATATCATCCAAATTCAGGGTTTACATTAGGGTTCACTCTTGGTTTATATATTATATGGCTTTTGACAAATATACAGGGAGACGTATCTACCATTGAAGTATCGTTTCGAGTAGTTTAACTGCCATAAAACTCTGTGTTCTGCTTATTCACCTCTTTTTATTCATCTCTTTTCTCTACTCATCCCTGGCACAGATCCTTTTACTGCACCATAGTTTTGTTTTTTTTTTCAGAGTGTTGTATATTTGGAATGATACAGTATGTATTAATAGTATTTTCAGATAGGATTTTTCCACTCAGTAATATGCATTAAGCTTCCTCCATTTATTTTTTATTTTTTGCTTGATAGCTTCTTCTTTCCCCTAAGTTGAATAATAGTTCATTGTCTGGATATACCATTGTTTATTTCTCCGTTCCTCCACTGAAGGAAATCTTGGTTGTTTTCTAGTTTTGACAATTAAAAATGAAACCGTTACAGGGTGTGGTGACGCAACCTGTAGTCCCAGCACTTCGGGAGGCCGAGGTGGCAGATCACTCGAGCTCAGGAGTTCAAGAGCAGCCTGGCAAAATCCCGTGACTCCAGAAGTATGAAAATTAGCCGGGCGTGGTGGCGCACACCTGTAGTCCTAGCTACTTGGGAGGCTGAGGTGGGAGGATTGCGTGAGCTCGGGAGGTTAAGGCTGCAGTGAGCTGAGATCGCACCACCACACTGCGGTCTGGGTGACAGAGTGAGATCCTGTCTCAAAAAACAAAATAAAATATAACAAAACTGGTATAGACATTCATATGTAGGTTTTTGTATGGATTTGGTATGATTTTTATTGTTAAAGTTTAGTTTTTATGTTTTAGAGTTATATATATATATGAATCATTTAATTTGTATGCTTATGTGTTTGGCTCCTTTTCCTCAGCATAATGTTTTAAGATTCCTCTATGAATCAGTTGCATATATCAGGAGTTTTTTCTTATAGTTCAGTAATATTCCATTATGTGAATATAGTATAATTTCTTTATCTCTTCAGCTGTTAATGGACATTTAGGGTGTTCAGTTTGGGGATATTTGAAATGTTATGAACATTTTTGTACAGATCTTATGATACATACATTTTTATTTTTCTTATCAGAATGATATTACTGAGTCATGTGATATTTTTATTTTTAACATTATGTAAACTGTTTTAAATAGAACAATTGTTTTCCAAAGTAGCTGTGCTATTTATACCTTCAGTCAAAATATACAAAAGTTTCTTGTTACTGCACATAATCTCCAACAGAAAGGACTTATGGTAAATCTTTAACAAATTTTAGTCATTCTACTCCCTGTTGGTGGTATCTTTTTGTGGTATTTTTGAAAGAAATTGACTTTTATTGAGATATGATTTACATATAATTAAATGACCACATTAAGAGTACACTTTGATAAGTTTTGCTAACTGTACATATCAATGTAACCACCACAATTGAAAATTAGATCTTTTTTATCTTCTCAAAGTGTTCCTTTATGCTCTTCTGTAGACAATCTTCCCCAGTCCTCAACACAGGCACCAATGGATATGAATTCAGTCATTGTCGACTGGTGTTCTGCCTGTCCTAGATGTCACGTAAATGGATTCAAATAGATGTGTGCTCTTGTGTCTGACTCCTTTTGTTCAGCGTGGTGCTTTTGAGATTTATCTGTGTCATTTGGGGTATCAGTAATTCATATCTTTTATTTCCAACTAGGGTTGTGTGATTATACCACAATGTCTTTTGCAAATTAGTTGTTTCATTTTATATATTTTATATGTATCAGCAGTTTATGAGTTATAAATAACTTTTCTTTATAAATTACCCAGTTTCAGGTAGTTCTTTGGTGGTGTTTTCCTGTTGCTCTCCGTTCTAACACCTGATATTGTTGGTCTTACTTTTAGCCATTTTAGTACTAGATGCTCCCCGACTCACGATGGGGTTATGCCCCAATAAATCCATTGTTAAGTTGAAAATATCACAAGTTGAAAATGCATTTTTAATACACTTTAACTATCAAACGTCATAGCTTAGCCTAGCCTACCTTAAACAGGCTCACAACACTTACATTATTCTACACTTGAGCAAAATCATCTGGCAACACAGCAAACTGTAGAGTATCTCTTGTTTACTCTGGTGATCTTGTGGCTGACTGGAAGCCTTAGCTCCCTGCCACTGTCCAACATCCCAAGAGGGTTTTCTACTGCTTTCTACTGAATGTGTATTGCTTTTGCACCATTTTAAAGTAAAAAAAGTTATATGTCAAATCATCAAAAGTTGTTTTGATGAGATTTTCTGTTTGTGTAGTAATATTTCACTTTAGTTATAATTTCTGTATACCTGACAGCCAATTATATTGTGTATGTTTATATTTATTTACTTATTTCATACCTTCTTGTATGAAATTGTTGTCCAAATTTTTTGTCCAGTTTCTAAATCACAGTTTACTTTCTCATTATTAATATGTTTTTTATTTTTATTTTTTATTATTTTTGTTTTTAGACGGAGTCTCTTCTCTGTCGCCCAGGCTCGAGTGCAGTGGCGCAATCTCTGCTCACTGCAAGCTCCGCCTCCTGGGTTCACGCCATTCTCCTGCCTCAGCCTCCCGAGTAGCTGGGACTACAGGCGCCCGCCACCACACCTGGCTAAGTTTTGTATTTTTTTAGTAGAGACGGGGTTTCACCGTGGTCTACATCTCCTGACCTCGTGATCTGCCCGCCTCGGCCTCCCAAAGTGCTGGGATTACAGGCGTGAGCCACCGCACCCGGCCAAGTTTTTTCTTTTGTAAAATTTGAATATATAAGTCCCATATAAGGTCAATTTATTCTTTTTTCTCGCATGGTCAGTGCTATACAAGATGATAAAGATATATGCCTACCTTTTCTTTTGTTAAGTTTATATTTCAGCTCATATGTTAAATCTATAATCCATTTTGAGTTAATTTTGTAGATGGGGTGAGGTAAGAATAGATACACAACTTTTAGGCTGATATTCAGTTGTCCTAGCACTAGTTTATTGAAGATACTTTTTTCCCCATTAAATGTCCTTGAACTTTTTCAAAAAAGCAATTGACTATATGTGTTTGGGTGTTGATACAGTTTGAGTCTGTGTCCCCACCCAAATCATGTCAAATTGAAATCCCCAATGTTGGAGGTGGGGCCTGGTGGGGAGTGATTGGTTCATGGGGACAGATTTTCCCTTTGGTGTTGTTGTTATGACAGCGAGTGAGTTATGAGATCTGGTTGTTCAAAAGTGTGTAACACCTCCCCACTCTCTCTTCCTCCTGCTCTGGCCATGTAAGACGTGACTGCTTGCCCTTCACCTTCCGTCATGGTTGAAAGTTTCCTGAGGTCTCCCCAAACATGCTTCCCATACAGCTTCCCAACTGTGAACAAATGAAATCTCTTTTCTTTATAAATTACCCAGTTTCAGGTAGTTCTTTACAGTAGTGAGGGAACAGACTAATACAGTTATATCCTGTTCCATCTTTTTTCTAATGCTTTGCTGCATTGTCTTATAACACAGCTTTATAATCTTAAAATCATAACCTGTAGGCCCTCAAAATCTTTTCTTTTTAAAAATTATTTTGGCTATTGAAGGTCCTTTGTGTTTCCGTATAAATTTGACAATTGTCTGGTTGATTTCCTCAAAAATTCTTTTGGCTTCCAAAATTTGAAAGCAGCCTAAGTGTTATCAAGAATTGAATGGATAAATAAAATGCAGTACAGATACACAATGGAGTACTATTCAGCAATAGAAAGAATGAAATCCTGTCATTTGCAACAACATGGATGGAACTGGAGGTCATTATGTTAAGTGAAATAAGCCATACACAGAAAGACAAACTTCATATATTCTCACTTTTTTGCGAGAGCTAAAAATTAAAACAATTGAACTCATGGAGATGGAGAATAGATTGATGGTTACCAGAGGCTTGGAAGGATAGTGGGAGTGGGGAATGTGGATGGTTAATGGGTACAAAAATACAGGTTTATAGGGTTAATACCTGTTGATACAACAACATGGTAGCTACAGCCAACAATAATTTATCATACATTTAAAAATAACCAAAACAGTATAATTGAAATATTTGTAACACAAGGAAAATGATAAGTACCTGAGGTGACGGGTACCCTATTTACCCTGATGTGATTATTACACATTGTATGTCTGTATCAAAATATCTCAGGTACTGATAAATGCATACACCTACTATGTACCCATAAAAATCAAAAATTAAAAATTAAACAACATAATGTTTCTACTGGCTTCTATTTTTTTCTGGCAATCTTTGTCTTCCTTGGCTTGTCAACTCATCCCTCCAATCTCAGTCTCCGTATTCACGTGGTATTCTTCCCTCCCTGTGCTGGTGTCTCTGCATCCAAATTTCTTTCTTTTTATCAGGTCGAGCCCTACTCTAGCATGACCATATTTTAACTTGATTATATCTGCCAAAACCCTATTTCCGAATAAGATCACATTCACAAGACATGAATTTGCAGGAGAATTTAACCCAGTACGGTACTGTTTTAAGAGATGTGTCTTTGTATCTCATTTTGTAATTGTTTATTATTATTATATTAAAATATATGACTGTTGTATATTTACCACATACCTGTAATCTTATTAAATTTACTTATGGGTTGTAAGATATATTTTGCAGATTATTTAAAATTGTGTATATAAATTATTATGCCATTTGCAAACAAATATGTATTGTTTTGATTTATTTTTTTCTTACCTTCTTCCACTGGCCAAGTCTTTTAGTGCAGTGCTGAATAAAAATGCTAAAGATGGACATTATTGCCCTGTTTCTGATCTTAAGCAGGATGAGCTTTTTCACCATTAAGTATGTTCACCATAAGGTTTTTTTTTTTCTGCAAATACATTTTATCAGGCTGAGAAAGTAATGCATTCAGCCTCCAATGATGGCTTGTTTCCTTTGTTTTTGTTTGTTTGTTTTCTCCCTACTTTAACTTGTTTCTTTATTGCTAAGTCTTCGGTTCTTCTCAATGCGCTTCATTTTTTTGCTTGTTTCTCTTGGGATTTCTCATGTAGTTGCATTGAGAAAGTGCCTGGATTGGCTGTCGTTACAAGCTCAACTGGAACATGGAGACAACTGTGTCTTTCTCTTTGTTACATGGTGTGATGGTTAATATTGAGTGTCAACTTGATTGGATTGAAGGATGCAAAGTATTGTTCCTGGGTGTGTGTGCGAGGGTGTTGCCAAAGGAGATTAACATTTGAGTCAGTGGACTGGGAAAGACAGACCCACCCTCAATCTGGGTGGACACAATCTAAACAGCTGCCAGTAACGGCCAGAATAAAAGCAGGCAGAAGAATGTGAAAAGACTAGACTGGTTTAGTCTTCTGGCCTACATCTCTCTCCTGTGCTGGATGCTTCCTGCCATCGAACATCAGACTGCAAGTGCTTCAGCTTTGGGATTCGGACGGGCTTCCTTGCTCCTCAGCTTGCAGATGGCCTATTGTGAGACCTCACCTTGTGATCGTGTGAGTCAATACTCCTCAATAAACTCCCCTGTGTGTGTGTATATATATATATATATATATATACACACACATCTATCCTATTAGTTCTGTCCTTCTATAAAACCCTAATATACATGGTCTTAGGGTATCTCACACAGTATCTCCAGCAGGTGTAACTGGACATCTTTTATGGCTGCTCAACATTCCCAAGATCTCAAAATTAAAAATCAATAGCCTTTCTTAAAGTGTAGGTACAGAATTATCTCACCATTCTTCGTGGGCAAAAACTGCACAGAATCTGGAAGGCTGGCTCCTTTGGTGCCATCTTCGGAGACAAACTATCAGACTACCTGCTGGTGTACATTAAGTTAGTAATATTTTATGTGCTTTTGTTAGCTAATTATAGAATGTGGATTTCAGATAACATCTTTGAAGTGTGATCTAAAAGCTCTAGGTTGTAGATTGCAATTAACTTTTCTACCTATACACATGCCGCTGCTTACTTTGAACTATTTTAAAGTAAATTGCAGAAGATGTAACATCATAGATTTACAATTTTATTAATTTTGTTTTATATATTAGCATTAAATAGTAAAATGATAATGCTGAAACACTAGAAGAAAGATTTTTAAAGAATATTAAATTAATTGCATTTATATAAACATGTAAATTTGAAAGTTATATACTAAGCCCCAAATAAAAAATAGAAGAAAAACTGAAGAATGAATTAAAAATATTGAAGTTACATTAATAGAAAAAAATAAAGAAAAATATGCCTAATTTAAAAATAATGTTATTTATGTAAAAAGCAAAACAAACTGACAAAAATACAAGCAAACACTTCTAACCCAAAACTCTGGACCTAGCCTTGAACTATAGAGTGGTTTCTATTGGTGTTTGCCTTTAGAAAATCTGTGCAAAGTAGACATAGTGAGTCATCAAAGATTCTTATCCTCAGGGCATAATTGATTTCTATTGAAATAAATATAAGAAAAATTGTATAGATAAACAAGATAACATAATTGATGAATATCATTTGCAGGAGTAAAATATGCTACAATATGTTGTCACTAAAGTCATGTCTATATTATTTAGAGGCAATTATCCATTTGTGATTGAGATCTTCCATAAATATGTCAATCCATAATCAGCCCTTCCTTCTTCCTGCTACGGTAACTGCTATTTGTGAGCACTCACTTTGGATTATTAGCCATCTTTTAATGCTACTTCTTTATTATTTTTCTATGGAAAATTTTCATGAGAATTCTAAATTCCCTTATGACTAGAAACTAAGCCTTCTATCTTTCGTGTCTCCCATATTTCAAACTGTGAAAATATTAAGGCTATAAATATTTGTTAAGTTAAGCAGAATTAAATATTTTTGCTACCCTAAATTTGGTAGTATATTTTTCATTAGCTTTCAATTACAAGTCAGCAATAAAAAAAGATCTGTAAGATAATTTGAACATATGTTACACCGTGTTCTTCAGAGTCATTTAATAGTGTGTACACGCACAAGCACATGTGTGCACACACAAACACACACACCCCATATTCGGAGTCTTTATATTGAAGAACAGTGAAATACTCTATGCATTACTTAACCAAATGATATATTGTGCTCATTTTAAAATACGCTCTACAAAATGGACTGTGTTTTGGCATTCAATCGCAGTTCCAACAACTGTGTAAATTTAGAGGTTGAGCTGGAGGAGCACATAAGTCATCTAGGCATAGTAGTTAGCTTTGGAAGAGCAAAGATGCATATCTAAGCATTACTGTATCCTTAGCAGTTACCAGGGACATTACTGAAAGAGTACTCTAGCTGACTTTAGGAGCCAACGATCAATTGCATTCAAGGGACTCTTTGGATGTAAACATTATTAAATTATTTTATCCACAGTATTCATACCATTTTTGACTATCATTCTAAATTAACAGAGATATTCATTTAATGGGAAAATCTACCTGGAAAAAAATTCTTAATTCTTGTGACTTATGTAAAAGTTTTCTATAATAGGACTTCAAATAACTTTTTATCTCCGAATGAAAAAGGAAACAAAAACCCAGACATTCCTATTAACAATAAATCTTGCTTGTAAAAAATTTAAGCATGTGAGGCCAAAATAGAAGACTCCAAGTGAAGCAGAAAACGCGAGGCAAATGTAGAGTAACATTTTAACTTACATTGTTTTAAACAAGAAGTAACATTTTATGACAGACCGAAGTCAAACCTACATTAAAGAAGTGACATGAGAGTTTCATGACTCCAGTAGCAACTGAAGAACTGAGGTCAAAAAAGAAACCTCTTGGAAACAGTTGCGTGTTTTTTGGTTTTTTTTTTTTTTTTTTTTTTGAGACGGAGTCTCGGTCTGTCGCCCAGGCTGGAGTGCAGTGGCGAGATGCAAGCTCTGCCTCCCGGGTTCATGCCATTCTCCTGCCTCAGCCTCCCGAGTAGCTGGAACTACAGGCACCCGCCACCACGCCCAGCTAATTTTTTTTTATTTTTAGTAGAGACGGGGTTTCACCATGTTAGCCAGGAAGGTCTCAATCTCCTGACCTCGTATTCCGCCCTCCTCGGCCTCCCAAAGTGTTGAGATTACAGGCGTGAGCCACCACTCCCGGCCGCAAACCGTTGAGTTTTAAAGTTCAGCATGAAATAGTTGCAATACCTTGCCCTGGGCCACATGAAGAGAAACACCCAGTAAAAGCAAAACTTGTTTCACATGAAGCCAGAACATTAGCATTATTGAATATGGCATTACTCTTGCTATAGAAAATTATCATTTGCTATTGTTCTGTTAGCTTCTATAGAGTACCTTCCGTTTGCTATTCACCAGTAGCTTGAGCTTAAATTCATTTTTTTGCCCTAGAAGTAAAAATCCGCATTGTTTACTAGCAGATCTCTTTGGTTGCTGAGGGCAGTTAAAAGTCCTTGATTGTGTATGTGTGTGTGTGTATGTGTGTGTATTTATGGTTTATGTTTTAACCAGACTGTCAAAATATTGCTGTTGGGGTGAGAATCCAGATTTTGAAGAAATCTTATAGTTTTGTATTTATGTTTACTTATGTTTTAGATAAATGTGGAGAGAAAAGAATGGTCAAAATATTGGCCTCTCTGGTACTTTTTCCTCAGCGTATCGTTCTGCAACTCTCAGGACATTTTAACCTTTCGATTTGATCTTATTTTGTTTTGAATGGATAGTGTGGTACCGGTAAGCCATAAATTGCATTATTGCACACTAAATACTTTTAAAAAGCATGGTAGAAACTAACAATTGCAGGAACTATTATTTATCCTAATTGATCCCAGCTGAGCTTGGAAGGGAGTCTGGCCTGAGAGCCTTCAAAGGCTTGCCAAAAGGCTGTCAGGTTTGATAACTCACACCACGCTGAACTTGGCTCAGAGAGGTCAGTTACAGAGTGAACACTAAGCTGCCCCCGATATCCAAGCCTGCTTTAAAAATGCAGAAACACTGCCAGCTGACTCGAAAGCCGCTAGATTTTCAACTTTGTTTTAAGAAGCTCATGTTTTCTTGGAACTGGGGATGGGCTGGTAAGCAAAGAGAAGACGGTCCCACGTGGAGCTACAGAGCAGCTGTAGCTGTCCTGTGTGCTGGGAGGCATCTGTTTTTGTGAAAACATGGTTTACGCATTGGCCTGAAGATTTAGGATGCACTAGGGATATAACAAAATCTTAAATTATGCTTATTTGATTGAATAACTAAATGCATCCAGGAATTTGTATTTCATTGTTTTATATAATGATTTTCACATACAATTCATTTACAGATTATACGAAGAATTTTGTTGTTTTACATTATCAAAACTTCAGCTGAATAATCTCATGCATTAGAGTAATTTGTAACATTAAGTTGTAAGCACAGTTAAGAAAACAAAACAATATTTTTCTTTTCATTGTTACAGCCTCCTTGCCTAACAAAATCCCTGGGCTCACAATGGGATATCAAGAAATATTTGTTGGATGAATGAATAAATGAAAAAATAATCGCATGAATGAAGAAACTGGCCAATCTATTTTAAGGCTTTTCTTTTTCTTAGTTCAATAAACTTCCTTACTCTCGTCACTTTTTAAGACATTTTGGTAGGAAGATACTATTTAAACCATATACTTACAGCATTCTCTTCAAATTCTAATAGCAGCTTTCTGAAACTTTCATATTATTCATAGACAATATTTTTAAAGGAGCCTAGAAATTGGCAAGACAATTTTATAATGAAAGTTCTTTTTCTTCTCCATTTTCTAATTTATAAATATAGGTAGTAGCTTCTTTATATGTTTAACTTCATATCAGAAATATGGTCTAAATAGCATAATGGACTAAAGATGGCCACAAATTATTTGCCACTTTTCATTGAAATAAGGGGTTTCTATTCCCCTTGAATGTGGACAGGCCTGAAGACTGACTTTGACCAATATAATGGTCAGAAGTGACGTTGTGTACCTCTCAAGGTTGGGCCTAAAGATGCTTGCAGCTTCTTGTGTCACCTATGTTGGTACACTCCCTTTTGGAAGCCAGATGTCATGTAAGAGATCCAGGTGACCACCATTTTGTGAGGAAGCCCAATTTTCCCAGATGGTGAGGAAGAGAACACATGAAGGAGTACATGGGCTCCAGACATGTGAGTGAACTTTTTCTACCTTCCAGTGAAGTGAAGAGAGAGAGTGAATGGTGCTAACACTACAGGGCACAGCTGTCCAGCTGATTCCTTCTTATGTTCCTGACACATTGGAACATTAGGAAATAGAGATGTCTTAAGCCAGTAAGTTTTGAGGCACTTTGTATTCATAGCAGCATATATAGAAACATGCATTTTCTTTATTAAATATAACTTTGAAACATGCCAAATACGGTTATAACATATTCGGAAGAAAATAGTAAGTAATTCCACATTACAGTAAAACTTCTTTTTTCAATGTGAGTGTGATCCCCCTGGGGATAAATAATTCATTCCGATATGAATTTATAATATTAAATTTTCACACCTACTTAAAAATCAAACTGATTGAAGCTTTATTATATCATGACAACACTTAATACTAAAAAATCTAACTTTAGAAATACGGTTTTTAAATTTAGGTTTTTACTATAGTTTATTTCATAAATGTATAAAAAGCATGAATATAGTCACATCAGATTTTAATTTATTACATTCTTTTTACCATAAACAGATATCACATGTCAAGGTCCTATGTAGCTTTCTGTGGGATTTTACTTAGTAGACCCATTAAGCAAAATAGTTTCCTTTATTTGTTATGAAATGCATTAAATGATGAATTTCTTCATTTATTATCTCAATAATACTTAAGACTTCAAGCTGGGTTTAGGTCTGAGCTTTTTATCAACATAAACAATTTCCTTGAAATAGCCATGCTGACATACATTGATCATCTTAGGATCATCACTTATCTAGTTTAAGAAAAGATAATCCTTTGTATCAGTTCACTCATATTTAGCAATTTTGCAAACTATTAGAATTACATAAGATGCTCAAGAAGAAATGATGGATTTCAAATATTGATTATTTAACTCTCCTTCAAATACACTATTGGATCAAATATGTGGACATATTTCTTAAATACTTGTAAAACAAATGAAGTGTGACATATCCCCCTTACCACCTCTCCCCACTGCCACACAACAATTGAAAAACACTTTTTTTTTTTCTGTGACTTGGTATGAAATGATTCAATAGACTTATCAGCTGCTCATATGGATAGACTGGGCTGAAGCTGTAAGAAATGTTATACTTCTTCATGCTCTCTTCCTTTCTGTATTAGTTCGGCTATGAGTTTAAGCACGAGACAATCCCAAATGTGAGTAGAATTAACATGATAGAAGTTCATTTTTTCTCTTTTGTAAAATGTCAAGCAGTCAACACAGCCCCACTCTGCAAAGTCAAAAGTTTTCTCTACTTGTCTATATGGTAACTCTGCTGCTTCCCAAGATGCTATACTGCCCCTTCAGTGTTCAATATGAACAAGTGAGAAGAGGAAGAGAAAAAAAGGATGGCACACCTTATCAAAGGGCATCTCCCGGAATGCAGATGCATACCCATTACCCACATCCTAATGCAAGTGTTAGTTGCTTGGCTATGCCCAGGTGCAAATTTGGAAAGTATTTTTTATTTCCTGTATCTGTATGTAGAGCTAAAAATTTTTATTACGATGGAGGAAGGGGGTACAGAAATTTACAGACAGCTGTCTCATGTTTTTTTGATCACTTATTCAATTCTTTATGACCATTTAGTAGAAAACTAGCATTTTCTGCCTTTGTGGTTGTTTTAGTCAGTTTGGACTGTTATAACAAAATGCCATAGACTGGATGACCTATAAATAATAGAAATTTATTTGTCACAGCTCTGGAGGCTGGAAGTTCTAGATTAGAATGCCAGCATGGTTGAGTTTTGGTGAAGGCCTTCTTCTGGGTTGCAGATAGCCAGCTTGTTGCTATCTCCTGACAGAGTAGAAGGGAAGAACTCTGGTATCTTCAGCCCCATATAAAGGCACTAATTCCATTCATGACAGTTGCTACCTTTATAACCAAATCACTTCCCTAAACCCCATCAAATTTAGGAATTAGGTTTCAACATATACATTTGGGGGAGGACACAAACATTCTGACCATGGCAATATAAGACACTAATTGTAGATAATGTTCCAAGCTCTGTCTTCCTGCCTCCATTCTTATATAATTTAATATAAATAGATTTTTAAAACACTTAACTTATCCTTAAATCTGTCTGTGAGATGATATTACAGAGAAACAGGTTAGTATGTGTTTTGAAAGATTATTTAGAACCACATAATGTTAAATAGAGAAGCTATTGGTGAAAGTACAGACACTGTATTATACAAGCGGCAGAAAGTTTCTCATTACAAATGATCTTTACCTTTTGTCAATTATACCTTGTAGTAAATGTGTAAAGTAGGTCTTAATAAATAACCTCATCTAATATTATCAGGAATTATTCACCTTTCTATTTTTCTTTGTGGTCTATATCTCTCCCCCCCTCCCACCCTTTCTCTTCTGTATCATCTGTCTCTAGTGAAAGTACCAGGAAAAAGGGTAACCCAGCATAGCAGAAATATTTTAACCATACTTATCTTTCTTCAAGAGGAATACTATGAAAAAAAATGTGTTCTATCTCCACCTCAATGAGTGCTATAACTGTGGGACTGGGGATAGAACCCTGTCTTCCACCCTCTTCCTGGAGTAAGGAGGTAGCATCCCCCCACCATGGAGGTTGTGGGTGGAACTCACATCTACCCACCTTCTGCAGGAATGAGATGGCCTTCCTTCCCCGTAGAGACTATGACCCCTCTGACTTTCTCCCTTCTTCTGCAGTAACTGGGTTGTACCTCTCCCCAGTGGAGCTTATGTGCACAGCTCAGACTTCCATCTCCCTCTTCCATGGTATTCAGGCAGTCTCACCATCCCTGCAGAGATATGGGGCGTAAGCCTGTTCTCCACCCCATCCCAGTATCAGGAGGCACCGCTATCTACTGAAGCCTGTGGGTGTCACTCTGCCATTCATTTCTGACCAGTTTTAATGTGTAAGTGCCATTTCCCTATGGACATGTGCCTGGAACTCTGAATTCCACCATCCTCTGTGGCAGTGAAGTAATTTTCCTCTGTCTCCCCAGTCCATGATGAGAAGATTGTGGGGCAGAGTCCTGTCACCTGAGTCACATACAACTGTGACTGGGGGATACTGGACTCCAGGGGATTTAGAAACCAAATTGAAATTTGAACAATAGCTAACAAAAGTGAGCTAGGACATGTATTTTGAAACTAAACAGGTGGAATACCCACTTAAGTAAAAGATCGAAGTAATAACTTTAGTCTTACGTCATAATACATGTAGTGTCCAAATTATAGTCCAAAGTCACTTGACATACTAAGGACTAGGAGAATCTCAAATCAAGTAAGAAACGACAATCAATAGACTATAACACTAAGATGATACAAATGTTAAAATTATTGAGCAAGAATGTTAAACAAGGTACTGTAAAAATATTCCAAATAGCAATCTCAGCATATGGACAAAATCACAAAATGGAAATGACAGAGGAAAGGATCAGTAAGATTTAAGGTAGATTAGTAGAGATTACCCAATCTAAACAACGAGAGAAAACAGATAAGAAAAAAAAAAACTGAGCCTCAAAGACTTCTGGAGCAATAATGACATAGTTAATGTTTGTGTCACTGCAGTCCTAGAATGAGAGGAAAAAGGATATGGGGCTTAACAATTACTTGAGGAAATAATGACTGAAAACTTCCCAAATTTGGTGAAAAACTAATCTATAGACTCAGGAAACTGAGTGACTCCGAAATAGAATAAACGCAAACAACTCCAGGCTCAGACATATAGTCAAATCTATGAAAACTAAAAGAGTAATTGTATTAGTCACTGGTCTAATTTTCCAGAGATAATGCTAGAAAAAATACCATACAGAATTTAGTATGCTAGAATTTTAGTAGAAAAAACAGAAACCATGGACAGTTAGAGCGGCACACACAACACTTGGTAACTTAAAAAGATCTATGTGGAGTCTTATCTTGTTGGCTTATGTTTGACTGAATTGAACAAGACAACCAATGAACAAAAAAAAAAAATGTATTTTTAAAATCACTTTGGTATTACCACAATTGTTGGTATTTTTTTCTTATTTTCTGATGAGGAATATTACCTTTATTTTTAATATTTTGGTTTTACTTTTTCTTGTTAATTTTGTTTCTCCAAATGTTATAAATACTTCTTTAAAGTTGAAACCTCATGCAACACTCTGAATCCAATTGATGCACATATTTTAATGTTAGAGCTGTTTTCCTATATTTACACAAATAGGTAATTTTCTATAAAGTATAGATCACTTTTCAGGAATACATATTCCTTTTTCAAAAATACTTTAATTCACTGACAGCAAAGATCTACAGACACTAAAACTAATCATGCTTTCTGAAATAATTTTAAATCCTGGTATCAGAGAAACAAAAACCTTCAGATGTAATCAGTACTAATTTAGAAGTAAAAATAATTTATTTTGATAATAATTGTTATCAAAAATAACCATACTCTTTCACTCTTTATGAAAGGATTCGGGTTCTTATGGCCTATTTAAGGACTCTTTTTTAATAGAATATTTGTCTTCAGCGTAAGGAATCTCAGAGGTAACTTGAAATAGGTAACGAACTTCGTATTATCTGTTCTCTTTTGTAGACATCTGGAATGAAAATTTCAGCATATGCTTGCATGTTTGTGTGTATGAATGTCAGTATCCTGTTTTCATTTGGCAAATATAGCAGCCTAAAATACACCTGTGATTTTGATAAGTGTTTGAGAGGAAGCATTTCTAGTTGTAAAAACTAGACAATTTTCACCTAGCCAATATTGGTTCATTACCCATAATCTCATTTTTTTAGAAAAATATATTAATTTCAATTCAGCTGTCAATATTATATATTCTGATTACCTCTCCCATGATCAATATGAATATTTACAGATAATGTATATTAATATTATTATGTATTCAATTAGAAAAATAAGTACTATTACTCCTTTTCTTGACCACATTTTGTGTGAGAATATTTTCCATGTCTCATCTGCAACTGAAAGTGTGTTGTCTCTGATGGATAAAATTCTCACTACCATTTTGATGGAGGCCCTTTTTCTACTTAAGTAAGGAAGAGATGTTAAAGATTAATTACTCACAGCTGCCAATTTCAGGCAACTTTTGTTCCACCATCCACTTTTTTATGTTTATCATAACGTATATTCTCTCCATCCTTAAAGCCATCAACCTGTAACCTCCTAACATTCTCATTTTCTGAGTACTTGCTTCATAATTTTTCTCCACTCCAATCTTATTATGAACTCCATCATTTAAGTAGATGGTCCTTTTAGCACTCTGGCTCAGAGTCCCTCCTATGATGCCAAGGACTCTTCATTTTATCTGTTAATCACCGGCATAAACATGACCTTGATCAAAATCATCACATTTGTTTTCTCATTCTCTGCAATTTTGAATGCTGACATTTCCTTTCCTTGAACATGAGAAATTACAAGAAGAGAAGTTCTTTTTCACTTGTTTCGTCTCTCCCACTTCCATAACTCCAGCAAGCCTGTTTTTTTCTGTCTAAATCCTAACCTCTATTATTCTGTTATTCTCTAACCTGAAGCCTAATTCTGTGTTTATTTTTCTTCATTGCCAGCTAGGATGCCAGAGGCATCTGTGTCTTCTGCTGCCCATAGCAACCGAGGCACTGATACTCCGGCCACACCACTGTGACTGCACTGATATTTATTTATTATCTCTGCTGTCTGGTGTAATTACATCTGCTCTCCAAATAGAAGTTGTTGATTTAAAACATTTTCAAAAATATGCCGACTGCATCCACTTCAAGTTAGTGTTATTGTGGTCATTCCTCACTTGGTTTTCTTTTTTTTTTTTTTCCTCCCCTTGAATCATTATCACGTTTCTTTCAGCAGGTGTTCCAATGGTCTCTCAACTAACTGCCAATTTCCCTATTCCCAGATGAGCCAATATACTCCAACTTCAGGAATAGTGATTCATATAACAAGAATTATTGTACCTCCATAGATCCATATCTTAATTATATATTGAGAGACCTGCCATACGTCAGGTGCTGGAGATAGAAGGTTATTAAGCCACAGATCGTCTATTACAAGTTTCATTTCTGGAAGGAGAAATACATAAACAATAATTTTGATTTAGGATGTTCAGGATTACACCTGTGATTCTTCTTTATCTCCCAATACTTTTTTCTTTACAAATTTCTACTTTTTGCTTCCTACCTAGGAGGAATAAATGTCTCTCTTCTTTCCAATGCTGTCTTCTTATTGAATGGCATTGCCACAAAAATGCTCCACTATTTTAATCCCCTGCTAAGGTCTCTCATCCTCCACTGCATCTTTTCCTTCAGTCTGCAAACATTATTAAGCCTTAAAATGAAAATTGTCTTCCCTGGGTCTCTAGTTATTTCTTGACAATTTTTAAATAATTTTCTTTATTCAGCATAATTTGCTCATTTTACACTTAAAAATCAGCGTCTATCCTACCACTTACTGAAGCTTGGCTTGTGAATTACCAGATCAATTGTCTTTATTCATTCTTCATCTTCTTTGAATATTTTGCTTCATGAAATTATTTTTAGCTCTAATTTTTATTGCTCCTGTTAGGAAAAATCTACTCATCTTTCACATACGAGATTTAGTGCTTTGCTTTTTTTTTTTTTTTTTTTTTTTTGATGGAGTCTTGCTCTGTCGCCCAAGCTGGAGTGCAGTCGCGCGATCTCAGCTCACTGCAACCTCCGCCTCCCGGGTTTAAGCGATTCTTCTGCCTCAGCCTCCTGAGTAGCTGGGATTACAGGCGTGTAATTTTTGTATTTTTAGTAGAGACGGGGTTTCACCATGTTTGTCTGGCTGGTCTAGAACTCCTGACCTCCTGATCCGCCTGCCTCAGCCTCCCAAAGTGCTGGGATTACAGGCATGAGCCACTGCGCCTGGCCTTAGTGCTCTTCTTCTGTGAAAATCCTGACACCTCCTTCCTCTCAGAATTAATAGGTCTGATTTCACTTACTGTTTGTGCATACTGCTATCATAGTTAATTCACAATTATTTAGATTCTAGAAAAAAATCAATAGTATGAGCAAACAAATTGAGAAATAATTTTTTTGAGTGCAGTACATTGTTGGAATTTATATTTTAAGTTATAAGGTATAACAAGGTGAATCTGGGAAACAGAGGTGAATGGTAGGTTACTGCCTAATAGTGAGAGTCCTAGAAAGCCACACTAAGCCTTCTGGGATCTAATCTTACTTGGAATTCTCTATATTGAAGGTACCAGCCCCATTTCTCCTTTGGCTTTTCAGCAGAGTATTTTTGAAAGAAGCAGGAATTGACTGGACAGAGCTTTTGATCAAATGTTAAGCAGCTTCTGGGATATTTGGCATTTTTAGTAAGTTTACTATTTATTTCACCAGATTCTGATCAAATTTTCTAGTAACATTGAGCTGGATTTTCGAACATATTTATCTCTACCGTGTGTGCGCGTGTGTGGTTGTGTGTGTATCTTAGATAGCTGGAACCAATTTTAATAGCCTTCTGAACTTTACACATTTAAAACTTCCATTAAATGAAACTAAATTGACGAGAAAAGTTTGTTGTCAGGATTGATAAGGCCTCTCCTGAAGCTTCATCCTTAGGAAATCTGGGCTTCAGAGATTACTTCTCATTGGGCTCTTTCTCCAGGGGTAGATGTCTAAAAGAAGGAAGAAAATTTCTTTTCAGCATCCTTTATTGTAACACTTTTATAATGCTAACAGCAACACATAGAATATGCCTCGGGGAAATTTCAGGTAGATTGCTAATTATACACCAGCTTTATTGAATGAATGATAATCAACTATTAATTTATTTTACTTTTGCTTGATATATTTTAGAGCAGAGTTTCTTTAGAATAGATTGAAAGTAATCTTTCCATTCCCTATACCACAGATGTGGTTATTCACCTAACTCCGGAGAGAGATTATGGAATTATAATTTGTTCTCTTTATTGCATAACTACATATGCTGACACCAAAGTTACACCGTTTACTAAAATGATCTTTTAGGGTCTGGGGGAAGCTTTTATTTAATTTCATACAATCAGATGTTATAAAGATTTAAATCAGTCTTGACTACAACATATCTGGGCAACAATCTATCCTATATTCTGAATTGCTGAAGACTACTGGGAGGCAAAATGAAAGTTTGTCCTGGCCAAATCAGTAAAATAATGTTATGAAATACTTTTAGATTAAGTCAATCTAAAGCTATTAAGTTCAAATCATTGTCGTCATCATCATCATCGTCATCATCATCATCATCATTATCATTTTAGCAAATATCCTTTGGGAGTGGAAAGTAATGGGGTCACAAAAGTTTCCCCTAGGATACTTTGGGCTGTAGTATGAGAACCTGAAATAATATAGGTTTGCAGCTATTATAAAGTATGCTATAGATTCTACAACACAATACGTAGTAGCATTTTTTTTATACTGGTGACTGACAGTTTACTTGAGCTTAAGTCTTGATGTGTTCCATCCACAGTTTATATACAAGGATATAAGATTTTATCTCATAAATCAATAAAAACTGAAGCCCTTCTACTGCTAGAATTATTATTCTGCCTAATTTTATGAGCCTCAATTATCATTTAAAAATAATATTACATATTGTATTGAAATATGTTGTTTATTTAAATATATTATTTAAAATAATGTTTTATTTAAATATATTATTTAAAATAATGTTTTATTTAAATATATTATTTAAAATAATGTTTTATTTAAATATTAAAAATAATGTTTTATTTAAATATATTATTTAAAATAATGTATTGTTTAAATAATAATAAAATGCCATTTGATTTATTATGAATATTATATTAATATTTATAATATACATATTATATTTTATAATTTATTATATAAATAATATTAATATTCACCTTTAATCAATAGGTAAAGTTCCATAAGCATGTAATATTAATGAAAGAATATTTCTGCAAAAAAATGGAAAGTTATCAAATACATTTTTGAAGTTATCATAAGTCTAAATACCCACGTAAACATACATAGACACATTAAAAAGCACACACTGGCACAATCAAAAGACCCAGTCTGCAAACTTCTAATCAAAATAGTGCCAAAACAAGTTTAATAAAAATGTCTGAAGAGCTATTCACTATGGCTAAGTAAGAATCACACATTAATAGATTGTTTTCTTTCAGTTTGAGTATTCTTCTTACATATTCTTTTCTTTAGAAATTCTTACTTGACCTCATCGAGTGTAAGTTGGATGCTTCCCTAATATACTTACAAAGCAACCTGAACTATCATTCTATGCCCATTTGAATGCCTAAAATTAAAACAACTATCAATCCCAAGTGTTGGCTAGGAAGTGGAGCAGCTGGAACGTTCATACATTGCTTGTGGGAGTATAAAGTGGTACAATTACTTTTGGAAGATTAATCCATTTCTTGAAAGGTTAAACATATGCCTGCTCTACAGCCATGTAATTCCACGCAAGGACATGAACAAGATGCTGCCTAGAAGCTTTACACAACGTAGTAAAAGACAGTAAATAACCCTAATGTTTATCAGCAGGAGAGTTAATAAGCAGATTGTGGAATAATGCTTCCTATTGAAAAAGAATGAACTACCCATGCATGCGACTGCGTGGATGAATCTCATTAGCATTATGTGGACAGAGAGACGACATTCACAAGACAGTACATATAGTGTGATTCCATTCATAGGATATTTAAGAGTAGATCTCTGGTTTGCTGGTGCTGGGATGACAGAGTGGGGATTGTATACAAAGGCTTAATGTGTAGTGGGTATAAAAATCTATGCATTTGTCATAATGCATCCAACTATACACTTAAACAGTGTTCATTTTATTATTTTTGCTTTAAATTTTAGAAAATTAATTGCTACTATAACACCAATAATTCTAAAGGAAAACCTATAAGATCATTTCAATGGATGTCGAAAGTAAAAAAAAGATACTCATTTCTATTAAAAAGCAAAGCAGAACATAAGAAAAAAATGGTTTAAGTAGGACTAGAAAGTTAGTTTTTGAAATATGGTTAAGAAAAACTATATGAAATCAGTAGCCATTGGTAAATATAATTATGTGATGGTTATAAAATATAACTATTATTATAGTTAATTAAATTTATTAAATATATTAATAATATTAATATTTTAATATTTTACATTATGAAATTTAATTATGTTTAAGTATTGCAAACAAATAACTATTTCAGGACATTTTAATTAATATTAGAAAACTAAAGATAGCTAACTAAAAACAAATGAATTACCAAAAGGTTTCAGATAGGCATTAGGAGAATAAGAAGAAAGAGAGAAAATGCTGAAGTTTTCTTATAACTGATGACTTAGACTAAAATATCTGTACACAAATCAAATGCAAAATATAAGCAAATCTGTACAGCACACATAAAAGACCTGTACAAACATGATTATAAGAATTATGAATATATATATGTGTGTGTGTATATATATATAAAATTTGGAATATATTGAATTTTGCTTAAGCTAGTTAATGAAGGTCTAAATATTATTAAAGTGTCCTATTTTTTCCTAGATTAATTTACACTTATGGTAGGCAGCCAGCAAAAAAAAAAAAAAAAAAAAAAAAAACGACAGAGGATTTTAGTGTGACAGCTGCAAGGAACTGATTCTGCCAAGAACAGAAATGAACTTGGAAAAGAATCCTCACACCAGATAGCAACACAGCCTGCTGTCACGTTGACTTCAGCCTGAACAGTGAGCCCAACCACACTGTGCTGGACTTGGGACCTATGAGCTGCTAACGTTGTAGTAATTAATTACATAGCAATAGGAAACTCACATGACGTTTAAATATGACATTAAAGCCACTCATAGTCTTGAGGAGACTCTTAACTTTTAACATAATATGGTTATTCATCTGAAAGAATGATCCTTTTTTATTTTAAAGTTATAAAGTAGATGAAGAAAAGTTGGAATTAAAGAAGTGTACCCCCAGATATTTTAGACATAATTAAATGTGTCCTGTCATCGCAATGATTTATAGATGTATTGTGAAAGCCATTAGAATGTCCGGAGACAACTTCTGCTTTCCTAAATTTTTAATATATGATTTAAGAATCATCAAAACTCATGAGGCAGATATTTCTTATTAAACAAAATGTGTTTGAAAATTTACCTTGGAAACAAAATCAAATGAGGTCCAAACTACACATGAATAAGATCAATTACAGTTAGATTACATACTTAAAAAATTTAAACCACAATAATCTAAGATAAAATAACAAAATCAGCTTTGAATTTGCAATGACTTTCTACATATAAAACACTGTGAAAATCAAAACTTTCTTCATGGTAGAAACATAAATAAGGCCCGGACCAGTGGTTCACGCCTGTAATCCCAGCACTTTGGGAGGCCAAGGCGGATGGATCACCTGAGATCAGGAGTTTGAGACCAGCCTGACCAACATGGAGAAACCCAGTCTCTACTGAAAATACAAAAGTAGCTGGGTGTGGTGGCACATGCCTGTAATTCCTGCTACTCGGGAGGCTGAAGCAGGAGAATTGCTTGAACCCAGGAGGTGGAGGTTGCTGTGAGACGAGATTGGACCTTTGCACTCCAGCCTGAGCAACAAGAACGAAACTCCGTCACACACACACACAAAAATTAAATTAAAAAAATTAAATAAATAAAAAAGACAAAAATGGAAAATACTTGTAAGGAATTTATGTTTAATATAAAAGGAACTCTAACATGATTATTGAGTTAAAATAAGAAACAATTTGGTAGACATAAATTGGTTCTCAGGACAGGAGCCATTGAAATGGATAAAAGCATGTTAGTAATAAAATAAACTAAGTGAAAATACTAGTTTACATTTATTCAACTGACAAGCATATTTTTAAAACAATAATGCTGAGATAGACTCAGCATATGCAATATAATTCAAGAGTGTTAAACCATTCATATCCTTTGACAAAGTAATCCAACTCTTAGAAAACCTTTTATAAGAAAATAATCAGAAATTTTAAAATTATTTACCCACATATTATTTATACTAATAAGACACTGGAAATAATCGAAATATTTCACAGGAGAGAAACTGGGCTAATAAGTTATGGTATAACTAAATGGCCAAATATTCTGTTGGCCTTAAGGTGTTTTATGAAAAAAATATTTACATGGGGAAAATGCCCATGGTTTCTTAAGTAACAAAGTTAGATGTCAA
Source organism: Homo sapiens (assembly GCF_000001405.40). NCBI lineage: Eukaryota > Metazoa > Chordata > Mammalia > Primates > Hominidae > Homo > Homo sapiens. Next base: position 28,098,001 of record NC_000021.9, on the reverse strand, counting down.
AATAGGTAACTATTAGTTAACTATATACAAACAAAAATAATTGGAAGGAAATGCCTCCATATGGGAATGATTATTTCAGACTTTGAAGACTATAGGAATTATTATTTTTTTCTTTAGAATTTTCTTTCTTTCTTTCCTAGCATTCCTATAGAACACTTTTATTAACTTTTAAGTCATAAACAGATCTATGTGAATTGTTACTTTAAGTGGTGCCTGTACTCTTGCTATTGAAAGTGTGACCTCGTGCATCAGCACTCGCATCGCCTAGGAGCCTGCTAGAAACTCAAACCCTATGCAGGGTAGCGGGGAGAAAATGCTATTTAAAAATCTGATGGTTCTCAGGGATCATGTTGAAATTTTACTATTGTCAAGGAGGCAATTTTTCATTCCCTGCTTCCTAACGTTTCACAGTGTTCATTCATATCTACCATGTGTTTTCCATTAATATTGTTCTGTCATAATTATTCCCATTTCTAAGCAGAGCAAAGTCCTTTTTAAAAAATTTTTTTTTTACTCTGAGTTCCAGGATACATGTGCAGAATGTGCAGGTTTGTTACGTAGGTATACATGTGCCATGGGAGTTTGCTGCATCTATCAACCAGTCATCAAGGTTTTAAACCCCACATGCATTAGGTATTTCTCCTAATGCTATCCCTGTCCTTGCCGCCCACCCCCTGACAGGCCCTGGTGTGTGTTGTTCGCCTCCTTGTGTCCATGTGTTCTCATTGTTCAACTCCCACTTATGAGTGAGAACATTCAGTGTTTGGTTTTCTGTTCCTGTGTTGGTTTGCTGAGAATGGTGGTTTCCAGCTTCATCCATGTCCCGGCAAAGGACATGAACTCACTCTTTTTTATGGCTGCATAGTATTCTGTGGTGTATATGTGCCACATTTTCTTTATCTAGTCTATCATTGATGGGCATTAGGGTTGGTTCCAAGTCTTTGCTATTGTAAATAGTGCTGCGATAAACATACACGTGCATGTGTCTTTATAGAAGAATGATTTATAATCCTTTGGGTATATACCCAGTAATGGGATTGCTGGGTCAAATGGTATTTCTAGTTCTAGATCCTTCAGGAATCACCACACTGTCTTCTACAATGGTTGAATTAATTTACACTGTCACCAACAGTGTAAAAGCATTCTTATTTCTTTTTTAAAGAAAATCATATTGGTAGTTGGGTCATGGCTTTTAGATGAGAGTGGTCTTTGCACAAGTCTCCTATTTTGTTTAAAATAATAATGGTGATGACATTATTAGTAGGCTTAATATTTTACAAATAATTTTACTTTGAATGGAAACAGAATATTTTTCTTGTAGGCCCGTATACAGTTAATTTAGCAAAGAATTAAATAAAAAGTCACATTTAAAAAAATTAATTTTCTTAATTAAAAATCCTTATAATTGGCTAGGCGTGGTTGCTCATGCCTGTAATCCCAGCACTTTGGGAGGCTAAGGAGGGCAGATCACGAGGTCAGGAGATTGAGACTATTCTGGCTTACATGATGAAACCCCGTCTCTACTAAAAATACAAAAAAATTAGCCGGGCATGGTGGCGGGTGCCTGTAGTCCCAGCTACTTGGGAGGCTGAGGCAGGAGAATTTCTTGAACCAGGGAGGCGGGGCTTGCAGTGAGCCAAGATCGCGCCACTGCACTCCAGCCTGGATGACAGAGCGAGGCCCCGTCTCAAAAAACAGAAACAAACCAACAAACAAAAAATGCCTTATAATTAAAAAAAACTCAAAGGGTTCTGTTAATTTATCATTACTTGAGAATCCATAATTTTAATATGTGTGTTAAAATGTATGATTTAAATTCCCCACGGACACACTGCATCCTTGGCTTTTACAGAGATGTTAAAAATGAATTAATCTTATGATATTCACCATAGTGTTATTCAAGCCAGCATAAACAAAACATCCCAAGAAAAATATCTTCCTGCTAGAAAAAGAGGTCTCTGTTTCCTTTTATCAAAAAATTTGAGCCTTGTTGAATATAATACATGTTGTATATTGAAATGAACTTTATTGTATAGTTTTGTTCATCTTGGACATCTTGTACACGTAGTTTTTTCATTCATACTCCTTTTAACTTTTTCGTCTAATCTATGCAGATTCCTCCTATGTAAAATGGAAGGAACAGTGATTAACATGGTTTAAGTTGTGAGAATTTAATAATAAAACACACATTCCTCAAGAGTTCAACTCACTGTCAGATACACAGTGATGTTCTGTGAACAGCAGCTACTTTTATTATAAATTTCTTCTTTTCAAAATATTCTGAAATATAAGCAAACGTGTAGTTTTGGAGGTGGATATAAACACAAATATCACTATTTTTATAAAAGTTGTTTTAGAAACCCTTCAAAGAATCTCCTAAATACTGTGATGCATTATAAAATAGTTATGATATTTTGAGGTTTAAAATACTTATTAAAAGAGGCATATTCATATCTAGACTATTAATCTTAAAACAAATTATCTACAAGTTAAAAATAAACCACAAATTGAATAGTAAAAATGTGTGAATTGGGGAGAAATAATAAATACACACATTTTGATTCTGGTTATAAGCTGGTAAGTAATTAGATCTGGGTTTTAGACCTGATTCATTAGCCATAAATTTTAGTATCTTTAAGGCTGAAGTTCCTCATCTGTATTGTGATAAAATGATACTAGTTTTTTGCTAAAGTTTTCCTGACTCAAAAATTTCAAAAATTAATTAATACCCCTCTAATCTGAATTTAATTTCTAAAGTTAAGAATGAGGATTTTTATTTCTGTTGTATCATTCTAAACATATATTGAAAGTTTTAAAGTACATTTGTATTCTAAAAGTCTATTTACTGAAGAAGATTTTGGAAGAATATAGCTATCTGTAATCAACTATTCTAAGTACATTCAATTTTCCAAATTTTGATCATTTTCCTCATAGGGCTACAGCTCATCTCTGCTCTTAGACCTGGTCTCTTATTCAACTAGTTTGTCAGAAAGCTGGAAATTTTGAAATATTATAGCTCTAGTTGAGAGATTTAGTCAAAAGTACAGAAACTCTTCAATAGAGAGTTACATTAATGTCACACAGGAAGTTAGATTAGGTTCATAACCAAAAGCCTGGTTCCCCTCACTCCCCCACCCCCATCTACCATCTATCTGTCTGTCTGTCTGTCTGTCTATCTATCTATCTATCTATCTATCTTTTATCATTTATCATCTATATGACTTAATAGAGTGTCTAATCTGCTGCACAGAAAGCCAGCCACTGCATTCTAAAGAGGAGAATTATGGTCATGGCCATAGCATGTGCATCTGTCTCTAGAAATGATAATATAGAGATTGATATTATGGCAATGAGACCAAAGCTGGCTGTCAGGAGTATTTGTTGGAAATTGGGATAATCGTGAATGTAACTGCTATAATAATATTTTACTTTTGACTTAAATGAAAATTATCATATTGAATTGCTTCGTGAATGAATGTGTTTAATACCAGCTGTAGACCATGGAATACATACTAGCAGGATGGCAATTCTGTGTGGAGCAGATGGAGATTTTGGGTGGTCTTCAAAGTGAAGCCCAGTATATGACCCATTGCAGCAAGGTTATTTGAGGGGGTTCATAAAAGCATGGATCAGTACTGCATGGCTTGTATGACACTGAAAAATCCTCAATATTTTTTGTAGAGATACCTAATATAACTATTATCATTTGTCACACAAAAATCCTGGTTACAAGATCAGTTAATGGATTCCTTCAAAAATATTTTAAATTATGAATTTAGTCTAATCACATTTCAAAACTTGGACTAAAATCAACTTAAATAAATATGAAAATTTAATTTCCAAATTAGGGGTTAGACGTTATATGTCACATTCATTCTTAATTCTCTAGGAAAAGGCAGTGAAATTGATGTAACACTTCTAAAATAGGTTTGTTAAACATCCCCTCTTATTAATACAATTTTCATAAGATTATATAAGCAGAAATAAACATCATCATAGACAATTTTTTAATAAGTATGAACTCATACCATAATTTCTTAAAGAATGGCAGACTAAAGATGTTTCATCATTATCAGTTTTGTGTATAGATGCCATTTGTGAAAATGTCTTAAAACCATGAAAAAGAATGCCTTACACACCAGGCACATTGGATTCTTTGATTAAATGCTCCTTTTAATTAGCATTTTAAGAAAACTTTCTTGATAAGAAGATCAGAAAGCTCTTCAAGTGCAGTTACAAAGTTTTTTCAGTTTTATTTCCAACATATCTACATTGCATAGAAATATAGCTAGTATTTTGCAGATATAACTCTAGTTTTAACAATGCTGTGTGCTGGAAATTATACTATTATTGAGAAATACAACTGGTTCTTATGATCCCAAATTATTAATATTTGCTCTTTTCACCAAACCATAGGATGTACCCTCAGGAGTCTCTCATATTAATGCAATTAATTGAGAAAACAATGACAACAACAGTAACAATCCATTTAATCAATGGTAATTTCCAATTTGATATCTATCCATAATTAATTTTCTTTTTTCTTTTCTTCTCTTTTTATTTTTTATAGAAGGGGGTCTCCCTGTGTTGCCCAGGCTGGTCTCAAACTCCTGGGCTCAAGTGATTTGCCCACCTCACCTTCCCAAAGTGCTGGGATTACAGGTGTGAGCCACTGAACCCAGCCCATAATCAATTTTCAAAGGAGACTCAGGTTTCAGTCTGACTGTGAGCATATTTACTGCTAGTAGCATCTTTCCTCAATTTACCTGCTGTTCATAAAGTTGTAAAGTTATCTTTTCACATATAAAATAAATCATATTATTATGTGTTTCTATGTAATAACTGTCAAATATTAGCTGGAACATAAATTAAACAAGTGTTTTTGAATACTTTATACTATGACTGGCATAAGGATAACCCATTGGCTTTTGGCTATTTTATATTCTTCTCAATACGTATTCTGTCTTTTAGAATTCTGCAGCTTGTTCAAAATGTCCTGAACTGCAGGATTTAGAGAGCCAATAATCAAGATCTTAGCATTTTTAAATAGATCAAACTTTTAGAAATAACTTAATGCTGGCTTTGCAGAAAAATATTTGAAATGCTATAAACTATACTCCTAAAAATCTTAACCCAACACAAGATCAATAGTATTTGAACATCATAACGTCAATTTATATTTTCTGCAAAGGAATACACATTTTACAAAATATGCTTCAAATATCTGTTAATACATTTCACTGCCAGAATTTTTATTCTGTAGAATACTTTTCATTGCATATTTTACTTCTTAAAAATATTATGCACGATGTATACAAGTAGAATAAAGTAAGCGTTCAGGACCAAAAGTCATTTTATCATTACCAACTAATCTAGAATGTCTGATTCGCGATGCCAAAAATGTTATGCCCACAGTTGCTACTAGACTAAGCAGAATTTAAGAAAAACTAATTAGCTACAGAATGAATCTATGAAACGTTAAGTCAAGTTATCAAAAATCTCTCATTCTTCATGCATTTGTACTGCTTATTTTATATGCCATTAGTGTCAAGAAATGTAGTCCGTATGAATTACTTTTATACAGTAACTTTAGTAAGGGCTTTAAACAATTTAGATATTTTATATGAAACAGACCATTTAAGAAAACTCTCACTTAACAAAGTGAGTCTTAATATAAAGAACAGTATCAGATAGTTTGTCTTAAGCAAAAATAGAGCAATTTACCAGTTGAACCAAACTTATCATTTCACTCAGCTCATAGTAAATATTTTAGTAAAGCTTAAACTAAAAACATTTGAAAGGACATATGCACAAAAAAGTAATGATCATTAACAATGGAATCATTCATATTGAAGGCATTTTTTAATTTTTTCTCTTAAATTTGATATAGACCTAAACTACTAACTAGAGATTTTTGTAATAGGTATGGATTTAATGTGTTTAGAAACAATATAACCAAGTAAAGTTTTAATTTATTTATTCATAAATTAGTAGGATTGAAAGGATATGAAAAACTATTCATACTGAACTGTTTATGATAATAGGAGTGGCGTGTGAAGGCAGAGGAATTGTTGGTTTCTATCTTGGTATTTATAATTGCTATTTTAAATAGGGATATTATGTTTATATGTTATATAATAATTTAAGCATATGGTATTTAAAAACAATGAACATTAAATACACAAATTACATTTTTCATTGTCCCCCTATTTATTAACCTGGGACAGAGTGTGATGATAAGAAAAGGAAGGATCTGGGCAGCTGTCATAGATGTCCCAGGCCACTCCTTGCTTTTCTGGAAGTGGCTTGTGTTTACTTGTACCCTTGTACTTATCAGTGAAGTTTGACATGGGATAACAGCACTAATCCATGTGAGTCTGCCTTGACAATTTGACCTTTTTATGTTCACAAAAATAACAGGTAATTCTCCAAAGAGTAAATTTAAATTAGCACAGGGAGAAAAATCAGTTCGCTAATGAGAAGAGAAAAATCCAATAAGCACACGTGATAAACCATTTCCCTCAAAATTTAAAAAGGTAACTGTACCAGGTGAAGATACAGATGTAGAAAAGAAAAAAGAAATAAATTCCCATATCTGATGGGAATATAAATCAGTATCAACATAAGAGAAAGCAGTTTGGCAACACAAATCTAGGGAAAAATCCACTAACCCAAAAAGTAAAAAATTACATGTGTATGTGTGTGTAGGTATGTAGCCTAGTGAATCCACTGCACTTTTATATAAAGACTTGTATATAAAGCAAATATTTTCACTGTAGCACTTTTTGCTATGAGGCAAAATTAGAAATGACCATCAGTCAAAAATTAGATAGACAAATTTTGGCGTTTTCATACAATAGAATACTGGAATTTAGCAGTTGTTTAACCATACCTGAGCAAAGCTTTATGAATCAACATGAATCAATTATTACAAATAAAGATGAAAAACAAGAAGTTTCTAAAAATACGTATATATTTTGTCAGTGCAATACAAGATAGTGTTTTTGTATTAGATATTTATGTAGTGTGTGAAATAACAAAAATGGTAGTACTGAACACCAAGTTTAGAAAATTAGTTAACTCTGGGATATGAGGAAGAGAAATAAAATTGGTGAAAATAAATTTAAATACATAGGATCTTCAAAACTTCATGGAAAATATGTATTATCAAAAATACTATGTGTGCTGAGATTCAGGGGATCACGATGGACAGGAGGCAGGACTAGATTGAAGCTCCAGGCAGAGCAACCTACGGAGGCTTGCACTGTGAATTTTAGCTCCAGATCAACTTCAAGAATAAAGTAGCAATCCCAAGAAGACCCACAGCCCCTCTGAAGGAAGCGGACTGCTCCTGCAGGACCCGGGAGACACCCCAAATACTATGAGTGTCCCAACTGTGCAAGTGGGAAAGGGAGTGTCCCGAACACACACCCCCACTGGAGAAGCTGAAGGTGTTTGTGGGAGAAGTTTCCGACTTTACCTGGAGCTGAGTCAAGTCAGAGAGCTGAGCGAAATACAGGGGTACAGGAAGCAGCAGAAAGGCCCTCGGAGCTCACTGGGTCCCCAAGCAGCCCATTCCTGCCTGGCAACACAAAGATCCATCCGGAGGGCGGCCAGAGGAGCAGGGGGTAAAACTCTACAGGGAGAAGGAATTCTCTAGCTGAACTTTGTAACCATTTGAACAGGGCAAGAAGCCTCCTGGCCAGAACTCAGGGGAGGGCGCGAATCTGGCCTGCAGACTTCACAGGCAGGGGGAGGAACTAAAGCCCTTTTCTCTGGGGGCTGGGAGATGGATAGCATTCAGCAAATTTTCAAGCCATTCTCACCCTCCGCCTAAAAACTGACTCTGTTACGGGGGCATAGTGAGAGTGAGACCAGCCCTTCAGTTTGCGTGGGAGCTGGGTGAGGCCAGTGACTGTCAGCTTTCTCCGACTTCCCTGACAACCTGCATGACTCAGCAGAGGCAGCCTTAATCCTCCTGGTACATAACTCCAGTGACCTGGGAATGTCACCCCCATCCCCAACAACAGCTTCAGCAGGACCCACCCAAAAAGAGTCTGAGCTCAGACACGCCTAGCCCCACCTCCACCTGATGGTCCTTCCCTATCCACCCTGGTAGCAGAAGACAAAGGGCATATAATCTCGGAGATCTAGGCCCACCCACTGCCAGTTCCTCTCCACACCACTACAGCTGATGCTCTCTGGAAAGCACCACCTCCTGGCAGGAACCCAACCAGCACAAAAATAGAGCATTAAACCACCAAACTAAGGACCCTTATGAAGTCCATTGCACCCTCCACCACCTCCACCAGAAGAGGCGCTGGTATCCACAGCTGAGACCCATTGAGTTCATATCATAGAACTCTGTGCAGACAACCCCCAGTACCAGCCCAGAGCCAGGGAGACTTGCTGGGTGGTGGGGCCCAGAAGAGAGACAGCAATCACTGCAGTTCAGCTCACAGGAAGCCACATCCATAGAAAAAGGGGGAGAGTACTACACCAAGGGAACACCCAGGGGGACAAAAGAATCTGAACAACAGCCTTCAGCCCTAGACCTTCCCTCTGACAGAGCCTACCCAAATGAGAAGAAACCAGAAAACCAACCCTGGTAATATGACAAAACAAGGATCTTCAACACCCCCCCAAAATCATACTAGTTCACCAGCAATGGATCCAAACCAAGAAGAAACCCTTGATTTACCTGAAAAAGAATTCAGGACATTAGTTATTAAGCTAATCAGGGAGGGACCAGAGAAAGATGAAGCCCAATGCAAGGAAATCCAAAAAATGATACAAGAAGTAAAGGGAGAAATATTCATGGAAATAGATAGCTTAAAGAAAAAAAAAAAACATAAAAAATTCAGGAAACTTTGGACACACCTTTAGAAATGCAAAATGCTCTGGAAAGTCTCAGCAATAGAATTGAACAAGTAGAAGAAAGAAGTTCAGAATTCGAAGGCAAGGTCTTTGAATTAACCAAATCCAACAAAGACAATAAAGAATAAGAAAATATGAACAAAGCTTCTAAGAAGTCTGGGATTATGTTAAATGAGCAAACCTAAGAATAATTAATGTACCTGAGGAAGAAGAGAATTCTAAAAACTTGGAAAACATGTTTGGGGGAATAATCGAGGAAAACTTCCCTGGCCTTGCAAGAGACGTAGACAGCCAAATACAAGAATCACAAAGAACACCTAGGAAATTCATCACAAAAAGATCTTCACTTAGGCACATTGTCGTCAGGTTATCCAAACTTAAGATAAAGGAAAGAAGCTTAAGAGTTGTGAGACAGAAGCATCAGGTAACCTATCAAGGAAAACTTATCAGATTAACAGCAGATTTCTCAGCAGAAACCCTACAAGCTAGAAGGGATTGGGACCCTATCTTCAGTTTCCTCAAATAAAATAATTACTAGCCAAGAATTTTGTATCCAGTGAAACTAAACATCATATGTGAAGGCAAGATACAGTTGTTTTCAGACAAACAAATGCTGAGAGAATTTGCCATTATCAAACCACCACTACAAGAACTGCTAAAAGGAACTCTAAATATTGAAACAAATACTGGAAACACATCAAAACAGATGCTCTTTAAAGCATAAATCACACAGGACACATACAACAAAAATACAAGTTAGAAAGTGAAAACAAAAAGTAAAATCAAAGTACACAGGCAACAAAGAGCATGACAAAAGCAATGGTACTTCACATTTCAATACTAACATTGAATGTAAATGCCCTAAATGCTCCACTTAAAAGATAAAGAATTGCAGAATGGGTAAGACCTTACCAACTAATTATCTGCTGTTTTCAGGAGACTCGCCTAACACATAAGGACTCACATAAAGTAAAGGGATGAATAAGGATATTTCATGTGAATGGACACCAAAAGCCAGCAGGGTAGCTACTCTTGCATCAGACAAGACAAACTTTAAAGCAACAGTGGTTAAAAGAGACAAAGAGGGGCAGGATATAATGGTAAAAGGCCTTGTCCAACAGAAAAATATCATAATTCTAAACATATATGCACCTAACTCTGGAGCTCCAAAATTTATAAAAACAATTACTAATAGACCCAAGAAATGAGATAGACAGCAGCACAGTAATAGTGGGGGATGTCAATACTCCACTGACAGCACTAGACAGGTCATCAAGACAGAAAGTCAACAAAGAAACAATGGATTTAAACTATACCTTGGAACAAATGGACTTAACAGATATATACACAACGTTTCATCCAACAACCACAGAACACACATTCTATCCAACAGTGCATGGAACTTTCTCCAAGACTGACCATATGATAGGCCATAAAAATAAGCCTCAATAAATTTAAGACAATTGAAATTATATCAAGCACTCTCTCAGACCACAGTATAATAAAACTGGAAATCAGCTCCAAAATGAATCTTCAAAAAAGAAAACTGCAGACCAATATCCTTGGTGAACATAGTTGCTAAAATCCTTAACAAAATACTGGCCGACTGAATCCAACAACATATCAAAAAGAGAATACACCATGATCAAGTGCGTTTTATACCGGGGTGCAGGGATGGTTTAACATACAGGAGTCAATAAATATGATACACTACATAAACAGAATTTAAAACAAGAATCACGTGATCATCTCAATAGATGCAGTAAAAGCATTTGACAAAATCCAACATCCCTTTATGATTAAAACTCTCAGCAAAATCCGCATACAAAGAACATACCTTAATGTAATAAAATCCACCTATGACAAACCCACAGCCAACATAATACTGAATGGGGAAAAGCTGAAAGCATTCCCTCTGAGAACAGGAACAAGACAAGGATGCCCACTCTCACCACTCCTCTTCAACATAGTACTCAAAGTCCTAGCCAGAGCAATCAGACAAGAGAAAGAAATAAAGGGTATCCAAATCAGTAAAGAGGAAGTGAAACTGTCACCTGTTTGCTGACGATGTCATCATTTACCAGAAACCTCCTAGAACTGATAAAAAAAAAATCCAGCAAAGTCCTGGATACAAGATTAATGTATACAGATCAGTAGCTCTCCTATAACACTAGCAGTGACCAAGCAGAGAATAAAATCAAGAACTCAACCCTTTTTACAACAAAAGCTACAACAAAACAAAAGAAAACAAAAACATAAAATACTTGGGAATATACCCAACAAAGAAGTTAAAAAACCTCTACAAGGAAAACTACAAAACACTGCTGAAAGAAATAGATGACATGAACAAATGGAAACACATCTTATGCTCATGGATGGGTAGAATCAATATTGTGAAAATGACCATACTGCCAAAAGCAATCTACAAATTCAATGCAATCCCCATCAGAATACCACTATCATACTTCAGAGAATTAGAAAAAAAAATTCCAAAATTCATATAGAACCAAAAAAGAGCCCCCATAGTCAAAGCAAGACTAAGCCAAAAGAACAAATCTGGATGCATCACACTACCTAATTTCATACTATACTATAAGGCCATAGTCATCAAAATAGCATGGTACTGGTATAAAAACAGGCGTATAGACCAATGGAACAGAATAGAGAACCCAGAAATAAACCCAAATACTTACAGCCAAGATCTACGACAAAGCAAACAAAAACATAAAGTGGGGAAAGACACCCTTTTCAACAAACGGTGCGGGGATAATTGGCAAGCTACATGTAGGATAATAAAACTGTATCCTCATCTCTCACCTTATACAAAAATCAACTCATGATGGATTAAGGACTTAAATCTAAGACCTGAAACTAAAAAAAATTTCTAGAAGATAACATTGGAAAAACCCTTCTAACATCAGCTTAGGCAAGGATTTCATGACCAAGAACCCAAAAGCAAATGCAATAAAAATAAAAATAAATAGCTGGGACCTAATTAAACTAAAGAGCTTTTGCACAGCAAAAGGAACAGTCAGCAGAGTAAACAGACAACCCACAGAGTGGGAGAAAATCTTCACAATCTATACATCTGACAAAAGACTAATGCCCAGAATCTACAACGAACTCAAATCAGTAAGAAAAAAACAAAGAATCCCATCAAAAACTGGGCTAAGGACATGAATAGATGATTCTCAAAAGAAGATATACAAATGGCCAACAAGCATGAAAAAAATGCTCAACATCAGTAGTGATTAGGGAAATGCAAGTCCAAACCACAATGAGATACCACCTCACTCTGGCAAGAATGGCCATAATCAAAAACTCAAAAAACAGAAGATTTTGGCATGGATGCGGTGAACAGGGAACACTTCTACACTGCTGGTGGGAATGTAAACTAGTATAGCCACTGTGGAAAACAGTTGGAGATTCCTTAAAGAAGTAAAAGTAGAACTACCATTTAATCCAGCAATCCTACTACTGGGTATCTACTCAGAGGAAAAATAAGTCATTATTCGAAAAAGATACTTGCACATACATGTTTATAGCAGCACAATTCACAATTGCAAAATTGTGGAACCAAACCAAATACCCATCAATCAGTGAGTGGATAAAGAAATGGTGATATATATCACAGCCATAAAAAGGAATGAATTAACAACATTTGCAGTGACCTGGATGAGATTGGAGACTATTATTCTAAGTGATATAATGCAGAAATGGAAAACCAAACATCATATGTTCTCACTGATATGTCGGAGCTAAGCTATGAGGATGTGAAGGCATAAGAATAATACAATGGGCTTTGGAGATTTTTGGGGAAGAGTGGGAGGGGACAAGGGATAAAAGACTACAAATATGGTGCAATGTATATATGGGTGATGGGTGCACCAAAATCTCACAAATCACCACTAAAGAACTTACTCATGTAACCAAATACCACGTGTAACCCAATAGCTTATGGAAAAAATACTATGCATGGATTTCAAAAACTTTTTGCATCAAAATAAACTTGTACTAAGCTGTTACAACATATTTGAACAGGATCTAGTTGCATCTAGCTTGAAGCACAAAGAGAAGGATAAGACATTAGTTTGAAAAGAGCCCCTATCAGAGCAACAGGAATTCTGCTAAAGTTGAAGCAAGAGCAAACATCGAATTTATGGTAGATCCTGTATAAAAGAATGGTAAAATGATTGATACATTAAGAAAAGTTTATGGGGGCAATGTCTCAAAGGATTCAGTGGTTTATAAATGGAAAACTAATTTTAAAACGGGACGAGACAATATTGAAGATGAAGCCTGCAGGGGCAGACAATTCATGTCATTTTTTGAGGAAAAAATTCATCTTGTTTGTGCCCCAAATAAAGGGGACTGAAATTAACAGCAGAAACAATAGCCAATAGCATAAACATCTCAATTGGCTCAGCTTGCACAATTCTGACTGAAAAATTGAAGTTAAGCAAACTTTCCACTCAATGATTGCCAAAACTGTTGCACCCATATCAGCTGCAAAAAAGAGCAGAGCTTTCAATGGAAATTTTAAACAGGTGGGATCAAGATTATGAAGAATTTCTTCAAAGGATTGTAACAGGAGATGAAACATGGCTTTACCAGTATGATCCTGAAGACAGAACACAATTGAAGCAACTACCACCAAGAGGTAGAATTGGTCTGTTCAAAGCCAAACTGGGCTGGTCAAGAGCAAAACTCATGGCAAAAGATTTCTTTGAGATTCTTACGGCATTTTGCTTGTTGACTCTCTGGAGGGCCAAAAACCAATAACATCTGCTTATTATGGGAGTGTTTTTGAGAAAATTAGCCAAAGCTTTAGCAGAAACCACCCCCGCGCCCGGGAAACCTTCACCAGAGAGCCCTCCTCCACCACGACAATCCTCCTGCCCCATTCCTGTTATTGAACAAGGGCAATTTTATGAGTATTTTCATAGGAAATTTTTAGACATCCGCATTACAGTTCTGATTGGTTCCTTCTTTGTGTTTCAAAATATTAAAAAAACCTTTAAAGGGCACCAATTTTTCTTCAGTTAATAATGGAGAAACGACGGCATTGACATAACTATATTCTCAGGACTCACTTTCTTAGGAATGGACTAAATGGCTGGTATCATCACTGGTATCACTTACTTATTTTGAATTTGTTGGAGCTTATGTAGAAAAATACTATTTATATTTTTTATTCTTTTAATTATATTTTTCCATGAACTTTTTGAGGTCTCATATATAGTTTTTAAATAAAATATAGTAACAAATATTTGTAAAATTTATATGGTGTATAAAAGGTGCTTAGTTATAATATCCTTATACTTTTCTTTATGTGTTAACTATTTTTTATTAAATGAATCAAAATAGTTTGAGCTTCTCTCAGAAGTCACCCAGGAGGACATCAATCAAATTGATGTTATTTTCTTCATTATTCTGGCAGAATATTGGGCTTCTTTGTCTGGGCTTAGAGTTCATTACAAATTTCCAGAAACTTCTTTCTTGGCTTTGATCCTTTGTCATAATGTGCTGGTGAATGTTAAACAGTAGGCTCTCTGGAATGTATGTAGGGGGCGATATAGTAAGGGGAGTTCTGACAGGTTGCATTTGCTGATTTTTGTGGTGTAAATTTCTCTAATATGGTCACTTTCGAGCTACCAACACGATGCCACTGAATGCAAAATTTTAAAAAGTACTGTGGCACATGAATATGATAGTCATAACCTCAAGAACACAGATAATAAAGTATAGTAAAATAATTAGAACATGATGAGTTTGAGTCTTTCTTACCTTTTTAAAATATAATTTATTTAATTCTATGCTTATGTAATTTATGGTAGCCACCTTTCCTCCTTTAGAGCCACATATCAGTCATAATTAGCACCTTGGCCATGGAGTGAGGCAGAAAACCAAACCAAATCATACAGAAAGTATGGATCCAGGTAGAGGAGTATTTGTTTTTCTGATCTAATTGCCATTAATGGGATTCTTCTGATATTAAGAATACCAGAAGTATAAATGCTTCATGACTGAGCGATCATCTTTTTCAGACGAGGCAAAACAGAGTCATATACATACATCTCATCTCATCTCATCCCATCCAATCCCATCCCATCCCATGCCATCCCATGCCATCCCATCCCATCCCCTCCCATGCCATCCCATCCCATCCCATCCCATCCCATGCCATCCCATGCCATCCCATCCCATCCCATCCCATCCCATCCCATCCCTCTCTCTCTATCTCATCTATCTATCTTATCTATCATATCTATCCCATCTATCTATCTATCTATCTATCTATCTATCTATCTATCTATCTATCTATCTATCATCTATCCATCCATCTACCTATCTCATCTATCTATCTATCTATCTATCTATCTATCTATCTATCTATCTATCTATCTATCTATCTGTGTGTCTGTCTATCTAATCTATCATGTATAAATGTTGTTGACATTACTGCTGTTACTTTGTGTTGTCTTAACTTCTTTTGTATATTCTGATTCTATGTTGAGTCGTGAAAATTAAAGCTGTAGTTCAAAAAAGTGATGGAAATGTTAGTGATACAGCTGAACTTCAACATACTCTAGGTTTCTTTTAAAAGCTGTCTGCAGAGTGCAGGGGCTTATGCAACTAAGTGGGCTGTTTGGCAAGATAATAGACATAGCAGAGAGAGAAATTTATATCTCCTACCTGAAAGTCTGTGTGTTTACGAGAGTAGATGTTTGACACATTCCAGAGTCCGTACTATGTCAGCTTATCTTCTGAATTTTTTTGGCCTACTATAGTCTACTTAGAATACACCCAAGTGTAAATAAATTTCTTCTCTGTTTTGAGTTTAATGTGACCATTGTCCTTATAGACATGCTTGTAGGTACAGCCTCTTGAAATGATTTAATTAATACAATGTTATATATAAACTTTAAAAGTATTTGACAACATCTGATCATGAAGATTCCTATCAGTATAGAAAAGTGTCAGCCGGGCACAGTGGCTCACGCCTGTAATCCTAGCACTCTGGGAGGCCAAAGCAGGTGGATCACGAGGTCAGGAGTTTGAGACCAACCTGGCCACCATGGTGAAACCCCGTCTCTACCAAAAATACAAAAATTAGCTGGGCGTGGTGGCGGTTGCCTGTAATCCCAGCTACTTGGGAGGCTGAGGCAGGAGAATCATTTGAACCCAGGAGGTAGAGGTTGGAAAAGTGTCAGCAATGTTACCAGTTGCCATTTAAGTACACTTTCTTTTACTTTCAAAAGGATTTTTTATTCTATAATAAACTATAAAAGAATCATCGCAGTTGCTTTCGATCGATTCATATAATTCTCTGCCCAGAGAGAAAATGCAAAGCATTAAAAGGACAGAATCATAAAATATGATGCCTCCAAGCAAAAGGCAGGGAATTTCATCCTCCTATGTATTTTTAATTTAAGAGGGACATGAAAAAAGACATGACCGGTGATAGAAAAGGTGAATTTGGGGCACTTCTGTCCTTTTTTTTTTGTTTTACAAAATGGCCAGAAACTTGTTTGTGACAACATGTCTAGCAACTTGCTTGGCTTCAATCACTTGCAAAAGAAATAACAAAATTATTAAAAATGGAAATGAAATCTTTCATTTTGTTTCACCAATGAGAAAAGCTGGTCAAAGAGATTGTCCTGAGAAGTTTGTTTCCTCATCTCTTAAGAAAGCTGTGATATGACTGAACAAGTGACTTGTGTTTTTCATCATAATTATAAAGATTATGAGTAGAATGGTCAAATTAGAAGACATTTTAAAATGCTTACTTGATGTACTACAACTTGAGAATCAGCCAAGTATTTTAAAAGGAGTATTTAAATTAGATCATAATAAATTGATAAAGAAACAATCCCTCCAATTTAAAAATTAAAAAACATGCTGTGGCCAGGCACCATGGCTCACGCCTGTAATCCCAGCAATTTGGGAGGCCAAGGCCGGTGGATCACGAGGTCAAGAGATTGAGACCATCTTGGCCAACATGGTGAAACCCGTCTCTACTAAAAAAAAAAAAAAAAATTAGCTGGACATGGTGATGGGTGCTTGTAATCCTAGCTACTCAGGAGGCTAAGGTAGGAGAACTGCTTGAACCCAGGAGGCGAAAGTTGGAGTGAGCTGAGATTGCACCACTGCAATTCAGCATGGGTGACAGAGAGCAAGGCTCCATCTCAGGAAAACAAAAACAAAAACGTGCTGTGAGGTTCATTCTTTTTAAAAATATAGCAAGAAGGAAATGGATCAATAGATGTCACAAATAAGTGCTATTTCTGCTAGAACAGAGACTCTGATGTTACTTAGACTCAAAGTGTTGCTATACACCAGGAGTTTCTGAACTTCAGCATGCATTGCAATCACACAGATGCTGAGCTCTAGCCCTGGAGTTGATGTGGTACATCTGAGGTGGAGCTTAAAAATTTGTATTTCCAATGAGTTCCCAGGTAATGATGATTCTGCTGAATTGTGGATCATCCATTGAGAACCACAGCTATAAACAATATCACATATTGAGGATAGATGTGATGATATGAAATTATAAAGAAATGCATGAACATGAAAATTGCCAGATTCACAATAGTGTGTGTTTATGTTGGAGAAAGTAGTGTGGAAAGGTGACATAGAATGTTTAATTCTATTAGAAGACAATATTTTAAATAATTAATCTAAGTAGGTAGATGGGTATTTGTTGCATCACTTTTTATAGATTTTGCATGTCTTGAACATTTCATGATTTACTTTTTAAAAATAAAGTTGTTAATACTGAACTAAGGTTTGTATAAATTAAGTACGAATGATCGGGTACATTCTGTTAGCCAAAAGGTACAGAATTGCTAGCATTTGAATTTCCTTTAATCAAATAGTTTAAATAATACAATCTTAAAAAGCTTAAAATGTTGTTATATACATGATGTAATAGAAAAAATATTACAGTGACTGTTCGGTTTTAAATCTATTAGTTTAGTCAACAAATATTTACTGAGTTACTACTATGTTTCAGAAAATGTTCTAGGCACTAGAAATACAATGATCGAAATGGACACAAATGTTGGCCTTATGGGGCCTCCATTCTGTAAAAAGTCATATATTCTGTTCAGTAACAAACATGATGTGATGTAAAGGTTGGCAAAAGGACAGAAAAACCTGAAATATCAATCCAGTTTTGATATCTAAAAACAGTAGTGAACAAATAAAGTGAATTCTAAGCTAAGGAATTGTTCAGAATATGCTAATAAGAAATATACTCAGCAAATTATAAAATTAAAATAAAAACTACAAGTTTAATCTGATTTTCATGGGGAAGACTCGTAGGAAGACTGTTGGGAGAATTTCCACTCATTTCTTTTTTTTTTTTTCCTGAGTATCTAAACCAGTTATATGCAACATGGTTTTTCCCTCTATGAATGTCTCCTTTACACATATACCATATTTTCCATGGGAACATGTCTAAATAGAGACAATGATTTGGGGGTGAAGTTGTACAGATGATTCCTCCCACTACTCAGCAAACATCTTTCCCGAGAGTAATGCTCCCTTTTCATTTGGGAATTAATGAAATAATTAAGTCATAAAACATGATTGTACATATTTATTTAACTGCTTCACTAGTTTATTTACTTTTCAAGCATGTTTAAGATTTCTAATAAGTTATTAGCTCAGGACACAGCATCGAAGTTCAGATTACTAGACTGGGTTCTGCTCTCACATAGCTCGGAGGAGGATGAAGGAGATATGAAAAATGCGGTCAGAGAAGAGCCATGATAAAAGGACTTGCCAGAGAAGTCTTTGAGTGACAGCCCATGTATACTACTAATACATGAAACAGGCAAGGATTCCCAGAGGATGTAATGCTTTGAGCTGAGCCTTGAAAGGTGAATAGAGTTAGCTAAGTGAGGAAAGTAAAGATAAATTGAGAGGTGAAGACAGCCAACATGGAAATTATTGCAGCATTTGCCTTCATCATGTGTGTGACCAAAAAACTCAGGAAAAAAAAAAGATTCAAATACTTGTGTGTATGTGCGTCTGTGTGTGTGTGTGTGTGTGTGTGTGTGTGTGTGTGTGTGTGTGTGTGTGCAGTGTTCTTTGTGGTGTCTGTTGAGTCTCAACAGCCCCCCTGGTGGGGGCCAGACACTACCATAGTTATCAAGCATTCAAAGGTGAATGAGAGAGACATGGTCTTCCTTTCAATGAATTTATACTCCCATAGGAGATTTGCAAATTACTCTTTGCTTTCGGGGCACTAAGTGATTCAATTTTACTGGCTAAAAACTGTAAAATAACCTTTAGCAAAACTGTAAGTACTATTCTTGCTCTCAATTTTTATGTTTTAATGTTATGAAAACTCAGTTTAAAATATCACACTAATTAATTAATACATTTTTTTCTGCAGGTCAGGTACTTCTTATGTACATATTGAGTGTATCTTTTACAAAATTTTAGATAAAATTTTAGTAGACCTTTAGTACACATCCTTAGTTATATATTACCTGAAGGGAAAATCAAAACCAAACCAAATAAATAAACATACAGGCAAAACAAAACCTTTAATTTTTCTCCAAGCAAAAAATCTGTCAGTGGTGTCTCCTTTCTCTCAAATATAAAATTATGTTTATAATAGATGTTAAAGGATATCTACCAGCTATTGTTTGGGGTTATTTTTATCTCCTACTATTACTAACACAGATAGTGGTTTATGAGTAAAAGCATGTATTCTTTTCTGCTTTAATTTAATTAAATATAGCGGAAATGGTGGCCATTAAAGAGGACTCATTCACCCACATACATTATAAAATTGTTTATTTAAAAGCAATCTATGGACATGGTTCATAACAGAATTTCCCTCTCATAGTACATGGAGAAATTAAGGACCGCATTTTAAAGTTTTGTGTTCTAAATTAAATCATGTTGTGCTCTAAATTGAATCCCTTAAAACTCAAATGTATTTTTTCTCTGTTGGCAATTTTAAATAGCTTGCATAATTTTTCTTAATTAGGTTTTAAACTCAACAAGGCCAGTAACTATATTTGGTATCCTTTATACAATTTATACTGAGCTGTCATTGCAAGCAAATCTAATTCTGTTTATCAGCATATGAAAAACAAGTAAAGCTTTCTTTTTTTTTTTTACTTCTAAAATTTGGGAGTATGATTGATAGTACTTTATTTATAAAGCAAATTTCAGAATCATGATCAGAATTATGCTGATGCCAAATTTCGTGTGAATTGACTTTATGGGAAACACACTAAAATAAGTGTCTTGGTAGACGAATAAATGAAAAGGAATAATAACACATGCTCCTTTAATTTTATAAACACTTTTATTCTAACCAGGAATTAGAGGTATGACAAATAAATTTTTAAGTTATATGATTATTTATTTAGTACTAATATTTCTGGTATAGCCAGTTCATTAAAAAAGAGCTACCCAGAGCCCCTGACATAAAATACTCAAAAACAAAAGCTACTATGCTCAAGACATTATTCCTAAAGAATTGACTAGAAGCACCAACACTTATTATACCAAGGAAAATGCAAGTTTGTTAACACACTTCTTGATGTATTATTACGTTTATAGGGTAAACAGCCCGCTTTTGGTTCTAAATCATTGACTCACACTTGTGCATAGCATAAAATCTGATTTATGTATGAATGACAAAACACTATATATATATGTGTGTGTATATATGTATATATATGTATATATGTATACATGTATATATACGTATATATATACATCTATATACTATATATGTGTATATATATGTGTATATTTATACACAAATACACACATATATACATATATTTACTGGTATGACAGAAACCTACTGAAAAATCAATTATAAACATCTACTAAAATGAATTTAAGTTAATATTGAAAAACAAATACGTTACAAACATAGCTCAGGGCCCTTCCTCCATTCTCATTCTTAAGTAAACAAGTTAGTAAGAAAATGAGTTTGCTCTCAAGACTTTTCCAGCCCATTTCTAGGTTGATACTGTTCTAGGGTACCTGCTGGTCTGCTGTGTTTAAAATAATGTTACTAATTCCTTAAATATTTAATGGAAGCAAATCCCCATTTGCCTGGCCTCTTCCCCCAACATAATTTTCTGTCATTTTAATCTGGTTTGCATCAACTTTCTATTTAGATTGCTGTAAAGACACTGCTGAGTATTAGTTTTCTTTTCTCCTGGAAGATTTACCTCTAATTTTCTGATGATTTTCTTTTTCTGTTTTTGTAGAGGTAGGGTCTCACTATGTTGCCCAGACTGCTCTTGAACCCCTGGGTCCAACCAATCCTCCTGCCTCAGCGTCCCAAGATTTCTGTTTCTTACTAAAGGTAATGCATTGTATTATTCCGAGATTATGAGTCCATATTGGTGGTCACAGTAGATGGCCCTACTAGATGGCCAAAGAACCATCCTTCTCCCTTCTCGTTCCTAAATAGGATGACAGAGATTCTAAAATGAACCAATACATGGTTTTCATCCTTTGTATTTATGCATAATGTTTAAATGTAATATCTCATGTAATTGGAAACATTTGGAGGTCTTACTAAATGTATTTCTTACAATTAATTTTTATTTCCTAAAACAGTAAAACAGATTATTGGAATCTACTTGAACTATAAAAACTTTTGACCCATTCGGGATCCAGGGCAAACTGAACCTTTTTGCCTCTTAGAACTAGCCCTTCAGCGTGCTTTCATTTTCAAATCCTTAATCCATAAAATTAGGTGAAAATGCCCTGCTGTGTCGATTGATAGCCTAAAATAAGAAGTTCGTACCCTCTCAGTTTTCTTTCTAGTAGAGCTTGCTGCTTTCTGGAATGAGCTTAATTTCTCCATTCTCTGTACTATGCCTATCATTTCTTGTTCTGCTACTTTAGCCAAAGCATGGAAATTAACTCATTCCAAACCAAATTCTTGCATATTTCGAAGATTTGCTTCTGAGAGTTGTTTTGGACTACAAATCTCACATAATGAACTCCATTGGTGAAGTGAAGACAAGATAGTGTCAGAGTCTATGCACATCTGATTCAGGTGCCCTGGTACAATATTCCATATGGAAGGGGTAGGTTTTAGAATAAGTGACTAAGCCAGTAATATAATATTCTTTTGTATCTAATTCATCTTCTACTTTTCCTCTTCTTTTTTAGTCTTTTCTTTTTAATCATTATGAGGATTTTTCTGTCTATGATTCTGGCCAGATAGACCTATTCATTAATTTGCCTAGAGCTAATGCTTTAAATTTGCATTACTTACACAGAAGCAGCTAACTAATCTTTGCAAGGTTAGTGGGTAGCAAGTTAGTTGCTTGAATATTAGAGAAAAATGGTACAAGTATTTCTTTACAAACTTAGAATCTGGATGTGAAAATAAAATTTGTATTCCTCTTATAGCCATATCGCTTCATATTTCTTATATAACACTCATTTGACAAAATGTAACTTTGATTTTTTTAAAAGGAAAACATTTTAAAAAACCCACAGAATACTTTGAGGTAATAATACACTGTCAGTATATTTTGCCAAATTTCAAGAAGAAAAGTAATAATATAAGAAGTAGATTTATTTTCTCACTGACTCAGTGTTTTATTTTCGTTGTGGTGTAGGGCTAATGCAATTTTTAAGGATTTTAGATATTTGTTTTGTGTGATTTCCCTAGACCAAACTGTATCCTTTTTGAATTTTGGTACTTTATAACAGGAAGCAATTTTGCAGCAAATTGAACTGGTTGGATTTTACAGCTCTTCTTTAGAACATCTCCTTCCCCACCCCCAACTTTTCTTTCATCAAACAGCAATTACCCAGCATCCACACAACATATTACTTGATTCTTCTGAGACCTTCTAGTCACACAGAAAAAAATATTTTTCCTCCTAAGTGTTCTATTATAGAATTTTCCTTTCATAAAGCATCTATCTATGTCCCCTATTACAGTGATTAAAATCAGTTTCATGCAGTGCCAACAAGAGGATCATTTCTCTCCCTCAAAGAACTATTGTAAACACTTAATCTCCTTTATTTATATTATTCCTACTGTAGAAGGCTTCTTTTATGATATCTTATTCTAGGGTCACATTGTCATGTCTGTGATCTTTATAGGTGCACAAATTCTTTCATCTTGTTCCAATATTTGCTTTAGACATGGATAAGATTTGATTTTGACTTGGGTAGTCCACACTACAGCAGCAACTGACTTATCAGGATCCAAACACGCTCCCCACCATCTGTGGGGAGTTGACACATCCAAACTAGACAAGAGATCAGATTATGAGGTCTTCTCTGACCACATGGATTCAAAATAAAATCTAACTTCTCTTTATAGCCTCCATCACATTAGGAAAATTCCAGAATACACTGCCTTCTAGTCCTTTTTTTTCTACTCCCTACAACCAGTATTTAAGCAAATACTTTAAAAACATTAAGAAACATACACTTTACTGAACTTTCCACCTTGGGCAAAATGTTACAGACAGTTCCCTCATGGCATCAAGTTTGCCAGCTTGCCAGTAGGAAGTCTCAGGGAATAGCATCTCATCCCCCCTCTAACTGCATGCTTACTTTAGAGGCTAATGCTCCTGTATCAGAGGTTGGTCTTCTAACTAGGTAGAGCCAGGTGTGTGTTATCACATTTAATTCTCCTTTGAAAGGACAGGCTTACTCAAATAGAAGGTGACTCTCCTCCTCCACTAGTTAGGGATTCCAAGGGTTACGTGAAGAGGCCTTCATCTCAGAATACGAGAATTCAAATCTAGGTTTTCTTATATATTAACTATGTGACTTTGGACAATTTTGCCACTTAAACTGTGAGTCTTAAGTTCCTCATCTTTAAAATGAGGCTGATGATATGTTACTTATGTCATGGAGTTGTTAGAAGACACAAGATATGGTATAACAGTACCTGGTGAAATGTAGGCAATCAAGTATTACTATTATTTTCTTTTTAACATCAATAACTCTGAGTTAGCTAGGCATGATGGCTCACGTCTGTAATCCCAGCACTTTAGGAGGCCGAGGTGGGCAGATCAATTGAGGTCAGGAGTTTGAGACCAGCCTGGCAACCACGGTGAAATCCCATCTCTGCTAAAAATACAAAAATTAGCTGGGCTTGGTGGTACATGGCTGTAATCCCAGCTACTCAGGAGGCTAAGGCAGGAGAATCAGTTGAACCTGGGAGAGGAATGTTGCAGTGAGCTGAAATTGTGTCACTGGACTCTAGCCTGGGTGGCAGAGTGAGACTCCATCTCAAAACAAAAACAAGCAAACAAAAATCCTCTGAGTTACTCATTCTTTCTTTCTGGGGAAAAGAGGTTGAATAATGATAGAGCTTTCTGGAAAAATGATGGTTGAAATGTACCTCAATAAGGGTCCAACCCAGACATATCTTTAACAGATTATTGTATTTTTATTTACATCTTAATATGTGTTTTTACAGCATGGAGGTAAATATATCCAATATCCATTATTCTATAGTATTTTTCTATCACACTGAAACATACCTGCTAATGAGTTCATTACATGTTAAATTATTAGTTTATTGGCACTTAGTTACATTGTATTACACAAATTTTTGCTAGATTGTTTCTGGTGTTGAAGTATGTTTTGTGTTATTGGGAGTATGGATTAGAAGGTGGTGTTATTTTTTCCCCAAATTAAAAAAATGGAATATGAGCTGGTGCTGTATGAAAACTCACTATCAAACATAATTTTAGGAATGGAAATATTTAGGTAACAAGGATCACATTTTCTATCTCATTCAGTCCCCCTTAAGCTATGAAAATCTCTGTTGAGTATCTTTCACTTTCAAACCCCAAGGAATAAAGTATTATTCGATATCAGGGGATCTAGCCCCCAGTATTTCAACGTAGGTTCTTTTCTATTTTCTTTAAGTGTCGGCCGGTGTGGGAAATAAAGGGAAAGAGTACGAAAGAGAGAAATCTTAAAGCTGGGTGTCCAGGGGAGACATCACATGTCGGCAGGTTATGTGATGCCTCCTGAGCCACAAAACCAGCAAGTTTTTATTATGGATTTCAAAAGGGGAGGGGTGTACAAATAGGGTGTGGGTCACAGAGATCACAAGCTTCAAGGGCAATAAAATATCACAAGGCAAATGGGGGCAGAGCGAGATCACTGGACTAGGGTGAAATTAGAAATGCTGATGAAGTGTCATGTCCCACAGGGCACGCATTATTGTTGATAACATCTTATCAGGAGACAGGGTTTGAGAACAGACAACCAGTCTGACTAAAATTTACTAGGCAGGAATTTTCTAATCCTAGTAGGCCTGGGGGTGCTACGGGAGACCAGGGCTAATTTCATCCCATACCTACAACTGTATAAGACACACATTCCCAGAGTGGCCATTTTAGAGACCTATCCCTGGGAATGCATTCTCTTTCTCAGGGCTCTTCCTTGCTGAGAAAAAGAATTCAGCGAAATTTCTCCTATTCACTTTTGTAAGAAGAGAAATATGACTCTGTTTTGTCTGGCCCCGCAGGCAGTCAGGCCCAATGGTTATCTCCTTTGTTCCCTGAAAATTGCAGCCATCCTGTTCCTTTTGGATGCCCAGATTTCATATTGTTCAAACACACATGCTCTACAAACAATTTGTGCAGATAATGCAATCATCACAGGATCCTGAGGCTACATACATCCTCAGTTTACAAAGATGACGGGATTGAGAGATTAAAGTAAAGACAGGCATAGGAAATTATAAGAGTATTGATTGGGGAAGTGATATATGTCCATGAAATCTTCACAATTTATGTTCAGAGATTGCAGTAAAGACAGGCATAAAAAATTATAAAAGTATTAATCTGGGGAACTAATAAATATCCATGAAATCTTCACAATTTATGTTTTTCTGCCATGGCTTCAGCTGGTCCCTTCGTTCGGGGTCCCTGACTTCCCGCAACAATTCCTGACTTGCTCGCTATTTTCATTCTCAAATCCAAGCACTATGACTTCTTTTGCAGCTAACTCTTTACAACTTGCTTCCTTAAAGTTGACCAGTTTCCACTGAGTGGTGATCTTCTATTAGTTATTTTTATTCCTGGACACCTGTCATATACAACAGGGGTCTCCAGTCCTGGGGCCACGGACTGAACCGTTAGGAACCCGGCTGCTTCCTAATATTGAAGCTTCAGCATATTTACAGCCACTTTCCATCACTCAAATTACTGCCTGAGCTCCACCTCCTATCAGATCAGCATCAGCATTAGAGTCTCATAGGAGCGTGAACCCTATGCTGTGCATGCAAGGGATCTAACTTGGGCACTCTTTATGAAAATCTAATACCTGTTGATTTGTCACTGTCTCCCATCACCCCCACATGGGACCTTCTAGTTGCGGAAAAACAAGTACAGGGCTCCCACTGATTCTACATTATGATGAGTTGTATAATTATTTAATTCTATATTATAATGTAATCATAATAGAAATAAACTGCACAACAAATGTAATGCACTTGAATCATCCACAAACCACCCTCCACCCTGATCTGTGGGAAATTGTCTTCCATGAAACTGGTCCCTGGTGCCAAAAAGGTTGGAGACTGCCAGTAAATAACATTATTGAACTCTGTGGCTGTTGATACTCTTTTCCTAGTCTCTTCAATATAAGAAAGTTTTTCTTCTGAGTCCCTTGGTTGCTTGCTCCTCAACCTTTTCTTGTTCTCTAGAGATAAATGTTTATCAATGTTTTTTCTTGTTGGCCTCCAGAGTCTCATAATTTCAAGCATTGCTTTCCAGCAGGATGCATTTGCACCATGCACCATAAAGCTTAGTTATAGCTCAGCTCTAACATTCTCCTATATTTATTTATTTATTTATTTATTTATTTTGGAGATGGAGTTTAGCTCTGTCTCCCAGGCTGGAGTGCAGTGGCACAATCTCTGCTCACTGCAACCTCCATCTCCCAGGCTCAAGCGATTCTCCTGCCTTGGCCTCCTGAGTAGCTGGGATTACAGGCACATGCCACCATGCCTGGATAATTTTTGTATTTTAATAGAGACAGGGTTTCACCATCTTGGCCAGGCTGGTCTCGAACTCCTGACCTCAGGTGATCTGCTCACCTTGGCCTCCAAAAGTGCTGGGATTACAGGTATGAATGACCATGCCCAGACTAAAGTTCTTCTAATTTTTATATGTTTTTATGATATTTCCAGGATGTCCCATAGACATTTTACATTTAAAATAACTAAACTGATCACCTTTGTCTCACACACTGAACCCGTATTTTTGACATCCCTATTTGTATTCACGGCATTAATCTTCTTTAGTCACCCAGATTTGAAATCTTCATCATCACAAACACCTGATTTCCCTTCATTACTCACGGATAACTAATGTCTACCTCTTACATTTTTCAATATAGTAGAATCTATTGAATCTATTTCTTAATTTTTACCTCAATTTTCATCACCCTAGATTAGACCCTAATTGCCACCATGATGACCACCTGCAATAATCTACCAGTGAGTTTTATCACATCTTGAAGACTGCAGAATTTTGACAGTTAAAGATGGAGGGAGGTATTATATACAAAGGGCATATATTTTGCTGAAGATCTAGGATTCACTTTAGAATCTTTAAACAGTTGTACTGGGAGAGGGTCACACAGGTAGAAGAGTAATAAGATTTGAAATGCAACTTGGAATAAGATCTTGAATCCCAGACTATTGAGAAATATTCACAAATATGCTTCTCTTCCATTTTATTTTTTTCTTTAGTATCCGTAGTACCTACTAAAATGCTTTGCATATTTTAGATGTTCAGAAAATTCTTATTTCAACAAACAAAAGTATTATAAGCATGTTAAATTACTAAAATGCACCTTGATTTATTTCTTTTAAAAGTATGTAGGACACATAAACTATCATTTTGCTTCTACAGTTCATCTTGTATTTAAACACAATAAAATATCAATTTTAATGTTTTTCTTAATTATTCACTAAGTGTCATATATACATATCACTGAATATATTACAGACATACATGTATTGTATATGTAATATATTAAAAGATAAGGATTAATTGAAGGGGCTTATCTGGTGCTAGAGTTTTGCTTTGCTTTTGAATTCTTATTTAATTCTGTTCTATTTACTGAATGTCCATCTCTGCATAATATTTGAAAAGCCTCCTGAGTTAAAAATAGTTAATTCTGGGAAAGAGCTCAGCTCTTGGTATTTAGCCATATTATTCATCTTATATGGCTGATACATTTATCATGCGTTGATTCAAATACATGCAGCTTTTAACTTTTTGCAGAAACTATAAGGTCATACATCACAGATTAATATTCTTCTCATGCCCTCCCCCCACATTCGTACACAAAGGTCTCTTGTGGTTAGTGATATTAATCCATTCCTGTGGTTTTGCAGTCAAGAGGAATATAGTGCAGCGTGCCTCCTCGTTTAAAACAAAAAGGCTTACGGTGTTCTTTGGCTTTATGCTGCTTGGCTTTCGCCAGAGGACAGCATCCATGAGAGGGATTTGCTTTGTTTTTCTAATTATCAGCAGCTGGGTGAAACAGCTTCCAAAGGGGGAGAAAACAACACAGAGAATTTTAAGCCATGCTACTAACAGGTGTTCCCAGGGATCAAGTTCTTAAACAACCCTAAGAGTAAGATGAGATGCACTTTGTTGAACTGTTGCTGATGGTAGAGGGAAAATAATCAGGAATTTGCATACAACAACTCATTAAGTCCCCTTCCCAGTATATTAAATAGACTTAATTTTTCGAAAGGCAATTTTGGATAAAGATAGTGAATGGTGTGCTGATATGAAATGACTACACAGCATAATTTCATTTTGCCTTGGTTTGTTACTCCTCCTCTCCTTGCCATATCTCCAATATAAGCCCCCCCCACATACATACATACACACTCAGATGTGTACACACTCATGTGAGTGCACACATATTGCATATTTACTGATAACATTGTCCAAGCTGCTGTGATGACATCCAGGGTCATTCACCTACAGTTTTATGCAATTATAAATAAAATAGAATTCAAAAAGAGCACAAGAACATATTGTGAAATAGGTGAGATAGCTCCGTGGGCTAATCCTGAATGGCGAGACTCATCAAATTATTTAGATTCTATCTTGAACTTTAAAAGCTGGTATAAATCTTAGTATGAAAGATTTAAGCAAAGAGAGATGGGTACTGGGTAATATAACTGCATGAAAGTATTCTTAAATAAATATAAGCCTATCTCAAGTTTATAGAAAAATAACAATCCCAAAGAGGTTATCCCTCACATAAAGGTTACAGTTTTAGCAACCGGGGCATTCTACCAGAGCTTTCAGGAGGTGATTAAAGTAGACTTTAAGCTTCAGTCACTTGCTGGGCTCTTTCACCAGCATGTGAAAATTTGCCACCTCATGGTGACCTGGAGTTTATCAAAGGCCAGTCAGTGTTAGAGAGAGAAGTAATGGCAGTAAGAGAGAGGATCACAAGAACAGTTAAGCCAAGACACTCAGTCTGTAGGCTCACGTTTCTTCCACTCCAGCACACTGGAGGAGCTACTCCCAGAAGAAGGCAAGGAAGAGACAGCTCTGAGCCAGACCTTGCTTAAGACAACTTCAGCAGCCTTCTGTGACCATTTGAGCTTCAGCTCAAATCCAGGCTGGTGTAAAAGGAGAAGTTGATTTTTACATTGAGTTTACATTAAAATTTAAAAGGTATAGATTTTAGTAATTAAAAGTGCCAAAACATTTTGGATTCTGCTCAAATGGCACTGAAGGTTAAGAAAGGAAGATTGATGGAACATAGCTGAAGGTAATGATCACAGAAAAATAAAATCACTGAGTGGGAATACTAGACCATGATTCTCTCAGGTGGATGACAGCGAACTGGCTGTCTACTGATAAAACTTGATATAATCTTAAAAAATTCCTGAAATAACCCTCCCCTACCTCTTCCCATTACCTCTTTAACATAAGTGGAAAAATAAAAAAAGACTAAAAAACTGCCTGCTTTTCTGGGCAAAGGCAAAATCTGTATTTAAGAGTGTTAATTATGACTCAATGACTAGATCTGAGTTCCACATCATTCCCTTTTTAATATCATCAGCTGTGTCTTGGCACTCAAGTTTTCTACGAGTTTGTATCATATGCAAATGTATTCTTTATTTCAGTTTTGTCTTTTCCTGTTATTTTTATTTTAAATTAACAAACTAGAAAGACAAAATATAGTTTACTATCCCCAAAATGTATGCCCACTTCTGTTATTGCTTTACCGGTTTTTTCTCTTTAAAATTATTTTTTAGGGTGAAGGGTTGTTACTGGTGGTAGACAGTATCATGGCACAATTGCTAGTAAAAGCTATACTTTTGGCTTTTAACTAAAATCTATGCTTAAACAAATACTATTTAAATAAAAAGATTAACTTTCTCAATAGATATGTTTTCTATACAATTTGAATACTTTCTTTGTGTATAGGTGTCATCAATAGGTAACATTTATATCAACAAATTATTATCATTTACTAGAATTTCCTGGAAATAAAAATAATTTTTAAAGACTTTAACCTATCTCTGCTTTACAAAACAAGCTGTTTATTAATATAAGAGTTCAGGACAAATATTTCTGAAAGAACTAAACATTATGTTGGTTGACCTACAGGTTCTCACCTACAGAGGGAAGCTGAGCTACCCTAAGCTGGAGAAGGGTGACTCCCAAACTTCTCTTTACTATGTAACATCTTTACTCTCTCTTCCAATTGCAGCTTTTTCCCTATCAGAAAACTAGGTCTCCTAGACTCTCTAAATTCAAATTCTTCACTCCACCAAAACCTGAATAAATCTGAATATAAACATGTCTCTGCAAATGAGTCATAAATAATCTTGCGTGCATCCATAGGTATTTTAAGACACCCTAACCTAAGCACATTACAGGTGCAGTGAGTAGCATGGCTTCTATGACGAAGTTGGCAGAGCCAACAACTCACATTTTTTACTCATATTAACATCTGTGTTCACAATACGGCATTGAATATTCATATCTGCCCGGCTTTTCCTATCTCTAGAAGTTTTCCAACCCCTCTGCCCTGCTGTACTTTGGCCATTTCTAGTTGCCACTCGAAGTTTTTCAGTCTTTGCAATTTTTATTTTTCTTTTGTCAGCATTTTCTTTTATCCCAGATCTTCCCCTCAGTACACAGATTTTTCCACTTATTTTTAGCTTTCCTTATCTTCTGAGCTCCAGCCCTTGCATGACTGTTTTTCTAGACTTTTGTTCAGTGGTTAGCTAACCGGGCCCACTACTCCTTTGGATTTTGGATCTTCTTGGTTAGTGAACTGAATGATTACCATGTTTTCTTTACTTCTGCTCTAATGAACTTTATTTGAACTACAGTCTTTAGTTCTCCTTCTGGCTGCCACTTCTGCCCTGGGAAAGACAACCATTACTTGAGAATTCTGGTTAATCAAAATGTTACCGTCCTTGAAAAATGGTCTAACATTAATGAATCTGACACCCAAATAGACACATAATTATATCTGCAACCTGGCTTTTGCAGAATTTAAAAATACAAATAAAGACTATGGTCGTGTTTTTTTTTTAAATTTTTAATTCAGTCAACCAAATCAAGGCTGCTTCCTTTTTCTTTTTTTTTTATCAAAAGGCTTGAGCTCGATAAAATGAACATGATTTTTTGCCAAGCAATTCTTTTTTTTTTTTCCCCTTAATTTTTAAGCCCATGGGTATTTCAAGGGAAATTCAACCCACATGTTTCTGATTCATTTACACTTAATTCATTAAAATATTGTTTTGTAAGAGTTATTTGATGTCCAAGGGCCTTATGAGTCTTTTTATATGACTTCTTATGCCATTTTTTTCCTCAAAAACAGGAAGTGGTATTTTGCTAAGAACTGAAACTCCAAAAGGGTTGAATTTCATATGAATCACATAAAGCACACTAAGATGATTGTATCTCTCCTGGGTCATCCTTGCTTTGAGGAAGCACCTGAAACAGTTACCTGCATTGACTATATGTTGTTAATGAAATTCCAATTTCTCCAACACAATTCTAAAATCTCCTAAAAAGGGAGACTTCCAAAGTCAATCTTTAAAAGGACACACAAAATGAATCAATTTAACTCAATATTCATGTGAATATAATGTTATTTATTAAGACAAAGTTTTATAGCAGAGGCATCCACCATGTGATAGCCTCAGGAAACCCCTACAGTCTGTTTATTTAAATCTAAACCTTCCTTCATTCCCTCATCTCACTCCAAGAAAGGAACTTTGGGTAAAAAGGGGCAGAGAAGGAGACTGCAATGGATTAAGCAAACAGAATGTGTGTGTGTTGGATGACAATAAGAAACACTGTAATGTATATCTAAGCTATGCTTTCTTATATAGAAGCAACAACTTTTTTAGCCAGAGACTATTTAAATAGCAGATGTGCACGATTTTCTTTGTGACAAAAAAAATTGGAATGCTTATGTAATGAGTCTGAACTTGCATGGATACACAGTTTTTACTAGCAGAGCACTGAAGTGTCTTCTTGAGAACGCTTGAGTTCAAGAGCAGCTCTGTGGTCCCTGAATGAAATCCAGAACCAAAGTCCCACCAAAGGGTTCTTCTGACTGGTTTAGTTTCCAGTGCAGGCAAATTCAATGAAGGAATCCGAATACCACTGAGAATAAGAGAACCATTTTGGATCAAATATTTGGCAGCTGAAATCAAAACTAGAAAAAAAATTATTAGGAAAAAAATTATCTGGGGTAAAAAGAAATGAGATTGGAAATAAAATTTCTTAGTAAAAGAACATAATGATGTGGAGAATGAGCAGAGGATGACAAGTCCTAGAAACAGAATGGATAAAGTACTTAAAGTAGAAGAGGAAGTTTTAAAAGAGAGAAAGAAACACAGTAAACTGTCAGAGGAAATACAGTGACAACTACTAAAGCTGAAGTTGTATTTACTTAAATCCAGAATACCTGGCTTACTTACTGGAAATATTCAAATTTCTAAATACAGCAAACACATGAAGTGCAGTAATTAGAACATCCACAATGTTCTCCCCCACCCAATTATTCACTGTAGAGCAACTAGATGGATACCTATGCAAAATCTTTGATGTAACATCATGTAACAGTACTGTACTGAAACTAATATTTTACAAAACATCCAAGCTTGACGTTTATTTAGAAACCTACTAACCATGATGTGTAGATTGCCTGAAAATAGAAAGGAATTGCCCTTTAACACCAACTCTGTTGATTCTGACATCAACATAGTTCTCTCAACCCCCAAACCATAAATACATGGGATAAACATCAATATTTATGTGTGCTCTTTTGCTCCACAATATCTCATGATGTGTGCCTTCAACACCTGTTCACAATTCCGCTTTCTTCAGAGAAAGCAAATCTTGAGTAAAGAGAGAAGATGAGTACCACATGATTGGTATAGCATCATAACATTTTTATAATGCCTTAGAAACATTGATTAATTTCCAACTATGGACAAGCTATTTTTCTAAAAACTTCAAGTAGTAAAATTAAATTTAAGACTCATTTCTTTAAGTGGATTACAATTTACTGGGGGTGAGAGGCACTAAAGAAATTATAATCCAAGATACTACATTAAATGTTATACAAGGGATGCAAACTATTTATTTTTTTGGTTTGAGCTAGGATCTTGCTCTTTTGGCCAGGCTGGAGTTCAGCTGCGTGACCTTGGCTCACTGCAACCTCTATCTCCCAGTTTCAAGCAACCCTCTCACCTCAGCCTCCTGAGTAACTGGGACTATGGGTATGCCAGCATGCCTGGCTAATTTTTAACAATTTTTTTTTTTTTTTTTGTAGAGATGAGATCTCACTATATTGTGCAGGCCAGAAACTTATTTTAATAGATACTAAAAATAATTAGGGTAGTATTTCAATTGGAGATGTTAGAAATGGTTTTATGTAAGAATTAGCCTGTGAGTTAGTAAGAATTTTAATAGGTATGAGTGAAAAAGAAGGAAGAAAGGATGAATGAAAGCGGGCAAGTAGAATGAGGTAAACTAGGATAGTTAGAATAACAGCTCTACTGGGAAATCATATTGGAAGTTTAATTGGAGCCATGCTGTTGGTGACCATGTGTGCCAGACTGAGTAATCTGAATAAGTACATAGTGCATAGTTCATTAGACCCTGGGAAAATGGAAAATAATTTGAAAATGGGGAGTGCGAAGGAGGTGGCACGGCTACATTTGTGTTTTAGAGCTTGGCAGTCAAATGTAGAAATTCTTAAGAATCTATGAGTGAGCTTCAGTAGCTTAAAAACCTTCAGAAAATTGATTTGTTTTCTGGGACAAGTTTTCTATCTTTTGTCAGTTTCTTTAAAAAGCCATGATGATTCAACAGTTTAACAATTATTGGGACCTGTTGGGA
Source organism: Homo sapiens (assembly GCF_000001405.40). Taxonomy (NCBI): domain Eukaryota; kingdom Metazoa; phylum Chordata; class Mammalia; order Primates; family Hominidae; genus Homo; species Homo sapiens. The sequence continues at coordinate 28,063,718 of NC_000021.9, read as the reverse complement.
GGCAATGTTCCATGAATAAGTCCTCGCATCTACATATTCAGAGCTTTCTAAGCAAAGAGTGCTGCCACCTAAGTTAAAAGTTGATTGAATAGCAAATAATCCTTGGAAGTCAGAGACAGATGCTTCCAGAGAAATATAGAGATATATCTCCCCGTATCCATTTGTTTGTATTTCAGGGTAGTAAAGCAGTGACACATGTCTTGACTCTGAGAAACAACTTGTTTAGATTCTGGAACAAAGGTTTCTTTCTCTCTCAGGGAGCATGGGCAGTTTTGCTAGTAGCTCCTGCACAGGTGCTATTTTCATAACTTGGAGCCTCCTCTCCTGTGGTGTGAAGCTTGCTGCATGACATCTTGTAGTATCATGGGGAACTAGCACAAGTTCCTCTGTGAGAAAATAATCGTTTCCCCAATCAGAATACTTGTAATTATGTGTGTGTGTATATATATATATATATATGTATATATATGTATGTATATATGTACATATATAGCTCTCGCATACTAATTTTTGATCTTGCAAAGTAACATCTCAGACTACAGTTTTGAACTAAACAGAATCAAATATAAATTAAATACCAGAATAATACTGAGTATCACAACTAAGATAACTTCCATTATACAAGTATGTCTCAACATTATTAAATCTATTGATATAATTCATCGCATGAAAAGACTGAAAAAATAAGGCAATCATATTATTAAATGTCAAAATAATTTGATAAAATGTTGTATTCATTGCCAATTAAAAAAACCCTTAAACTAAAAAATAAGAAATTTTAACTCTATTACTATAAGCCACAGGTAGAAACCTACTATAAACATACTTAAGAGAGACAAAAACAAACATTTTATTATACTTAGCAAAGGAGAAAGATTCACACCATTGGAGCCCTACTGCAATAATACATAATAAAATAGTAGAAAAATTTTTATTATAATGAATAATAAAACATGCATACTGCTATCATTCCTTTATATTTTTCTATAAAATACTATAATCCTACCTAACTCTGAAGATAACACTCAATATTTGTATATTAAATAATTATTATACGAAAATATAGTTTTCAAAGTGTGGCCCTAAACCAGCAGCAGCTGCAGGTTCTAGACTTATTAGAAATGCATTGTCCGGTGGCTCACGCCTGTATTCCCAGCACTTTGGGAGGCTGAGGTGGGCAGATCACAAGGTCAGGAGATCGAGACCATCCTGGCTAACACAGTGAAACCCCGTCTGTACTAAAAATGCAAAAAAATATTAGCCGGGCGTGGTGGCGGGCACCTGTAATCCCAGCTACTCGGGAGGCTGAGGCGGGAGAATGGCGTGAACCTGGGAGGCAGAGCTTGCAGTGGGCCGAGATCGCACCACTGCACTCCAGCCTGGGTGACAGAGCGAGACTCCGTCTCAAAAAAAAAAAAAAAGAAATGCATTGTCTCAGGCGCTCTATCACAGACCTGCTGAACCCAGTGATTTGTGCTGTAACAAGCATCCTGGGTAATTCCTATGCACCCTAAAATATGAGAACTACTAATATAGAAAATTCAAGAAATTTTAATACACTTCAAGATAATTAAAGATAATAAACTGAAATAATCTTAGAACAATGTAAAATCCATAACATACACCGGAAAAATAGCTTTATAAATACATATATTAATGTCTTACTAAATGTCAGAAAGACATACAGAGCTAAAAGCTTTGTAAAATATGTGAGATAATATATCAACATCACCAGTATATAAAAAATACTCAAATAACGCAAAACAAAAAGAGATAAAATGTTTGAAGAAAATAAATGAATGACCTATCAAATATGTAAAAATATTCCAAATCAAACACTCATGAAAATTAATGCAACATTATAACTTTTTTTATTCATTAGATTGACAACACTGAAAGACCTAATACTCAGTATTGTCTAGGCCATAGAAAAATTCACACTCTTTGAAGTTATTGTGGAATTGTAGATTGTTAAAGCTTCTCCTTGAAAAGGGATAATTTAGCATTACTCATTAAAATTAATGTCAGATTTGTTCTTTGCCCCCAAATTTATACTTCTAGCATGTTATTCTATAAGGATTCTTAAACATGTGTGAAAACATGAACTTCTGTGTGTGAATCAAAGTATTATTCACTGATAGCAAAACACAGCAAGAACCTAAGTAATCTTTAAGAGGAAAATTATATAATAAATTTGTGTATGTGCATGCAAATGTGTAGAAATGGAACTAGCAGAAATGACCTCTGAAAAATGAATAATTCATTGATAGAAGGGGAAAAAAGAAACAGCATAACCAATTTGAGAAAGAGAATGTTTCTCTTTCCAGTGTCATTGATCAATTTCAAGACCCTGTCTTTGCTCATGGGCTGGGTGGGGGCATGTGCCCCAGAAATTGAGTTTCATGGATCAGATGCAGCTTGTTCATCTTGTTCGCTGGTACAGAAAATGATGTGGAGCTCTTCCAGTGGATTCAGAAAGAGTCACAAGTGGATATTAAATTTAAGTGGATTTTAGCTGTCACCGAAAAGGAAGAAGAGGTCATGTAAATAAGTTTAAAATGATAGCACTTAAAAGCCTTCATAATGAAGGAATGTACTCCAACTTAGATAACAGGACCATTTTAATAGATAATTTGTTAACTTTTCTGATTTCTTACTAAGTTCACAACATTCATTAATAAATTTCTTTAAAGGCTTTACGTATGCAGTTGTTGAAACAAGACAAAAAGAAAGTCAACCGCACAATAGCAATGAATACCTCTATCCTTATTATATCTGAAATAGTTTTCAGAATTATCATAACTAAATGTACTAATATTAAACATGTTCAAAATATATAGCTACTGGATTATATGAATAAGTGTCACAAATTACAAACATAAGTGACATTTGTTGATAGAGCAAAGCAGAGCTTTTTGTTGTTAAAAATACTCACATTTTAGAATAATTTGTGGGTGTTAAGTTATTCTGGGGTGAGAATAGCAGCAACTGCCCAATTCTAGATCACAAAAATTGTGCACCCATTTCCTCTTGTAATGCTATAGGATTAGCTGTTACATTTAAGTCTCTGATCTATATTGAGTTAATTTTTGTGTACAGTGTAAAACAGTTGTCCAATTTTGTTCTTTTGCACATGGATTTTCAGTTGTCCCAGCCTTACTGAAAACACTATTCTTTCCCCTGTTGAATTGTTGCAGCACCTATGTTGAAAATTAATTGACCATAAATGTGAAGTTTTATATCTGGATTCTCAAATATATGCCATTATATAAGTATAGCATTGTCTAATTATTGTAGTGTTGTGGTAAGTTTTGAAATCAGGAATAGTGATTCTACCAAATTTGTTCTTTTTCCAGATCATTTTGACGATTCTGGATCCCTTAAATTTTCATATAAAATTAAGGATTAGCTTGTCAATTTCTGTAAAGAAACCATCTGAGGTTTTGACAGGGATTACTTCAAATATGTAAATAAAATTGGAAAGTACTAATACATTCTAAATACTAATATTTTCTTAATAATGCAAATGCCTTAGTTCATGGACATATTGATCTTGTATCCTGCAATCTTGTTGAACTAATTTCTTAGTTTTAATAACATTTGTAGATCCATTAGTATAATCTATATATATATTAGTCTGTTTTCATGCTGCTGATAAAGACATACCTACGAATGGGTAATTTACAAAGAAAAGAGGTTCAATGGACTCACAGTTCCATGTGGTTAGGAAGACCTCATAATTATGGTGGAAGGCAAAAGACACATCCCACATGGTGGCAGGCAAAGAGGGAATGAGAACCAAGTGGAAGGGGTTTCCCCTTATAAAACCATCAGATCTTGTTAGACTTACTCACTACCATGAGAACGATATGGAGGAAACTGCCCCCCATGATTCAATTATCTCCCACTGGGTCCCTCCCACAACACGTGCGAATTATGGGAGCTACAGTTCAAGATGAGATTTGGGTGGGGACACAGACAAACCATATCATTGCGCCCCTGGACCCTCCCAAATCTCATATCCTCACATTTCAAAAACAATCATGCCTTCCCAACAGTCCCTCAAAGTCTTAACTCATTTCAGCAATAACTTAAAAGTCCATAGTTCAAAGTCTCATCTGAGACAAGCCAAGTCCCTTCTGCCTATGAGCCTGTAAAATCAAAACCAAATTAGTGGGGTTACTTCCTAGATAAAATGGGGGTACAGGCATTGGATAAATACAGCCATTCCAAATGGGAGAAACTGGCCCAAAAACGGGGGATAAAAAAACCCATGCAAGTCCAAAATCCAGAAGTGTAGTCAAATCTTAAAGCTCCAGAATGATCTCCTTTGACTCCATGTCTCACATCCAGATTACACTGATGCAAGAAGTAGGCTCCCCGGCTAGGCAATGCCCCAGTGAGGACACTGTGTGGGGGCTCCAACCCCACATTTCCCTCCCACACTGCCGTAGCAGAGGTTCTCCATGAGGACCCTGCCCCTGTAGCAAACTTCTACCTGGACATCCAGGCATTTCCATACATCTTCTGAAATCTAGGCAGAGCTTCCCACACCTCAATTCTTCACTTCTGTATACCTGCAGGCTCAACGCCACATGGAAGCTGCCAAGGGTTTGGGCTTGGACCCTCTGAAGCCATGGCCGAAGCTGTACCTTGGCCCCTCTTAGCCATGGCTAGAGCGGCTAGGATGCAGGGCACCAAGTCCCTAGGCTGCACACAGCAAGGGGGCCCTGGGTCCAGCCCACGAAACCATTTTTTTTCTCCTGAATCTCTGGGCCTGTGATGGGAGGGGCTGCCACAAAGGTCTCTGATGTGCCCTGGAGACATTTTCCCCATTGTTTTGGCTATTAATATTTGGCTCTTTGTTACTTATGCAAATTTCCGCAGCCAGCTTGAATTTCTCCTCAGAAACTGGGTTTTTCTTTTCTATCACCTCAGGCTGCAAATTTTCTGAACTTTTCTCTGTTTTCCTTTTAAAACTGAATGCTTTTAACAGCACCCAGTCACCTCTTGAATGCTTTGCTGCTTAGAAATTTGTTCTGCTACATACCTTACATCATCTCCCTTAAGTTCACAATTCCACAAATCTCTAGGGCAAGGGCGAAATGCCACCAGTCTCTTTGCTAAAACATAGCAAGAGTCCGGCCGGGCGCGGTGACTCACGCCTGTAATCCCAGCACTTTGGGAGGCCAAGGCAGGCGGATCACAAGGTCAGGAGATTGAGACCATCCTGGCTAACATGGTGAAAGCCCGTCTCTACTAAAAATACAAAAAATTAGCCAGGCGTGGTGGCGGGTGCCTGTAATCCCAGCTACTCGGGAGGCTGAGGCAGGAGAATGGCGTGAACCCGGGAGGCGGAGCTTGCAGTGAGCTGAGATCGCGCCATTGCACTCCAGCCTGAGTACTCAAAAACAAACAAACAAACAAAAAAAAACATAGCAAGAGTCACCTTTATTCCGGTTTCCAACAAGTTCCTCATCTCCACCTGAGACCACTTCCACCTGGATTTCATTGCCCATATCATTGTCAGCATTTAGGTCAAAGCCATTCAACAAGTCTCTAGGAAGTTCCAAAATTTCTCACATCTTCCTGTCTTCTTCTGAGCCCTTCAAACTGTTTCAGCTTCTGCCTGTTACCCAGTTCCAAAGTTGCTCCCACGTTTTAGAGTATCTTTATAGCAGTGCCCCACTACCTCGGTACCAATTTACTATATTAGTTCGTTTTCATGCTGCTGATAAAGATATACCTGAGACTGGGTAATTTACAAAGAAAAAGAGATTCAGTGGACTCACAGTTCCACGTGGATGGGAAGGCCTCACAATCATGGCAGAAGGTGAAAGGCACATCTCACATGGCAGCAGGCAAAGAGGGAATGAGAGCCAAGGGAAAGGGGTTTCCCCTTATAAAACCATCAGATCTCGTGAGACTTATTCAATACCATGAAAACAGTGTGGAGGAAACTGCCCTCATGATTCAATTATCTCCCACTGGGGTTCCTCCCACAACATGTGGGAATTATGGGAGCTACAATTCAAGATGAGATTTTGGTGGAGACACAGGCAAACCATATCAATATATAAGACAATGTCTTCTGCAAATAGACAATAAGTTTGAACATTTCTCCCCCTTGCTCTCTCTGCTGAGTTACCACTTATTCTCCACATTCATCCACTGAATGTTGCAGCCCCTGTCAAGCAGCTCTGACTATGGCTATTTTCTATGTGTGCTACTAATCAGTCTCTCTCTTTGTCCCTTTAGGCCCATGGGTGCCAATGGCTTTTTGATTTTTTTAGCCCTAAGGGACCACATTAACTATTATACATTTCTTCTAGCCTTGCCTGTACAATTTTCCTACCTTAGAATATCTTTTAAATTATATGTTGACATACTAATATGTATAAAAATCTAAGACATAGTCTAAAATGATAAAAATAATTTGCATTGTTAAAAAATATATTACTTCTTTCAATCTAAGTATGGGAAAACTTAAATATCTAAGGCCCTAAATCCTATACTACTGCTAATTTGCCTTTGCTTTTAAGGATTTAGAAATATTAATGCAAAGCACAGTGAAACAATATGTAACATTTATACTGAGAATCACTATTTTGAGAAAATTCTAACCTTAGTGTATGTTGGGAATTTAGAATCTATTAAAACGTAATGAAGAGTGCTGCATTTGTCTTTCAATAGTTCGTTATATATGTAAGGCAAATGCATTAATTGGCTTTTGAGTCAGAACAGTTTCTTTACGAATTACACATTAGCTGCAATTCAAATTAATCCATATGCCTCAATTTTATTTGAGAGCAGAAAATGCCAGGCTTGAATAACTACCAGTAAGTGACACGTCAAAATAATTCATATTAAAGTATTACATATACTTCAATATCCTCAAACATATCAGTCAATTTTACAATAGCTTCTGTTGAAATTCATCATACTTTTCAAAGAAAATCAGGCATAGAACAATTATTCTCTCCTTATCATTGTGTTTAGTGTCTTAGAAATAAGCCAGTTATTGAGTGAGACAGATTTTGAAAGAAAAAAGAAGGCATTGTAAAACAGCACCTTAGGTGGAAGAATTACAGATTTTAATTTAAAAACATTATGCTTACATTTCAATAGCTGGCATTTTTCACTTTTATATAAAATTTTAATAATAATGGGTGTTATTGAAAACACACTTGGTAATAAGATTTTGCATTTAAAATCTACTAAAATTTTATTAGTTTCTGAAATCCAGGAAGAAGATATTTTTGCACATAAGGTACATATTTTCCCTCCTGTTGTTGCTCCAGTGCTATTTCTTATAAGAAACTCAAGCTCTTTAGCATTTGCGTCTGACTTATGAAATTTACTACTTTTTTTTTTTAACTTTTCTACTTATCTTCTCGGTTTCATTTCATTTTCCTCACCTCCTCTCCATAATTCAGCCTGTAGAGATGTATTACTAGCCTGTGGAACATTATCTTTCAAAACATGCAGCCAACTGTGCAGAGGTCTGTATCTTTGTTGCTTTGATATTTCCAAGCTAAAATAATGCAGATGTCATTATTGGGGATCACTTTGAAAAGATCTTAAATCATGGGTAATTCCTTCTTTTTGTATGAGGAATGATTGTCCACGGAAACTAGGAAGGCGAAGATACATAAAATCCCTGGGCCCACGTATGTTGATTATAAGAAGGTTGCAGGACCTGAACAATGACATTATGTCTGTGGATAATAAATACAGATGACTTTATAGCTTCCAAAATATGTTCCAGAAACATAATTTTATATTACTTTATAGTCCTCATTTAATTAACAAACATATAGTTGCAAAACTTTCCCCAAAACTCACATATACCCAAATTCACAGCATTCTAAAAACAATGCTAAACCATCCACGTGATACTTGCCATTATGGCCCCAAAACTATTCTGCTGACATTAACGCATTACCCATTATATAAAGAAAGGGACAAGGATGAGACGGGAGAGGGGAGGGAGAGAGTTTATTTTAAGGGAATAATGTGAATGACATTCAATTTATCCATCACCATCTGTGGCTGAAAGGAAGAGGACGTTTATCTTTTAGCTTAAGTCAAGTGAGGAGGAGAATTTCAGGAGAATAAACACACACACACACACACACACACACACTCACCCATACAACCATACAACAAAACAAAACAAAGCCTTTGAGACCTCGATTTAAGCCCAGGATTTCAGGAGATACGAGTATGTTGTAGCTTACTGAACAAGGATACAGCGATCTATGTGTTTTACAATGACAAAGCAAAAGCATGGATTTCTCAAGGACTAGATTTAAGAACATGCTAGGCTTGTGTTATTGTAAAAGGATCTTGATCAAGACTACCATCAAGAGAGAAAACGCAGCTGCAGCAAGAGCAAGAGACAAGGTGAAGTCCAATGGCTCACTTCAAAAAATAGTGGCCAAAGGACCCCAGAAAGAGTCTAAGAGTAACCTTCACTATCATCCTACTGGAAGACAATTCCACTTTCAACATTCATTCACCAAGTCCAGAGAGTACCAACACCATCTCTGGTGTACCATACGCGTAAGCCTGTATTCACTACTCCAAATATCAGCTTACCTGGGCCCTATCTGTTAGGCAAGGTAGCAGAAGAGAAAGTAAGGTAAGGAGAAGGAAACAAAGCCATCACATTTCTCCCTCCACTACAGGCTCCTAACACTGGAGTGAGCCCAAGTTAGGGGAGAAAAGAAACGTTAAACAGATACATGTTTGTCATTTGGACTTTTTATGATGGATTGGACTATGTATTGGTACTGAATGAGTAGGACCATTTGAAATGTGAAAACATCAATCGCTGAGCATGTAATTATCAGGAGTGGTATGTTCTGCTAGAGATTTTATTTAGTGAGACAGAGAAAAAAAGAATAAAGTTGCTTTCTCTGCATACTGGTGAATCCAGGATGATTTTTTCTTATAGAAACAATACTTTTCACATCCTGCTCTTTAGACAAATTCACATCAACCCTTTTCTCACAATATAAAATACATATCTGTTTTGGCACTTACAAACACTGAGAAGCAGCAATTTCCTTTCTTCCCTCATCACGTTTTTTGACATGTCAATATATCCCTAATCAGTTGATCATTGCCAACATGCTAATCATAAGCACTAGCTCAGCCCAGGTTTATTGCAGTTAAGTTATTTCACAAGTTGAAAACATCCCCTGGTGGATTTTAATAAAACAGGGAACTTTGCTATGAAACTCTAGTTGTGGTATGATCAAAAAGTACATACTATTAAAAATGTTAGGGATCTAAAATTTATATACATATTATGTGTTAAAATTAACATTTCAATACAAATACAATAGAAAAAGGGGAGCAGATAAAAAAAGAAACTGGCAATACATAGATTTTTTACATGTTATCAACATACGAAAATAAAGTACTGAATCTGTTTAAAATATCAAATTCTACTCATGTGTTAAAAGCGTGTTTTGAGTAGTTAGGACACTCAAAATGCTGATTACATCTCCAGCACGTAGCCCGTGCTGGATATTTATATATCTGATCCTACCTATTTACAAGAAAAATAAGAAACAAAAAAAGAAGCAGAAATTAAAAGGATAAGGAAGCTAAAAAGGCAGGCAACGAAGAGTTAAACTCTATGATAGTGTTATTATTTATTTCAGATGTAAAGTTATATTACATATTATTTTTAAGTCTATTTGTCCTCCAGCAGCAAATGTACTCCTACTTTTAGGATTATAAATCAAAACTATTTATTGAGAAACTGTCATAAGTCAGGCACTATATTCAAGCTATGATTCTTTTACTATTTGAAATAAGGTTTAACCAGAAGGTTTACATGGAGTTAAAAAGTGACCAAATATTTAAAATGACTCAAACTGAATATGCTTTGTTTAGTTCAGGTCTGTTAAACATCAAGGGTAGACATGCCAGCGTTGCTTGAGTTCAGCACTGAGCTTGGTCAGCTATCTCCTGCTGATAAATAACAAAGAGGCAAAGATGACATTGAAACTAAATGATCCTGAGAAGGTGAAGGTTGAGCCTTCTTGAAGCACATCCATAAACATATGCACACACACACACACACACACACACACACACACACACAGGCCCCAAGTCACTTGGTCACTTCATAGGAAATAACTTCAACTACCAATGTGTATGTTTTGGGAAATAAACATGGAAGAAGATAGGTCAGAGTCAGATTAGTGTCATCATCAAAAAATGCCTGTACTACTTGGCTCTTCTTTAAATACGATACTTGGGTTAGGAACAAAGACTCTGCTGGAAAAGCAGTTTAATTATCACCAACCTTCTCAAAGCAAAGGACAAAACAACTACTGTGGGATTTCAAATCTGTCAGCAATCTCTCTTATACTTCATTCATCACAAGGCCCCTGGATTTAACAAGCACTAGGCCTCACCCACTTCAAAGACCATGGGGAAACCCACTTCAACAAAAGTCTCCTTTGAGCCTATGTGGAGTGATTTTACTTTCTTCTTACTCTTCATCCCAGAAGTTAATTCCAGAGTTGGTTGATACCATAATCTTGAGCAATCGACTGCAAACCTAAACACTTCTTGGCTGACTTTATCCCATTTGAAATGCATGAAGTTACTGTGATTCAAGTTATGCCCTAGGTGTTGATTTTTTATGAGCCTATAATCCCAGAGATGTAACATTTGATTTGTTCACATGGTGTCTATAAGAGTACCTTGCAGTGATAGAAAATTAGAAACAACATTTATTAATAAGTGCCAGGTTTCAAGGACTCCTGATCCATCCCCATGACATAAATCGTGGAATCTGCAGCATGTATATTTGAAATACATTACCATAAAATATTTATAATTACTTTTTAAATTCTCTTGGACTTGTCTTGGTGTCAGAAATATATTTATTTGTTATTAGTTATTTTTCTCTTGGCTCATTTCTCTTTGTGCATTTTCAGAGAATAACACTTGACCTAAACATTTGCATTTTTAATTTATTTATAATAAAAAGAACTGATAATTTGCCAACCGAGACATTATACTGATCTTCACCACAAGAAATAGATGCTATGTGTCTATGTATGTACGTACTGTGATGCAAATGAAGAAAGTAAAATGTGGAGCAATTAGATAGTTTGTCCAAGGTCACACTGAAGGAAAGCCAACACCCAGGAATCTCACTCTGTTGCCTGTTTGCTTAACAATACCTTAAGCTGCCCATCTATCAACTGTAGCTCAGTTCAAATCCATCCTCCTTCGTGATCCCTTCTCTGACCTCTTGGACTCCAAATCCTTTGCGGCATCCCTACGATATTGGCTTGTCATTTATTTAGAACATATCATGTACTATTTTCCATTGTCAGTTATCTAAGCTGACTAAAATTTCTGGTAGGCAGATCCTAAATCTTGGATTATCAAGGACCTACACCCAATATTATCCTAAGACTCAAAGCTAAGCAGTTACTTGATTTTATAACCTCTTTAGAAGAATCAAAACTGGAGTATACAAAAAGTTTTCCTAAATACAGTTTTGAATAATAGGGTCATAGATTTAGTATCATTAATACTTGCATATAAAGAAAGAAAACCAAAGGGTTTATTTACTTTTGAATCTTATAATTATCCAACTCATATCCATCAAAAGTAGGTACTCATTACAGACCAATGTTTCACAAGCCCCAGTGAGCACGGATTGCTTAACACAGAGAGAAATTGTTATTCCCTGATACACAGACTGAGAAACAGAAATGATTAAGAAAGGCCTACCCTCCGGTGGCCAACCTCTTTGGAAGTAAAGGATATCTACATCATGTTTCCTTTGATGTTAGGAATGAGGACTCCAGACTAACACAGATTGTATTTTCCCTGGTACAAATCATAATTTCCTCAAATTTTCCAGTTCCAACCACTAGATGTCATGCAGAGACCATAAAGTAGAACATCTTAGTGGTTTCTGTTGTTTTTTTTCCCCCCACGTCGAGCATTACCAATTTTATGAACTTCAACATTTAAGGTGGTTTGGAAAAATTTTAAGTGACAGGCATTAAAGACACAGGTCAGTGCAATTTATTTCACAGTCTGGGTGCATAGACATTATGGCAAAAATATATAGAATTAAAAGTACTACCTCATTCATTGCAAAGCATTATTTCCGGAATCTGAAAAATTCATGCAAGTGGGTTCCAAAAAAATAAAAAATAAAAAAGATAGAAATTCTAAAGCCTCCCTTCTTTAACAATCACCTACTTTACCCTGGTAGACAAAACTGGAATTCAAGAAAATGGAAAGAAAGCGTGTATAATAGAAAAAAAATCAAAAGTTTTGGATTAAATACTAGCTTGGACATGTGCTAATTGAGTAAACCTGCTGTAATACTTAACTTCTGTAAGTATCTGTTTGCTGGTCTGTGAAATGAGAATACCTGACATGCAATAATTGGGAAGTTTCAATAAAACATTGTGTATATATATATTTTATATTTTATATATATATATATATATATATATATATATATATATATATATATATATATATATATCTCAGGACCTCAGAAGATAATTAAAGAGTTATAGATTCTGGAGTCAGCAAGTTATGAGTGAGAGGTGAAGCGACTGGAAGAGGACTAAGTTGTCCAAAAAGACTGCAGCAGATTAAAAAAAAAAAAAAGCATCTGGCTTTAGGTATAGGAACATTTCAGAAATGGGTAAGCAAAAGATAAGAAAGAATCTACAGATACCTGTTTGGGTGTATAAGTAAAAAGATAATTTCAAAATCATTTCTTTATTGTTTATAATTAGATAAGCCTCCTGTAGTGGGAAATGAGAGTAAGAAGACAGAAAAAAAAATTGACCTCTTGAGAATAAAAATTCTCAAGGTGAAAGGAGATGGGATTCAGACGTGGACAAGGCTGATTGGAAAGATAAAGGATCCCTCTAAGCATACAATTAAAAATACAAACAATAATAAACCAAAATAAGTTTAAGGCAGGCCAACAGAGTTTGAAGAAGTAAACAATATAACATCTCACCCACCACCACACAAAGCTAGTTTTTTAATCGAGAAAACTTATACTATGGGAATCATGGCCTTTATCCTAAGAGCCATACTAGATGTAAAAATCTCTCTAAAGTACATGATACATATTTAAATATACACACATACATACACACATACACATATGCATATATAAGTTTTTGAAAAACAAAATTATGAAAAAGTTTTCTTTTTTATGCATCTTTTGCTTGTATCAATAAATCCTACAGTCAACTTACAATGAAGGCCAGTTTTTCTCAAACGCCGTAATGCTCTGCCTAAATCATTCATTTTAAAAATGATGGGTAAAACTTTACAAATAAAATGAAGTATACTTTATGTTAAATAATTTTGAATTCTCTATATTTAAAAATAATATTGAGATTATTACTCCAGTAAACAAAACTGAAATGCTAAAGATTACATTTAAATAACACATTCTTTATTATTATTATTTTCTTATTTTAAATTTTACTTTAAGTTCTGGGATATGTGTGCAGAACATGCAGGTTTGTTACATAGGTATACATGTGCCGTGGTGGTTTGCTGAACCTAACAAACTGTCATGTAGGTTTTAAGCCTCGCATGCATTAGGTATTTGTCCTAATGCTCTTCCTCTCTCCCCTTGCCCCCCACCCCCCGACATAGTGCATTAAAACATCAAGTATTGTAATTTGCAGTTTGTGATACACCGTGTAGGCTAGAATAAGAAACCTTTTAAGTATGAAATAGGAAGATATAAAGAAATTAATTAATTTTTAAATTTAATTTTAAATTTTCAATTAATGTTTATATTTTAATAATAATGCTTATAGTTTAATATTAGCTATTGATGTTTTATCTATAAAGGTAGACTATGAAATTTACTTTTTGCATATTTCAACTTTCTTAGTTTTCAAGATTTTTCAAATCATGTACATATTTGATGATTTTTATGATTCATTGAGGTAACTATTTGATAATATTGTTCAAAATGACCACATTAATTATGTTTTTAGTAATGATTTACTCCCCAAAAGGTATATGTTTCCACCTTAAATTCCTGTAAATAAAATTCTTGTGATAGCTTCTTAAAAAGTAAGAGAAAAGAAAGAGAAAACTGATTCGTTTCTACTTGGAGCTTGATTTCAAATATGTAAACCCCAACTACGTAATTCTGTACACAGGAATCTCATTATTTATTTTCATAGTTGCTGCTTTATTTAAAATTTTGTCTCTAAAGTTTATATTTGGCAAGACAAATAAAAATAAGCTGGTTTATAATTTTTCTTATTCTAAGATGTGCATGTGTATATGTGTAAATATGTTTTAATTTCTAATGGCCTGTCCAGATGAAGGTATCACTCCTGGAGACATGGCAACCCATATGAGAATGTTTATATACACTGGGGTGGAGAAGAACAGCCATGCCCAAATCCTAATTTAAATCACCTTCACCTTTGAAATGTTAAAACTGTATGTGTCTTTTTCAGTTTCTCTCTGCTCCTCCTTTTCTCCTATGCTCTTGCTCAGAAAACATTTAATTTCAACTCAGGTGTATTTATTAGAAAGAATCCTTCCATTTTAATTTTTTTGAAAGTCATTGGAAGCAGATCCTGTGTCCTTATAAAATTCCACAATAAAACATTTACTTTTGTAAGCTATGTGTATCTAGATGGTGATATTATTGTTAGGAAATAAAAGGAGAGCATTTGGTAACTATGGCAACATGATATGTTTCAAAAGAAATATGGACTCTTTTTCCTTGAAGAAATTAGATATTTTCCTTGACTGGTACTTAGGGATCCAAGTCTAGAAGAGAAATAGGATTTTTTAAGGCTCACTATTTTAGTCTTTTTTTTTTTTGGAAATTGTTCACCTAGCCACATCTGACAAAATAAAAGATTAAATTTGAGGCTGCAGAAACAAAATTGCAGTTGTAATTTGCCAGCACCTAGTCCATGTTAGGGTAAACAAACACAGTCAATTCCCATTTATCTAAAGTTTAAGCAATAATAATTTTCAAAAATGGAATTTCTTGCCGTATTATTTTTTCTCCAAAACGCACAAAATGAGAATGTGTTAGTCTAGTCTCATGCTGCTGATAAAGACATACTGAAGACTGGGCAATATAAAAAGGAAAGAGGTATAATGGAGAACTCACAGTTCCACATGGCTGGGGAAGCCTCACAATCGTGGCAGAAGACAAGGAGGTGCAAGTCACATCTTACGTGGATGGCAGCAGGCAAAAAGAGAGCTTGTGCAGAGAAACTTACATTTTTAAAACTATCAAATCTCATGAGACTCATTCACTGTCATGAGAACAGCGTAGGAAAGATCCACCCCCATAATTCAATCACCTCCCACCCGGTTCCTCCCAGGACATGTGGGAATTGTGGGAGTTACAATTTAAGATGAGATTTGGGTGGGGACACAGCCAAACCATATCAGAGAATATTCTTTATATAGAGATATATTGAAAAATGTTACTTCTGGTTTCAGTCATTACACAATAATAGAGTCCGACTTCTAAGTCAATAGTTTTAAACGAACAATTTATTTTCACCACAAAGATTCCAAAACACTATGTGACTGTGAATTATCATCCTAATCAGATTAATTTTTTGATATAATTTTAGGGTTAGTTTGGATTATTAGTGTGTGAGTTCTGTGAAAATTATGACAGTAAAATATGCCTGTAGCCATCAGCCTATAACAGGAGATCTCATTGTGAGCTCAAGGAAGAAGGAAACACACTGAAATTTCTATATTGGTGCAGGATGATGGTAATTGCAAGAAAGGGCTTAAATAAAACAGTAGTATAAAACTCAATCTGATACAAAAAAGTCAGCGGCAAGACAAAAATAGTTTATAAATATAAAATAAGGAATCAAATCTAAGCTTGTGCGTGAATAAGATTAAAAAATTATCAAATTCATGTTCAGTATGGTAGGAGTGACCTAGACAAAAGATGAGGAAGAAAGAGTGACTATCTAAGTAATTTTATGGGATTATTATGACTTTTAAAAATATTTGATCTTTTGAACATCTCACAGGATAAAATATTGAATTAATTAGAATATTTAGTTGACTGAAACACCCATTTTCTTACTTATTTTAAAAAACTGAATTTTAATGTATATAAGTATAGATTAATGAATGTATACATAAACACAGAGAAAGAGAGAGAGAGAAAAAAACATTCTCTGCATATTGCTTCTTCTTGCAAGAATGTTAAGAACAAACATTTTTCTTTATGTCTCTCTCCAATTAAGTTAAAGATGGTGGAGCTGCATACTAGTTGCTATTATAATAGCTTTTTCATAACATTTTGTTCACAGTTGGGAAAAACAAATGAGCAAATAAACATTGAGATGTAAAAGCAGTGTACCACTACCTTTAACGTACCAGTCTTTATTAGGTAAGAGAGTGTTTTGATGTGTATATTATCTTCTGCTTTATAAGGTAGCTTACTTTCACCTGCTTAGGTGGGAACAGATAGATGATAGATAGATAGATAGATAGATAGATAGATAGATAGATAAATAGCCAGATAGATTAGGTAGATATATAGACATATAGGTAGATGGATAGATAGTGTCTTAGTCCGTTTTGTGCTAATGTAGCATGCCTTAGACTGGGTAATTTATAAAGAACAGAGACTTATTTCTTACAGTTCTCGAGACTGGGAAATCCAAGGTTGAGGAACCTACATGTAACAAGGACCTTCCTTCTGTGTTATCCCATGGTGGAAGGCAGAAGAGCAAGACAGCATGTATGCATGTGACAGAGAAATAGGAATAGTGCTGAACTAATCCTTTTATCAAGAACTCACTTCCTAGGTAGCTAACCTACTCTCAAGATAATGGCATTAATCAATTCATTCAGCAGAGCACTTGTAACCTAAGTTACCTCTTAACAAAAACATTTTTGTCAACTAAAGTACAGGGTTCATGAGACAAATAAAATTCATTTATATCGTATATAAAGTAACTTAGGTTAGCACATTTTCTTCCTCTACCAACTTCAGTGAGGTTGTGTCACACATGTGAAATACAGTTAGATTTTTTTTTTGCTTAGATGGTGTCAGGGATCTCCAGACATACTATATGTTTCTTTTTAAATTTGCGTACATTAAGGTTTACTATTTCTTCTGTAAAGTTCTGTTGGTTTTGACAAATACCTAATGCCATGTATCCACCATTACAGTATCATACAGCATATAATCATAGCTTTATTGACAGAAGAATCATTTGTGCATCAATTATTCTTCCATCCTCCTTTACTCCCCACAAACATTTGGCAACCCCTGATAGGTTTCTTTCTTGTGGAATGTCACATAATCAGAATCACTAGTCTGTATCCTTTTCAAATTGGCTTATTTCACTTAGAAATTTGCATTTAAGATTCTTTCATTTTTTTCATGATTTGATTGCTCTTATCTTTTTATCATTGAATATTATCTCACCATATGGATGTATCACAGACTATCTGTTCTCCTCTTGGGGAACGTCTTGATTGCTTCCAGTTTGGGGTAATTATGAATAAAGCATCTATAAAAATATAAATAGAATTTTTGTGGGCAAAAATTAACAAATCAGTTTAGTAAAAATCTAGGAGCATGCTTGCTGAATTATATGTTTAGCTTGATAAGAAATTGAAAAGCTCAGGAGGCTGAGGCAGGAGAATGGCATGAACCCGGGAGGCAGAGTTTGCAGTGAGCTAAGATTGTGCCACTGTACTCCAGACTGGGCGACAGAGTGAGATTCCGTCCCAGAAAAAAAAAAAAAAAAAAAAAAAGAAATTGAAAAGTTGTCTTCCAAGGAATCTGTACAGTTTTTCATTTCCACCAGAAAAGAATGAGAGTTCCTGTTACTCTGCATTCTTCTCAGTATTAAGTATT
The DNA here is from genome assembly GCF_000001405.40 of Homo sapiens. Taxonomy (NCBI): domain Eukaryota; kingdom Metazoa; phylum Chordata; class Mammalia; order Primates; family Hominidae; genus Homo; species Homo sapiens. The sequence continues at coordinate 28,045,798 of NC_000021.9, read as the reverse complement.
ATCAGATTTTTAGATTTTAGCAATTCTAATAAATAAGTAGTGGTTCCTAATTGTTTTAATTTGCAATGTTCTGGTAACAAATGATGTTGACCATCTTTATTTTCTATCTGTGTATCTTCTTTGATGAGGTGTCTATTTAAATCTTTTGCCAACTTTCAAATGTGGTTTTCTTATAGTTGAGTCTTAAATGTTTATTGTATATTTTGGATACAAGCCTTTTATCAGATGCATGTCTTGCAAATTTTTTCCCAGTCTATTACTTTTTAAAAATTATCCTAACAGTGACTTTCACAGGGCTGAAGCTTTTAATTTTAGTAACATCTAAGCTTTCACAGAATCGTTTTGTGGTTGTATCCAAAATCTTATGGCCAAATTCAAGGTCTTCTAAATTCTCTCCTATATTTGTAGTTTTGCATTTAAATCTATGTTCTATTCTAAGTTGATTTTTTGTGAAGCTCTGAGGTTCGTGTCTCCAGGTTCATTTTTTTATGTGTGTGCAGAAGGATAGCCCATTGTTGCAGCACCACTCACTACATTTATTGCAAAGACTATTCCTTTGCTATTGAATTGCATTTTGCTCCTTTGTCAAAGATCAGTTGATTATATTTGTATGAGGCCTATTTCTGGACCCACTAGTTCCATTGAACTATGTGTGAATTCTTTAGTCAATACCACACTGTCTTGACACTGTGCCTTTATAGTAAGTCTTAAAATCGGGTAGCATGCATCCTCCAACTTTATGTTTTTTCAGTTTTTATTGAGTATTTCAGGTTTTTTGGCTTTTCATATAAACATTATATATATGTTTGTTGATATCTAAAAAGGAGTATTTTTCTAAAAAATTGGGATTGCATTGAATATATTCATCAAATAGGAAAGAATTAACATCTTAACAATAGTGAAGTAATGTTGAACTTATCACACTTTATTTAGATCTTCTGTAATTTCTTTTATCAGAATTTTGTAGTTTTGCACATGTAGTAAAAGACATGTAGATTATTAAAAAGTTTTGTCAGATTTATATCTCAGTATTTATTTTCATGTCTGTGCAATTGTAAATGGCATTTTTAGAAACTAATATTGTTTCTCATTGCTCACTGCAAAGGATGAATTTCTTAATAAGTAACTAACTTTTGTATATTGACCTTGTTTTCTGAGATCTTATAATTAGATTTAAAAAACTACTTGTTTTTGCAAATTCCTTGAGATCTGTTATATAGATAATAATATAAACTCAGCACAGATAGTTCTAATTTTTCCTTTTCTATCTTTTTTATTTCTTTTATTGTCTTATTGCACTTGTTAAGACTTTTAGTACAATGTTGAGTAGAAATGATGAGAGAAGTTATCTTTGCCTTGTTCCCAGTCTTAGGAGAAAAGCTTCCAGTCTCTCAACATTAAATATGATTCCACCTGTAGGATTTTTGTAGGTGTCTTCATCAAATACAGGGAGTTCCCATCCTCTCTACTTCTAATTTGCTAATACTTCTTATTATGAATAGGTTTCATGTATTTTCAAATGCTTTTTCTGTATCTATTGATATAATTATTCAATTTTCTTCTTTATTAGTCTTTAATGTGGTAGATAACACTGACTTCTGGATGTAGAACAGTCTTGCATACCTGGAGTAATTCCTTCTTGATCATGGTGTAGAATTATTTTTATATGTTGTTGTTTGATTTGTTAATATTTTATTGAAAAATTTTGAATCTGTATTCATGTGAAATTTTCACCTGTGTTCATAATCTTTAGTTTTCTTTTCTGTAAGGGCTTTATCTATATTTAGTATTAGAGTAACACTGTCTTCATAAAAAATGTTAGGAAACATTCTCATTTTTTTCTACTTCCTGACAGGGATTGTGGAAAATTTTACAGTTTCTTCTTAAACAATTGGTGTAATTCAGCAGTGAAACCATTCAAATATTGTGGTTTTTCATTTGAAAAGTTATTAGTTATTGATTGTCATATTTTATGTGTTAACTTTCCTAGATCATGGGATCAGGACATCTATTTAGACAATATTTCTGAGTGTCTCTGTCATGGTATTCATGGGAGAAATTAGCATTTTTATGAATAGACATAGTAAACTTCATTGCCCTTCTCTATGTGTGATATCAACTAATTCAGTGAGGGTCTGAATAGAAGAAAAGGTGAAGGACAGGAGAATTCACTCTTTCTTTGCCTGATTGATTGAGCTGGAATATCTATTCCTCTCCTTTCTTTGAAATGCCAGGCCTACAAACTGGGACTAAAATTACACCATTGAATCTTTGACTTTCAGGCCTTCAGATTACACCAACTGGGTCTCCAGGTTTCAGAGGATAGATTTTATTGATTTTATTTCTCTGGATAACCCTGACTAAGACATATATTGGTACTGGGAGTGGTTTTACAGAAATAGAATTTTATAAATAAGTTTCCCAGATTGATGCTGTAGATTTTGGAATAAATTGTCTAATCTGATTAGATGTAAAGGTTTGGATGACTCTGTTTCCAGTAGTAAAGAGAGCACTAACATCCATGACATAATCTGGTAATAGAGATATACAAAATATCTGCCTTGGATACCACTTATAAAAAGCAAGGAACTGAATGACTGTGTAGATGATGCTTTTGAACAGTTTTGGAAAACTAACAAATATAATAAGGTTGGCCATTTGCTCCTAATGTCACTGGACAAAGTGGTGAAAGAAAAGGATGAACTTAGGATTTAAATTCCCAGAAGCATAAGTGACCTGAGGACTTATTGTCATCTGAAGATAACTCTTATTTTTGGTGTCCACAGAGTTGAGATTGCAGAAAGTGAGATGCAGAATCTCATCCTATGAATGGCTGAATTATAACGGAAATTAAACTCCAAGTCTTTCAGCGTGTTCTTGCTAAAGCAAGAACATTTGTTGAGAGAGAATGGGGAAAGGGTTTCTAGAAGGCTGTGTATGTTCTGTATCAGCATCGGATATATGATCCTGTTTCTCCTACAGCCAGCATTCATGGTTCTAGGAATTAAGGAGCAGAAATGGGAGTGAAAACCCTCACTACTACCACTAATGACTCACTAGCAAAATATTTATTTTCTTTTCCCAAACCCTGTGCTGTGCTGGGCTGGAGGTCTTAGTTGCAAAGGGAGGAGTCCTTCCATTAGGAGATACAATAATGATTCCATTGAAATGGAAGCTAAGACTCACCTGGCCGCTTTGAACTCCTCATGCTTCTCAATCAATAGGCAAAGAAGGGAGTTAAAGTACTATCTGGGGTGATTGATCCTGACTACCAAGGGGAAATTGGACTGCTAGTCCATAATGTAGGTAAGGTAAAATACATCTAGAGTGTGGGTGATCCCTTATAGTTTTGCTTAGTATTACCATGCCCTGTGATTAAGGTTAATAGGAAACAACAGCCCAATGAAGACAAGGTTGTTAGTGATCACAGCCCTTCAGGAATAAAAAATTGGGTAACCACAAAAGACAAAAAAACACTACCAGCTGAGGTGCTTCCTGAAGACAAAGGGAATACAGAATGGATACTTGAATAAAGTAGTTATAAATACTAGCTATGACTACATGACCAGTTACAGCAATGATAATTTTGATTGTAATAAATATGATCTCCCCATTTTTTTATAAATGCATTTTTGGTTGTGTATATATTGTGTATATAATACTGTGGTTTTCTTCTGTCTCCTATTCTCTTATCATGTAACATAAGATATATTGGCTTTATATCATAGTATTTAAGTATGTAAGGAGAGGAATATAAGTGCCACATTGACAATTAGAGTATTTGTGAAAGTTAATTTTGTTAACTTGACTGGATCACAGGATGCCCAGATAGCTGATTAAACATTATTTCTGGGTGTGTCCATGGGAGTGTTTATAGAAGAGATTAGCATTTTAATCAGTAGACTGAATGAACTGAGTTGGCTTCCCCATTGTGGGTGGGTAACATTTAGTCCCTTGATAATTGAATAGAGCAAAAAGATGAAAGAGAGAGGATTCATTCTCTTTCTGCCTACTTGAACTGAGATATCAATCTTTTCTTGCCCTTGGTCCTTCTGTTTCTCAAGCTTTCAAACTCAGACTGAAATCTATACCATTGGCTCTCTGGCTTTCAGGCTTTTGAACTACACCACTGACTGTCCAATGTCTCCATCTTGCACAGATGGGATTTCTCAGACTTTATAATTCCATAAGCCTATACCTCATAATAAATCATATATATATAAAAATCATAATATATATTATATATATAATATATATATAGCTATAGCCAGATCATAGATAGATAGATAGATATTAGTTTGTTCTTAGGCTGCTGTAGAGAAATACCTGAGACTAGGTAATTTATAAAGAAAAGAGGTTTAATTGACTCACAGTTCCACATGGCTGGAAAGGCCTCCGGAAATTTACAAGCATGGCAAAAGGCACCTCTTCACAGGGTTGCGGGAAACAGATTGAGTGCAAGCAGGGGAAATGTCAAATTGTTATAAGACCATCAGATCCCATGAGACTCACTCATTATCATGAGAACAACATGAGGGAACTGCCTCCATGCTACAGTTACCTCTACTTGGTTCTGCCCTTGACACATGGGATTATTACAATTCAAGGTGAGATTTGGTTAGAGACACAGAGCCAAACCATATAATTTCACCCATGGCCCTCTCAATTCTAATGTCCTCACATTTCAAAACACAGTTATGCCCTTCCAACAGTCCCACAAAGTTTTAACTCATTCCAGCATTAACTCAAAAGTCCAAGTACAAAGTCTCATCTGAGAAAAGGCAGTCCCTTCTGCCTATGAACCTGTAAAATCAAAAGCAAGTTAGTTACTTCCCAGATACAATGGAGTATAGTCACTGGGTAAATATACACATTCTAAGTGGAAGATACTGGCCAAAACAAAGAAGCTACAGTGTAATGGTTAATATTAAGTCTCAACTTGATTGGATTGAAGGATGCAAAGTATTGATCTTGGGTGGGTCTGTAAGGGTCTTGCCAAAGGAGATTAACATTTGAGTCAGTGGGCTGCGAAAGGCAAGCCCACACTTAATCTGGGTGGACACAGTCTGATCAACTGCCAGTGTGGCCAGGATATGAAGCAGGCAGAAAAACGTAAAAAGCCTAGACTGGCTTAGCCTCCTAGCCTACATCTTTCCCCTGTGCTGGATGCTTCCTGCCCTGGAACATCGAACTCCAAGTTCTTCAGCTTTGGGACTTGGACTGGCTTCCTTTCTCCTCAGCTTGTAGATGGCCTATTGTGGGACCTTGTGATCATGTGAGTTACTACAACATAATAAACTCCCTCCCTTTCTATATATATATCCTATTAGTTCTGTCTCTCTAGAGAACCTTGACTAACACAGATTTTCATATCAGGAGTGGTTCTAGAGGAACAGACTATTAATAATGGAGTTCTTCTGTTGTTTTTAGGGTTTCTAGAGTGGCTGCTTAATATGATTAGACCCCAAAATGCTAAGGACTCTACTCTAATAGTATGGAGAACACTGATAGTCCTTGGCATGGACTGCTTAGATAGTTATGAAAAATAAAAGCATTTGGCACCCCTGATTCACTGCTCATGAGAGTCAAGGAGTTTAGTGACTATATATGGAGAATAAAGGAACAAAATGAAGTTGGTTGGTTGCTCCTAAGTTCACTTGACAAAAGGATGAAAGAAAATGATGAACTCAGGGATTCTAACTCCCAGCTTCAGAAGCAGATGCTAAGTATCAAATCTGCTAAGATTACCACTCAGGAGTGGGAGTCTTATCTCCTGTAGAGACAGAGCTGAAATTGTGGAAAAACAGACACAAGCTCTTATGTGAGTGGCTGAACTGCAATGAAAGGTGCATGCACAGCCTCACCAGGTGTCTACTGTTAAAGTGAGGGCATTAATTGGAAAAGAATAAGACCCTGCAACTTGGAAGGGGAATGTGTGGGAGGACTCTGATGAAGGTGGGCACACTGAGATTGTCAACTCTGATGAACACTTTTTGCCAGAAGAAACAGCTTCTCCATGCCCAGTAGTGGCAACATCCCCTCCCCAGTCCATGCTTCCATCAGCCTTTCCACCTTTGTCTGAGGAGATAAACCCTGCGCTGCCTAAGGCAACAGTGATGGCCTCCCCTGAGGCAGTCGTCAGGCAAGATAATGTTGATTCTCCTCAGGAGCCACCCCCAACACCCCTGTTTGCTTCTGGGCCTATAACTAGTCTAAAGTCCCAGTTGGCCCCCCCTAAGGGGAGGTTGAGAGTGTGACCTATGAGGAGGTGCACTACACTCAAAAGAACTGCTTGAGCTTTCTATTTATATAAGCATAAATATGGAGAACAGGAATGGGAATGGATATTAAGGGTATGGGATAATAGTGGAAGGAACATAGAGTTGGATCAGGCTGAACGTATTGATTTAAGCCCACTAGGTAGGGACTCTGCATTTAATGTTACAGCTTGGGGAGTTAAAAAATGGTTCTGATAGTTTATTTGCTTTGTTGGCTGAAATATGGATTAAAAGATAGCCTACTGTGAGCGAGCTGGAAATGCCTAATTTCCTCCCTTGGGTTAATGTAGAGGAAAGAATCAAAAGGCTTAGAAAGATTGGGATGATGGAGGAGATTAGTCACTTTACACCTACCTATCCGAGCTGGGTGGGTCCAGAAGATATATTCTTGGCCAGTGTTTTGTGAAATAGACTTGTGAGAGCAGCACCTGCATCTTTGAAGAGCCCTGTAATTGCTCTTCTCTGTATATCAGATCTAACAGTGGGAACTGCAGTCACTCAACTACAAAATTGAAATACAATGGGAATACTTGGATCCTGAGGTGGCAGGGGCCAAGTGGCAGCACTAAACCATCAAAGGCAAGGTGGGCATAGCTATTATAATGGACAGCAGAGGCAAAGCAGCAATTAAATAGTGCAAACTCGTGTAGAGCTCTGGTATTGGCTAATCGTGATGTTCCTAGAAATGAAATTGATAGGAAGCCTACTGAATTCCTGCTTAATTTATATAGGCAGAAAACATCCAGGTCAAATGGACAAAAGACTAATTTGAATGATAAAAACAGAGAACCATGGCCCCTCAATTAATTTCCAGATTGGAGCCAGAACCAGAACCCCTTGAATAAAGGGGAGGCCAGGTCCCTTTGATCAAGAACCCCACTATACTACTGACAATTTATGCTGTTATTCTTTCTCCCATTCTTCCCCGAGGAGGCTTCTGACCTGTTACCAGGGCAACTGTGCATTGATGAAAGGGAAATGATTAGACGTTTCAGGGACTATTAGACACTGGCTCTAAGCTGACGTTGATTCCAGGAGACCCAAAATGTCACTGTGGTCCTCCAGTTAAAGTAGGGACTTATGGAGGTAGTAATTGATAGAGTTTTAGCTCAGGCCCTACTTACACAACTCCAGGGGGTTCCCAGACTCATCCTGTGGTTATTTCTTCAGTGCCAGAATACATAATTGGCATAGACATACATAGCAGCTGGCAGAACCCCCACATTGGCTTCCTGACTGGCAGGGTGAGGGATATTATGGTAAGAAGGGCCAAATGGAAGCCATTAGAGCTGCCTCTATCTAGAAAAATCATAAATCAAAAATAATATTGCATCCGTGGAAAGATTACGGAGATTAGTGACACCCTTAAGGACTTGAAAGACGCAGGGGTGGTGATTCCCACTACATCCCTGTTCAACTCTCCTATTTGGCCTGTGGGGAAGACAGATGAATCTAGGAGAATGACAGTGGATTATTGTAAGCTTAACCAAATGGTGACTCCAATTGCAGCAGCTCTACCAGTTGTGGTTTCATTACTTGAGCAAATTAACACGTCTGCTGGTACCTTGCATGCAGCCATTAACTTGGCAAATGCCTTTTTCTCTATTCTTGTCCATTGGAAGCAATTTGCCTTCAGCTGGCAATGTAAGTATACCTTTATAGTAAATATACCTTTACTGTTCTACCTCAGGGGTATGTGAACTCTCTGCCTTTGGATCATAATCTTATTCAAAGAGACCTTGATCACTTTTCACTTCCACAAACATATCACACTGGTTTATTACATTAATGACATTATGCTGATTGGACCCAGTGAGCAAGAAGTAGCGAACATACTGGACTTATTGGTAAGACATTTGCATGCCAGAGGATGGGAAATAAATCTGACTAAAATTCAGAGACCTTCTACCTCAGTAAAATTTCCAGGGGTCTAGTGGTCTAGTGGTGTTGGACATGTTGAGACCTTCCTTCTATGGTAAAGGATAAGTTGCCGCACTTGGCCCTTTCTACAAGCAAGAAAAAGGCACAACACTTAGTGGTTTTGTGCCTATTTGGATTTTGGAGGCAACACATTCCTCATTTGGGTGTGTTATTCTTGCCCATTTACTGACTGACCCAAAAAGTTTCCAGTTTTGAATGGGGACCAGAACAGGAGAAGGCTCTGCAACAGGTCCAGGCTGCTATGCAAGCTGCTCTGCCACTTGGGCCATATGACCCAGCAGATACAAAGGTGCTTGAGGTGCCAGTGGCAGATAGGAATGCTGTTTGGAGCCTTTGGCAGGCCCCTATAGGTCAATCACAGCAGGGGCCTCTAGAATTTTCTAGCAAGGCCCTGCCATCTTCTGCAGATAACTACTCTCTTTTTGAGAGACAGCTTGTGGCCTGTTACTGGGCTTTGGTGGAAACTGAACTTTTGACTATGGCACCTCTGGTTAGCTCTCTTCTAAGCCGAGATTAAGTCCTTGATTTTGTTCCCAAAGAGAGAAAGAAAAAGCAAGGAGAAGAGTACAGTGAGTTTTAGGAGTCTGACCTGTAAATGGCCTGTATTTTTCCTTCCCACATTTCAACAACTACTGCTCAGTCTCATGACTAATCTATCTGTAAAGAGATAAATTCAGAAGCACAAAGCTAGCCTAAATATTAGAATGCCCCCTGCAAATCTCTGCCACATTAGCCCCCTGCTTTCCTCAGAAAGGCCAGGAAAACTTTTTCTGGCTACCCTGCTTACAAGAGCAACACTTCCTAAATTAAATGTTGCTCAGTGATCTTCAATCCTGCTTGTTTGTTTGCTGGTTTGAGACAGAGTCATGCTCTGTCACCCAGGCTGGAATGCAGTGGTGCGATCTCGGCTCACTGTAAGCCCCACCTCATGGGTTCAAGTGATTCTCCTGCCTCAGCCTCCCAAGTAGCTGGGATTACAGGTGCCCAGCACTATGCCTGGCTAATTTTTGTATTTTTAGTAGAGACGGGGTTTCACCATGTTGGCCAGGCTAGTCTCAAACTCCTGACCTCAAGTGATCTGCCCGCCTCGGCCTCCCAAAGTGCTGGGATTACAGGTGTGAGCCACTGCGCCCGGCCTAATCCTGTTTTTTTAATGCCCCTGGATACCCAGCTCAACTGCATGTTTTGCTTTTCTTAAAGTTAGGTGAAGTCAGGCAATGGAGCTTTTAGAGAAGAAAATGCATATAAACTGAGTGGAATTGATCAAACCTTGTAATCCTGCTTCCTTAAAATGCCTGTGTGCTGTTCTCTACTCCCTTTCTTCAACCACCAACTGAACACAGGGTTCTAGAGTTCTCAGGAGGGCAGATACAAGAGAGCAGGAGGGTGGGTTCCTGAATGACCACATGGAAGGCTTCCCACTAATAAGAAATCTTAGTATTGGGCTTCACATAAACACTGAGAAAATGGCTCTTTGGGAAGCCACTAAAATTTTTTGATTTATCTGTTATAGCAGTTAGTTATAGCCTTCCCATTTGAATGTCCTATTTCTCTGAATGTGCTTTATTTAAAACCACATCACTTATCACCATCTGACATATTCTGTATTTGCCTGTCACTTTTTCTCCTGTGTCTTCTGTCCAGAGAAAGTGTTGGCCAACTATAACCCCAGAGCCAAATCTAGCTTGCTTCCTGTTTTCATGTGTAATTATTTATTGGAATATAGCCACAGCTATTCATTTTTGTATTTAGAGAGGAGGAGCTGTGTCTATGCTACAACAGGAGAGTTCAGTAGTTGCAACAGAGAAACTGTATGATCTACAAACAATATTTACTATCTGGCCCTTTACAGAAACAGTTTGCCAATGTTTGTACTAGAATGTAAACTCCAAGAATGTAAAACCTTTGTCTCTTTACTTTGCTGTTATATAACCAGCATTAGAACAGTGTCTGATCCATTGCAGGTGTTCATATAATATTTGTTAAATGCATAAACGAATAAGTGAATGAGTGTGCAGTAGGCCAAAAATGTTCCAGAAAAAAAATTCATATCTAAATTTCTTGAACCTCTGAATATTACCTTATATGAAAAATCAGACAAACAAAAAATCAATCATTGCATGTGATTAAGTTAAAGATCTTGACCTAAAAGATTATCCAGTATTAGCCAGATGGACTCTAAATACAATCACATGTATCTGTATAAGAGGGAAACAGAAAGAAATTTGACCACACAGACAGAAAAGGAGAGGGGATGTGATCACACAGGCAGAGGTTAGACTGATGTACCACAAGCCAATGAATGTTGGTGGCCACTAGAAATATTATCTAAAGGATTAGGAATTATCTGTTTAGAACTTTCCTGATGGCCACACCCTACAAACCCCCGATACTGATTTCAGATTTATGACATCGAGAACTGTAAAAGAATAAATTTCTATTGTTTAAGCCACCAAGTTTCCAGTAATTTGTTACAGAGGCAGCAGGAAACCAATACACAGGGGAAAGTGACTTAAAACTACTTCTAATTCCAAGATAATACTCAAAATGCTCATGCAAAAACTACTTCTTGTGTCAACATTCAGTCTATATAAGTGCTCTTGAAATTAATTATCACTATAATTCAGTCTCATGAGGAAAAATATTTTGGTTTTTTTTGCTAACCAAAAATTTATAGCAATTCATAATTTATAGTTTATGGATGAAATTAAACATATTTGAGATTATTTTTATATTAGCACTTTATAAATCAGTTGCTGAAATAGCCTGTTTTGAAATATTAGATATAAGTGCCAGGAATAATTCTGATATTTTCTTTAACATATTTTAGTCATTTCTTGAATTGCATTTTTTATGATCATAAATTGTCAAACTAATAAAATTAATTGCTATTGAAAAATAAGAATTGTGAATGTCTTCAGGGTGAGGGCTGCTCATGTAAAAAGTTTTTTTTTTTTTTCCTCAATAAAATGAGACTCAGGGGAGGAAGTTCCCTTCTTCTCCTTCAGAGAATGTGGTCATGATCATTTCTCCCTGCGAAGACTTGGAAAGGCTGCAGCTGTTTTGGAAATATGGACTTACACTTGGCTGATAGGCTGTGTCTGGGAGAGTGCAAAGATGAAAAAACACCTAGCACATGGATCGTGTCACTGAGCTACTGAATCAATCATGGAACCACGCTCCGTCTGTACTTTGTGTTCTCTCATAGAAAAAATGTTCACTTTGGGTTGTGCATCCATTACTTGAAGCTAAAAATCTCCCCATGTAGGCAATGATCACTACAATGGGTTATTTATGTTTCTGAGTAATGTACTCATTTAATGTAAAAAAGATAGAGCAAAGTCCTCAATCATATTTATCAATTACCAAGGGTCTGACTAAATCTACTTGAGGTTCCAGGGAAATAACGTGGGAACCAAGATATTTAATTGTCCATCTGCCATTTGAGGATTTTTCTTTTTCCCCACATAAGGAATCAATTTGTGTAGCCATGATGGTGACTTCAACTGATGCCTCTATTCAGCACTGGCTGTCCTGTTTAAATGATATACTGAAATGGACAAATGGGCAGAAGCTTCTTCACAAAGAGCAAATGTATCTCTGGTTTGCGTGGTAACTTTCATGCCTGTAGTAGAATAAACTTCAGTATATCCTTTTTATAAAATTGCTCTGAAAATGGAAGACATCTTAAAATGTTGGCATGCATTCAATAAAGTGGTGTTCTCTCCAAATTTAATATAAAATTAATGTTTTAAAATTGACAACATCTTTGAATCTACAAAATACATGTGCCCCACTCCAGACCTACTGCCACATTGACTCTATACCTACGAATCTAACAAATAGTGAGCTTGTTTGGATTTTGCCAAAAGCAAATATTTAAACATGAGAACAGTTGATATTCCCAATTGCTGCTTCATATAAAACTAAGCTAGCATTAATTTTATCTGCCCGTCTTGTTCTTTGTACACCGTTCTGGCTCTGTAGGAATACTAGACTTTGCATGAGAAAACTAAGGATTCAATCGAAGATGGTTTATTAAGTTGGTGATTTATTTAAGTACATTTATTGTCATTGTTTTGCAACACATAATACAATTTCCATAATAACCAGGAATTGTTTTCTTCTATTTTATATTGTTTTCTGAATTTCCTCTATGAAGGAATCATTTAACCTTCCAATTTAGGCACTATATTTTTTACCTCATTATGCAACAGAAATGTTTTGAAAGTTGTAGTCTGAAACCCAGAATTCAGTCTTAGCTCCACAACTTAGTAGTTACTTAGCTCTTCCAATCTCTGCATTTGCATATGTTTAGGGATAACCGTAATTAAGATACCTTAAGCGGTAAGATTTGGAGATTAAATGACAAAATCGGAAAAGTCTTTGTTTGTGTTTAAGTTCTGTATACAGATGCTCCTAGGTTTTGTTACAATTGTAATAAAAATAACAAATAAAATCAATGTGGTGATAATAGTGTCTTATGTATAGTAAGAAACTGAGTAATTAAATTTTGTGTTCTAATATCCAAACAATGACCAAATTGGGTATGCCCCAAATTTTTTGTTGAGACTGAATAGACAATGTAATAATATTAAGAGATGGGGTATTTAGAAGGTGATGAAGGGATTCAGGCCCTTATAAATGGGTTTGAGGGTGTGGGTTTGTTCCCTTCTGTACCTTCTGCATGTGAGGACATGGTGTTCCCTCCCTTCTGAGGAAGCAGCAACAACGCTCCATTCAGTTCTTTTACAATGGTTTCTTCATTTGTCTCTTACATAGTTTCATTCTAAGACAGAATAAGGAATGACATATTCTGTGAGTTTTTGCATGATTAAGTATGCCAGTACTGCCATTTTGTACTTGGATAACAACTTGCCTGGTTATAATATTCTTGAGACACACTTGTTCCCTTAGAATTTTGTAAATATTGTTCTATTATCTTCTGGCACTTTATTTTTCCATGGAGGCATTTGCGCCCAGCCAGATTTATCCCCTTTGTAAGTTCTTGGATACCTGATGAATTCTTTCTTTATCCTTGAAATTCAATCACTTTACCAGAATGTCATAAAATTGTTTCTTCTAATGAATTTCTTGAGAACAGTATGCCTTTAAGTCTATGAGTATTATTTTACATTTTAGAAATATTTTCTTCTATTATATGATTATTGTTTTTTAATTTTACTTGTTGAGCTTTTTTGCTGGTGAATCATTTACCTTTATTTTGGATCCACATTTTCTGTATACCATTAACATTAACTTCTTTCTGATTACTTTTTTTTACCCCTTTATTTCACTGAGACTACTTCATGGCTTTTTCTGTTACTAATTTTATCATCCACATTGTCTAATCTGTTTTCTATGGTTTCTATTTAATTATCTGCGTAATATTGTCATTTTGGTTCTCTGTTCAATTAACTTTACAATTGTCTGTTGAGTTTATTCACATTGCTTATATTTGATGTCTTTTTAAATTAAAGACTACATTCTCTTCCATTTTTCTTTTGTGAAAACATTCTCCTGTTTTTTCTCAGTTTTATAAGAGTAAGTTAGGCTCTTTTTGTGCTTTGCATCTGTCTTTATTTTTAATGTAGTATTTTGGATGCTTGCATGACTTGCATGCTAGCATGACAACCAAAGAAAAAATTACCAATATTAGAAATGAAAGTTGGAACATCACTAACAAGTCTATAGACATTAAAAGCATATTAAAGGGATAATATTAATAACTCTATGATAAAAAATATTATAACTTAGATAAAATAAAACAATTTCTCAAAATACACAAGCTTCTGAAATGCAAACAAGAGTCATTAGATCGTCTAAATAGGTCCATATCTATTAAATACATTGAATCAATTTATTAGTCACAATTCACTAGAGAAACAGAATCAAAATGAAAATCAAAAGAATAATCCACCTATCTATCTGATATGGTTTGGCTCTGTGTCCCTACCCAAATCTCACCTTGAATTGTAATAATCTCCCTGTGTCAAGGGTGGGACCAGGTAGAGGTATTTTGATCATGGGGGCTGTTTCCCCCATGCTGTTCTCATGAAAATCAGTGAGTCTCACAAGATCTAATGGGTTTATAAACACCTGGTATTTCCCTTGCTTGAACTCATTTTTCTCTCCTGCCACCCTGTGAAGAGGTGTCTTCCTCCATGATTGTAAGTTTCCTGAGACCTCCAAGCCATGCAGAACTGTAAGTCAATTAAACCTCTTTTCTTTATAAGTCATCCAGCCTCAGGTATTTCTTCATAGCAGCATGAGAACAAATTAATGTAGTAAGTTGGTATCAGGAGTGGGGTGCTTCTGTAAAGATAACCAAAAATGTGGAAGCAACTTTGGAGCTAGGTAACAGGCAGAGGTTGGAACAGTTTAGAGGACTCACAAAAACACAGGAAAATATGGTAAAGTTTGAAACTTCTTAGGGACTTGAAGGGTTCATAAGACAGAAAGATGTGGGAAAGTTTCAAACTTCCTAGAGACTTGGTGAATGGCTTTGATCAAAATGCTGTTAGTGATTTGGACAATAAAGTCCAGGCTGAGGTGGTCTCAGATGGAGATGAGGAACTTCTTGGGAACTGGAGTAAAGGTCACTCTTGCTATGCTTAACAAAGAGATTGGTGGCATTTTGCCCCTGCCCTAGATATCTGTGTAGCTTTGAATTTGAGAAAGATGATTTAGGGTATCTGGCAGAAGAAATTTCCTAGGGGCAAAACATTTAAGAAGAAGCAGAGAACAAAAGCTTGGAAAGTTTGCAGCCTGGTGATGTGATAGGAAAACATATATATATTTTTTTCTGGGGATAAATTCAAGCCTGCTGCAGAAATTTACATAAGTAACAAGGAGCCGAATGTTAATCACCAAACAATGTGGAAAATGTCTCCAGAGCATGTCAGAGACCTTCATGGTAGCCCCCACCATCACAGGCTTGGAGGCCTAAGAGAGAAAAAAAATTGTTTTATGGGCCATCAGGGCCCTCCAGCTGTGTGCAGCCTAGGGTTTTGGTACCCTGTATCCCAGCTGTTTCAGCCATGGCTAAAAGGGGCCAAGGTACAGCTCAGGCCATGATTTCAGAACATGCAAGGCCCAAGTCTTTGTCAGCTTCCATGTGGTGTTGACCCTGTGGATGCCCAGAAGTCAAGAACTGAGGTTTGGGAACCTTTGCCTAGATTTCAGAGGATGTATGGAAATACCTGGAGGTCCAGGCAGAAGTTTGCTGCAGGGATGGGGCCCTTATGGAGAACTTCTGCTACGGCGGTATGGAAGGGAATTGTGGGGTCAGAGCTCTCACACAGAGTCCTCACTGGGGCACTGCCTAATGGAGATGTGAGAAAAGGCCACCATCTTCCAGACCCCAGAATTGTAGATATACCTTCAGCTTTCACTGTATGCCTGGAAAAGCTACAGACACTTAATGCCAGCCTGTGATAGAGACAGGGAAGGGGGATGTACCCTGCAAAGGCAGTGGGGCGAAGCTGCCCAAGGCCATGGGTGCCCACCTCTGGCTTTAGCATGACCTGGATGTGAGACATGGAGTCAAAGGAGATAATTTTGGAACTTTAAGGTTTAATGTCTGCCCTATTAGATTTCAGACTTGCATAGAGCCTGTACATATTAGACAGGGTTCTCTAGAGGAACAGAACTAATAGGATATATATATATGAGTTTATTAAGTAGTATTAACTCACACAATCACAAGGTCCCAGAATAGGCCATCTGCAAGTCCTCCATCACTAAGCCAGTCCAAGTCCCAAAGCTAAAGAACTTGGAGTCTGATGTTCAAAGGAAGGAAGCATCCAGAACAGGAGAAAGACGTAGGTTGGGAGGCTAAGCCAGCCTAGACTTTTCATGTTTTTCTGCCTGTTTCATATCCTGACCACAGGGGCCGCTGACTAGATGGTGCTCACCCAGATTAAGGGTGGGTCTGCCTTTCCCAGCCCACCGACTCAAATGTTAATCTCCTTTGGCAACACCCTCACAAACACACCCAGGATCAATACTTTGCATCCTTCAATCCAATCAAGTTGACACTCAGTATTAACCATCACAAGTCCACCTTTGTCAATTTGAACCCATCCACATCGCCTGAGATCAAACATAATCTTCAAATAAAGACAATAATAAGATCAGAATTACACCTAACATAATACAACTATCATTGGTACAACTGGAACTACATCAATCCCCAACGCAAATGCTATTACATAAAGTTAACAATACTTAAATGCTGGTATGAAGTCAATAAATCCTATGTAACATGATAAAGGAAAAAAGGAATAAAACGGAGATATTTTCTTAGTACAAGTGTATACATGCACAAACAGTTTTTAACAAAAGGAGGAAATACTTAAAACAATTACAGTCCTTGTTTCTGCAACTGATCACGTGGTCATAGCTGGTATTGATGACTACCTTCTACTACCCATTCTGTATTCCCTTTGCCTTCAGCAAGCACCTCAGCAGGTCGTGGGTTTTTTTCCTGGTGGAGTGACATAAATCTCCATTCCTGAAGGGTCCGGGCCATTTGTAGTCCTGCCTGGGTTGGGCTTTCATAGTTTCTCATTGACCTTAATCATAGAGCATGGTAATACTAAGAGATGCCCTAATGGATCTCCTGTATTCCATGCATACTCTTCTTTACCTCTGTTGTAAAGTAGTAGGTAGATTTCATCTTGATAGTCCAGTTCAATCACCCCAGCCAACACTGTAACTCCCTTCTTACCCTCTTGGCTGAAAGGTAGGAAGAGCCCAAAGTGTCCAAGTGGCATTCTTAACTTCCAATTTAATGAAATCATTGTTGTGTCTCCTGGTAGCAGCATTCCTCCCTCTGAAATTAAGAGATCTAGGCCAGCAGAATGTAATGTCATGGTAACAGGAAGCAAAAAATTTGCTAGTGGACCACTAGGGGTGACGGCAAGTGATGCCACTTCCACATCCACCCCTTGATTCCTGGACCCATGAATTCTGGCTATGAGAGAAATAGTACCATATGTTGGATGCTGATTCAGAGCATACACAGCCTTCTGGAGAACTTTGCCTCAGCCCTGCAAAATATTGTCACCTAGTTGGCATTGTAATTGTGACTTCAGAAGGCCGTTCCACCATTCTATCAATCCAGCTGCTTCAAGATAATGGGCAACATGGTAAGACCAGTGAATTTCACGAGCATGTGCCCACTGTCGCAAGTGAGTGCCTTGGTCAGAGGCAATGCTGTGTGGAACACCATAACGGTGGATAAGGCATTCTGTGAGTCCAAGGATGGTAGTTTTGGCAGAAGCATTGGGTGCAGGATAAGCAAACCTATAACTGGAATAAGTGTCTATTCCAGTGAGGACAAACCTCTGCTCTTCCCATGAGGGAAGAGATCCAATATAATCAACCTGCCACCAGGTAGCTGGTTGATCACCCCGAGAAATGTTGCCATATTGAGGGCTCAGTGTTGATCTCTGCTGCTGGTAAACTGGGCACTCAGCAGTGGCCATAGCCAGGTCAGCTTGGGGCAGTGGAAGTCCTTGTTGCTGAGCTCATGCATAACCTCCTTCCCTGCCACCATGGCCCCTTTTTCATGGGCCCATGGGGCAATGACAGCTGTGGCTGTGGAAAGAGACTGAGTAGTGTCCACAGAAAAGGTCACCCTATCCAATCGATTATTAAAATTCTCTTCTGCTGAGATGACACGTTGGTGAGCACTCACTTTGGATACAAATATCTTCACAGTTTTTGGCCACTCCAAGAGGTATATCCACATACCTTTTCCCCAAATTCCCTTGTCATTAATTTTCCAATTATGCTTCTTCCAAGTGCCTGACCATCCAGCCAAACCATTGGCTACAGCCCATGAATCAGTATACAATGGCGCTACTGGTCATTTCTCTTTCCATACAAAGTGCACAACCTGGTATACTCTTCAAAGTTCTGCCCACTGGGAAGATTTGCCTTCACCACTGTCCTTCAGGGATAGGGGCTATAGAGCTGCAGCTGTCCACTTTCAGGTGGTGCCTGCATATCGTGCATAACCATCTGTGAACCAAGCCCTAGTCTTGTCTTCCTCTGTCAACTGATCATAGGGAACTCCCCATGAGGCCATCAGTGCAGGCTAAGGGAAAGAAGGCAAGGTGGCAGGAGTGGAGACCATGGACATTTGAGCTACTTTCTCAGGTAACTTACTTGTGTCTTCAGGACCTGCTCAAGCCAGATCACATATATACCACTTTAATTTGATGATTTGATGCTGAATGCTGCTGTGCATGGCCCCCTTGATGGCTAGATGGGTCAGAAAGCACCCAGTTCATAATAAGCAATTCAGGTCACTTGGTGACTTGATTGCTGCCGTACTCTCACTGGACTGTAATGTTAGCAAAAAAAAAAAAAAAGACATTGTATTAAACCACTTAGGTTTGTAGTATATTTTTCAAATCAGCAAGTGTTATTTACCTTATATTCTAGTTCTAGAGCTATCAGAGAGTAGAATGTTCCAGGCAGAGGTTCTGAGTCTGGATCAAGTTTGAGGATTCTAGGGTATAAGGAAAAGAGCTAGAGAAGGAGAGAGGTAAGAAATGAGGTCAGGAGATAAGATGGACAATTATGAGGTGTCATTGTTAGACCTGGCTTTTACTCTGAGAAAGAGGGTTTATACTGAGAGAGAGAGAGGATCTAACTTTTATTTTAAAATGATCATTTTGGCTGCTGTGTTAAGAACTGATGTTGGAGGTGGTGAAGAAAAAAGAGCAGCTTCTTAGGAGGATATTGCAATAATGCAGGTGTAAAGTGATGATGGCTTGAAACACGTGGTACAGGGGCGGGTGAGATATATGTTGTAAGAGAAAAATATTAATCAAGGATGAACATTAGGTTTTCCACATCAGCATCTGGAAGAAAGTATTTGCCATTGTTAATGAGATTGTGCATGTTCAGGATGATATGGCAGTAGAGAGTATTTACCATTATTGAGAAGAAGACTTGAAAATTTTATTAGAAGAGGGAAGTATGAGGGAGATCAAATATGGACATTTTACATTTGAGATGCTTTTTAGGTAGCCAAGCAAATATTTAGAGTAGGCGTTTAAATGTGGAAATATAAATTGGGAAATCATCCATGTGTAGATGATACGAGACTGGATGTGTTCAGTAGGGCAATGGGCATTTTTAAAAGGAAATATCAATGGACTGAATTTTAGTGCATCCCAAATTTCAAAGGCTTGAGAGTTGAGAAAGATCAAATAAAGAAATCTGAGCAGAATCTCATGAGAAGAATCAAGAAAATGGCATCCTGGAAATAAATGGACAATGTGTTTCAAGAAGGAAAGGGATCAGCTAATTTAAGCACCACAGAGGTCAAGTAAGACAAGTACCAGGAATTGACCTGAACTTAGCAACTTTGAGATCAATGATGGTCTGGGTGGAGGTTCTCATTTTGAAGTCATAGGCCTGAGAGACTTCAGGGCTAGATTAAGGAGAGAATTGTGTGGGAGAAACTGGAAACAGTTGGAAAAACTTTAATGTAAAGGAAAAGAGATAAATGGGGTGGGAAATGGAAGGAGACCTTGGATCAAGAGAGGCTTTTTTCTGTTATCTATTATAGCTGTAAATTTATAGGAATTATCCTTTTAAAAGGGAAAAATTGGAAAGCCAGTGATATGGGAGAAAATGAGGGCAAATGCTAGAATGATACAACTGGGATCTAGTGAAGAGATGCCCTCCTTGGACAGAGGCATGGAAAAAATCTTCAGCAGTACCGAGAACAAAAATGCACGGAAAAATTTCTCCACAGTGGTAGGAAGGATGATCAAGAGTCGGGAGAGATACAGGTAGAGTGATGATTTTCATGGTGGTAGTTTTTGTAAGTACTCTTCTGATTTTTACTATTGTCTTTGTATAATAAGAATCAAAGTCATTAGGTGAGATAAGAATTGGACAGGAGTTACAGGAAGGAGACAGGGAAAAAATGGAAAATCTTTTAGGAACGTGAAAGAGTCAAAGGAGCAGACAACTGTTAAAGCATTGGTGCTGATCACTAATAGACCACTTGAAGTTCATGGTTAGTAATTTATGGTAATATCCGGCAAGCACAGTTGTGAGTTTTACCAAGTGAGGGTGACAAATATGAAGCACAGAATTAGATTCAATTGGATTGGGGATTTTGTAAGGCTTCTATGATGAAAGGAGTGCATGGCAAGGAAATTGAAATCAGATGTTGGGAAATGAATATAAGCTTGATGAGGATGAGGATCTTGTTTATTTTTTTCACTGATGTGACTTGGGCACCTAGAAGAGAGCCAAGCACATATAAGCATGTGATAAATACTTTTGGGGTGAATGAATTAAATCCAATGCCTTGACACATCAGTTGGGCTGGGAGGTACATGAAGACAGAATGGAGTTGAGAGACAGAGTGAATAATGGTAGAATTCATGGGCTGTATATCTCAGAGGCGTAACAGAGTTTTAAATGTGGGTGGGTGAACTGCTTGCCGTTTTTGAGGCTTATTTTCTTCAAATGTAAAATTATAATACATAATTACATGGAATCATGGCAATAACTTACGAAATATGCTCAGCACAGTGCCTTGTATATAAAGAGCACGCACTACCTATTCTCAGTCATTGTTGTACAGAGAGCACTATGTATTGTTTTCATTTTAATTCCTTAGCTTTAAACTAAAAACTTGCTTGCATCATACATACCTGGATATCACTATATATTATTACCAAGAGATTGATTTTATGACTAAAATAAAAGGCAACTTGTTGAATTGAGAGGTAAGATTAATTAAATGTACTGTCTAGGGACTTCCAGGAAAATCAGAGTTCTTTCAATACACAAAGACTAAACTAGCATAAAATATTATCTAAAATATTAGCATCATATAGTATGTAAAACCTTCTTAGAAGTTTCTCTTCTAGATTACGTGTTTTCTCAAAATGTGTCTACAAGCATAATGAACGAGTGCTAAGCATGGCAGCTGACAGCATCAGCTTTAGTAGAACAGATTAGATTCCATGTAACTAATACAGATCTCTCTGTAAGATGTGAAGACTGATTAGCGTTGTGCAAATCCATAAGGGAGCTGTGTTCCTCAGCTTCTCCTGCTCACTTGCCATCTCTCCATCATTCACTTTTAATTAAAAGATTAGTGGGTAGTTTTGAAAAAGAAAAAAGAAACAAGGGAGGAAGTTCCTGTCTCCTTCTATGGTTTCAAGTAGTAGGGTTATTGAAAGAAAGATTTGGATTGAAACACAGATCTCATCTTTTCATATATATAGCTTTTTTCTTGACCTGTTATTTGAAGTTATAAATCAGTAAGAAACAGGATGACAGGAGCTCTATATTTAGTGTTTTAAGGTAGGTAGCAGGTTAGTTTTTTTCTGTTTATTTGGGTTCTTTACTTGTATGTTTGCATTTAATGTCAGGTTGTTGACTGCAGCTGAGTTAAGTTTATATTTTGAATCTCTAAGTTAAAGTGGGTCAGGTGTGCTCACCCCACTTCTCAGCCATATCTAAATAATCTTCAATAGTGTTTTGATTTCCTTTATTCACATTTACCAACTACTGAATTTAATTGAATAAATAAGCAAAAGGTACTTCTGTTCTCAGGCCAGGAATGTAGAAAAATTTTACAGTGACTTAGAAAAACCACTGAACAAATAAGACATGGGACTCGGGTCCGTGTTGTGGTTCTGCAGCTGACACATTGGGGTCTTGTTTTCTTATGGTTTAAATGGGAAGTCGATCTTGAAGGTCTCCAGTGATCTTTAATTCTACAGGGGTTACATGAATGTGGATTGATTACTGGAGTTGATCTGAGAATGTTTACAGGTGTGCAATCTGTCCTGATGAGAGTGAAATTAGAAAGGCTAAGGCCAAATGTGTGTATGTGTGTGTATGTTTATATTTGAGAAATAGGCAAACCAGTGGCATAAGCTACATTACAATCAGAAGGCATTGCTCGGAAATGTAAGAATCATTTTTATCAGATAAGGCAGCTCAGGAAAGTGAAAAAGAATGTGTTTTCCTCTGGGGAATAAGGCTGAGATGGTTCCGCTAGTGGGCCCTGGTCTTGCCTCTCTCTCCTGTACTTCACATTGGCAGAGCCTTTGAAGACAAAGGCAAGAAGGAGACATTCCTCAGCCACTCCACAAAGATAGTAACATCAAGTCATACAAAAGGAAAATTATTTAGTGGGAATCACACACATTTTCAATTCCTCTTTGATTTGCGTAGTAAGCGGGAATCAGTTTTGAATATATTTAATTGAAGAAGCCACTTCCAGAAGCCTTTTTAAGAATAATCCCCACGTTATTATTTTCCACAAATGGATATGAAAATAATTAATATGTGTTGAATTTGATAATTCCTATATTAGGCATTTATTTATTTGGATACAGGATCTTGCTCTGTCACCCAGGCTGGAGTGCAGTGTCACTATCATAACTTTTTTTGTTTTATTTTTAGTAGAGATGAGGTCTCACTATGTTGCCCAAGCTGGTCTCTAACTCCTGAGCTCAAGCAATCCTCCTGCCTGGGCCTCCCAAAATGTTTGTATTATAGGCGTTAAGTGCCATACCTGGCCCATAATTCTTATCTTGCAGAAGGCAGAATAATAATGATTTACAAGGATCATTGTCAAACATATTTTAAGGTCATCAACATTATTAGAATGTTAAATAACAGAATACATAGACCAAAGTATATACACAGACCAAATGTATGTGTTGCCTTGCACAAAGGCAAATGTGTCCCTTTTTTAGGGAGAGGGGGACATGACAGTGTGGCCAGGCAACCTCCTTCCATACAGTCTTCCAGGCTGACTGAGACACTTCCATCACTGCAATCTTCAACATTCCTCAGTCATCTGGTTATCCTGGAACCTGTGAACTAGAAGTAGAAAGAGCATGAGGAACATTTGCAGGACTTTTTTGTCCTGCAAATTTTATTAATTAAAGTGTGTAACATAGTGTTTTGATATACATAGGCATAGTTAAAACTACTACTGTCAAGACAATTAACATATCGTTCATCTTATATTGTTAACTTTTTTGTGGCTAGGAGCATTTAAAATTTACTCTCTTAGCATACGCTATTACCAGGTAGAGTCATCATGCTGTATATTAGATCCTAAATACAGTTATCCTAAGTAATTGCAATTTTATACCCTTTGTCCTATATTTTCTTATCTCCAACCCACTTTGTCTCTGGTAACTGCTGTTCCTACTCTCTATATCTGTTTATTGACCATATTTTTAGATTCCACACGAGAGAGATCACGCAGTATTTTTTGTATGTGCCTGGTTTATTTCACATAGCATAATGTTCTCCAGGTTATCTATGTTGTCTCAAATGGTAGGATCACCTTCTTTTGTTTAAAGGATGAATAATATTCCATTATATGATGTGCATATGTATATGTATCATGATATCTTTATCTGGCCATTCATATACAGATACTTAAGTTGTTTCTATATCTTGGCTATCAGGAATAATGCTGAAATGAACATAGGAGTGCAGATATCTTTATGAAGTACCGATTTCATTTTCTTTGGGTATATGCCCAGAAGAAGGTTGCTGGGTCATATAGTAGTTCTATTTTTAATTAAAAAAATTAATTTCTTATTTTGAGATGGAGTCTTGCCCTCACCCAGGCTGGAGTACCCTGGCATGATCTTAGCTCACTACAACCCCCGCCTCTCGGGTTCAAGCGATTTTCATGCCTCAGCCTCCCAAGTAGCTGGGATTACAGACAAGCACCACCATGCCCAGCCAATTTTTGTATTTTTAGTAGAGATGGGGTTTCACCATGTTGGCCAGGTGGGTCTTGAACTCCTGGGCTCAAGTGATTCCCCCACCTTGGCCACCCAGAGTGTGGGGATTACAGGCGTGAGCCACTGCGCCTGGCCCTCTATTTTTAATTTTTCGAGAAACCTCCATACTTCTTTCCATTATGGCTGTACCAATTTACGTTCCTACCAACAATACACAAGGGTTTCCTGAGAAAATCTTTCCTTTTTTTTTGGATGAAGATAGTGGGCTTTACTTGAAAAGAATGGAAGGATCTATTAGCAAAAAGTTGTATAAAATCCAAATTCGTAAAAACGTCTATAGGTCAGATATATAACATTCTTCATAATTAGTGATTAAAGACACTAGAATTTCATTTTAATTTTACTAAGACACTAATTTGAGAAACTGTGATACTCTTGTAAGAGATTCTGGGAATTAGCTCAAGGCCTATGCACACAATCTGCCAAGCTTCTACATCTTGACCTGATTTTGTGGCACTTTGTTATGTCTTGTCCATATTTTAGGGAGAAAATTACATGCTTTGTGAATTTGAGATTTTATAGAGGTCTCAGGATTCCTTCTGAATGCCCAAAGCCTACTGTATTACAGGTTTTGATATTTGAGGTAATTTTATGAATAGCGATATATTTAATCTTTTTTGGGGGGGAGGCAGGGACAGAGTTTTGCTCTTGTTGGCCAGGCTGGGGTGCAGTGGTGCGATCTCGGCTCACTGCAACCTCTGCCTACCGGGTTCAAGTCATTCTGCTGCCTCACCCTCCCCAGTAGCTGGGATTACAGGCGCCTGCCACCATGCCCAGCTAATTTTTTGTATTTTTAGTAGAGACTGGGTTTCATCATGTTGGCCAGGCTGGTCTCGAACTCCTGACCTCAGGTGATCCATCCACCTTGGCCTCCCCAAGTGCAGGGATTACAGGCGTGAGCCACTGTGCCTGGCTGATATATTTAATCTTGAATGGAATTGAAATTATAGAAAAAATATGTCACTGAGAGTATATTGCTGAACATTTTGCAAAGGGGGATGGGCAGTGAAAAGAAGGCACCATGAGAAAACAGTGTGTTAACTTGAGTCCAGGAGTCTGAAGCTGTAGTGCACTATGACTGCATCTGTGTGTGTGTGTGTGTGCGTGTGTGCGCGTCTGTGTGTGTCTGTGTGTGTGTCTCTCTCTCTCTGTGTGTCTGTGTGTGTCTCCCTCTCTGTGTGTTTGTGTTTAGAACTATATATGTGGCCAGGCACGGTAGCTCACGCCTGTAATCCCAGCAGTTTGGGAGGCCGAGGCGGGTGGATCACGAGGTCAGGAGATCGAGACCATCCTGGCTAACATGGTGAAACCCCGTCTCTACTAAAAAATACAAAAAAATTTAGCTGGGCGTGGTGGCGGGCACCTGTAGTCCCAGCTACTGGGGAGGCTGAGGCAGGAGAATGGCGTGAACTCGGGAGGCGGAGCTTGCAGTGAGCTGAGATCAAGCCACTGCACTCTAGCCTGGGCAACAGAGCGAGACTCCGTCTCAAAAAAAAAAGAACTATATATGTTACGTAGCATTTGTAGTGTCAGACTATATCTTTATTAAGTATATTTAAATGTGGTGGATACAAAAGTCCCACCAAACTTTATAGTACAGTTTCTTAGGGTTGAAAAATATACTCACTGTTTTCTATTGTCTACAAAATACACTGTAGTAACTGCACTCCTGTTTATTGGTACCAAAATATCTAAAGGATTAAAACTTAAGACACAAATCAAACATATCTGGGGAAGAAAACAAATTTCTATCCACATAAAATGTTTAGGATAGTGTTGTTTCATTTTTAAATACAGATTCCAGAAGGATTTTAAAGAGGAAGTTGAAGTCAACATTTTCTACAGTGACCTGCACAGTTACTGACCCACTTTGACAGAGCTACTGGGTACTCCACACCTAACTTACGTCTTGGCCCCTTGTTTCCTACTGTCTTGTTTCTTCTCTCCTAGTTACTGATTTATTTTACTCAGATCTTCAGGCTCAGCTGCTATCTTCTAGGGCATACATTTTTTCAATTCATACAATAATTAGTTAAATCAAGATATGACAGTCTATCTTTGACCTTATGCCTCCATCTTTTTGTAATTTGGCTTCTGTCCTGTCTGAAACCGTTCTAAGCACTATGGCTTACTTTTACTTTCATTTGATTCCTGTGATGGTAGCAGCCCTCCAGACAACCTGCCACTGCCATCACCCGGCTGGAGCAGGGAGGTGCGGTTGGGGCTGCCTACTGTGTGGAGCCAGGGGACCATGGACAAGCTGGAGCCCCACCCCTTCTGAGTTGGGGTGGTAGCTCCCCGGGTGCTGCTGCAGCTGCCCAAACCACAGCTGCATACACAGCCTCGCTCCGTGGAGCAGGCAGGAGTCCTGCCCCACTCCCAGGCACAGCTGCAACTGCCCAAACAGCGGCTGCAGACTCAGGCATCCTCACACTCTTGGAGGCCTGGGAAAACCTCCCTGCACTCTCGCTCAGGAAGGCCCCTGTCCTTGCAGGTTCGGAGGTGCCTGTTCTTGATGTCTGGCTTCTCTCTTTTTTTGTGCCAGGAGATAGGAGCAAAGTCAGGCAGCCTGGTTGCCTTGAACAGCAGGAGAAGGATGGCAGGTTCATGGGCAGAAGGGAGCAGGTCCCCAGTGAAGCCCCACCTTTAGGCCGGGGAAGGTCTGAAGCCTGGCGGCAGGCTGCCAGTTCTGAGGGGGATCTCGTGGTGCTTTTACATGGGCCTGCCCATGGCTGCCCATGTAACAATCAGCATGCCCTTCCCCGCTCTGAGGCCCATAGAAGCCCTGGGCTTAGCCAGAGCAGAGCAGAGCAGAGAAGCAGATAACCAGCTGCAGAGAGGAGCTAAGAGCTACTCTCTCTGCTGATAGCTGGAGAGTGTTGGGACAACCAGCGGCAGAGAGGAGCTTCCACTCCAGGGAGACCTGTCTGCAGAGGGGAGCAACCTAACCCAGGGCTTTCTACACTCTGCTGAGGGCTGAACACTCGTCCAGACACCTGGCTACAGAAAAGAGCTATCTACAGCAGGTCTCTGAGCTATTCTACTGCTCAATAAAGCTCTTCTTCTTGCTCATCCTCCACTTGTCTATGTGCCTCATTCTTTCTGATTGCAGGACAAGAACTCAGGGCCTGCTGAATGGCAAGTCTAGAAGAGCTGTACCACAAACGGGACTGAAACATGCCCTTTGCTCACCTCGTTGTGGGTGAAGAGAGGGAGAGAAGAGCTGCAGCCCTTGTAGGATCCCAGACCCGGGAGCTCTCCGAACTAGGGCTGTTAGTCCCTCTTTGAGGTCCTGCGGTTCCTGGCATCTCAGAGCTTCTGGGTGCCACCACATTCCCCAGTGCCAGCTGCTTGTGGGGTACCTGTCCAGCTGCAGCCTTGCAGAGAGCTGGCACCGATGCCAGCACCTGGTGCTGCCTGCATTGCAGTAGCTGAAGGATCTGACTGCGTAGAGGCTGGACCTCACGCTTGTTGACACACCCCTCGCCACTCCATGCCTAACTCACCCTTGGGAGGCATGGGATACAGGCTAGTAGCTTGAGCCAAGCACAGCCTGCCAGGCCGAGTGGGTGGAACGAGCCCAGCGGGCCGAGCAAAACTCAGGAAAAGGCACCACTGGAAAGAGGTTTTAGGCCAGAAAAGCAACACCCCCAAGGATCCCAAAACACCATTGTGCCTGAAACCCTGACTTGGTTGTCTGACTCAGTTTTCCTTGGCCAATCCCCCTACTTGAGACTAGACACACGTCCTCCATCTGTAATAGTGCTGGACCTGGACCTCAGCTCCAGCTATGTTAGAAGGTGTACGTTTCCTGAAGACTTCTCTGTGCCCATACCTCTATTCTGTCAGTCCTAGAGCCGCTGAGTGGTTCTGATTGATTTACAAACTGAAAAATTAAGCCAAAAATAATATCTAGGAACATCTCTCACTCTCTCACAGATTCCAGTATCCTCAGGATAAATTAAGTTTATCATAGCTTTTACTTAAGCAAGCAAGCTATATCAAGAACCCCATACATGCTTTGAAGTTCATCCTAAGTGTTATAGATTATGAAAATTTGCTGTAATAAATGTTCAGTGGATGAACATCTAGTACCTTTTACCCAAGCATGATTATATTTGGCCTCAGAATAAATAATACAGTCTTTTCCAACCTCTCAACAGTTGCCAAAGTGTAGGAAAGGATAAGATTAAGGCGTGAAATAATTCATGTGAAACAGTTCATTAGGAAATACATACTGAGCTTTGAAAACACTTTGTGTGTGCGTGTGTGTGTTTGTGTGTGAAAAAGAAAAACAAGACAAGAATAAAATTGTGTAAGGTGATTGAAGAAGGAGCACACTAATGTTCCTTTAGGTATCTTGCGTATATACACAAGATATAGAGAAAAGAGAAGGTTAGAAGCATTGTGGCATTTTTCAAAGAAGTAGATATTAGTTTCTTTGAAATTTTTATTACATTTTACTCTGGTCTCTTGTCTAGAATACATTCAAGTGCACATGTTTGCTGCTGCTAGAAGTTTGCCATGAAATTCAGATTTATGGTTACCCTGGAATAAATTACAAAGCTGCTTTTCAAATCTCACAAAAAAATAACATGATGACATAATTGGGTTTCTGATCCTGCAGCCCCTGAACTTCTGTTTGTGAAATGTTATTATGAAATCTTATTTCTCTGTGCTATGGTTTTCTCATCAGTCCTGTCCTAGTAGTCTCATTTCACGTTAAGCTGACTGATGAGATACAATAACACTCCATAAGGATACATTGCCTTAATTTTAATCTCAGATTATTTTGATTTGTAAAATGAATTTTCTTTATGTATTACCAGGTATTATGGTGAATTTTATGTGTGCATTTGGCTAGGCATCAGTACCCAGATATTTGGTCAAACATGATTCTGCATGTATTATGAAGGTATTTTTTAGATAAGATTAACATTTAAAACAGCTGAGTTTGAGCAATTACATTCCATTACATTCCAAAGCAGATTACATTCCATTTTGTTGGTAGGCCTCATCCAATTAGTTGAAGGCCTTAACAGAAAACTGCCTTCAAACTCAAACTGCAGCATCAACTCTTACCTGGGTCTTCAGCGTGCTAGCCTATCCTTCAGATTTTGGAATTGCTAGCTCTCACAATTTTGTAATCTAATTCCTTAAAATCTCTCTCTCTCTTTCTCTCTCCAGAATTATCAATAGGCTATATGTGCCTATATATATACATATACATACACACATGTATATATGTATATATACAGCTGTGTATATATAAACATGTGTATGTAATATACATACACATCTGTATATATATGTGTGTGTGTATATGTGTTTCTGTTTCTCTGGATGATATTAATACACCAGTCAAAATGTTAGCTGCATTATAAATATAAATGGTTCTAAATGCCTCTTCTAGGCAAAATTATTATCACTCAATGATTGTACTTTCCTCAATTTTTTATAAGCACACTGAATTCTTATATATTTTGGGAGAATGATGCTATATTTTCTTTATATTCATTAGCAGGTTAGTGTGAATTAACTTGTCCTATCACTTTGATTCAAGTGTTGGCCAGGAGAATTGGTTAAATTACTACTAAGTGGTTAGAAAAAGCTGGATATACAAAATGATTCCTTAGGAGAAAGAGGATCTCATATGAATGTTTTTCTCAGGTAATGGATTAGGATCAGGTTAGGATTAGGGATGGGAAGAAAACAAGACAGACTCTCTGTGTGCTCAAGTAAGCCACAGTGGAGAATTAAACCAACAAGCAAATAAAACCTTGACCAAAACTTTAGGAGAAAGGGGGAGTGTTAGATAGGCTTGATGTAGTAACCCACAATCTAGAATAATATCTCCTGAGAAAGTGATACACATAATTAAACAAAAAAGTATTTCCATGGAAGGCAATTGTGGTATGGTAAAAGGTAGTATTGACCCCAAACTCCAGATGTGAGTTATAATTCAATAAACTTAGGCAAGTTTTATTATTTACTCCAAGTCATAGTTTACTCATGTTTCATGCTAATATTAAGGCCCCAAGATTTTAAGAAAATGTGTCATGTAAAATATTCATTAGTTCTAAAATCTTGCTGTGAAACAGGCTTAAAAAAAGTATGTAGAGTTCTTTAAAAGTGTAGTCTACTGGACTCTACCTCAGAAATACTGGTTTAGAATCTCTGAGAACTGGTACCTCTAAACTATCTCTGGAAAACTGTCTTCAGCTAATACTGATCCAGTTGTTGAATGTATATGCCTTTGAAATGTATTGAGCTCTGAAATGTTTTGTTCACTAAATGGCCTAGAGATAATTCTCCATGAAAAGATGATCCTGAATGGGCGGTATGAATGAATGGGTCTTCATGCCTTCCTGTTTCTCTTGCCATCAAATGGCAAATTTCCACTATGTGAAGGATTCTGTGTGACACTATGTGAGATACAAGCCCAATATATAACAAGAGACAGCTTTCAAGAAGGTACTATTTTTCAGTAAGGCAATATAAATTCACAAATACCTATAAAACACAATGAAATACAGAAAATTGCATAATAGACACACATGGCTGATTTCTAAGTATGGTATCTAAGGGGATAGATACCAAGGAATGAAAAAGAAATGTCAATTTCCATGAATTTTTAAAATATGTGCAGCATGTTTATTGAGAGGATTCTGTCAATTGAAGAATGATGAGGTTCATAAATTTGGAAAGGAGAGACTTATTTCTTATAAAGGGTTGCAGCCTGCCTGGTGGCTATTCTTTTTCTTTTTTCCTTTTGACACAGGGTCTCACTTTATTGTGCAGGCTGGAGTGCAGTTGTACCATGATGGCCCACTGCAGCCTCAATCTCCCAGGCCCAGGAAATTCTCCCACTTCAGCCTCCTGAGTAGCTGGGACAGCAGGAATGCACCACCATGCCTGGTTAAATTTTTAAATTTGTGTAGAGATGGAGTCTCACTATGTTGCCCAGGCTGGTCTTGAACTCCTGGGCTCAAGCGATCCTCCTTTATCAGCCTCTCAAAAGGCTGGGCTGGAATTACAAGAAGATACATTCCTTCTTGTATTAGTAAGGAAAGAGTATTAAGAGCAAAATTTCCAGAGAATAATTTCATTTTAGGTAATAGGAAAAAAATAATGATGAATGTAGAGATATTTTTATTTGTAGGTAAGATCTTGAAGAGCTGAGAGAGTTTTTTATAGAGAAGCTGTAGTATATAGACTGTGAAGTAGAAGAAATTTTACATAGGGCAATATCACAAAGTTGATTATTTTTTCATAATTTAGTTTTGTTTTCTTAAATAGATTACAATATGGGTATATCTCATACTTTAACAGTCTTTCCTGTATACAAAGTATAAGATTTGTAGTTTTCTTGGTAAATATATAAGTGATTGAATAAAGTGATTGTATGGACTATTAAGAGAGGATTCATTCCTACCTTAGTAATAATTTCTACATAAGATACAGAAGTAAACACTTTTTATTTATTTTATTGATTCATATTCTGAGAAAGTTTCCTGTAGAAAGAGTTAAAGTGAATCTACTATATCAACCTTCAAATTTATAAGATATTTTGCATTTTCTAAATTCCTTGTAGATACTTAAAAAGATAACTTTTTCAAAATCAACCTATTTGTTTATAAATTGATAAAAACCTAGTCTTATGTGGTTGGTTTTTGCCAGGATATTCATAGGCCAAATAATATTTTAGTGAAAAAAATTCAAATTTATTAATGCTGAATTCAATCAAGATAAAAATTAGATGTAAACATCCTAAGTGTTATGGATTATGAAAATTTGCTGTAATAAATGTTCAGTGAATGAACATCTAGTATCTTTTACCCAAGTATGATTATATTTTGGCCTCAGAATAAATAATACAGTCTTTTCCAGCCTCTCAACAGTTGCCAAAGTATAGGAAAGGATAAGATTATGGCATGAAATAATTTACATGAAGCAGTTCATTAGGAAATACATACTGAGCTTCTATAATATATGTACTTCCAATAATTGAGAACAATACTTACAGCACG
The DNA here is from genome assembly GCF_000001405.40 of Homo sapiens. NCBI lineage: Eukaryota > Metazoa > Chordata > Mammalia > Primates > Hominidae > Homo > Homo sapiens. The sequence continues at coordinate 28,013,722 of NC_000021.9, read as the reverse complement.
ATAGCATTGTGTGGGCTTTTAGCCTTCATTTAACTTTTCTACTTCATTTAACTGGTATTGCTAGAAAATACTTTTACAATCTTTGGCTAATTAATAGTCTCAAAAATATAATGATGGATTCCACTGATGGATTCCACTGGGTATTCTAAATAATTTTCTGCTTGTTCTCTGCCTATATCAAGTCTACAGCAACGAAAACAGCCATGCAACTCCCCCTGCATATTAAATTAACATTAATTTTAGGAATTGAATAGATCTAGTAAATGATTAATATGTGCTAACCAACTTACCATTTTAGGGCAATATTTGCACATGGCTAAACAAATAGATCTTTGCAGAAGATAATGAGATACATGTCTGTTCTTTGCTTTCTTCATTGATTTGGATCACTGTACAATCATTAAGCTGAAGTCTATCTTAAAGAGGAGAGAGGGCTGCTGGCAGGAAGCCACTTTGGCAGGCTCTTCTATGTTGTGGTCTGTTTGGTTCATCCACAGAGACATGGATTAAGATAGAATTGTAGGAAATCCTATTGAGTAAAGGCCTACTGGATGAGAAAAGGGAAAATTAATTTAAGCCTCTCTACTCCTTCAACATAACCTTTTAAAATACTAGGTTACAGCATATTCATTTCACTTGTGATTCTGATGTAAGATACTAATGGAAATGACATTTGAAAAGGGACTGATGTGTGTATAAACTGTCACTGGCAGGTCCTAAAAGTACCTTTTCATGTGGGCATTCAGTATGATGACATTTTCCAGGTTATGAGCATAGATTAGAAGTTATGAAATTCAGAGCCTATAAAGGCATGTTCAATCTGTATCTCTTAGAGGGTAAAGAGTTCTGAAAACTTGATTTATGGAATAAAATATTAACCCAGGACATTGTTAAGGATATCATAATTTTTTGTTTATTGTTTTGATCTGAGGATGGAGGCTTAAAAACGTTTTTGTTTTTTCTTGGCCTGTATGAAATCCACTGCGATGCAACCCTGGGATAGTGAATTGGATTCCTTTAGCTCGTGTACCCAGCATCTTGGTCAGTCATAGATGAGGGTCCATCTGACCTAATAGTAATACTAATACAATGCATATGTGAGAGTGCAGAATGTTCAAAGCTCTTCCATCTATATCAACTATTTTCTCCTCTCACACAATTCTATAACTGGTCTCATTTTGTAGTTAAATCAACAGGGGATGAGAGATTTAAGTGACTTCTACAACATTATAGAGTCAGAAATGGAGCTAGGAGATGCATTAAGGCCTTTGAAATCTGCTCTTACACATATGTTTCCTAGTAGTGTCAGCTGTTGACCATCAAATGTATGTGTAGCTTATATTGTTCTCAGAAATTTAAAAAAAAGAAAAGGAAAAGAGAAAAGAAAAAGGAGGAAAAAAAGAGAAGAATAGAAAAGAAAGAAACAACTTTTGGAGTTTTGGCAGAAATATTTCTAGTGCCCTAAAATGAAGACAAGGCCTCAGATTCCAAGGGCACAGATGTGTGGCATGCAGTGAAGTGGCCACTAGCCAGACAGCCAAATCCCCATCCAGGGAATCCTCGGTGCTGGTGCCAGGGGAATAGAGTGGGGGAGGGGCAATAAATGACCAGTGTGCCCAATAAAATGAAAAGGCCAAAATGTTGCTTGCTCAGCTTAGCTTACTATTTTAACCAAAAGTTTGGAAGCCATAGCTAATGAAGGTATCCAAAAAACGTTTGAATAGTTGCTGTATGCAATAGCCTGGAAAATGAGAATGCAAAGACAAACAGAAGGAATGATACTGTGGGTCTATGTGTCCTTCGTGCTGCAATGAGAATAACTCAGCTCACTGGAAACTTCCAGGGAAGATGGCAACTTTCCAGGAGCAATTGTTTTGGGATTCTTTTCCCAAGTGTTTTTATATTTTAACAGGTCTAACAATTTTAGTCATGAATGAGAAATCAAGCAACAGAAATCTAGTGTAGAAAAATCACAATTAATATTTTTAAAGACTTAATATGTCCTCTATTGGCTTAGTAGTAGCTTGTGTTTAATTAACTCAAAATGACTTTAGACTTGGCCATGAAAAAAACTTGTATCTTTTCCACTTACTGCTCACTGCTAATTCATTTCTCTTTCTCTTTTCTTTATTGATGTATACGGTTGGGGAGGTTAAGGGTAGGAGAGGAATAAAAGGGCCTGCAATGTAAACGTTTTAGCCTGTAACATGAAAGGTACATTTTATGTGCTTTATTCATGATAAAAAGAACAAACAAAAAGAACAAGTTTTCATTTGTCATGAATAAAGCACATAAATTTATCATGAATAAAGCACATTTCATTTATCATGAATAAAACACATAAAATGTAAAAAATCCATTTTTTGTAATGAAGCATTGTTAAATGCCATGAATAGTTGAGAATGTTCAAGTCATTAATGACAATACATATCTTTAGTTGGTGTATTAGGCTGTTCTTGCATTGCTATAAATACATGACTGAGACTAAGTAATTTATAAAGAAAAGAGGTTGAATTGGCTCATGGTTCTGCAGGCTGTATAGGAAGCACAGTGACTTCTGTTTCTGGGGAAGCCTCAGGAAGCTTCCAATCACAATGGAAGGCAAATAGGGAGCAAGCATATTACATGGAGAGAACAGGGGCAAGAGAGAAAGAGAGTGGGGGTGGGGGTGGGGGAGAGGTGCCACGTACTTCTAAACAACCAGATCTCACAAGAACTCACTCACTATCACAAGGACACCACGAAGGGGATGGTGATAAAACATTTATGAGAATCCATCCCCATGATCCAAACACCTCCAACCAGGCTCCACCTCCAACAATGGGGACTAAAATTAGACATGAGATTTGGACAGATCCAAGTCATATCAGTTGGCAACAGTGTTTGGAATATATCTGTGCATAGGTACCTATAATCTATATATCTACATATCTATGTATCTATCTATTTATATGTGTAGATTGCTATATCTACCTATTTTTCTGTCTAATGGGTGGTTACAATGGATATTATCCATTATTTTCACTCTCAGGCAAAAACTAGATTTTATGCATATATTTTATACAGAAGTACTAGAATATCATCTGCTAGATTTGCTGAATTTGTAAGTACTGTTTTCCGTGAAGATAGTTGTCTGCCTAACAGGAGGTGGAAAGAAGTGGATGCTTTCTACTTCCTAACCCACCCCTGGTAGAAGGATGATGTCAGAGAATGCTTTGGGGACCACAGTGAGAGGATGCTTTGAAGAACTGAGTGTGGGTCCCTGGGGTCCAGGAAATAGAAACCAGTGCCAATCTATTGAGGTGTCTGAATAGAACTTACAATTCTGGCAGGATATAGGCTCGGGAGTACATAGAAGAAAAGGCAGAGCCTTCACTATGAACCCAACTAAAGGTGGCCACCAGGTAGGACTAAGCAAGTCCGAGTCAGGGGCTGCATGTTGATATGCACATGGAGCAGAGGCTGAGTGGCAGGATGTTTGCTGCGGAGGGAATGCCTCAGAAAACTGCGGGATGGCGATGCTCAGTGGAGAGGTTGCCAAGGAGCCTGGAAGGCACCAACAGGAGATAGTCAGCTGGAGGAACTGACCCCCAAGAGCGGTGACATTTGACTGCTCCAGTGTCAATGTACAAGTGAGGTAGGATGTGCCCCTTTCCCTCCCAGCCCACCTCTCCTGCAGCTCATTAAGTGGGTAAGAAATAGAAAAGTAATGAGGAAAAAAAAAGTAAAAAACATGCAAACACACACACAACACACACACACACACACACACACACACACACGCACACACAAACAGCCCAGGCAGGCTGACCCAAGTAGTGGCTAAGGCTGGAATTTGTAAGTGCATTTCTGCATGTGTGTGTGTGTGTGTGTGTGTGTGTTTATGTGTGTATGTGTGTGGGTATCTAGAATGTGTGTGTGTGTGTGTGCATGTAGAATCTTTGAAATGGATGTAAGATTAAAGTTTAGATTTGAAGTTTGACCTTGACTAACTTCAATGCCATTTGAGAAACCTCAGCAAACATTACCAACTATAAAATGTATGTTGTGACACATACATATCACTTGCTTATGAATAAGCCATCTAGATACTTATGCTTATTTGTGCTCTGAATATATATCATAAGAAATATGTGCATAAAACAAATTTTCATGCAATAAAATTGTGCGGCTTTTTTTGTAACTTGTTGATATTTATGATTAATGCTTGCCCATAAATGTGTACATTTAAAATGTAGTGAGAATTTTCAAATTGCATTCCTTTTTTTAAATTGCTAAAAACCCATTTTATGAAATTTGCTTAGTAATTATCAAAGAATTTTTATTCAAATATAATAATACTGACTTTTAAACAAGTTTTGCTGCTTTGCATTTATACTTTCATAGTATATATAAGTTTTAAACAAATCTCTCATCTACGCCGTTTCTAGTTTGAAGTATTTCCCACTATATTAAATATGATTTTTATGTTTCTTAAATATAATGCTTAGTGGTTTTATCCTTCGACCATAATGGCTATTAGATTTTTTAAAGGTGGAATAATAATTTTTAAATCATTTTTCACTAAACTAAACTAATGAGCAATTAGGATGTGAATTTTAGAGCTAGCTGGATAATGGACATGACTAATCAGGGAAGACAGAAGAAAATGAAAGGCTTCAAAATACACACACAATCTCTTCACCATTATGCAACTATTCATTCATAGGTATCCCATCAATGAATCATGAGGCAAGAGTTGTTCCAGAAATGAGGAAAAAAATATATGTCAAGACCATTGCCTACAGTAAAAGCTTGTATTTTCCTCATTAACCAAAGTTTGTTTGAATTCAAAGCTCACTCACTTATTAATCATTATTTCCTGGGGAGAAATATGGAATGAATTTGATTTTCATCTACATTTGATTAATGTTTCCTAGTAAAACCACATTTTGCTAAATTCAAAATGTATCATTTGAAACTTCTTGGTTTTCTTTGCTCCTTTTTATCTACGTCAATGATGTCATTAACATATTTCACAACTTAATTTTTTTTATAGAGGGAAACATATGCCAAAGAAGCATGTATGCAAGTCCATATTACATCCATATTACACCCCCTTGCACCTTATTTTCCGTCTGAGTAGTTCTGATTCCTTTATCTACTGACAGAGTGTGGACAGTACCTCTAAGATTTCATTTTAGGCAATGTGTCTGCTCTCTGAGAAACAGGACAGCTTGAAGCACTACACTAGAAGGAGGCAGAAGTGCTATTACACAGGCACTGGCTGCTGATTGCCAAGAATCACCAGGGGCAGGGGATGAGACATGTGGAATTGACAGGTGGCGAGAGATTATTGCTGTTCTGCAAAGCAAGATGTCAAAAGATATTCCTAGCTGTTTGCCAGTTGACAGACCCGTTGGGGATATTTTGTGTGAAATGATTATTCTCAGTCACATTCAGAACTTTAAGCAATGGTGTCAGCATTATCCTAGAGATTAAGAAAAAAAAAAGAAAAAAGGAAAGAAAAGAAAAGGGCATGCAGAAGCAGACACCCAGTCTGTCTTCTAGAGAGCCATAAAATGTTTTCTTATTTCCTGGCTACATATAGTTCTTTTTAATGGTTTGCATTCAATGATCTGGAAAGTGTCAACCCATATACATTGTGTCTGAATTGAAAACCCTGAGGTACACTGCTAAAAGATGGACTTTGGAGTTCTACTTTGCTGGTTTCTCCAAACAAGCAAACAAATCAACAATAACAACAACAACAAAAACAAACAAACAACAACAAAAAAAACACCTTCTTCTCAAAAACTACCTGCTTTAAAATGACTATGCCATGGAATAAACTCTACCCGACTTTTCTACATGCTATTTTCTTTTCTTTTTTCTTTTCTTTTTTTCTTTCTTTTTTAATATTTAGGGTACTGCTGTCATCATTGCTTAAGAACTTGTGTGTAAATGCACAAAAAGAGACTTTCAAACAGATCGATGTTAGCAGCTCAACATAGGAATCAGCTGCACTAATTAGAGTGGCTCTTTCTTTTATAGCTGACTCCACGATAATCAACTGTGAAAACAATTAGGAATATATTCCAAGTGTCTGCACAAAGGTTTGTGGTGTGACTAACAGGCAGCTGAATATGTCCTATAAGTAAACGGATAGAAATTAAAGACTAACATAACCTAAGATACTATAAGAAAAGGCCAAGGAATTATACAGAAAGTTAAGAAGACATTAGTATGTGTGGGTGGAAGCTTAATGGAAATGAAAATCACATCTTGGATTAAAGAGTGATTTCTAGGTGCACCATAAGAACCTTCATTTAACAATTTTCGTAACTGCTATCAAGATGTAATAATGTTCAAGCTTCTCAATGTGTATCATTCTTAGACCTTGGTGTGCTCAGCAAATATGTGTTGCATACCTGCTTTTTCACAGGAAAGCAGAATGGGCTGCTCAGATACTTACCTCTACTCTAACTTACTACTAGGGTCCTGTACCCGCAGGTCCCTCATAGTAATAGTTCCTTTCTCTATGATTACTACAGATAACCACCACTTATTGAATTAACTTGAATATTCGATAACATCATAATTTTAGTAGCATTAGATATATATATAATACTCTGGTCAACAAACCTAAGATACAAAGATTTCATTTAAGTGTTATAGTTGTTTTTTCCCTTTTTCCCCAACTCTAAGTCCTAGACTAAAGATTTGTGTTCCATTTGTTGATACAGAAGCTATATCTGGCTTGAAAAAATGGCACATTTTCTTTACGTAAAGCCCACGTACGTCACTACTTACACACTGCTTCTTTCTAACATCTAGGAGAAGCCAAATCATAATGTTTACATAAACCTGTTGATTTACTTCAAAAGACCCACAAAAAGAAATGTGACACAATTTGAACAGCAATACTACTATTTAGGTATTTTTTCCATGAAAATTGAACTAAGTTATTTTTCCCAAAAATATTCCCCAAAGAAAGCAGAGCATTTTTTTATTATGGAAACTTGATAATTTTCCATAAAAGATTTTAAAGTCCATGTAGAGTTTAAAAGGTATATTACAGTATATTACTTATCAAAAATTGCCATTAAACCTGTTTTAAAATTCCAGTGCTGCTCCCAAAAGCCCTGTGTAACACCCTTAATTGCCTTACAACTCCTCTGTAATTCTGGATTGGAAATAAAGGCAATGGTGTAACAGGAAAGTGAAAAATTCATTCCTTCATGTTATAATCCATAAGTATAAGTTCACAATTAAATCAACACAATTTGTTGTTTGATTTCATTGGGGAAAATCTGACTCAAACTGCTTTTATCATATGCTGTACCTTCAATTTGGCAGTTTGTTATTCAGCAAAATGTCTCCATTTGGGAAAATTATGTGCTAAATGACACACTTGTAATTTCTGCATTAATATGATCCCAGGATTTAAATTCAAATACAGTGTATTTTCATGGAAAATATATCTTATTTGGATTTCATAGAAAATAAATAGAATCTACAACAAAATCTTCAATAATCTTCTGTTCTAAAATATTAATAAATCACTGTTAATCAATATTTTTTAATATTTCCTGAAGTGTAACCAAGTAATAGTATACTTTTGTGCTCACAAATTATTATGATCTACAACACATTCAATAATCTTCTATTCTAAAATATTAATAAATCACTGTTAATCAATATTTTTTAATATTTCCTGAAATGTAACCAAGTGCTAGTATAATTTTGTGCTCGCAAATTATTTAGGGTCATGAGAAATGTGTAGATATTTGAGCTGCAATCCATTCTTATCATTGTTTTCTCTTTACTAAATTTAAGTCTATGAGTGTGTGTATTTGCATTTTGAGTTGGTGACAAAAAAAGAAAATAAAAACATATAGTTTCTTCCATGGTTACAAATAACGGATTTAATTCATCTTATGTGGATATACTGTACACTCATGGTCTTAATCTTCCAACAGATCATCTATGCAATGTTTTCAAGGGCAAGTAATAAATAATACTCAAAATAGAATAAGTTTTGGAATTTCAACAAAAGAAATAAAAAAACCAAAGTAGGAAAACTTTATCCTTTTTTCTTGCTTTTTCCTTTGTTTATCCACTTATAATAGGTCTTTAAAAACATCCTGTTTTATTTTCTTCTTTTCTACTGTTGCCTGCTGTCTGGTCTCTCTCTACAAAGTAGACTGTGGAATGGAATGCTGTTTCCCCTATTCCCTACTTCCTAGTTGCCCTGAAGGAAAACCACCTAGTCTCTTTTTATTGTAAGGTTTTACTGCTCAATATCATGGGGAAACACATAAAAAATAAAAATATTTTAAATAAGGTTAAACATGCTCATAGTATATGCCTGAGAGCTAAGTCAGACTGACAAGATTATTGTTTCGGTTTCACCACTTATTATTAGCTTAGTCAAGATATTTAACTGCTTCTTTTTCTCTTCACTATGACCTTAGTCAAGATATTTAACTGCTTCTTTTTCTCTTCACTGTGAAGAGGATAATGGATCCCTACCTCACTTGGCATTATAATGAT